>NC_000010.11:20010000-20635000 GCF_000001405.40 Homo sapiens
TGTGGATGAGCATATGAATTTCAGAAATATTTAGATTTCTACTCATTCATTTAAATTAATCAATATTGCTGAAATTTTGCCTGAACTTCTGTTCCTTGCTTGATTCTGAAGGTTAATTGCAGGTCTCTGTCATTGCCTTTCCTGGCAGAGTGGCCTGATGCTACCTTGACAGCCCCTATCTAATGTGGGTTGAGAATCGGCCTTGTTTCTTCCACTCTGTGTTGCCAAAGGTTGTGTTAACCGACAGCAAAATCTATTTCAGTCTTTTCTGTTTGGGTAATTTGCAAAAACACATGGATTTTAAACTTCTGATTTTCTCCCATTCATTTTCTTTTAGCATATTGATGAGGGCTTTACTTTGCAAAGAAGAAAGTGTACCGAAAATAGTAAATCAGACAGAAGTGATATCTGCAATTATTGCTCACCCTCAAAAAAGATAATGAGGATTAAAATAGAGTATCATATATCTTGCTCAATTATAGATTATTCTTAGCTTGACATGTCAGCTCTTTATTGAAACAAAAATGGAAAAAATCCATAGCTGTCCTTCAAAGAGTTCCATGAAGAATAACTGAATTTTCTCTTTGATGCTTCACTGTTAGCTAATTGAGTTTACTTATAGTTATGGCATGAAAATAGACTTTAGAATGATACATGCAGGTTGTAAAATTATTAACTGCATTAGTCATATAATTTATTTTCAGAACAAGAATTATGTTTCAGGGTGAATAATATTCTTGCATTCTCCATGTTCAAAGAGAAATCTCATATTTAATCTCCCCATTCCCCAAGGGATCCTAAGATTAATTATATGATCATCACATCCAGTTCTTTCTACTTTAATTCCATAGCCATTCATGAGGACTTTAATATATCCTTACTCTGCATTAAATAGTGACAGTGATAGGTGAATTTGAATATAGAGAATGCCAAGTAACAGTCAATCAGCTGACTTGCTATTTTATCATTTTGCAAACATATTTCTCTTCTTTGCCTATACTAATTTCCAAGAGGACATATCAAACATACTCAGATGAAAATTATTATTTTCAATATGAAAATTATAGTTCAGCCCCAATGTCATAGGTCTAAATATTTGTCTAGTTGATTTTTTAAAATCATGTTAAAATTAATTGTTTTGGTAGTTCAGAATATGTCCATTCTTTATATGTTGAACGAAGGGCTCAGGATGAAGGAACAAGTGGCCATTGAGTATGGGCTGGAACTCAGGAGCAGGGAGGTCAGAAGATGCAGGAGGCCTCCGTTCTCCTGGTGGCTCATGGAGAGGTGTGCTGGGGCCAGAGTGCTGCTGGATGCACCCACAGAGGGACGGTACTCCTGGGAGGGAATTCTTTGCTCTCCCAAGCATGGAAGGGGGATTGTACAGGGAAATTCACATTTGAGGATCCCACACCATATGGTCCAGGCTTAACTGCCAGCAGTTTAGCAAAGTGTGAAAAACGTCATCCACCAGCGCCTAGATTGGAGTTACCAGGGCTCAAGGAATATTGAATTCAGCTCAGCTCATGTCCCTGTGGGGGCCATAACTCATCTTCTCAGCTATCTGTTTTCCTGGCAATAAGGAGAGAGCTTCTGGGATCATTCACTGGGCAATCCCATTCCATATCAATCGATTAGGCCTTAAAGACTAGGTTTTCTTCCTGTGATTTTCAGAATCACAAATGGAATAATGAATTGATTGTAGCTCAAAGGCTAAATAAATCTGAGTTGGCACAGACATGCTGATAGCATTATTTTTATTACTGCATATGGGGGAACATCAGAGCTACTACTTATTTCCATGAAGATCTGTAGTATGATGAATCTACTCTGTCCGTGAACTTATGTACAAAGACTAATGCCAGTTGGGTACACGAATCACAGTGAGTCTTTGCCATTTATTTTATCATACAAATTAATGTGTACTCAACAATTTAGCACCAATTCACTGAAAACATGAAGGATGATAGTGTCTGATAAACAGTGACGTTCTGTAATTGTATGGTGGCAACCAGAATTTTCTATGAACCTTCCCCAAAAATGTCTCTTGTGTCTTTGTCAAATATTGTGACTTAGATGGAAACACTATTAGGTAGACACATCGATAGGCCATTACAAATAGAGAAGGCATTTAATTTTTTTCTCTGATTATCTAAACATATGTATGAAAAGTTGTGTTTCTATTTTTAAGCAATGATTAATATTTACACTCTGCTAAATATTCAGGGAGTTATACTTCACCTTGTATTTCTGAAGCAGATCTAAGATAGATAAGGGGATAAGAGTCTCTCTCTCTCTCTCTCTTTTTTATTTTTTTTTTTTTTTTTTTTTTTTGGAGAAGGAGACTTGCTGTGTTTCCCAGGCTGGAGTGCAGTGGCGCGATCTCAGCTAACTGCACCCTCCACCTTCCAGGTTCAAGCGATTCTCCTGACTCAGCCTCCTGAGGAGCTGGGATTACAGTGCCACCACCACGCCCAGCTTTTTTTTTTTTCTTTTTGTATTTTCAGTAGAGATGGGGTTTTGCCTTGTTGGCCAGGCTGGTCTCACACTCCTGACCTCAGGTGATCCATCCACCTTGGCCTCCCAAAGTGCTGGGATTATACGCGTCAACCACCGCATCTGGCTTGATAAGGGTCTCCTTATAAAAATATTTGCATGTCTTATCCATGCATTGCTTTTGTGTTTGTGATAGAAATATTTGCTAACATGTCACTCTATGAACTATTAAAGAAGGCATCAAGTACTCAAATGTTCAAGAAAAGATGGTAACGTTTAGAATGAAAAGAGACTGCCTTAGTTTTCTTTTTGTGTTTCCCTGAAAGAAAACACTTCTGTTCATGCCCGAGCAATGCATAGATGTCTGAATCTGTCTAGAAACAAAAGTACTGAACTTGGCAGCCCTTGGGAACGGTTGTTTTGAGTTATTTTCTATATGTTATTTCAAGCTTTAGCTATTAAATTGAAGTAATAGTTTGGAATCCATTGCACTGAATTGAATGAATGTGACAAACTATTACGGCTGGAACTATTTGGCTTTTATAAGTAATTTCTAACTCTTTTGTAAACTTTATATATTTATGCAGTCTCTAGCTTAAAGAACAAAGCTATATAAATCATTAATATTCACCTTTTAGATAATATCTAGAGATTTGTCCCTATCAATCTGTTTATCTATCTACCTACATACCTACCTATCTACCTACCTGCCTACATAGCGTCTATCTCTTTTATTTTGAATTCACAGTGTGGTTCCCATTTGTGCCCAAAACAATTTGAAAGAAAAACTTACAAAGAAAACTTTAATTAATATTGTTTAAATTTTTAAAATTCACATGTTATATCACCTCTTATTAAGGAACTCTTTTAGGTACTTCCAAAACTGAAGATGTTTTATTTCATGACAGGATTTTTTACCTAAAAATAATGCTCCCTGATCTTTTGTGGTTTAATGAAAATTTTTATAATTTTCAAAGATGAATGCATTGATTTTGATTCTCGGTTTTTTTCCTAAGAACATTTAGGTTATAATATTCTTCCTTTTTCTAAGATTATAGTGCTTTGCACAGTGTTTATTATTTGAATGGAAATCTTTACTAGTTCTGTCATTTAAAACTAGTACAGAGTAAAAGCTAATTTAAAATTCTATGCTCTGAAAATGTTTACAAGGTATCTCACCAAACCTTCCCAAAGAACTGAAAACAATTCATTTGTCCATTGTAAACAGGATTATAGAATTATCTGTTATCTTAAAAACCAGGTATAAATGATCATCTTCTTTTTCTTTAACATATTTTAATAAAAAATGACTTATCTTCCTCTGTCCACTGAGTAATCAGATACTGCTTTATTTCTTTTACGAGTAAATGAGGTTAATCTTCATCAGAATAGAAGAGTGTCACATTCAAATGGGAGAAATGTAGTTAAATAAGGCTTTGTAAGGAAACAACTATGAATAAATACAGAAATGTGCTAGAACAAAATTATAAGTATTCATTAGAAATTTTTCTCATGTTACCAATTGTACCAGATGATAGTAAAATTATCTCCTAAAGGCAAACACACTTTTTAGAGAAATCTTTTACATTCACTATTCCTCAAAACTCTATGGAAAGTAATGTTTTCTATCATGTGCATAAGGAAATAACATGATTTAGTACATTCAGAAGTCTTCCTTCCTTCCCTCCCTCCCTCCCTTGTTTCCTTCCTTCCTTCCTTCCTTCCCTCCTTCCTTCCCTCCTTCCTTCCTTCCTCTCTCCCTCTCTCTTTCTCTCCTTCCTTCCTTTTTTCCTTCCTTCCTTCCTTCCCTCGCCCCACTTTCCTTCCTTCCTTCTCCCCACCTCCCTCCCTCCTTCCCTTTCCTTCCTTCCTTCCTTCCTTCCTTGCTTCCTTCCTTCCTTCCTTCCTTCCTTCCTTCCTTCCTTCCTTCCTTCTTTCCTTCCTTCCTTCCCCTCTCTCTCTTTCTTTCTTTCTTTTTTTTCCTTTCTTTCTCTCTTTCTGTCATCAACCCATCCAAGGTAAATCTGTTTATTTCAGGACACCTTCTTGAAGCAGCTATAGCTCAGTTACTTATTGGTCCATAAGTAACTAAAATGGAAATTAAAATTACTTTTGCCGTGAGAGTCAAAATGTTATTTTGCTCCCTTGAATAAGTTTGCTATGGTTTGAGCAGATTTAGAATGTATTTAATAGGCTTTGTTCAGATAGTTTTGTTGCTGAACAATAATTATAACAGCCATTTCAAGGATTTTAAAAAATTTTGCTTTGTCCATGTATATCTCTTATCTTGTTACTAAAGAGAGAATGTGATATATTCTGCACACAATCACAAAAGAAAAAACTCTATTTTTATCTTTTCCTTAAGGACAATGTTGAAACATTTCAAAGAGAACATTTTTTTTTTCCAGTTAGTGATCACTGGTGAATGCAAATTGCAGTAAATGGTAAATGGCTGTGGCACTGTTCCTCCTGATTTTCTATTGACTTTTTAAATGTTTGTCAGAAAGAATCGAGGAAGAGAAAATGATTTTCAGCTTTGAAGCAGTCCGTGAGATAAAGCCAGGAGTGAGTTGACAGCAGGGAATCAGAATCTGGGACAAATATTAATTTTCTCACATTACTCCATTTTATTCCAACAGAGCTTTCCCCCAGTCATCCTCTCTCTGCTCAATGGCCACCTTATCAATGTATCATTGTCTTCCTTTGGGCTGCAGTTGCAAAATTAGGAACTCAAGAACTTGGCATTGCCAGCAGTGCTTTTAAAAATCCTTATGTCTTGGCAAGGTTGGAATATACTAAAGTGTTTTTTTTTCCAAAGTCTCTAAAGAGAAATTTGGCAATTTGTATGTGTGTGCACGTGTCTGTGTGTTTGTGTGTGAGTTTGTGTATGTTTGTATGTATATGTATGTGCATACTCAACATGTGTGCATTATTTCAAAGGATTTTAAAAATGACTTTTGTGGGAGAAATTAATGGTGGCTTGGATAGCCCTTGTACATGATACTTATTGTCCTCTTCAATTAGATGTTATTTCACTGAGCATTACAATCAACATAAACTAAACAGGTACATGGAAGACTGGCCAAGACTCCATTTGCTCCACTGAATTCCTTAAACTTTATATGCTCTCCAGTTTGTGGCTCTGGAAGACAAGGAAGAGAGACAATGAAAAGAGACCAAGTATAATCGATTAAAAAAACACAGAGATCAGAAATTATGAAAAGATAGAGAGAGGATACGATGGTGAACCCAACATTCTGGGCACCATAAATGGCAATCTCCAATTCTCTCATCCTCATTGGCCTCCTTCCAATACAAGCACATAAATCCCCGTGAGCCTTGTCCACTTCGGTTTGTTCCAACCATCGTGTTCACTCTCCTTTCTTATTGGCAAATTTGCCCTCTCAACCAAGTATTTCTTTTTACTAAGAACTCATATACTAGTAACGACTTCTGTAGTCTGAAACCATTCCCCATGTCACCATTATGGCAAAGCCATCACGAGTATAAAGTACATTCTCTTCTGGAATAAGTGAAAGGGCCTCTCTATTTAAATCAAGGTTTGGAAAATTAAACTCTCTGGATATCGCTCCAAACCAAGAAGCCATGAAATGACTGGACTGTTTCAAAAGACCAAGTCTGGGGAAAATCTAACTGAGATTGGAATCTCCTTGAGAAAAGAAACAATTCTGGGTACTTTGCTCATGTTCATAAAGCATCCATTGATTTGAAGCAACTTGTATGGATGTAGGGAAAGTAGTGTTTAACTGAGGGTTAGACATAAAACCAAAAAGGATAGAGAGACTACTTCCTTTCTGACCAAGAAAACCAAGACTCATTTGTGGTTTGGACTGGAAGTAAAACGGAGTCCATGTGACAAGAAGTAGAACTAGGTTGCTAACAAAAGTCTGACATTTTTACTTGACCATTTCCACACTAAAATGAATAGTGAAGTAGAATATGTGATTATAGCTTCGCCACTGGGATTCTTTGTCTAGCAGTAGATTTGTTTTCGCACTCAAATTATCTGAGTACCATTTTCTTCTGCAAAAGAATACACTGAAGAAAAACAGAGGAAAGTAAGTTAGTTACAGAGGGAATGAGAAAGTGTTTACCTGGTGGCCATGGTGTCAAAATCTGTCTACTCTCAGGCACAGGACAGTGCTTAGTACCTTCTGGAAACCACCCTTGTCTACTATAGTCCTCAATAACCTATGCTGATCAAAGCTCAAGCTACCTGCACATATTTTCTTCTTCCTTCTTCTCCTGTGTCTTGGATGAGTTACAGACTTGAGGCCATCCACATACAAAATAAGAGTCAGATGAAGCAGTGCTTATATTAGCAGCCTCACTCCTTGCGGAATTCTGGAACAGAGCAAAGTGAAACCACCAGCAGTTTCCAAAGACAATGAGGGGGCTTACAGGGAAAGCATCTTCCTGGCTTTAGCATGCTGCAGCTTCTGTTCCACATTGGTCTTTTTGCTTCCGAGGTGGCTGTTTTTACCTACTTAGCTAGTTTCCTCTCTGCTTTCTCTCCTAGGCAATCACAAATTGAAATGCTGCAAAGCACACATGCCTGGAGAAAGAGAGAGGCAGAGAGAGATAAATAGAGAGAGAGAAACGAGAAGCACCTTACTGATTCCCGTTGGTGTCAGTGATGACAGACAACCTGAAGCCACTGCTGTGAATCTTAAACTGCCCTCCCTGAGTGCTGATTGGGCTTTGTCAGTAGGGAGCAGGCATCACAGTGCTTCTAGGGGGGCAGGGGCCACTGGGCAGCTAAGTAGAATAAAGGGAACAAGGCTGATCAAAACATGGGACCCTTCCAGGGTTGTGCACCCATTTGCTCCTTGTAGACTCATTCATGCCCCTCCTCAGGTTCTCTTCATGCAGTAATCCATCTCTCAACCTCCTCAGGGTATCAAGAAATACCTGTTTCCAAGTTCCCCTGCGATGCGATCAATCTGAAATTTCTCTTTCCATCTTCCTGAAGTATTATGTATCTGCCTAGTTCTCACATGAAGAAACCGAATTCCAGTTTTAAAGAGGGCTCTATTAACCACTATTTTGGATCGATTACTCCCTTTGCCCTCACACAGACTTCCTCCGAACAGAATTCATCCGAACAAATAGTAGAGGAGGTTTCCACTTCCTCAATTACTAGCACATACCAAATTTGTTTTCCTGAGTTCATGAAAGTTAACTTGACTAGAGTTCTAAGGATTTCAAACTTTTCAGTTCCATATTTCTTTTTCATTCTCGTATTTAAAGATGATCACTGCACTTACATTTGATGAGCAAATTCAAGTGGGCTTGGAGTCATGCAGGTAAATAGTTCCGGTGTTAAAAGAAGGAGAAAGACAGAAGACCACATAGCATGAGTTATCTTAAGAGGTTTTCTTTCTGGATGCAGGAGAATAGTGGGGCATGGGGACCATGGGGACCATAAGGAGAATGCCCAGCCTAACAGGACAGCCATTACCCAGCTGTGGAGGATTAGGGGCATGTAGGAACCTGGGCCCAGGATGCCAGATCTCCTAGTTTCTCCAGAGACATCCGAACGCTTACATATTGGCTATTCATTCATTATTTCTTAGTCATATGTAGCCCAACACAGTGATGGCAAAACAAAATATTTCTACAGGGCCATCTCTCCAGTGGGCCCCCAGTTGCTATTGCTAGTGTACACCATGCAAATGACTCATCACCTTCCTGATGTAATCTTACTAGGCCTTCTCTCCAGAAAACATTTTATTCCAGATTCCAGGAGACACTTCACTGCTGTCTACCTGTTTTCCCCATACTATGTTGAGTTGAAATCAGTAAGATATATGATTCTTGGATATATATTCCAGACTTCTTCTCTACTATTCTCCTATACTTATTTTATTTAAGCACTATCCAGATGAAATACTTCCTTTTGCTTCTATTAAGAACAAATCATTAAAAATAAGAAATGGAAGATAGTTTTAGAGCTCTCATCTCCACTAGTGATTTTGAAGAGAGTTTCCAAGATCATGTTCATATTTCTCTGAAATATTAGTTTTTGAAATTGCAGTCACAGGAAATTTACTGCCTGCTTATAAGCGGTTTACTACTCCAAGTTTTCAAAAGTATTTAAACATATGGAGAAAAAAGCTCACATCTACTATTAATTGCATGTAAATATTGTCATTTAAACAATGACATTTCTTCATGTAATCATTTTTTTCTTCTTTTTTTTTAATACTGAAACATTTTAGACTTGCCAGCAAGACTTTAGAAAGTCAACATGATTTGAAACATTGGCAAAAGATTCAATTTTTAATAAGACAGGAGCTGTTCTATGGTGATTACTAGTTTCCTAAAAATAAACAAATGAGGTTAAGTTGTAGGATCATATGAACACCACATATGTGGATCGAGTATATATAAAATAGCTATAACTATTTCTAAATTGTCTGTAGATTTGAAGGGGAAAAAAAAGAATCATGCTCAGCTAAATAAAAAGAAATGGAACTTGGCTGGACATGGCAGCTCATGCCTGTGATCCCAGCACTTTGGGAGGCCAAGGCGAGAGGATCCCTTTAGCCCAGGAGTTCAAGACCAGCCAGGGTAACATAGAGAGACAGCGTATCAATTTAAGAAAAAATTTTTTAAATAATGAAGCTCAACCAAATAAAAAAGAATGAAAACCAAATTGACTGTTTTAGGGGCAAACTTTGACTCCAATAACTGGTAGAATTTCTTCTCATGATTGTAACAATTTCTACAGATATAGCTAGCTGATATCTTATGCAAGACACTGGTTTTAGAGGTGTGATGAAGTAACTGGGTCCAGTGTAGATTGAGAAATTACAGGCAAGGGCAGGGTCAGGACCCACATCTTCTATTTGTAGCTACTGATTTGGGCAGACCCTTTCCCCTGCACCCCGACATTGCACCTTTTCTGCTGGTTCCTGGTAATTGATGCCTGGTGCTATGAACTGAATTTTATCCACTTAAATTCATATGTTGAAGCCCTAGCCCCCAGTGTGACTGTATATAGAGATAGGGTTTTTAGGAGGCAATTAAGGTTAATGAGGTCATAAGGACGGAGTCCTAATCTGATAGGATTGGTGGGCTTATAAAAAGAGAGAGAAAAAGACATCCCTCTCCATTCACACACATTGAGGAAAGGCCATGTGAGGACACAGTGGGAAAGTGGCCATCTGAAGACCAGGAAGAGAGTCCTCACAAGAACCTGATTATGTTGGCACCTTGACACTGAACTTCCAGCCTCTAAAAATTGTGAGATAATGAATTTATGTTGGTTAAGTCATCTAGTCTATGGTATTTTGCTGTGGCCACTAAGCTGCCATGGCAGCACAGGCATATTAAGACTATATATGTGGAAAAATGTTCTATTACACAACATTTTTCCAAAAGGGATCCTCATGAAACTTCCATCCGTTGAACACCTAACCTGCCAATCTGATCTCAGCTATGAGTGTAGGGTACTTTTTAAAAAAGAAAACAAAAATCTCTTTTCTTTTCTTGCTTTTTTTTTTATTTTTTGTTTTTTCTTTTGAGGCAGGGCTTGCTCTGTCTGCTCAGTACAGTCAGAGCTCACTAGAGCCTTGAATTCCTGGGCTCAGGTGATCCTCCTGCCTTAGCCTCCTGAAAAGGTGGGGCTACAAACACATGCCACCACACCCAGCAAATTTTTTTTTTTTTTTTTTTTTTGTAGAGAGGTTGTCTTATTATGTTACCCAGGCTGGTCTTGAACTCCCAGCATCAAGCAATCCTCCTGCCTCAGCCACCCAAAGCACCTTTTTATTAAAAGAGAATACAACTCCTCTTGAATCCTGTGACTGGCTGCATGGATAGCCGACAATACCAGACTCCTAGTACATCTTCACTCCCAGTTCCTCATGGTCCATTTCCCAGTGAACTTGTGATCATTTATCTCCTAGACAAAAGAAGCCACTTTAATTTTCCAGACTATACAGTTTCTCTTTCTTCATTCATATGGACTCCTTCTGGTTATGGTGCTGGAGATTTCATAACCACCTGTATATATGTATCTCTGTTCATGAGAGATATATATATATGTATATAAGTGTATTCATATATATATATGTGTATCTCCGTTCATGATCTATTATTTGTAAACACTATTCCTTAATGTTCTTAAAGCTTTAGGCTATTTTTGAAACTGATTTGGGTAGCTAAATCCTTTATATCTGTAACACATTTTGCATATGTCAACAGAACTACTCACAGTTGCATATATTATTCAATAAACATTAATGCCTGATGAGAAAACTGAACATCAATTAGCAGTCCTTTTTTTCCTTATACCCAAGATAATCCTATTTAGAATGAGGTATTGCATAAGATAAATAGTGTCCTAAGAGCTCTGACCCAGGTAAAAGAGGACATGCCAGAAATAAAACCTGGAAAGGAAAGGTAGAGGAGAAGACAAAAAGTAATCTGGAGCTTTTTGGAAAATTCAGAATAATTTCCTGTTATTTCCTGTCTGAATAGCAAACAACTGGTCACAGTTTACTTCCAGAACTATTTTTAAACGTCACTAAACAAAATATAGTATACAGTTAAGCATAGTTAAAAAGATGTCAGATATTATAAAACACATTTTATATCCACACATAGGAAACATTTGCACATTCTCAAAAGCCTTTGCTCAAAATCTTCTTATGGTAACTTTATCCTGTTTTTTTTGTTTGTTTGTTTGTTTTTGTTTTGTTTTAGCACATAGTTACTTCCATTTTATTTTTATTTTTATTTTTAAATTTTATTTTAAGTTATGGGATACATGCGCAGAATGTGCAGATTTATTACTTAGGTATATACATGCCCTGGTGGTTTGCTGCACCTATCAATTCATCATCTAGGTTTTCAGCCCCGCATGCATTAGGATTTGTCCTAATGCTTTCCCTCCCCTTGACAGGCCCTGGTGTAATTTTATCCTGTTTTAAGTGAGAAAATTCTGTTTTAGACATTTTAATTGATTAAATTGTTTTACAATTCTTAGCCAAATTTTTCATCCACAGATTATTCACATATTAATCCTCATCCTGACCTCTGTACACAATAAGGCCACCCCCTCTTGTCTTGCTGTGGTTTCTTCCCCATTCATTTCTCAGATGACACAAACCTCACTCATTCTGATCTTTCTCCTCCAGTCACATTTTTTTTTATTATTTATTTATTTATTTATTTATTATTTTTATTTTTTTGAGATGGAGTCTCACTCTGTTGCCCAGGCTGGAGTGCAGTGGCGTGATCTTGGCTCCTGCAACCTCCGCCTCCCTGGTTCAAGCCATTCTCCTGTCTCAGCCTCCCAAGTAGCTGGGATTACAGGCATGCGCCACCAGGCCCAGCTAATTTTTGTATTTTTAGTAGAGACAGGGCTTCACCACGTTGGTCAGGCTGGTCTCGAACTCCTGACCTCGTGATCCGCCCACCTTGGCCTCCCAAAGTGCTGGGATTACAGGCGTGAGCCACCACGCCCAGCTCACATTTTATTTTGTAGACATCTGCTTAAAATGTTGAACTTTCAATTGTACTCAGCAAGAATGCATCACGGAACTGTATTGTAGCAGCAGACTAGCAATGATACCTCATTTACTCTCGGATTCTCCTCTATATATCTGTTTATCAACTGTCATCTAGAAATTCAGAGTGCACTTTTTTACACGTTAAAGCAATAAGGTTCCTAGATTGTGTTCATCTATTTATTCATTCAACAGCTCTTTCATGAGTGCTAGTTGCCAGTATTTTTTAGTAAATGAAGCAGATACAAATGGAGTCTTCTTGGAGCTTACAGTCTAGTCGGGTTAGATAGAAATAAAGTAAACAAATAAATCCATGATTTTAAATATGAAGAAAGAAAATGGGTGCAGAGACATGGGGTGTTAGTGGAGGGTGACAAAGGCCTTCTAAGATAGGATGATTGGGAAGACTTGTTAGAAAGGCTGAGGTCAGAACCCAGAGGTCCTTGAAAGCCACATGAGGGACTGCATTTCTTTGGAACCTGATGTATTCTGTGGCCATTATTTGTATCATGGGTAGCTTGATCCTCAGAGCACCTTGCAGGCTGCTTTCTAGAGTAAGGATTAGAAGATTAGAAATATGTGAACAAACTCCCTCCTCTACACGCTTTGACACATTCAGTATGGGTCCTTTTGCTTGCACGATAGCCTCCTCGCCTCCTGTGGGTAACCAGAATGAGCTTAGGAGTTCCTGAAGGCCCTGTACCAAGGCGAAGAGTGATGTACATGCAAATAATCATTTACTACATTCATTGTTATTGTTATTGGGATGAGGGAGTTGTGAATTTGAAGGTGAAAATCTTGCAACTTTCCTAGAGTTTTTGCGAATAAAATATGTTAATACTTGGCAGAGTATGAGAAATACTCTGGACCTTAGCTCTGCAATTTAATGACCAATACCTTGGATTATTTAAATATGTTCTACTCTACCTCCAAAGGGGGAGACAAACACTGTGGCAGTGGCCACTGGAGCCTGGATATTATTATAACCCTCCCCCCGCAAAAAAAGGCTCTTAATTTTTTTTGGAAAAGTAATGGCATTTAAATATATATATGTATATATATAATATTTTAAATATATATGTTTATATATATTATCCACAATACAATGTTTATATATATATATTATCTACAATCCGTATTGTTTCAGAAAAAGAAAGCATTAAAAAGAAATAAAACATGATAGAATAAATGATCGATAAATAACTACATGGGTCTTACCAAGTTATCCTCATTTATTCACATTTTACTCTTTGGGAACTACTGCTTTACAAATTCTTTATTGTAGATCTAAAACATTTCTCGATGTCATAAATACCTTATAAGTATGTGCTACAGTTTGAATGTGTCCTCCAAAAAGCATGTGTTTGAAACTTGACCCTAAGGCAGCAATGTTGGGAGGTGGGGCCTAATAAGAGGTAATTAGGCCATGAAGGTTCTGCCTCATGAATGGATTAATGCTGTTATTGATGGAGGGGTTTCTGATAAAAGGATGAGTTCAGCTCCTTTCTCTTGCTCTCTCTTGCCCTTTCTTTGCCCTTCTTCCACAGCAAGAGTGCCCTAATCAAATGCTGCCCCTTCCATCTTGGACTTCCCAGTATCTAGAATCATGAGCCAATACATTTCTGTTCATTATAAATTACCCAGTCTGTGGTATTCTGTTATAGCAGCACAAAACAGACTAAGACAGTCTGCAATCCACAAAAGTTATTTATAGGCAGCCACTTTCAAAAAAATGTTTTATTAAAAAAACCCTGCAAATTATTTGATTACTTAATATATTTCTCAATTTGTATCTGCTGCATTTAAGATGGCATATGATCACAGAGACAGGGTAGAAAAGAGGATTTATTTATTCATTCTGGATCTCTGGAGCCAGACTTCATTACCCTAGAAATAACAACAATTAAGAACTCTTATATCAACTGCCAGGACATTGATTTTCCTTGTTCCTATTCTGCAGAATCAATATATTGATTGATCTTATATATAAGATGTATTGGTCAATGTATTGGTCTGCAGAATAGGAACATATATGATATTCTGGGGGAAATTTCCACCTACAGTTTCCAAGGCAATCTGCTTATTTTGCCTCCTTGACTTTCAAAAACATTCCTTTTATTCCTCTATATGGTTTAAAAACTATTGTTGGTGTTTTTCTTGTAATAAAAAACTCTAAGCCATCACAAGTTTTGTAAAATCTCAGTTACATAAGGGAACCAAATATGTGTTGAATTTGATAAATGATGTCCTTCATATTGGACTAATTGGTAAGAGATCATTAAGTCAAAATAATCTAGTGCATAGACCTATGTTGAACTTTGGATTTTATGCTAGTTGTAACAGAACACTGATGTGCTATTTGTTCATGCCTGTTCTTACTCATCTGATTCCAAGGAATATTTATTAACAATCTTTGGTCTCCAATTGAACATACGAATTCTTCTCATTATTGTCTTTCCCCATTGTCTCCATTCTTGCTCTCTGGAGTAATAAACTTTTTTTCCAGAGGAAAATCCAAGGATAACTTTTGTTCTTGTTTTTGTTTTTCTTTTTTAAAAAATAATTTCTAATTTTATTTTAGATACAAGGGGTATGTGTGCAGGTTTGTTACCTGGATATATTGTGTCTGATACTCAGGTCCTGAGCACAGTACCCAAGAGTTAGTTTTTCAACCCTTGATCCCCACCTTTTCCCATCTAGTGGTCCCCAGTATCTATTTTTGCCTTCTTTAGGTCTATGAATACCCATCGTTCAGGTCCTACTTATAAGTGAGAACATGCAGTATTTGTTTTTCTGTTCCTGCACTAATTCTTATAGGATAATGGCCTCTAGCTGCATCCATGTTGCTTAAAGGACATGATTTCATTCTTTTTCATGGTTTTATAGTATTCCATGGTGTATATGTAGCACATTTTCTTTATCCAATCCACCATCGATGGGCACCTAAGTTGATTCTGTGTCTTTGCTATTGTGACTAGTGCTGCAATGAACATACAAGTGCAGGTGTCTTTTTGGTAGACACCAAAATGATGTATTTTCTTTTGAATATATACCCAGCAATTCCATTGCTAGTTGGTAATTCTGTTGCAAGTTGTATGGTAGCTCTGTTTTAATTTCTTTGAGAAATTGCCAAATTGTTTTCCACAGTAGCTAAACTAATTTACATTACCACCAACAGAGTATAAGGGCTCCCTTTGCTTTGCAACCTAGCCAGCATCTATTGTTTTTTCGACTTTTTTTTTTTTTTGACAGAGTTTTGCTATTTTTGCCCAGGCTAGAGTGCAGTGGTGCAATCTCAACTCACCGCAACCTCCACCTCCCAGGTTCAATGATTCTCCTGCCTCAACCTCCCAAGTAGCTGGGATTACAGGCATGCACCACCATGCCTGGCTAATTTTTTATCTTTAGTAAAGACAGGGTTTCTCCTTGTTGGTCAGGCTGGTCTTGAACTCCCGACCTCAGGTGATCTGCCTGCCTTGACCTCCCAAAGTGCTGGGATTACAGGTGTGAGCCACAGCACCCAGCCTCGACTTTTTAATTCTAGCCATTCTGACTGGCATAAGATGGTATCGCATTGTAGTTTTGATGTGCATTTCTCTGACGATTAGTGGTGATAATCTTTTTTTTATATGTTTGTTGGCTGCTGGTATGTCTTCATTTTAGAAGTTTCTATTCAAGTCTTTTGCCCATTTTTAATGTAGTTGTCTGTTTTTTACTTATTCAACAGTAAGTTCCTTATACATTTTGGATATGAGACCCAAGGATAACTTTGACATAAGCTTTTTTTCACTTGTTTTCCCCTCCAGATTATTATTCATTTTTTCACCATTGAGTAATAATTTTAATTTTATATATTAATTAACTAAATTTATTATATTGCTGACAATTCTAAGCAATTTGTATTCACATTACAGATTAGTGAAAAGAACTACGTAGATAAACTCAGGCAGAGGAAAGCTATGAGCAAATGAAACTTGTTTACTTTTACAAGCATTGAACTTTACAAGTATATGGAGCTCTAATGTAGAGTATTCGATTATTCAATTGAGTTCCTTTTCTGATTTCTTTTGGACTTTTCATCTGAGATGCATAGGTAAATCAAGTGGTTCTAGATTATGTTATTAAGGTTTAATTAAACTTAATGCCTATGTTCTCCACTAAACTATAAGCAGCATAAATGCAGAGACTATGGTTTTTTTTTTATATTGCTGGCTATATATTTCTTAAAATGAAATTCTCCTGAATAAATGTTTTTAATGTCCTAATAGTGAATGACATTTAATCTAAAAAGGCAGCTGGTTGGCATTTCAACTGCAAAGACTTGGAAAGAGAATATTCTCCTTCTGTGAGTCTCCCCCTAAGGGTATCAAATACCAATAAGAAGTCCAAACTGGTCAATTTAATCATGTGATTTATCTCCTTGAAGGAAAGAAAAAATAAGTGAAGTGGTATCTTTTCAGGAAAGTGGTTCAACTTTTAGCTTTTTAAGGATAAAGTACGATGGATAAAATTACCTGAAAATCTTCTACAGATTCCAAAGCCCATGCCATATTCTAGACCAATTAAATCTGAATCCGGGCTGCAGTGCAGGATGTGATTCCAACATGCAGACAAGTCTGGGAACCACCAAACAAGAGCAGATACCACAAATTAGCCAAAATTTCTAAACTGATGGATGCACAAATTTAATCTTCCCCAAACTAAATATAATCTCTTTCTACTAAGTCTTATGTATAATTAGCATTATATTCTAATCTATTGAATATAATATACCTTTATAATATATTCTAATATATAGAATATACTTTTATAATATATTCTAATATATAGAATACACTTTTATAATATATTCTAATATATAGAATACACTTTTATAATATATTCTAATATATAGAATACACTTTTATAATATATTCTAATATATAGAATACACTTTTATAATATATTCTAATATATAGAATACACTTTTATAATATATTCTAATATATAGAATACACTTTTATAATATATTCTAATATATAGAATACACTTTTATAATATATTCTAATATATAGAATACACTTTTATAATATATTCTAATATACATAATATATTCTAATACATGTAGACACACCCAATTTAATGCTTTGCATGGCATAGTTATGCAAAGCCTAGTTCTTAAGTGCGGTGGTCTCAATGTGTCCCCCAGAATTCATATGATTGAGGCTTAATCCCCAGTGCAACAGTGTTGAGAGCTGGGGCCTAATGGGAAGTGTTTAGTTTATAAGGCCTCTGCCCTCATAAATAGATTAATGTTGTTATGAAAAGGGTGTGAATCACTGGATTCATCCCCTTCTCTCCTTCTCATTGTGAGGGTACAGTGTTTGTTCTCTCTTGCCCTCCTGCCTTCTACTATGTGAGGATGCAACGAGAAGGCCCACACAGGTGCCAGTACCTTGATCTTGGACTTTGTAGCCTCCAGAACTGTGAGAAAATGAATTTCTTCTTTTTATAAATTGCCAAGTCTGTTATAGCAGCACAAATGGACGAAGGCATTGTGCTTGCAGTCTGATTAATGATCTTTAAAATTGTGTAGATATCTCAACATGATGCAGCTTGTCCATTGCACTTTTGAAGATACTTTCTCTCAACACTTGTTTTGAAGCTGGGACAACCTGAAAAAAAAAAAAACCCCATAAAATTCTACATCAAATCAATGCAGCAGAAACCACAATATGAAGATTCCATATTTATATTTGGAACACGTATAGGTGCAACCTGTGAAACATTTTAAAAATCTCAGAAATTGTCTAGATCTGATATCCATTAAGGAAGAGAAATCTGGACACAGCCTACTTTACTGAGATTGATTTCAACACAGGTAGAACTTTAGGAGTCACCATTTCAAAAACAGACTTAGGACTATTTGTTTCCCTACACTTTTCTGGAACATAAACCTTGCTGTACATGATGTGCAAAGTGGTAAGCTCTAAATTGACAGAAGTGAAATTCTTACATTTTGATCACTCTTTAAGGATAAATTGAAATACTTTATAGATTTCTAAAGTCTTGGCTTGGGCATGGTCATGTAGAGTACAGTGTGTTGCAATTTGGACATTTCAGCTAATTGGTGTTACTTGCTTTTAATTCAGCGGTTCTCAGACTGGTCTGCACGTTGGGATCACACTCTGCATTCCATCTCAAAATCTGATTTAATTGGTCTAGAACGTGGCCTGGGGTTTGGAATTTTTCAAGGTCTCCAGGTGATTCTAATACACAGACAAATTTGAGAATCACTGCTCTAGTTCAAAGGGATTTGTTAGGTCGTGGTGTGTCCCACTTTAAGCATGTATCAAATACTCAGTGAAAGAAAAATAGAAATGCAGGTGTTATTTGAATATGAGAGGGAGGCCTCTCAATTACAACTGATTACTCCTAAGACCTTGCTTTTGTGAGTTGCGAATGTACTATATTTGGGAATCAATGGTATTATTTTCCCATATTTGTTTTTTAGTTTTTAAAATGATATATAGATATACCAGGTTCTGTTTCAAAATGTTAACTGACATAAGTTACTCTAAACCTTCTGGACTGTCTCAGTTATACTAAGTCCTTCAGGGTCGTTTCTGAGTGCTCCTCTCCCTCTCAAATACTGGCAAGTCTTTTAGATTTTTTACAGCCTTTCTCATAACAGCCTCTTTCTCTTTTGCTCTTGTTGGTAACCCAGTATGAGCTATTATGAGTTTTATTCTTTGCCTATTGAAATAGCTTCCAAACCAATGTCTGATTATAATTTGTACCTTCTCTGTTCCACCCTATTTTCTAGATTGTTCCTTCTAAGTCCACATTTAATCCATTGCTTCCAAGTCTCTCTTCTTTTACAGAATCAAGTTCAGACTTTCGGGACAGACATTCGAGGCTTTGTGCATTCTAATTTTGGCATATCAAACTGTCCTCAATTCACATTACTCCTGTGTATGAGCTTTTGTTCTGGAGAGTTTCTGTATTACCTCTAGTTGATTTCTGCCCTTTTTCCTATGATCAGACCAGTGCCTCTGACTAGAGTGACCTTCTCAAATTCTAAATCATTTTTCCAGGGCCAGGTTTAATGCTCTTACTTCTATGAACCTTATTTTTCTTACCTTTAAAACTGAATGAAATTTCCTTTCTTAGAAGGCTTATAGACTGAGTCTTGTCTTTAGTTCAGCGGTTATCTTCTACTGGTTTGGAAAAGAGATATTTGAATATCTGTATCATCTTACTAGGCTGCAGACTTCTAGAGAGCAAAGACTAGATCATAAATACCTACTTGCCCTTCATACCTCCCACATACATAATCCATGCATCATGAATACTTGTTAACTTAAATGCATGACATGTAAAAGAAATGCTTGTAAAAAAAATAGGCGATTTGACGGCATCTTCTTATATTGGACTATAGTCTCTTGAATGTTTTCCCATATATTTCTTTTTCTTGGGGTCTTTCCAGCTAGTTCTTAGGAAAGTGAAAAGCTAATAATATTGATTCCCCTCCTCACCCCTGGGACTTTGCAAGACAGAACCAAAAAAATAAAAAATAAATAAATAAAAAAAGAACAAATACTTCTTGGGCTGCACTGAAATAAAATCTCTTTTAGCTATCTTGTAATTTTTTTTACAAAGTATAAATGCCAGGTTTATAGATCGGAAAGAGAATATTTCTGCAAAATCAGCAAAACCATATTACGAAAATATTTGTCTGAAAATATCATTGGTAATTTTAAAACAAAACTGCTCAACAGATTGTGCTTTTTCTTCTTGCTTCTTTATTTTTAATAACTCACGAAAGGATTGCAAGCTCTCTTCTTTTGTTCTGCCCTTATTTACCCTCCACATCAGCTACCTGACATTAAGTGAGTTGGCAACAAGGTTTTCCCTCTTCTAAGATGTGATCCTAGAAGAATTTATCATTTGAATTTGGCTTTTAAATTCTTATTTAGAAAGCAGTAGGAAGATTTACACTGCTAAAAGTTCCTCTATGCCAAATGAAGGCACTCTTAGAGATTATTTGAAAAAAAATGGATGCTACTTAAGAGTATTATGAAATAATGTCTCAACAAAGTGAAAATGGGTACAGCATCTCTTTGGGGCAGAGTGGCCATATAGTTACACGTAGCCAGACAGCTCAACGGCTCAGGAACAAAACAAACAAACAAACAAGAAACAACAACAACAACAAAAAACTGGATGGCATTGTATTATACAAATGACCATGAATTCCTGCAGTTCCTTTTATAAGGAGATAGGATCTCTTTTCTCACCTCTTCAACCCAGGCCATGCCTTGTGACTTGTTCTGATGAAAACAGTGTGAAGTGACATTGTGTACCTTGTAGGCAATGCCTCAAGAGGCTGTACAGCTTCTTCTCTTACCCTTCTTAGATTCTGTCACTTTATGATGTGAACAAAATCCTCTGAAAAGGAATTTGGAGGAAAGAGACTTTATTCCAGTGAACAGTTTGCATACCAAGGAGATGCAGCAGCCTCTGTTGTAAAACAAAGGTACATTCCAGAGAGCAAAGGGTAGGCTCAGGTTTTGTAGCAAAGATTCCTGCCACAGTTCCCAATCAGGTCTGTTTATGTAAATAAAGGGTCAAAAGTTGCTTAGCTCTGATTGGTAGATACAGCTGAGCCCTGACTGGTTTATACAGCTGAGCCCTGACTGGCTGAGAGAGGTGAGCGCTGATTAGTTGATTCAGGTGAGCTCTGAAAGTCCCCAAAATAAAAAGGTGTGGGTTTCTGGGGAACTCCGAGTATGTGTTTGACCCCTTATCAGCCAATGGCCACTTGGCTCTATTTTAGATTTAGGCCCAGTTACCAACTTGAGATCTGCCGTGAAGAAATGGCTCTTTCAGATTCATATTTGTCCATTGTGAATAAACCCAAATTTAGCCCACTTAGAAATGAGACAGCAAATGGAGATAGAGACCCTAAACATGTGACCAAGGCTGACTGGGACCAGCCAGGCCCAGCTGACATACCAACTGATTGCAGGCCAGCAGTGAACTCAGCTGACACTGTGTGGAATAGAAAGAATTGGGCTTAGTGGTTTATGCCTGTAATCCCAGCACTTTGAGAGGCTGAGGCAGAAGGACTGCTTGAGGCCAGGGGTTCAAGACCAGCCTGGGCAACATAGTGAGGCCCTGTTTCTACAAAAAACTTTAAAAAGATAGCCGACCATGGTGTCATGTGCCTGTAGTCCCAGCTACTCAGGAGGCTAAAGTAGGCGAGCCTCCTGAGCCCATGAGGGCCAGGCTGCAGTGAGACACAATTGTGCCACTGCTCTCCAGCCTGGGCGACAGAGCAAGATCCTATTAAAAAAAAAAAGTCACAGTGCTGGATTCTTCATGACAGCAAGGAAGATGTAGCAGCACATTACAAACCAGTCCAATTTACTTATAAATTTGATTCACTATTCAGTTTTTGATTCTTGAAATATCCATTCTCTATTACAAAAAGTCCCAAGCCACCTCTGTTGGTAGTCTACTGCTAAGTAACAAACAACTCCAAAACTTGATGGCTTAAAACAACTATCTCTGCATTCAGGATTCTTTGGATTGGTGAGGTGCCCTGGGCTGCATGCCCAGGCCATTGTGACCTTTTTTCTAGGAGGTGACAAAGCCAAATAAATTAGCCTTGTAAAATATAAAGAAGCGCTAACATCAACAACCGTGTGTGGAATATCTGTTAGGTATTAGGCAAAGTTCTAATCACTATAATACAGAATTGGACACAATACAGGAAGTTGTTTTTATTATTTATTTATTTATTTATTTATTTATTTATTATTTTGAGATGGAGTCTCACTCTGTCACTCATGCTGGAGTGCAGTGGCATAATCTCGGCCCACTGCAACCTCCCAAGTTCAAGAGATTCTCCTGCCTCAGCCTCCCGAGTAGCTGGGATTTCAGGTGTGTGCTACCACGTCCAGCTAATTTTTTGTATTTTTTGTAGAGACAAGGTTTCACCATGTTGGCCAGGCTGGTCTTGAACTTCTGACCTCAAGTAATCTGCCCACCTTGGCCTTCCAAAGTGCTGGGATTACCGGCTTAAGCCACCATGCCTGGCCCAGAGAGAGATTTTAAAGAAGTTCAGTGGAGGTGAAAGAAGAAAAAAGATCCGATGATGAACAATGTTTTAAAGGAACTTAGAACAATTAAAACAGACTAAGGGAGGATTATTTCAGAGGCATGAAACAGCAGGTGCAATGTATGATGTTGGAGAATATGGACATATTCATGGGACAACAAGAAAACCATTGTGGTTGGTGTGGCATGTGAGATGAGGAAAATGAAGTTGGAGAGATGGTTGTGTCAAGCACAGTGTGTGGTAAGGATATTGGATTTTATTCTAAGTGTGATGAGAAGCCTCATTTGAACAGGGGCATGATATGATTAGATTTCTGGTTTAATAGGTTTACTTTTCAAAAGGATTACTCTACTATGTAGAGAATAGAGTGAGGGGAACTTATACGAGAAACGGGGAGACCAGTGAGAGAGCTCTTACAGAAGGTCTGATAAGTAGCCTAATAGAAACAATCTGAGCAAGTGTGATTGTTTTTTGAGATCCTAAAAATTTTGATAACTACAAGGTACTGTGGAAGCGGAGAGAACATTGACTCTGGAGTTTGTATGTGTTATATAGAACTGGTTTTATATCCCTGGGATTTATGTAGTGCTAGTGAAGCTACTCCATATGTCTCAGCTTCAGTTTCTTTATTTTTAAAGTGGCATCTAATTCACTGGTTTGTTGGAAGGATTAAATATATAATATATATTATGTGCCAAGCAGAGGACTTGGGAATATCATAGGTACATACATGTTAGTTACACTTATTACCCAGTTTTTGTAAATACGTGATTAATCATTTTCTTAGTTTTAAAAGAAAGGATCCACACTGCATGTTCTCACTCTTGGTGAGAAGTAAACAATGAGAACACTTGGACACAGGAAGGGGAACATCACACACCGGGGCCTGTTGTGGGGTGGGGGGAGGGGGAAGGGATAGCATTAGGAGATATACCTAAAGTAAATGATGAGTTAATGGGTGCAGCACACCAACATGGCACATGTATACATATGTAACAAACCTGCACGTTGTGCACATGTACCCTAGAACTTAAAGTATAATAAAAAATATATAAAAAAATAAAATAAAAAAATAAAATAAAAGGATCCAAAAGAAGAAACAAGCACCAAAATCCCAGTATGGTAGATGGCAGGGATTGAGGCAGTGGATTAAAGATGGAGAGAATGTAGAACCCTAATTCAATATTCTTGATACTTCTTGAAGCTTGCTGGAAATATTTTTACATAAGGGGATGCTGAAACACAGAAAGTAAGTGACCCATTTCTTCTTCATTTTGGCATTCCAAGTATTATAGCATACCCAATTATGCATTGTATTAGTCTGCTCTCATGCTACTAAATAAAGACATACCCAAAACTGGGTAATTCATAAAGGAAAGAGTTCCACATGGCTGAGGAAGCCTCACAATCACGGCACAATCACGGCAGAAGGCGAAGGAAGAGCAAAGAGATATCTTACATGGTGGCAGGCAAGAGAGAGAGCTTGTGTGGGGTAACTTCCCTTTATAAAACCATCAGATCTCATGATACTTATTCACTATCACAAGAACAGCATGGGAAAGATTCACCCCCATGATTCAATTACCTCCCTCGAGTTCCTTCCCATGACACTTGGGAATTATGGGAGCTACAACTGGAGATTTGGGTAGGGATACAGCCAAACCATATCATGCATATATTTGTAGGTTGTTTTAAAAAATTAATTTGCTTTAAAGCTATGTTTTCTCTTTATTACTGTTCTTTTTCTCTTCACATGTTCATCGTTCCTCAAAACAATGCCATAAACTTTGAAGGTGAGACAAACTAAGATAATATGAAATCTATTGTAATTTTGTTTTTGACTCTTAGTACCATGCATCCTGTTTTTTAAAAAAGGTCTTATTGTGCAAGACGTGAAAAAGTTGATTATGAGAATTTTTTATCCAAAAATTAATACATAAAGAGAGACTCCTTCAAGGTTTAGCTATACATTGTTTTACCATTTTGAAATATTATAAGTTTGAAAACAATCACCCAACATAGCATGTCCTCTTTACCTGTCCTTCCTGTCAAGTTTTTAAAATGCAATCCCAGAATTTCAATTACATATATATGATTTCATTTTAGAGGTAGCTGTTAATCCCATTAGACAGAAATATATTTGGATACTAGGTTTACTATTAAAAGTAACAGTATTTTCATAAAATTAGGTTGATTAAATATCCTCTGTATTCTCTTTAGGGTAATAATTCTCTATGCTGGCATAATATATGCTATTAATGTTCAAATTAATTTATTTGATTGCTACTCTTTCTATGCTTGTTCTGTTTGAGACATATTTTCGTAATTAAAGTGATATGCTTAGAGGCACATATAAAATTCAGTAAAAAGGGAGTTTTCAGAATATCATTTATTTGTAAAATTATTTTCCGATATCAAAGGCTACAGAACATTGCTCACTCTTTAAAGTCTGGTTTGAGATCTCTAATGTTTGAGGAGAATTCATGCTTCTATTAATGTTAATAGCATAAGAATGTAGAATGCCTGTTTTGTTTTTGTTGCCATGGTTTATAATCATGTGATACATACAACATTTCTGTCAAGGACAGATTACATATATGACAGTGATTCTGTATTTTTACCGTAACTTTTCTGTTAAGATACACAAATGCTTACCATTGTGTTACAGCTGCTTACAGATTTCAGTACAGTAACCAGCTGTGCAGGTGTGTAGCCTAGAACAGTTGACCATCCCACATAGCCTAGGTGTGAAGTAGATTATACCATCTAGGTTTGTGTAGGTACACTCCATAATGTTTGTACAATGATGAAATTCCCTAATGACACATTTCTCAGAAACTTGTCATTAAGCAACCCATGACTGTTTGTGTTAACAAAGGTGATGTCTAATAGCATTTTATAGTTTCCAACATATATTCACATGTTTATCTCAAGTAGACATAACTCAAGTGTGATTACACTGGTTTTATTCTAACTTCCGTTTTGTAATCTTGAAAATAGAGGCTCGGAAAGTTATCTTTATTTGCAAAATGATGTGCAGAGGGGTAATGTAGTATTAGATTCTAACTCTATGGCAAACGACATCAAACCTCCTAGAAAAATTCCATTTACAGCTGATTAATTGCTTGTTAATCACTTCCTGAATCTGGGAGGCTAAGATTTTAAAGACATGGAGAAGTTAGAAACAAAGAGAAAGGGCTAAAGAAAAGTTTCATTCTCTGACATTAAATGAGTAATAGTATTTTAAAAAATCTGACTGATTAAAAGTATATTAGGCAAGATGTGGTGGCTCATGCCTGTAATCCCAGCATTTTGGGAGGTCGAGGAGGGTGGATCACTTGAGGTCGGGAGTTCGAGACCAGCCTGGCTAACATGGTAAAACCCCGTCTCTACTAAAACACAAAAATTAGCTGGGCATGGTGGTGCGTGCCTGTAATCCCAGCTACTCCCTAGGCTAAAGGAGGAGAATCGTTTGAACCCGGGAGGTGGAAGTTGCAGTGAGCCAAGATTGCACCACAGCACTCCAGCCTTGGTGACAGAGTGAGACTCTGTCTAAAATAAATAAATAAAAAATTTTAAAAAAGTATATGTTTACCTTTCACTGGAAATACCAGACTAAACAGTAACAGTTACTTTAGAAATGAGATTATTGGCCAAGTAGTCACAAGCTGGTAGAAAGAAACCACCCAGCTTTTCCACAGAAGTTGATTGTGTGAAATTCTTAACTGAGTTATAATTTTTAGAAGTTGATTCTGAGTAAATTTTTGCATAATTCTTTTAAAATTATACATAGAAGTCAGTTACCAATTTTTTGGTAAGAAATAGATCAAGACAGATAACTGTGGATTTTTCCAAAAGCCTCCTTATATTAGAAAGCTTGAATGGCAATTCTGATTAGTACTAGAAAATGACATGAGTTTTTGAAAGTAATATATCTGGCATCTGGGGCTTTTTTATAAATCCAAACTTAATAAAGGACCTGTATGTGTGTGCTGTGGACTAACGTTGTACCCCCCGCCCACTCCAAATGCATAGGTTGAAGCCCTAGGCCCCATTGTGACTGTATTTGGAATCAAGGCCTTTAGGAAGTAATTAAGGTTAAATGAGGCCATAAGGGTGGGGCCCTAATCCCATTAGATTTGTGTTCCTATAAGAGGAGGAGAAGACTCCAGGGAACTCTCTGTCCATCTTCTGAGGACACAGGGAGAAAGCAGCCCTTTACAAGCCAGGAGGAGAGCCCTCAATGAAAACAGAATCAGCTGGAATCTCGATCTTGGACTTCCAGCCTCCAGAACTGTGAGACATAAATTTCTGTTGTTTAAGTCATCCAGTCTATCATACATTGTTATGGTAGCCTGAACTAAGGCAGTATGTAAACAGTACACAATTTCCAGCCCTGTTAAATCTAGAACAGAAATTTCCATCTTTTACAAATGGTGATTTTTTTTTAATTATTAGAACATTTTAAGGCCCTCCATACCATAGTTGTTTACTTCCAGTGGATTGGAAAATCACAGTATCAAGAATTACAGAAATAATCAGTGGCTCTGAAAAATGAACATGCATTTTACCCACCACAATTATATTGTGCATTTGAAAGATAGTTGTGCACACATACGCAAGACCCATAATTTATTCCGTTTATATAGAAAATGCATAGGGTCTCCAAGATTCTTATATTCCCTTCAACACATTTGTGAATTTCGCCTCCAACTTTGGGGCCAATCTACAATTTATCAACAAGGATGATTATGTAACAATGCAATTGATACCAGTGCTAATTGTAACTAGCTACCTGTACTAGGTATTCAAACACATGCTTTTATCTCTTTTAGTGAGGACCGCTTAAATCAGGCATAGGGTCTTCTGAGCTATACCTAGCAATCACTTTCTGTTTGCCTTTTGGCCAAAAGATCTTAGAAGCTTAGTTAAAAGGCATTCCATGAGAGATCTAGTTCAACTCCTTCCTATACAGACTAAAGCCTGAAACTTACAGTGCCTATTTAGAGTCAGAAACTGTACTTCAACTCAAATCTCCTCTGAGCTACATTATTGTAATGTTAATTTTATGTATTTTAGTAGAAATCTCATACATATTCTAAACATTTTTTTATCACATTTTTTGTTGGGTTTGTGAAGCCCTCAGAAATCCCTTGTAAGTTGGCAGTTCACCTAACTCTGCCTCAGATTCTCTTTCTGGCATCTTCTTTTTTTTTTTAATTTTTATTTTTTATTGTACTTTAAGTTCTAGGGTACATGTGCACAACGTGCAGGTTTGTTACATATATATGCATGTGCCATGTTGGTGTGCTGCACTCATTAACTCGTGATTTACATTAGGTATATCTCCTAATGCTCTATCTCATCACTCCATGCCTGGAAATAGTCTTTGGGGCTCATTCTTGAAAAGGTTCAAGGTTTGTACCAGGGAGTAGATAAATAAAGGTGTAGTACCTAAGTAAAAAATACACTCTATTTCATTTAATAAATGAACCAACATAAACACATACTAATATACCTCAAAATGCCTGTAGATCTAGGCAAGCACTTAACTGAGCTGTGTTAATTTTGTTATGAATTTGAAAGATCACAAGGGTATTGTGCTTTCATGGCCATATAGCTCACCCAACTCGGCATAGCAGAGAGGACAATCTCATCTATGAGAGAGATGGTTACTGGGAAAATGGAAACTGTTTTATAATGGAAATACCGCTGGAATCCTGTCTTTAATGTGTTGTACAGTATTCTGACCTTACAGTAAATTTACACACATACACACACCCCACTCTACTAATCTAACGTTTTTAGGAGGGTCACTTAACTAAACTCTTCTGAAGTACATGCCTGTAATCCCAGCACGCTGGGAGGCTGAGGCGGGCGGATGACGAGGTCAGGAGATTGAGGCTAACATGGTGAAACCCCATCTCTACTAAAAATACAAAAAAATTAGCCGGAAGTGGTGGCACATGCCTGTAGTCCCAGCTACTCAGGAGGCTGAGGCAGGAGAATCGCTTGAACCTGGGAGATGGAGGTTGCAGTGAGCTGAGATCACGCCACCGCATTCCAGCCTGGGTGACAGAGCAAGACTCTGTCTCAAAAAAATAAAAAAAAAAATTTAAAAAAAAGAATAAAATAAATCATACCTAGAAAAGTCATACATAAGATATCGCTAGAGGGATAGACCATGCTGCAAATAGATCAAGTAGGTGAAAATTCTTGGGGAAATGATGAAGATATGGGTAAACAACTGTAACAACATGGAAAAGATGTGCATAATGAGAGCTGGTGCAATAATCTGATATAACCAACAGGAGACAGATGGATTGAATTTAATTCTTCTGACACTCTAACAGTAAATTGAATTGTATACCATGTAATTGTTCTTAGTATCTGAAGAAGGTATTAATGTAGTATTTGATGATGGGTACTGAAGTCTATTCAAAGCTAATATGTGATTGTTCTTATCATGCTGAAATTGTCTGGGCTTGATTTAAGGATGCTGAATACTTTATATTCTGTTCTTAGGCTTTTCAAATGTGTTTAAATAATGTTCATTTAATATAATTCTTTAGCAACCCAGTGAAAGAAAGCTAAATACTATCAATCATTCACTTTTTTTGATTAAAAAAATTAATGTGACTTAATTATCTGTCCACACCTCACTCCCTATAGGTCACCTTCTAAGGTAATTGAAAAAGGTGGAGATTCAGGGGTGGGAACTTTATCTCACATTGCTTTCAATGAGGTCTGTTTCCAACCCAGCCAGGAGTCGTTACTCATTCCACTGGTCAGCTCTTTAAGTCCAAGACCCCTACCTTTTTCTGTATGATTTTACTTCTGGCAAAAGAGGGAATCTATGTGCAGGAAAGGCCACACTGAAATGAACTGATTGGATAATTTACCTCACTAAAGTGACAGCTTGTTAGGGACCAAGCCAGTGAGAACTAGAGATCAGTTCACCTGTCTGCAAGTTTAATGTCTTCAACCACACTGTATCTTCCTCCTCCCCTTGGTTCCTTCCTGATCTACCCACAACTATGTGAGAATGTAGCTGTGTGTCCAGTTTACTGTCGATATAAATGAGAGAAAAAAGGAGATGATTTGGTGATGTTTCTATAAAACACTTACAGCAAAAAATCACTTTATAAAGATTTGAACTCCAATCTCTCATTCAAAATTTAGTGGAGATGTTTATTTTACGGCATTTCTTTTAATGCTGATTTTATTTACGGCAATTAGTAAAAAAAATTGCACTCTACAGCAGTTAAGTTATCGAAGCTGGTATTCGAAAGAAAAGGTAATGGAAATTTATATATCAGCTGTTTCGCAGAGCAATTTTAGGTTATTGACCTTGAATCTCCATATTGAATATCTGATCTATAGTATGTTAAAGGATTCTTTTTTGAGAACTTTTCAAAGTACTTATGATAGAAATTCTATAGAACTATTTACTGTGTATAGCATATGGCCTTGTGTCTCTTGATATATGTTGGCGGTTTGATTAAAAAAATCAACAATTAATACCTTTGAGCATCTTCACATATTTTCTAAAGCTTTATATAGAGAAAAAGAAAAAAGTAGTTTGCATATAATGTGTTTATTATAAAAAAATTCAAATAATACAGATGAGAGGGAGGAGAATCCTAAATTCCATCATCCAGAATTAACCAGTCAATATAAGGTAAATATCTTCCACCCATATCTTTAGACAAATTATCAGAGGAGAGAGAAATAGGTGAGTAGAAATATACACATTCATATTTGAATAGATGCAACTTTCTAAAACTGAGATTATAGCGTAAGTGCTGAGAAATAAAAATAAAATTCTAAGCATCCAACCAGCTGAATCGACCTTTCTTGGCCAAGAGGACCTCAGAGAAACCTTAACAGCTGAGTTCTCGGCCATGGTGGGGTGGGAGGTCAGTCATGCCTCAGTGCGCCCCTTCCTCATTAACCTTTAACCAGAATTCTTTCTAAGGAATAAGCAGAAATCAGCTCTGGAAAACAAGAAACAGATGACTCATTCCTTTATCACCCTTAGCCAATCATCTGAGGCAGCGACTGGATTCCCTCTCCCACTTTGCTGTTTCCACATTACCACTCGCCAGTTTCCCAATGCACCCCTTCCTGAAACTAGACTGCCACGTCTGGACAGATTTTCGCTGACTCAAGGAGGATGCCCAGTGAGATTTTTGGTGTCCTTGGCTTTACCTTTTGATGTTGGAGGGCCCAAAACTCCACCCTTGGATCATGCTAATACCATTTTTTGTACATGTGACCCTTGAAGAAGCACAAAGCTTGAATGCACTTGTACGTGTTTCTACTTTCATGAATACTCATGACTCCTCCTGTAGCTTATTGAATATGTATACTCAGCTACCCTAATTAACATAAATCCTCGTCTTGCTCTCGACTTTTGCTGGAGGATACCCTTTCCATTGCAGGGTGGCCAGACTGTAGCTTGCAGGAGCTGCCTTGCAGAATGACTGGTAGCTCTCAGCTGGTTTGTGAGTGGACTACATGAAATGCAATGTGAGATAAAGATCCTATCCCCTCCCTCACCTTTCCCAAGTTTATTAGAATTTGGAAGGGAGAAATAAAGCTTTCTTTCCAAATTTATGAACCTCATGATTCTTCAGTTGACAATACTATGTTTGAGGAAAATAATGGGCTTTCAGTGCCAGGTATACAACCTGAAGGCCACTAGTTGTAGACTAGTACCTTAAAAGGTTACCTAAAACATTAAAATTTTGAGTTTACTATTTTTAAAACTTTATTTTTGTACTTTCCGATTTATCTGTCAGTTGCCTGCTATGAAACATTAGATAGTTATTTTTATATTTTCATGGTTGATAGTAATAGCATTCTGATTTATAACCATAATAATGAAATGGTCATTTTTCCCTTTACATAATTTTCTTGGAGACAGTGCTCACCATCAGAAGATTTGCTATAGTTTCTCTCTTCCCATAGATAACCACATGCTGAATACAGCTAATAGTTACGGAATTTTTATTAGAGGTACATTGATCACCCATTGGTTGATTTAGTGTATAGTTAGGCATTACATTTTTAAGTTCTTTTTGGTGGCATATTCTCTGTATATTTGTATGTGTTAGAAATATGTGTGTTGCCTATATAGTTAAATTACAACTTGACTGAACAAAAAAATTCTTGAGTCACAACTTTATTCTCTGAGATTGCATAAACATTGTTATTATCAGATATTATGGAGAGGTACCAGGTACCAGCTTATTGAATTTTTTTCCTCCATATAGATAACTCAATTTATCTTTCTAGAGGCCTATAAGATTTCCTTGTTTAATCTATTGAAAACCTCAGTAGGAAATTTTGTAGTACTCAAAATTCTATGGCAAATTTTCTTGAGACATGATGTGCAAATTCAAGTCTTAATCTCAGAAAAATATTTTTCTAATATATCTTTAATTGTTTTCTACAACAACTACGTATGCACCTGATCTCCTTTTTTTTCCCCTGCAATTTATGTGATGACTTTTGTCTTGTCAGCTTGAGATGCCTTAACCAAAGATGGCAGGCTAGGTGGCTTAAAGAACAGAAATACTTTTTCTCCCAGTTCTGGCAGGTAGAGGTCTCAAATCAAAGTGCCAGCTGTTTGGGTTCTTAGTGAGGGCTCCCTTTCTGGCTTATGGACAGCCTCCTTCTGTATCCTCACATGAGAGAAAAAGAGAATTAAAAAGAGAGGGAAGGAGAGAAAATGAATCTCATATCTCTTCTTACAAGGACACTAATCCTATTGAATAAGGACCCCACTCTTATGATATTATTTAACCTTAATTACCTTCCTAAAGACTGTCTCCAAATACAGGCACACTGGGCATTGGGGCTTCCATTTACGAATTTTAGCAACACCAACATTCAATCCATAACATTCATCCCAGACATTTATTTCATTGTTCTTTTCCATTTCATGTTGTGTGTACCTCGGGGCTATTTCCTGTGTCCTGACTGGTAATTTAGTCATGCTTATTCTGGCCAGTAGTGGGTTCATCTCTGTAATTCTTTACCTGACTACTGCCAGTTCACTCTTTCTCTCCTGTTGTTATTTCATCGTGTCCTTTTGGTTTCTTATACCAGCATGTTTTTTTCTTAGAACACAGGGAACTCTTTTATTAACTCTATTTCTGAGGAGTATAATTTTCACAAGTAGTATTTTAAAATAGATTTACCTTTAAATGAACTGTGTAGCCCTTGTGAAATCACTCTTATAAGGATGCAATATATTTGTTAAGACTTGGCAAGAACCATTCAAATTATAATCTTCCTTTATTAATTAAGGAATGATCTTCAAGTGGTGGCCCATTGATTCAATATTAAATAATCTTACTAAGAATTTTCATTATGTTTTAAGTATCCATGTATATCAAATGACTACTACACTGATAGTCATACAATATTTATTTGATCTTTTTTGTTTGTTTGTTTGTTTGTTTTGAGTTCTAAATGAAATGAAGCTGGAGTTCAAATATCATTACTGCATGAGGCAATGTGAGGCATTCATAAACATTACCCCTCATAAAGTCAACACACCCATGCTAGAAAAGAAGGCAGCATTTGGGTTAGGAATGATGTAGATCGATTGCTACAGAATGGCTAAGCTGTAGTTATGATAACTTTTCCTCCGTATTTTTGGTGTAGGTCCTCTGTTTGTCTACAGCTGCACATTTCCATGCATTTTCGAGAAACATGGATTTATACGATTTAATACCACACATGGTGCCACCTACTTTCTCTAACAGTTGGTTTCCTAAATGAATTGGCAACTAGGCATATCACAGTAGTGCTTTGTTTTATTTTCTATGGTGTTAGAAATGCTTTACTTTTGAAAAGAAAATGAAAATCTTTGTACTCAAAGTGGCTTTTGACAACTCTTTAAGTGCCATTACTCCTAAAAAAGGATAAGACGTGTTTTGAATACTTTACTAGTGCTAAAATGTCACATTTTTGAGAAATCTATTTTATGGTTTTTCTGAATATCTGAACCAAACACCTCTCTGGAATTTAATAATGTGTGTCTCTGCATTCCTAAGTAAACAATAAATTGTCTTCCTTTTTGAATAAAAGTTGCCATGACAACTTGGCAAGCGTGGGCTCTAGAAGTCAAATACCAAGTTCTAGTATTTCGAAGATGTGATATTGTTTTTGGCAGGTCTGATTTAAGAAAAACTGAAGGTGTATTTTCACATAGTATGTCAGTGGTAGACTTCGTAATTAGACTAAATCGTGTATATTTTTGCAGGTAATTCATTATTTAAGCGCAATGATGTTCTTTATGATAACTTCAAGACTCTTTCTTAACTAATCACAGAAATCCAGAGATTAAGGAAAATGCCAAGGTTATTTTATAAATGCTGATTTCAAAAATTATACTGAACTCAATTGTGAAATTTTGACACCTTAAAGAAAATATCTATTTTGTAATATTCCCTATTTATAGGGAAATTTTGCAGCATCATAAAATCTGTTATGTAATTCACCTAAAGATTACATCTTTAACCTCAATGTTCCTGAAATCTTTGTAATAATACTGTCAATAGGGAAAAAATTTAAATTTTGATTTAAACACCGTGAATATTTTCTTCCAAACCACCTTTTATACCATTCCCTGAAAAATTAAATGAATTATTATTTTACATAATTTAATTTTTAATTTTTAAAAATTTTCAGTGAATGATATAAAGTGGTGGCTTTGAAGAAAATAGTCAATGAAATGAATTCTAGGTGGCCTTGTTCAAAGTTGCTTAAGTTTGGTTGCAAGTAAAAAGACCTGTTTTTTCAGTTATGATTCTTTTCGTTGACCATAACCTAATTCAAGGTGATTTAACAATAGAAAAAGATTCAAGGTTTCATGGAAGTGAACAAGTCCAGTAGTAGGTCACATCTAGATAGACTTGCGCAGGGATCTGGCTTTTTCCCCTTCCTTCCTTCCTTCCTTCCTTCCTTCCTCCCTCCCTCCCTCTCTCTCTTTTTCCTTCCTTCCTTCCTCTTTCTTTCTTTCCTTCTTTCTTTCTTTCTCTCTCTCTCTCTCTCTGTCTTTCTTTCTTTCTTTCTTTCTTTCTTTCTTTCTTTCTTTCTTTCTTTCTTTCTTTCTTTCTTTCTTTCTTTCTTTCTTTCTTCTTTCTCTCTCTCTCTTTCTTTCTTTCCTTCTTTTTCTTGAGTCTTTCTCTGTTGCCCAGGCTGGAGTGTAACAGCACGATCTAGGCTCACTGCAAACTCCGCCTCCCAAGTTCAAGCAGTTCTCCTGCCTCAGCCTCTGACTAGCTGGGATTACAGGCATCTGCCATCACGCCTGGCTATTTTTTGTATTTATAGCGGAGACGGGGTTTCACCATTTTGGCTAGGCTGTTCTGGAACTCCTGACCTCAGGTGATCCACCCGCCTCGGCCTCCCAAAGTGTTGTGATTACAGGCATGAGCCACCGCGTCCAGCCTGCAATTCTTTCTTTAGCTATGTGTTTGCCTCATCTTCAGACAGAATTTCCCCATAGTAGCAAAATGGAGCCAGTGATTCCAGGTCTCACACCCCCACATCTCCACAATCAGAACAAGGGAAATGATCACTTCTCTACCTAAATTCCTGAATGTCTCAGTAATTGCTCCTTCTTAGGTTATCTGCTCATGCATGCCACCAACCACTGTGACCAGTGTAATAACATGAGCAAAATGGCTTGTGCCCAATGTCAAGGAAGGTTCCCACCTCCACATCTTCTGATGGTGAAGCCCAATATACACAGATGAGTAGTATACATACCGCGGACACATTCACAGTGTGTTTTACCCTCAGACAACCCAAACTATCCGTGTCATTATGAGGTTCTGAAACAGAGGGAGGGCTGGAAACCCATTGAAGTTTCAGAGCTTTTGGGGGCTGCATGATCTTCCTTATTCTTTCTTTACATCTACTTTGTTCTTCTTTCTCTGCAGACCTTTCTTTTCTTTCACCAAGGTATACATATAATTTGTGTTCCATACCCAGAGTTTAATTGCAGATATACCTAGGGTTTTTTGTTTGTTTTGTTTTGTTTTTCTGTCTCCCAGGCTGGAGTGCAGTGGTACGATCTTGGCTCACTGCAACCTCTGCCTGCAGAGTTAAGCAGCTCTCCTACCTCAGCCTGTCAAGTAGCTGGGATTACAAGCACCCGCCACTGCACCCGGCTAATTTTTGTATTTTTAGTAGAGACTGTGTTTTGCCATGTTAGCCAGGCTGATCTCAAATTCCTAACCTCAGGTGATCCGCCCGCCTTGGCTTCCCAAAGTGCTGGGATTACAGGCATGAGCCACTGTGCTAGGGTCTTCATTACATAAAAAAACTTACTGTTAACATTTAATCACTATTCTCAACATTTACACTTGGATCATAGTCTCTCTTTTAGTCATGAGGCAAAATCTATTTAGAATACTGCATAGAATATTCTTTTCCTTTTTGTAATCAGTTACATATATATCTTGATTGATGATTTGTTAAAAAAAAATACATGGGATTCATGTTTTGACTGGATTTCAGGAATAATTTTATTACATTTAATTATCACTTAGATGATAAATGAATTACACAAAATTTACATCCCAAACCTTATTATTCAAATCATAGACCTATTTATTCAACATTTTTTCTTACATTTACCTGAATGTTTTAAAATATTTTTTGTCTACTAACTCCTCAAATTGATTTCATGGTTATAAAACATTGCAATCAGAATTAGCCAATAATTATATAATTTTTCTGGATATTTCTCATCAAAATTGCCTCTTAAAACATTTACATCTCCTCACTGAGTGGGAACCATGAAGAATAAAGGCTTTGTGACAGGCACTAAGGTAACACCAACAATGAGAATTCAAATAAAAGTAGAATGTAGTAACTCAAATTAAAGGAAAAAATATATTGTGTCCATTTCTAGGACCATTAGCTGAAAGCAGGCCCTGATATAACCTTATTTTTAAAGAAAAGAAGTTTGAATTTGTTATTACTAATTGTAATTATACTTTAGGTTTTTAGTAAAAAGTTCAAAAGAGACATTTTTGTTCAAAAGGACCTTTTTGTTCTGGTGACAAATTAGATCTTTGTACCCAGTATATATTTCCTTCCAAGTCTTGTATATTTAACAATTTCCTCTAAAGAAGACTACTAATTTTATACACACACAAACACACACACACATAAAATTCAAAACTTAGAAGGAAATATATATTGAAATTTTTAAATATGCAAAACATTTAATCATTATTCTCCACGTTTACATTTGGATCATAGTATTTCTTTTAGTCACAAGGCAAAATCAATTTAGAATACTGCATAGAATATTCTTTTCCTTTTTGTAATCAATTACATATATATCTCGATTGATGATTTGTGAAAAAATACATGGGATTTATGGTTTGCCTGGATTTCAGTAATCATTTTATTTTATCTGATTAGCACTTAGATAATAAATGAACTAGACAAAATTCACATTCTAAATTTTATTATTCAAATCATAGAGCTATTTATTAACATTTTTTTCTTACAGTTCGTATGTGTGTGTGTGCACATTTACTTATTTAATCCAAATTCACTTCTCCTAGAGTATAGTTAAATCATTTTGCTCTTTTAAAAACTATTAATACTCTTGAGTTCAATAGGATTTTTTTTAAAGAATTGTAGGTAAAACATCTCGGTTCTTGATATACATTATTATCTATTATTGCAGGAGGATACAGACCACAATTACTATATATCTCGAATATATGGTCCATCTGATTCTGCCAGCCGGGATTTATGGGTGAACATAGACCAAATGGAAAAAGATAAAGTGAAGATTCATGGAATATTGTCCAATACTCATCGGCAAGCTGCAGTAAGTGTTTGGACATTCAGGGTTCATTTTACCTACTGTGAAAAAATAATTGCTTTAATTGGCCTACAACCATTTCTTTTATGAGTTTGATAATTAAATATTAGAATGGCCTTATCTGTGGTAATCGCTTTTCAAGTGTATTCAGTTCTGTAATTGTAATTTAGATTGATTACTGCATATAAGATATTAAAGAAAATGAAATAGAATTGTTTTGATAAACTGCCATTAATTGAACCAATTTTCTCAGTATATCTGATGAATGTATATTGGATTCTAAATTGAGCTTTATCTTGGATTATTTTTAGTTTTCTTATAATCCATGAGTGTATAGAACATTTTTAAAAATTACTTGAATTTGGTATCTTCCCATTTACATGGGTTTATTGCTGTTGGTCTTGGATTTAACCAAAGATTTAACCGAAGTCATTTATGACTTAGATAACATATATAGACCAAATTATGATCTTAAATGAAGACGTTTAATATAAAGAAAAATAATAAAATATAGAAAGCATCAGACTGATATTTTAAACCTGGACTCATTATTTCCTAAGTGTGTCTCCTGAAATAAATAATTTAACTATTCTGAGGTGCTTTCTGCATGTGTAAACTGGAGATGAGAAGGAATATTAATACCAGCCTCCCTTTCCTTACATGGTCATAAATAGCCTATTCAAGGGCCAGCCTGAATGCTCAAATGCATTAGCTTTTCCAATCTCCACAACAATCCTATGATTTAAATATTATTACATCACACATTGCAGATAAGAGAACGGAGGAGTCTTGGAAAATTCAGATAACCTGCCCAAGGTCTCCACTAGAAAGTGGTAAACTGAGGTGTTAACCTAGGTAGCAAAGCTGATGCTCAAATTGTGTGTGTAAAATTTATCACACTTGGTTCTCAGAATGTTCTTTGGTCATCATTTTATGATAAATGCCAGATTTCACATTTTAAAGGGTATTTGGTTTTGCTGGCCTGGGTAACAGTGGTGATAGTGTCATTGATGAAGCCATGAGATGTTCAGTTAAGTATGACCTGAAGTGAAAAGAAAACAACTTTAACGTTTCAAGTGCTTTTGTCATTATTGATATAAACACAGGACTAATAGAGTCAATGGCTGAAGTTATTTAAAGAGGCATTGATTTGATAAATGTTAAATATCAAAATTTTTGGCAGTGGTCTTCCTTGTTTATATGTAGATGTTCCTGTTATCAGGAGATCCATTGCTAAAAGCTAAATGGAAATTAAGAATAGTATACCATGATGATTCACTGAATTTTCGGTGTAGAGCACATGCTTTCTGCGTCTGAGAAGCAAATGAAGTAGCTGCCTTTCCTTGCTAAATTCCATCATCCACCCCCACCCCAGTTTTTTCTATATTCAGGCAACCCCAGGTAGGCAAGATGACAGATTTAGAAATAATTCACAGTGGAATTTCCAACAGATTGTCAAAAGAAGAGAAAATGATAAAGATTAGATTTTAACAATGTCTTTCTGGGATCTATTGCATTTGACAACCTTCCTACTATGGCATTTATAGTGTTTAATAGCATAAAATATACTTCGTGGAATTTTGAATGTTGGTGTATGCACATGGAGATTCTGTGACGTGGCCTAGTCCTAGTGTCAGCCACTATGGGTGACATCTATAGGCAGAGAAAGGAGTTCCTCAGTTAAAGTATTAGCTGATTTCTTCTTCTGTACAAATATGGCTACCATCTGTCTCCTCTGTGCCGCCCCCCAAGGTAAGACAGTTTGTGTCCTGCCTCTCCTTAAAGAAGCCTGTTCTCTTTGCAATAGGTTTTACTTGGTTGCCTTGTGACAGCTCTCTGATTGTGTCATGAAAAATGATAATACTGTAGACAGTCCATTTTTTTCTTATTGTTAGTGTGGCAGTGACGTTGTTGCTTTTAACACTTGAGGTTGCCTCATACATAAATGGAAGGACTTGAACTTCTGGTTGTAACTTACCTGGTGCTCTTTATGTTGATTGTTAAATATATACAATTGTTAGAGGTTTTTATTTTAGATACCCTGCCATTGTCATAGCTTGGGTTCTTGGTTACCCATGAGTATTGAAGCCATTAACAAACATTTCTTCAGAGTTAGAAATTGGTGGAAAAAGCTATCAACAAAATTCAACACCCTTCATGTTAAAAACACTCAAGAAACTAGGCATGGAAGGAACATACCTCAAAGTAATAAGAGCCATCTATGACAAACCCACAGCTAACATTATACCGAATGGGCAAAAGCTGAAACATTCCCCTTGAAAACTGGCACAACACAAGGATGACCTCTGTCGTCATTCTTATTCAACATAGTATTGGAAGTGCTAGCCAGAGCAATCAAGCAAGACAAAGAAATAAAGAGCATCCAAATAGGTAGAGAGGAAGTAAAACTATCCCTGTTTTCAGATGACATGATTCTATATCTAGAGAACCCCATAGTCTAGGCCCAAAAACTCCTTTAGCTGATAAACAACTTCAGCAAGTTTCAGGATACAAAATAAATGTTCAGAAATCACAAGCATTCCAATACACCACCAACAGCCACACCAAGAGTCAAATCGGGAAGGCAATCTCATTCACAATTGCCACAAAAACAATAAAATACCTAGTAATACAGCTAACCAGGGAAGTGAAAAATCTCTACAATGAGAATTACAAAACACTGCTCAAAGAAATCAGAGAAGACACAAACAAATGGAAAAAAACATCTCATGCTCATGGATAGGAAGAATCAATATCATTAAAATGGTCATACTGCCCAAAGCAATTTACAGATTCAATGCTATTCCTATCAAACTACCAGTGACATTCTTCATAGAAGTAGAAAAATTTATTTAAAATTCATATGGAACCAAAAAAGAGCCCAAATAGCCAAGGCAATTCTAAACAAAAAGAACAAAGCTGGAAGCATCACACTGCCCAACTTCAAATTATACTGCAGGGCTGAAGTAACCAAAACAGCATGTTACTGGTACAAAAACAGTCACACAGACCAATGGAACAGAATAGAGAGCCCAGAAATAAGGCCACATACCTATGACCATCAGACCTTCAACAAACCTGACAAAAACAAGCAATGGAGAAAAGACTCCCTGTTCAATAAATGGTGCTGGGATAACTGGCTAGCCATATACAGCAGATTGAAGCTGGATCCCTTCCTTACACCATATACAAAAAATCAATTCGAGATGGACTAAAGACTTAGATGTAAAACTCAAAACTATACAAACCCTGGAAGACAACCTAGGCAATACCATTCTGGACATAGTAACAGGCAAAGATTTTATGACAAAGACACCAAATGCACTCACAATGAAAGCAAAAATTAACAAATGGGATCTAATTAAACTAAAGAGCTTCTGCACAGCAAAAGAAACTATCAATAGGGTAAAGAGACATCCTACAGAATGGGAGAAAATATTTGCAAGCTATGCATCTGACAAAGGTCTAATATCCAGCATCTATAGGGAACTTAAACAAATTTACAAGAAAAAAACGCATTAAAAAGTGGGCAAAGACATGAACAGACACTTTTCAAAAGAAGACATACGTGCAGCCAACAAGCATATGAAAAAAAGCTCAATATCACTGATGGTTACAGAAATGCAAAACAAAACCCCAATGAGATATCATTTCACACCTATTAGAATGGCTATTATTAAAAAGTAAAAAAAAAAACAAAAACAAAACAAACAAACAAAAAAAAACAGATGCTGGTGAGGCTGCAGATTAAAGGGAACACTTATACACTGTTGGTGATGGTGTAAATTAGTTCAACCATTGTGGAAAGAAGTATGGCGATTCCTCAAAGACCTAAGGACAGAAATACCATTCAACCCAGCAATCCTATTACTGGGTATATAGCCAGAAGAATATAAATCATTCTACCATAAAGATACACACATGTGAATGTTTATTGCAGCACTATTCACAAAAGCAAAGACATGGAATCAACCTAAATGCCCATCAATGACAGATTGGATAAAGAAAATGTGGTACATATACACTATGGAATACTATGCAGCCATATAAAAAGAACAAGATCATGTCTTTTGTGGGAACATGGATGGAACTGGAGGCCATTATCCTTAGCAAACTAACACAGGAACAGGAACCAAATACACCATGTTCTCACTTATAAGTGGAGCTAAAAGATGAGAAGTTATGAACACAAAGTAGGGAAAAACAGACGCCGGAGTCTACTTAAGGGTGGATGGTAGGAGGAGGCAGAGGAGCAGAAAAGGTAACAATTGGTTGCTAGGCTTAATATTTGGGTGATGAAAGAATCCATACAACAAATTCCTATAACATCAGTTCTCCTGTGTAACAAACTTTCACACTTACTGCTGACCCTAAAATAAAGGTTAAATATATATATATATATATATATATATATATATATATATATATATATATGTGCTATTATGGTTATATTGTATCTCAAGATGCAATATACACTTAGGGTTGGATTCATTGTTAATGACAGTGGAGGTATAAACCCTATTTTTAATACTCTTTCTCTTAATTTTGAATATGTTTGGCCTCTGTCTTGTCAGATCTGATTCCATCATTATAGTTTTTACTTCATGATATGTTTCATGCAAGGCTGACTCAGCGTAGAGCTTTGCTAGCCAGTCTTGTGCTCTCCCGTGCTTTTATTTATTAGTATAAAAAACAAATCTCTTATTTGGTAGGTCTAGGATGGGCCAGAAAATTTGCGTTTCTGACAAATTCCAAGGTGATGCTCATGCCACTAATCCAGGGACCATGCTTGGACTCTATAGCAGGGGTTGGCAACCTGTTTCTCAAGAGGGCCAGATAATATTTTAGTTGTTACAGGCCTTATGGTCTCTGTCACAACTACTTGACTCTACTGTTATAGCTCAATAGCCATAGACAATATGTAAATGAACAGACATGGTTGTGTTCCAGTAAAACTTTATTTATGGAAATAAAGAAGACATTGGTCCTGTATCTACTTTGTTATCACTCTCAACAGAAAACACACACACACCGCACACGACCACACACACAGTTAAAACACACTGACACACACTTCCATTTATAACAACCAGATTGGTAATATTAACTAGTTTCCATTTGAAAAAAAATGCTATGTGAACTCCTTCATTTAAATAAGCTTTACTGCTTAGATCTTATAAATTTATTTGCTAGAATATTTTTTAAATTCCCTACATTCTTCTTTCATAAATGCAATTACTAAATATTAGCCTGAGCTTTCCAAATTGTATAGAGTAATCCATATTTTAGTATTTCCTCAACTGGACTTTCTACCTTTCCAATCCTGCCTGGTTCTCTGTTTCATTTCCATTGTGACTTTCTGAGAATAAAATCAAGTAGTTACAAAAGATTACAAAATTTTAATATTAAGGTAATATTGTGACCAGGGGGCTGAGTAATGTCCACATACACGTCCACATGCAACAAACACACACATACTTCATATTACTGAGGTGGTTAAGCACGTAGGAAAATGGAAAATGGCAAACACTAATCCAAACCTTATTAATTAGCTTTGCTCTTGTTCTCGTTGACATGAAAAGCTCTCTGGTAATTTGGCTGGAAACAGGATTTAAATTTAAGCTCCAAGGGGAAGAAGGGAGTTTCTCGAATCTTATCAGCAGTTCATGTAATTTGCATGCCCAAGAATATATATTCCGTCAACAAATTATGCAAAAAAAAAAAAAAAAAAAGAAAGAAAGAAAAAAAGAAAAGAAAGATTTAGCTAGGGATAGTCCCAGGGCCAGAGGGCTAACGATTTAGCCTTGAGTAAGCAAGAGGTGGAGTGAGAAGGCAAGAATGTTGACCCAGAAAAGGCAACTTCCCACACACTTCCCTCCTTCTTGAAATGGAAGACAGGAGGCTACAAGAGATGTTTTACCTAGGAACATTTTTTTAAAGAAATATTTCCCTCTTTACCATCACTGCATATAAATGTGGTCCAAACACTATTTTGGAATCTTAGATAATATTCTTGGAAGAGGAGGAGGATGGAAATAAAGTAAGTTTTCCCTTTTCTTCCATCCACAATAATATCTTCTAATTTCAGAGCAGAATAAAACTTAGAAATCATTTAATTCACATATTTGACATGTCCAAATATATTGGTATCTCTTTCCTTTTATCATCTCAGCCATAATCATTAGTATTTGCATGACATCTGTGTATACTGGAATTTGATTACATGTGCTTTCAAATCTCTCCATTGTCATTTTTGTTTAAATAACATTTCTTAAATCATTGCAAAATAAACAGATGCTAAAACCTAAGTTTTGCAGTTGACAAATTAAGGCAAAGACCATGTCTTTCTAGATAAAGCAAAGTGAAGAATTGGTATGGGTTCCTACCATAGGTAAGCAACGAGGCAGGCACTTTATATTAAAATTCTCACAGTTATCTGGGTATTTTGTCCTTCATTCAGAGCCACACAGTTTTCAGTTTGCAAATCTAAAAGTTTCTGACTATAAACCTAGAAACCAGCCTGGACTTGTTCTTTTCCCTCTTGGTAGACATTTCAAATTCCACGTTTTTGTGATTTTCCTCTATATTTCTACGTCCATGTTATTTAATTTATTTCTGGACACACAGTTTGATTCAACTGCCAGACATATTAGAATTATTTTGTCTTCTGAAATGACAGTTGATGACATTCTGATTCACAACTCCTACAGATATATCTCTGTCCTGGTGGAAGGAGTCCAGTGTTTGAAGTTAGGAGACCTTATCTCCAACACTTATTTTGGTGGATTCTGGCCTCTTTGCACCTCAATTTTGTAACCTGGAAGAAAGGGGGTAAAAATGCCTGCCTTTACTGCCTCGCAGTGCGTTGTGGAGAATAAAAATGAAATAGTTATAAAAGAACACTGAAAACTTCAACAAAACCATACAGTTCCTGAGTATTATTGTTTGAGAGTTCTAATTCTTTACAACAAAAAAATAATAACCCCTGTCAAAGAAAGTAGTTAAAGCATTAAAGCCAGATTGTATTTAGGGCTATTGCAATGAGGGAAAGAACCTTGATGCAGAACTGGGCTCAGTTCTGAATGTAGCATGAGCAAGACGGAAAATTTGGCCAAGAGCAGAGTGGGCGTCAGTGGAGGGCGTCAGATGTGAGAAGTTAGTGGTGATTGTGCCCAAACTGAGTTGTTAGGATTTTTACTGAAGGAGGGTCAGGATGATTAGATAGCAAGGGTGGGGGATGAAGGTTTGATCCGTATTGAGGATGGTCAGATAGCAAGGGTGGGGAGTCTCGCTAAACTGACTTAGCATCTTGTCATTCCCGGGTAAGTTAATACCTGAGTCTCTCTAAGAGTCTCTCTCAGATCAATAAATTTGTAGATGCGTAAATATGGATGGATGGATGGATGGATGGACAGATGGATGGATGGATGACGGATGGAAGAATGGGTAGAGATATAGGTATAGGATAGATGGATGGGTAGATGGAAAGATAGCTAGGTAGACAGATATATTAATAGATGGATGTGAGTTCATGTCCTTTGTAGGGACGTGGATGAAGCTGGAAACCATCGTTCTCAGCAAACTATCGCAAGGACAAAAAACCAAACACCGCATGTTCTCACTCATAGGTGGGAATTGAACAATGAGAACACATGGACACAGGAAGGGGAACATCACACACCGGGGCCTATTGTGAGGTGGGGTGAGGGGGGAGGGATAGCATTAGGAGATATACCTAATGTTAAATGACGAGTTGATGGGTGCAGCACACCAACATGGCACATGTATACATATGTAACTAACCTTCACGTTGTGCACATGTACCCTAAAACTTAAAGTATAATAATAAAAAAAACCAGATAGATGGATGGATAGATAGGTAAAGATGCCTGATAGGTCTATATATTTCTATTTATATCTTTCTATGTATATATTTTTGCCAAACAATTGCCAATATACTGTTTGCCAGACATAAACATACTCTGGCTTAAATATTTTTTTATCTTTCTGTATGTTGGTAGGAAGATTGATTCTTTAAATATGAAACACCAGCAAAATGAAATGGTTGAAGTGTTGTTCTCTGTCTATCTCACTCTATATCTGTCATAATGCAGGTAAGGTTTTTGATGAAACTTGTATGACTTTTTATGTGTTGATTGTTTAAAATTTTTATATTGAACTGTCCTTGATGACATTTCTGACTACTTGAATATACATAGAAAATTTCATTTAAAAAATTAAGTTTTCTGGAGGGTTCTTTTGTTCCCTTCAGGAAAATAACTCATTGCTTCAGCTAGCATTACCATGGGTCTCATATTTGCATAATGTTTATGTTGGGATAAGTAAATTTAGCTGTTTATGGCGACTTTAGTAAGTTGGTTTTTCATATTGGATATATTTATTTTTTTCTTTGCGTCCAAAAATCTGTTGATAAGTGCTCATTTTTCAAAATGATTAAATTGAAAGGCAGTTTAATTTACTTTCTCTATTAGGCTATTATCTAGACTGCACATTTTTGCCTGAGTTCTGTTCATAATGTCAAACAGTAGGTTGCTTTTTATTTACTCTTACGTTTGACTGGTTGAATAAACTTGCTGCATTCTGTCTTTTGAGTTGCTTCAATTCAAGTGAGACACAAGTTTATCAACCTGGTCTTACTTGTCTTTGCTTGTAGGATTTTCCTCAAGTTTGATAACAGATTGGGATAAGTTGTATCTGCCTATGTCTCTTTAGCTTAATTTCAGCTTAATAAAGTATTTTACATACATAAAGGAAGAAATATACTGGACATAATGTAATATTTTATTCAATACTATTCATACTTTTGCTCTAATCAAATTCTAAATACTCAGAACATTCGTATAGTTATAAAATATTAAAGGAATTCTCTTTGGATATTTAAAAGGTGTGTTCTGGTCTTCAACTTCCTAAGAAACAGATGTACATTCCAAAGTAATCATAGTTTAATTTGTTTAAAAAATAGTAGGGATTCAAAAGCATAGGATTTGGCATCATCGGATCCAAATTCAAGTTTATTACAACTATGAGACCTTGGGCAAATCCCTAAATTCCCTGTCAATTTCATCCTGTACTATGTAGTTTTGATAGTGATGTCTGTCCTGCCTACCACATACAATATATTCAAATGAGATTTTATGGCACTTTATAGTTACTTATGTAGTTTAACAAATTCTACCATTAATTCATTTTACTTGAATTATACTTAGGTCACTTACCAAACTAGAGGTTAATCCCCTTTGTCCCAAGTATTATTCCAGGGCCTGACTCTTTTTCATTGCACAAAATTAACATGATTAGAGTGGCTGAATTGTATTTCTCTGCATGCCTGGGAAATGGGCTGGTCTACCAGCCTGGAAGCCAATAAGTACATGGAACCATCTACCCCTGTCCTGCCGATGGCACTCACAACAGATTAAAAATTCCTTAAGCCCACCTAATATGCTGAAGTTAACCAACTCCTTTTACTGACATAATTACATAAATACATGCATATTACTAATAATTGAATCTACCCTTACTGTTCTTCCTGAATCTAGGAACCACATTTTAGACATGGAAAGGACTTTGGAGAGCCTTGAGGACAGCTGCCTTAAGAAATTCACATTGATCCATTTCTTTTGCATATAACAAACCTTAGCTTCCCAAAGCAAGAAGTTGCCTTCTTATTTGACAGATCATATTTGAGTTCCTATTTCATTACAATTTAATCTTATTTCTTCATCTTGGGTCTTTAGTGGAGGATGAGCACCATTCTTTTACATAAAATTAGCCATGAAAGGTAATATAATACATTCTCTATTACCGGTGAAGGCTATCAAATAATTCTAGATAGATAAACATCTATTCACCTTTTAAAGGCACGAGTGAGGCAAACATTTTAGGTTTCTGATAAACCTTGTTAGAAGGTTTCATATTAAACTTTTATAATCATAAAGCCTGCTAAAAGGGAGACCCCTGAACCATGTCTCAGGTGCAATAAACAAGGCAGGTATTTACTCTGCCTTTCAGCTGAGATTCTCTTTTCTAACTTAATTCTTATCATCTTTTCTGCCATGTCTTCAGGAGCCTATGAAGACTTACGATGGTTTAATTTTACATAACATGAGTGTAAAACATATTCTCATCCTAAAGTTATTAAATGATAAAGATTTTACATGGCTCCTTTGAAAGAAAATGTTTCATAACAGAAAACTTAGCAAACTGTAAATGGAATATAATTTTTTTTAGAGTAAACACATCTGAAAGCAAATAATCTTAATTCTTGTGAAAAATCTTAAATTATAAAAGATTGTGTTTGAGGATTGAGTTTTCCTGGGTAGGTTAGTATTTCAGTATATTTTAACAATATTTTTTATACCTGGTCCCAATATCTTTATTTTTGTCTGTTCCTTTCTACCTCATTATAGCGTATCACTTAGGTGATGGATGGATAATACCCTACGCAAAATGGCCAGGTTTCTATGTGGATTGCTTATAAACTACATTCCCATCAGAATGTCTAGTGTTCTAGACATAGTATTCCCATCGGAATTCCCAGCCCCAGAGAATAGGCATCTTTTTTTCTCATTTTGCTGGAGGTGCTCTGTTAAAATGCCAACGGGACTGGAAGTGAAACCCTATTAGACACTCTCTATTAATGATAAATTGCCAGAAATTTCCTACCCTGCAGCATCTGTCTGAAAAGAAATGCCAAGTAAGGTTCAAGTTTAATAACTGGGCCAAGGTGAAGCACATTAGTCCTGATTCCATGTGGGCTAAACTGTAGGATGCAAAAAGGATGTCATAAGGGAGCAACTCTCGGACGCTGTGTTGAGAAGCATCAAAGTACTTAGTTTTTGAAAAAAATCAGAAAGTTGATAAATGTAGCAAAATGGAAAACACGAATCTGCATTAAAAAAAAAAGATGTGGGGGGCTCTTTGTGTTATTTTTTGTAACTATTCTTTCATTTGGGATGATTTCCAATAATTTTTTTTTAAAAAAAGAGAAGTTAGCAAAGGAGGACGAAGAATTAAAATTGAACTTGGTCTAACTTTCAATTTCAAACAGCAATTGAATTTTGAATTATTTAGTCACTTCGCTCATGAACTTTACCCACTGAATTCCAAATATTTTCTAATTGGTACGTAATATTTTACATATTTATGGGGTACAGGTGATATTTTGTTACATGCATAGAATGTGTAATGATCAAGTTGGAGCATTTAGGGTACCCATCACATAGAGGATTCATCATTTCTGTGTGTTAGGAACGTTTCATCCTAACATGCTAGTGGAGTGGCAGCTTGAAGTAGTGTCAACACACATGGACTTGGAACTAGACTGCCTGGATTTGAGTCCTCACTTTGCCAACTGTGAGGTTTAACATTGAGTATATTATTTACTCTTTCTTAATTACTTCCTCATCTATTAAATGGAAGTAATAACAGCACTTACCTCCTAAGGTTGTCATTAGGACTAAATAATTTAGCATTTATACAATGCTTAAAGCAATACCTAGCATAGTGTCCAAGATATCTGTTACATCGATAATAATAATTATTATGCAAACACTTACCTTTAAAACAGTCATTTTCCACTGAATGGAAATTAGGGAGTTTGTTCTCTGAAAGGCAGATTGTTAGCAACTGAGAAAAGGAAGGACCTTTCCATTATCTGAACGATAAACACAAAATATTTTTTTGTCTTGCCCTGTTTGAGGATCATTGGTCAAGGATGTCACAAAAACATCACAACCTTCAGGTTTTGCAAGTCATAGTTTTAAAGACACTTGTCTAGCAGGAACCTCTAGATTTCAGTTCTGTCAATGGAAAATTTTAGGGCATACAAGTGCTACCAGGTAAAGTGAGATTATGTTTTCCAGAAACAAGTCTATTCATCCTTTTAACCTATTTCACTCTTTCCAAAGTTTCCTTACAGCAATGGTTTTGGAGTTTCAAAGGCCACTTATATAACAGAGCTTTGTTACTCAAAGTGGGGCTCAGGAGGCAGTATCAGAAGTACCAGGAGCTTGCTAGAAATGCAGGATTTCAGCCCCCTGAATCTGGATCTGAATTGTAACAAGAACCCTAGGTGATTCATTTGCACCTCGAGGTTTGAGAAGCTTGGAGAACTCTCTTGACTTGCTTCTAGGGTAGCATGAAAAATCTAGAAGCAATTTCTTCTGGCTCTCACCCAAACCCCATGTTTCCTTGAAGTGTTCTTTATAAAATCCTGTCACACTCTCTCTGTATCCCTGAACAGCTGGACTCTCTGAATTCTGCCTGAGTTGTAAATATCACATAACTAATATGAATAATTCTCAGCGTTTGCAAGTACAGGCAAGCTACTGTAGTCATGTGTTTGCTGGGAACCATGCAGTGAGAGAGGTCAAAAGATATGGTGATTGTTCACTTATTCGCAAGTTCATGTGCACCACCATCAGCTAATTGAAAATGTTTGCATTTTGTTTTCCAGTTTATGAATATTCCCTTGAAGAGCACCATTCAATAGCCAGGATTAATTAAGTTCTAAGTTCTGCTATGAAAAAAGTGCTGAAGAGGTTAGAACTTCTAACTCAGAAAATCAATTCAGTTGATGGACTTTATTCTGAAAGAAGTAGCCAGTTCTCTGTTTGTATATTTGTGTATTGATCAGCCCCTTTCCATGGACATTTTGATCTTTTAATTAGGTTTCCAGAGTTTTCAGGGACTGGATTAATGACCTATGTCTGTCAACTCCTCCCAGAGTATGAGAATGGTTAAAATCCCTTTAAAAAAAAATTCTACATGGTAAAAGCATTATTAGTTATCCTGCCCACTATGCTATTTTATTTTGGGATACACTAGGCCCACTTGTGGTCTAGAAGCAGGATCTTACTTTAGGGTATAACAAGGAAGTTCTCAATGCTCTTATTCACATATATGCCTTTCCATATTTTATTTTCCATCTTTGATATTTGCTTGTTGTGAAAGCCTATCAATTTTAACATTTTTCTGTCAACCACTTTTTAGTTTATATTACTTTTATTTTTTATATTTTTAGAGACATGGTCTTGCTCTGTCACCCAGGCTGGATTGCAGTGGTGTGATCACAGCTCATTGCAGCCTGGATCTCCTAGGCTCAAGCAATCCTCCTGCCTCAGCCTCCCCAGTAGCTGGGATTGCAGGCCAACATGCCTGGCTAATTCTTTTTTATTTTTGTAGAGACAGGGTCTTGCTATTTTGCCTAGGCTGGTGTCAAACTCCTGGCCTCAAGTGATCCTCCTGCCTCCCAAAGCACTGGGACTACAAGTGTGAGCCACCACACCCGGCCTATATTACTTTTATAAGCAAAGTTATTTCAGTTTAATAGGGGAATAAAGCACGAAATGACCATTGAGAATTTTAAAAAAGAAAGTAAATGTTTTATACATTTAGAAGACAGGCTCCTGGAACTATACTTAGAGGGTAAGAAATGAAAACATCTGATCCTGGAATGTTAAAAAAAAAAAAAAAAAAAAAAGTCATTGAGGCTGGGCTGGTCGCTGGGCGAGCAGGGGCCCCCTGTTGTGCCTAGGCCCAGGTGTTGCTGATGGTGCAAAGGCTCAGCCCAGCTTGCTGCTCTGTTAGCCCAGTTCCTGTTATTTGGTGCATTTGATCTGATTAGACTGCTCTGTGCCTTTCTCAAATTTTCTCTCTTTTGTGTCTCTGGCCTCATGTGTCTAGGTGGTTTCAAATGATGTTTTACTACTACTAAATTTTAGAGAAAATTATGTTGTTATGTCTACTAAGAGCAAAAAACTGACAGTATTAAAGATTCCAGGTAGAAAACAGAGTCACTGAAAGCTTATAACAGGTAGGAAATGAATCACGTAGTATAAAAGAAGAAATATAGAAATTATACAGTTGTCAAGATGCAGGATTTTGGAGCCCAACACATTTGGATTGAAGTCTTAGCTCCAATGCCTACTGGTGATTTGAATTTATCACTCATCCTTTATTTTTGTAAAATTTTGTTTTGAAATAATTTCAGACTTATAAAAAACTTGCAAAAAATTTTTAAAGAGTTTCCATGTAGATTTCACCTAGTGCCATAAATTTTAACTCCTTATATACTCGTGGTACCATTGACAATATCAACAAATTCACGTTGGTACTATACTCTTAGCTAATCCATGGGCTTTATTCCAATTTTGCTAATTGTCAGCAAATTATTTTTTCTTATTCAAGATCCAACCTAGGACCCATATAGCATTTATGTGTCAAATATTCTAGCCTCCTTCAATCTGTAAGAATTCCTCAGTCTTTGCCTTTCATAAACATGACACACTTAAAGAGTATTGGCCAGTTATTCTGTACAATGTCCCTGATTTTGAGTGTCTACTCTTGCTTTATGATTAAATGTAGGTCTCTGTTTTTGGCAATACTACAATGGGGATGATATTTTGTCCTTCCTCGTGCATCATATCATGAGGTACATGATGACAATATGTCTCATTAGTGGTGAGGTTAATTTTGATTACCTGGTTAAGGTGATACCTACCAGATTTTGTCTTTTCACTGTAAAGCTACCATTTTTTCCTTTTGTAATTAAAAAAATCTTGTTGAAAGATGCTTTGAGACTATACAAATGTCCTGCTTCTCATTACACTTCTACCTACTGATTTTAGCGTTCACTCTTGCTAACTACAGGCAAAATACTTAGCATAATGTCCGATCTATTAAATGTTAATTTCATTCTTTTAACACCTGCATATACAATACTTATGATTATTTTAATATAACAAAAATGAAGACATCGTAACATTGCCTAGAAACATGTCTAATTGTGATACCGATTCTATTAGAAAAACAATTTACCAGAATCGGTTTAAGTCTTTAAGAGCTGTGATAATGCACTGGTGTATTTGAAATAACATAAATAATGTTCAGCTATTTATTAGGAATCAAATAAGGAGCTATGCTTGTTTAGGAAACTAGTTTTAAAGAACTATTGCTAGACACCTTCATGTACACAGCATATTGTTATACTTCATTGACTCAGTGCTTATGATGGCCAGGTATTATTTGGTCATTTGATCCTTATGATAATCTTTCGAAGAAGTGTCTTGACTTTACAGATGAGCAAACTTTAAAAGGCTTTAAAAGGTTAAATAGGCTGGGCACGGTGGCTCACGCCTGTAATCCCAGCACTTTGGGAGGCCGAGGTGGGCGGATCACGAGGTCAAAAGATCAAGGCCATCCTGGCCAGCATGGTGAAATCCCGTCTCTACTAAAAACACAAAAATCAGCTGGGTATGGTGGCGCATGCGTGTAGTCCCAGCTACTAGGGAGGCTGAGGCGGGAGAATCACTTGAACTTGGGAGGCAGATGTTGCAGTGAGCCAAGATCGCACCATTGCATTCCAGCCTGGTGGCAGAGCGAGACTCCATCTCAATAAATAAATAAATAATAAAAAATAAATTTAAAAAATTAAAAAGGTTAAATAATGTATGAAATCGCACAGTTACTAAGTACCAAAGCTGAAATGTAATTTCAGGTCTCTGCAACTCCAAAACCATGCTAAAGCATTGAATAATTTGGAAAAAGTGATTAAATATTTAAAAATACAGTTCCATATACTTCCATTAAAAGAAGATGATAAAATGTGTGTTTTATGATGAGTAAAGGAGCAAGACAACAATAATCTATTCTAAGCATTTATAGATGAATAAATTTTATGTGGACCTTATACAGTTTCAATAAAGTTAGTAAATTGTTACATGTATCTTGGAAGAAAATATCACATCCCAGTTAAATTTATTATAGGTATATGGTGTTTATTGAATCATTTTTATGTATTAGAGATGTAAATCTTACCAGAAATAAGCCAATATACTAGAAATATTTACATAAATAAAACAAATATAATTTTTCTTTTATTTTACAACTCTTCCCAGAGTTAATACTTGACGTAAATAAATGAACTGAAAATAATGTGACTCAATATTTATTTGATCTTATATTTGAAATTGTTTTTTGAAAAAAAATCATAAATACCACTTTACTAATAAGAATAACATCTCACCTATTTGAGAGTTTCAGGAGACAAATATGTGCCCCTCAAACGTAATTATTTGAATGATTAAAAATAGAATATTAAAATATGCCTGTAAAAACTAATGATTAATTTATCAATTCATTCTTGAATAAGTGGATGCTCATTGTATTCTTTTGATCCTTTGCTATGGTAAACTCATGAGATCAGCAATTATTAAAATCACGGTGACTACTAATTTTCTTCCTACAAGCCACTTTCAGCAGGATTATTTCTTATAAAGCTGAAATAAAAAGACTTGGGGAGTCAGAAAAGTATGGCTTTATGACGGTAAATAAGAAACTGTCCTAAAACAAAAAGAAGTTTTTATTAGTGACATTTTAAAACATGGCTTTGAGGACTGTAAATGTGCCCACTCCAGATTCTTAGCTCTTTATTAGAAGGCTTCTGTATTCAAGGTTTTGGGGCATTGACTAATTAATTCATCCTTGCAATACCACTGAGAAATAGGCAAACAAGTCAAATGGGAATTGGGTATATTTAGGATTATAATTCCTGTGTTATTAAAAAAGAATTAGCAGAGATTTAATAATTAGTGTGAAAATGGATAGCAATTAACATAGGAAAAATATGTAAAGAAGGCAAGAAGAGGTGTAGGCACACTCAGAAATCTAGGAGTATGACCTGAATGAGTCTGATAGTCTGTTGCCCCGAGAAATTGTAATGGGGTATGTTTTGGGAAAGCATGATGTGGCCTTAAGGCACAGTCATATATGGATGTAGGTGCCATAAATTTACTGCAAACCACCTGGACTCTGTACGCTTTGACCAAGTCTTCAAAAAATGTTTCATAAATTTATTTTCTACCATATGAAGACGTAATACTTTTTTTGTTTGGCTCAAAGTTACCATTCCCCCTTCTTTTGAATAGTTAACTGTTTTCCATAGATTTTAAGAAATTAGTTAGCAAATTCAGTCGATTTTGTTTATGCCTTTTATGTTCTTTAATATTTTACTTCTGAGCTTTTGTTTTCTATTTTGTCAAGCCTCTTAATCCATTTATTGGGTCTTCCCACCACCATTTTCTTGAATCTTTTTTTTTTCTTTCATGTTAAATATTTCTTAAAGGATGAAATCCAAGAGCACATAATGTTTACACTGTAGTAATTACACCATTGTTTCAGTATTACATTTCTTTTCTTTTTTTTTTTTTTGAGACAGAGTCTTGCTCTGTCACCCAGGCTGGAGTGCAGTGGTGTGATCTTGGCTCACTGAAAGCTCCACCTCCCGGGTTCATGCCATTCTCCTGCCTCAGCCTCCCGAATAGCTAGGACTACAGGCGCCCACCACCACGCCCATCTAATTTTTTGTATTTTTAGTAGAGATGGGGTTTCACCGTGTTAGCCAGGATGGTCTCGATCTCCTGACCTTGCGATCCGCCTACCTTGGCCTCCCAAAGTGCTGTGATTTTTTCTTTGACATTGCTTTTTATGACAATGCCCAGGGTTCTGTTAGCCTTTTTGGTTGCAGAAGAGTCCTTTGTTTTATATACTATTTGGGGTCATTTATTATTTAATAAAGGATGCATAACTAATTAGTGACACAGCAAAGTTTCTCACTCACAGCTAACCAAAATAGCTCTTCTTCCTGCATTCATAATCTCAATTGGTGACCTGTGGTTCACCAGTCAACCAGCTAGAAATCTTAGAAACCTGTGCTTGACTCCAGATGTCTCTCACTCACTCCCAACTTTTAAGCCCAATTAATCACAAAGTCCTTCCTGTAGGATTGGAAAGATGAATGTCCCAGCCTCCTGACCTCCAGTGAAATGATTCCGGGCATGTTTTTGCTTTGTTTTGTTTTTGTTTTTTGTTTTGTTTGTTTGGTTTTTTTTTCTCTACTTTTGCTCAGTCCATGGGGACTGAGGCCCAACTGGCTATAATGATAACATGTCCAACACTGTACCTGCTATTGTTTTTTTCTCTTTTCCTTGTCTCACTTTTCCTAGTTCCTTGAGCAAGTGCCATCTGGGATCACCTTCCAAATAAACTGTCTGCCCCTAAGTCCTTATATCAAGATTGGCTTTAGGGGTAATCCAAACTAAGCCAAGGCTTAAAGAATATGGAAGCCATGACTGACCAAGGTTGAGAGAATATTGTTGTCAGAAGGGATGTCATGTGTATGTACCACAGACAAGAGCTAAGGGTAGCAAGTGCAAGGAACTAAAAGTTGTTGCCTATGGCTGGCTGGAGCAGAGAGTATGAGGGCAAAAGTTGTCAAGTAGCAGGGACTAGTTCATGGTGTGCCCTAGAACTCATGTTCACCATGTTGGTGTGACTCTCAGTGAAAATGGAATTCTAGATTGAATGATTTCAAGTGGGGGAGTGATATGCTAGGTAATATAGAGCAGCAAGCCCCAACTATTTTGGCACCAGGAACCAGTTTCATGAAAGGTGGTTTTTCCACAGAGGGTAGGAGGGGATGGTTTTGGGATGATTCAGGCACATTGCATTTATCGTGCACTTTATTTCTATTATTATTACATTATAATATATAGTGAAATGATTATACAACTCACCATAATATAAAATCAGTGGGAGTCCTGAGCTTGTTTTCCTGTAACTAGAAGGTCCCATCTGAGGGTAATGGATGACAGTGATGGATCATCAGGAATCAGATCTCATAAGGAGCATGCAACCTAGATCCCTCGCATGTGCAGTTCACAATAGGGCTCACGCTCCTATGAGAATCTAATGCTGCCAGTGCTGATCTGACAGGAGGCAGAGCTCAGGTGGTAACGCAAGCCATGGGGAGTGGCTGTAAATACTGACGAAGCTTCCCTGGGTTGCCTGCTGCTCACCTGCTGCTGTGTAGCCCAGTTCCTAACAGGTCATGGCCTGTGGCCTGGGAGTTGAGGCCCCGGCTTAGAGAATGAATTTAAAGAGAAGTAGAGCCATGACACTTCTGAGGAAGTTATTGCAATGATAGTGACCGATGTTTGGAGAAGAGTATCAGTAGCGACTGGCAAGAAATGAATGGATTACACAACTGTTTAGCAGACAGTATCTTCCTAGATTGCCATCATGATTCCATATCAGAGTGAAGCAGACGATAGTGGTAACTAAGGAAAACTGGTCATTTCAATAGGGGAGCATTTCAGTCACTGGTGTTGCTCTTCAGAATTCTTGAAGCATTTGCAAATTCCCTTTGAAGATCTATTTGTCCTCAAGAAAAGGTCTTTAACTTATATCTTAATCTAATTCCAAACATATTTGAATACTTGCAGTGGCTGAGAAACTCATGTCATAGCGTTTTGGTTGATATTTGGTGGTAATTGATAGGGTTCATTAGAGATACATGTTTAAATCAAACTCTGACTCTGAAAGTGAGAATGCATAAGGTAAATTTTACCAATTTACTGATAAGCATGGAAATAAATTAGAATGATGGAAAACAATATAATAAGCAAGTGCTTTTATAAAATTATTCCTTACATCTTTGAGATAAATGATCCTGCCATTGAACTCTTCCTTCATTTTAGGGTTCTTAGTGACCACTTATTTCAGTTAGCTCTGTGAAAATGAGTTTTGTTGTTCCTGTTAGTCAGCACAAAATAAAAGTGATCATAAACCTTTTATGAAGATGAGGCTTGCATTAAAAAGAAAACCTAATTGAAAGTCGCTTTAAATTTTGAGTGATTAATTTCATGCCAAATAAGTAATTAGAAATCGTGATGGCTATAAAAAAGCAATTATTTGCAAAATGGGAAAAAGCTAAATTCAATCTAGATATACTTTTCTACATTAAAAATTTGTGTATTGGGAGAGATATAATATAGCAATTGTGGAATTTTAATGTAATAGCCTGTTATTATAGGTAGTTTGTACATGTGTGCTGTTGGGCTCTCAACCAGCTAATTACTTTCCTTCTGGATACTTTTATTTCAGTTGATCATCTGTATTATATTAGGTTGGTGCAAAAGTAATTGCGGTTTTTGCCATTACTTTTAGTGTTTCTCTTGTTTCTTGCCTGATAATAATATATCTACTTAATATCATTTCAAACATATAAAAAAGATTAGGATTTTTAATATGTTTTGGGTTTTAACATTTTAATATTTATTTTTTAAAAAAATAGACACTATATACCTGTTGAGTTAAATATTAAGAGCTAAAGTTCGTGGCCCCATTTTAGGAAAACAAAGGGTGCAATCCAGGAACTTTCTCCCTGAGTCTCTGTAATTTACTCCAAACCAAGTAAAAGTAGGTCTCCAGTAACCAATATTATTTATCCTAGAACTCTTGTGTTTCTAAGAGTGGACACAATATGCTAAATTTGGAGAGCTGATTGTATTTGAAACATGAAAATGTCTGCAGGTCAGCCGGGCATGGTGGCTCACGCCTGTAATCCAAGCACTTTGGGAGGCTGAGGCAGGTGGATCACCTAAGGTCAGGAGTTCGAGACCAGCCCGGCCAACATGGCGAAACCCCATCTCTACTAAAAATACAATAAATTAGTCTGGCATGGTGGCTGGCACCTGTAATCCCAGCTACTTGGGAGGTTGAGGCAGGAGAATTGTTTGAACCCAGGTGGGCAGAGGTTTCAGTGAGCCGAGATTGCGTCACTTCACTCCAGCCTGGGCAAAACAGAGAAACTCCGACTCAAAAAAAAAAAAAAAAATTCTGCAGGTCTAGATCCACCAGTGCAAGACATCTTCTTCCGTGAAACTGCTTTTCATTATGGGATGTATAGAAAACAAATTAAAAATGTAATAATGTAACATAAAATCTATTTTGATTTTTAATCCAATGAATCTTGACCTAACATGCTCTACTATTTTGGAGGAACTAGTCAAACTAAAAAGAACCTCAGAATAAGTTGCTCATCATCAAGAATGAACTGATTATTCAGTGGACAACTAAAATGCCGTGGTGATGTTAACTTTATTCTTTTCACATACTTCAAAACTTTAATTACCAGAAAAAATATTCTTTAGTACGACCGAGGACTCAGGTTTTAAAAGAGAACTACAATAATTATGGGGTAAAGTAGAAGCATCATTTTTGTTTTAAGTGAAAGGCTCTTCATTTCACATTGACTATGCTACACATTATTGATTTTTTTCTCTGGTGTTGTTCTTTGCAGAGAGTGAATCTGTCCTTCGATTTTCCATTTTATGGCCACTTCCTACGTGAAATCACTGTGGCAACCGGGGGTAAGTGGTTTTCTACCCATTCACCTTAAGTAATCTATGGTTTGACTGCAGTTATTATTTTTAAGTTACTCTATATTTCAAGATGGATATTTATTGAGAAAACCATTGTGTTTTATCACAAAGTCATAGGTATAAATAAAACCAAAGAAAGGGTATGGTTATTGGAAAAACTTCTCAGCAGACAAAAAAAGTATTTATAATAATTTTCAACCTAGATCACCTCTGCTTTTCTTCTAAATTTTAATTCATTTTTGGTAGTGTGGTAAGACTGTCCAAATGGCAGAAATTGGAATAGAGATAGAAGGAAAGGCTGCTTAATGAAACTGCTGGTGATCTTAAATTTTCTTTTAATGTATATAGTTGCTATATATATATTATATATATATAATATATATTTACATATATATGCACTTACACACATATATATATACACAAAAACACACAACCATATGTGCATTAGCTTTGATCATTTTTTTTCCTTGAGTGTTACCTATTTTGATTGACAACTCATTTGAGAGTCTTCAAATAAAGCTGAAATCCAGCTCAAATTTTTAAAATTTTATTTTTCTCCACAAGCTTGGAGGTTAGTTTAGAGATTAGCAATATCCTAGCAAAGTAATTATCATTCTTTATTGTACATCTCAGAAGTCAGAAATATTTTAGTCTTCAAGCGCTACTAGAAGCGATAAGGAAAATGCCAGGGAATATCCCTGTAGGCTTTATGATGCAGGGGTAGGGAAGAAGGAGAAAAACACATAAAAATGGAACAGTAAGTAAAGAAGTAATTGAAAGAAATTCCATAGGTGTACAAAGAGGCTGTGAGCATCTATGCCCAAAGCACCATAGACAGAGTCTCTTTCCTTCACTGAATCTTACCAGGGGTCTTCTGGATGGTGTGGAGACCATGTTAAGTATTGCCATTTTTTGCCATACTTTAATATAAGACCTAGAAGATATTTAGGATTCAGAAGAAGATTTGTAATCAGAAATATCAACAAGTAACTGGAAGTTTTTTGAGCACCAACTCTGAGTGATGGTAAATAAGTCTACCACTGCCTTAGAGGTGTGTAGCTTAGTGGAATATTAGGCAAAGTGAAGGAGAATATGGGGAATTGCTTAGGAAATACAAATGATGAAATATGCCCAGGTGCAGTGGCTCATACCTGTAGCTACTTTGGAAGCTCAGGTGGGAGGATCGCTTGAGCCCAGGAGTTGAAGACAAGCCTGGGCAACACTGTGAGACCCTATATCTACAAAAACATTTAAAAAATTAACCATGGTGGGGTGCTCCTGTAGTCCCAGCTACTCAGGAGGCTGAGGCAGGAGGACCACTTGAGGCCAGGAGTTTGAGGCTGCACCGAGCTATGGTCATGCCATTGCACTATAGCCTGGCTGACAGAGCAAGACTCTATCTCTGAAAATAAAATAAATAAAATGAAATAATTAGCTGGTATGATGGCATGCATCTGTAGTCTCAGCTACTTGAGGGGTTGAGGCAGGAGGATCACTTGAGGCCAGGAGTTTGAGGCTGCAGTGAGCTATGACCACACCACTGCACTACAGCTTGGGCAACAGAGCAAGACCCTGTCTCTAAAGAAAAAACAAATGAAAACCAGAAAAAGAAAATACAAATGATAAGCTATGGGTTTCCAGGGATGATATAACTGAGACATCTATGAGTTTCAAGTGAGAGTTGTTTAAGACTATAGAAAAATTGTTGTTCAAAGTTTTTCTTGAGGATGTCAGAATTTCTACGGTTGTGTAGAGAAGGAAGAGAGGATCACAGAGAGGAAGATCCTGAGTAAATATACAGATGAGGAGAATGGTAGGGTATATTTGGGATAGTAAATAATTGAGTTTGAGTTATGTCAATGGTATCTTTACCAAAAAATGTGGCATGTTAAGATTGGAAAAGTAGGTTGGGACAATTTTACAAAATGCCATAAGGGATAGTTCGAGTCATTAGTCCTTAAGTAATAAACTTTAAGAAGATGAATATAGATGTGTGTATAATACATTAAAGTGTAGAAAGACTGAAGTTAGTACATTTAACTGGAAGAATATTGCAACTATTTGTGTGAAAAATATTGAAGCCCTTGGTGATTTTGTTGCTTCAACCCAAGGAAAAGGAATCATACTATTGGTACCAAATACAGAGTCAAGAAACACTGGCTTTAGGGAGAACCAGTGACTTCAATAGTGAAACTTAAATTTTGTGTGAAAATAAAAAGGAATATATCTAAATGAAATTGCTCACAAGAAGTATGTCTTTTGACCTCATCGGATATATCCAGTATAGTGCCAGGCATTTAATTAATTTTGTTGAAGGGTTAAATGAAAAGGGAAGAGGAAAATTGAAAGGTGGCCCCAATAAGCCATGAATCATATCCTGTCCACTCATGTCATAAAATATAATAGAAATATGGTGATTCTAAAATACCGACATTAGGCATGTTTTCTGAAATTTAGGTGAACAGTGTTCTATTGAATTTTTCAAAAAGTTAACTATGAACCATATGTGCTTAAAATGTGTACACACAGTGTAAAAATAATGACAGCTTTGCATTTTCAATTTCTCAAATTGTTTTATCTTTAAAACTCATGTCAGCAATTCAGCCAATATGAAGTAAGATTTCTCCTAGCGGAACTGGCAGGATCAAACCCAACCAGATAGCTACATCATCCTTGCGATTTCAAAGTGCCATTTTCCTTTGTAAAGATCCTCAAAATAAGTGAAAAAAAAAAAACCTAGCATCCTGAATGATCTCTATCTTCTTTGAAGAAAACACTAATGTAAAGACACTCCTTTTGTTTCTCTACTTAAAACACACTAGCACGCAACTTGCATATAACAATCTGTGCTCTATTTAAAGAGGCAGAGTCAAGATAATCTACACATTGACCTGGGTGTCTTCAAAATGAAACCTGAGTCTCATGTAAAAGGTTCCAGCAAAATACATAGCTTGCTTGCTCTTTCTTTGTTCATTTCATTCAATCAGTGTTTCTTGAGCCCCTAGAAAACACAAAGCACAAGATGCGTCATTATATACAGAGAAGGATAAGCTAAGTTCAGGAGCTTAGAGTCAAAAAAGAGGAAGGGGTGTTGATATGGTTTGGCTGTGTCCCCAATCAAATCTCATCTTAAACTGTGGCTCCCGTAATTCCCATATGTTGTGGGAGGGACCACGTGGGAGGTAATTGAATCATGGGGGCAGGTCTTTCCTGTGCTGTTCTCATGATTAGTGAATAAGTCTCAGGAGATCTGATGATTTTATAAAGGGGAGTTCCCCTGCACACACCCTCTCTTGCTTGCCACCATGTAAGACATGCCTTTACTCCTCCTTTGCTTTCTGCCATGATTGTGAGGCCTCCCCAGCCATGTACAACTGTGAGTCCATTAAACCTGTTTCCTTTATAAATTACCCAGTCTTGGGTATGCCATGAGAAAAGACTAATACAGGCATGCTGCGAATAAGCAATAGAGAAGGCTGACTGCAGGTGCTGAAAGAGCAGGAGCTTGCTGAAAAAGGAGATCATGCTTGTTGGGCCAGTCAATTAAGAAGAGTCTGGGAAAGTGATAATCTTTGGCATTGGCCTTAGAGGAAGGTAGAATTTTAGTAGGCAAAGAGGCAGTTGAGAAGAAGTGGAGAAGGAAGAGGCATTCCAGACAAGGGGATGCTGAGTTAAATGACAGTGCTGAAACCATATTGGGTATATTTGGAGGGCTGTCAACTAAATTAGTTTATCCTGAAGAGAGGGTTGGAATGAGTCTAGTGAAGGGGAGTTGGGAAGAATGTTGTGGAGTACTTTGAACGTTAGAAATCTTGCCGGTCATGGTGGCTCATGCCTGTAATCTCAGCACTTTAGGAGGCCGAGGTGGGCGGATCACCTGAGGTCCAGAGTTTGGATCGCCTGAGGTCCAGAGTTTGAGACTAGACTGCCCAACGTGGAGAAACCCCATCTCTACTGAAAAAAACAAAATTAGCCGGGCATGGTGGCACATGCCTGTAATCCCACCTACTCAGGAGGCGGCGACAGGAGAATCGCTTGAACGCTGGAGGAGGAGGTTGTGGGCAGCCAAGATAGCACCATTGCACTTCAGCCTGGGCAACAAGAGCAAAACTCTATCAAAAAAAATAAAGAGAGAAAGAGGAAAGAAAGAAGAAAGAAAGAGGAAAGAAAGAGAGAAAGAAAGAAGAAAGAAGGAAAGAAAGAAAAAGAAGAAAGAAAGAAAGAAGGAACAAAGAAAGAAAGAGAAAGAAAGAAAGAAAGAAAGAAAGAAAGAAAGAAAGAAAGAAAGAAAGAAAGAAAGAAAAGGAAAGAAAGGAAGAAATCTAGATGACATCCAGCAAGCATTGGGTTTCTTAGAGAAGTAGATCTGGCCTGATCTGTCAGTGGAAGGCAGGTTAGGGTGAAGGGGGTGAAGGCAGAAAAAATAGTTACCAGTTGTTTGAATACTTGCTTGTGGGATACAGTGTCTGAACTAGGATGGGTGCAGTGGGAAAACACACATGGAGCCAGTGCAAAACACATCATTTGAGTTGTTAAATCACTGTGGTTGGAAAGACTTCCAGACAAAAGGATCCACTAGGATGCAGTGAATCAAGCTAAGAACAGCTTCAAGGACTTCTGAACCATAGACTTTTGATGGATCTCTTCCGTGATTGACTAGACAGATACTATAATCAGATAGTCCTATTTGACAGATGCTTGTCAGCCTTACAAATCTTAAAAATGTTCTTAACCATGGAAGGCTTGGACGGAAAATGGAAACCACAAGTCAGGTTAAATAAAGTTGACTACAGGCCATTCTAAATAGACCTGGGCTGGGAGTTTTAAGTAGAAACACAAAAGATGCTTCTTTTGTTGACTGTCAGTTCTTTTTGTGTTTACAAATTCCTCTTGAACCTGTTTCTACATTGGGTGTGGGAAAAATTAAAGTGATATGTTTTCATGGTGAATCCATGCTGTGCAAATAAATAAAGGGAATGCTTTAAACCACAATCCTCTTCATCTTACTTCATTGTTTTGCCATTTCCCTTATTTCCTTGAAATCTATCTCTCTCCACACAGACACAAATTTAACATTGAAATTAAGTCAAGATAATGTCTCATGTTATTGCTAAGGTCAGCACAATTTAAAAATGGAAAGTTGTTTAACAATATAGACATATACATCGTTCCACAGCCCCTCTTTGTATGTTGTATGTATTTTACTACGAATAAGCTTAAGTTTCTAGTTTAAAATGTGAATTATAGCTAAACATCTGGTCATTTATAAACTATAAAAATAGAATCTTTGCCTATTAAGCATTTTAATATTCAAAAGCTTCAATCATCCTTATGTACAAAGTGAATTGGAAATATCATCTTTATTTTCTGGTTCACTGATAGTGGAATCTGAAAGCATTCATTTATCTTTCTATGTCAAAAATACTTCAGAATACAAATATTTCAGGCACTAGAAACCTAGTTCTCTGTGAATTTCATCAAAACAGTTTCATTAGTGATACCACCAAGATGTGTTTTTTGCATATCACACTACATTATTTTCTTTCTATTTCAATATTTTAATTGGTTCTTTTTTATTATTAGCCTGCTAGTGTGATCTTTTAAATGTTCAAAAATGTAGATTTAAGTTTGAGGATTTGATTTGTAATCAAATAGCTATCACTAGGAATGATGTTTTTACCTGAGTCCGTCATGGGTACCATTACAGTGATGAGATGGGAGCATGTGAGATGGGTTAATTACAACTTTATGTAAAGGGGAAGAGAAGAGGTAACATTATACAGATAATTTTGGCCCCAGAATGTAAGTATGTAGACAGATGGTGGTTCTTAATTAAGATAATATGTGGAATTGTGGGAAGTTGAATATGAGATTGAAAAGCAAAGGTGATATGAATTTAAAAGCTAATAATGAATGTGTATTACTTACCTTGATCATAGGAAGAATTTGCCTTCCCTTTCTACACAGGTTTCTACTTACAGATTTCATAAGAAAGCTGTTTAAATTTTAGCTCTATTTTATTTCATTTGCTACGTAAAAGATTAAAATGTTTATTAAGTAATACCTGTACATATCTGAAAAACTAATAACGTGGACATTTAACAAGTCAAACAGGCAAAAGTAAAATGTAAATCTCCCTTCTTCCTTTGTCTCTTAGTTCACCAGTTTCCCTCCCAAAAAAAAATACCTTACTTTTTGAGGTATGGTATATTAAAATTCAAACTTAGAGTAGTTTCCTATATCTGGCCAATAATCATTAGCTTTTTTTCTGTTTAAATTCCCACTAAGAGAGATTTTTTAAAAATATTAATGCATTTTATCTTCATTAGCTTTTCAGGAAATATATTACCAAATCTCCCTGCTCCTTTTTTGTTCTGGCTTTCAAATGGTAATATTTTAATTGTAGTCCCAAATAATATTTCATACTCTTTATAGGGACTTGATTAATAACAGGAATAAAAGGCTTTTTAGGAGAGGAAGATAGTTATTACTCATGATGATTGATTTGTAAATACCAACAACATCTTCTTTCAAGTGTATAACCCCATAAAACAAAGCATGGTGTATCCATTAACTTTCTGCATCTAGGGAGAAGGTGAATGGAGTTGTTTTGTATTATTATTATTATTAACAGAGATCACAGGTTATGGTAATCTGGAGATCTATGTGTTATGGAAGATACTAAAGAGATAGATGCTGGATGAAAGTAAATTCATTCCAACTTGCTTCAATGATTTAAAGTTACAAACTCAAGTCTCAAGGATTCCTAGAGAGAAAGATGAATTGCGTGATGTCTGATCTGCTGAATCTGAATAATTCTCTGAGATAGACCTCCAAAAACCTGAGAGTTCATCTGAGCTGTCTTCTTTGATAACTTACTCCTCCCTCAAACTGTCTAGTGTCAGCAGTAGATTCAGTAGCTTGACCATTATTATATATTTATTTCTTTATTTTGTAGACAGGATCTCACTCTGTCACCCAAGCTGGAGTGCAGTGGCACAATCACAGCTCACTGCAGCCTTGACCTCCTAGGCTCAAGTGATCCTCCCACTTCAGCTCCCCAAATAGCTGGGACTACAGGCATGCACCACCATGCCTGGCCAATTTTTAGATTTTTTTGTAGAGATGGAGTCTCATTATGTTGTCCAGGCTGATCTCAAACTCCTAGCCTCTAGCAATCCTCCCATCTCAGCCTCCAAAAGTGCTGGGATTACAGGTGTGAGACACTGCGCCAAGCTATGTTGTTTTGTCTTTCACGAATTTCATATTCACAACCACTTGTTTCTCCTGCATGTCTGTCCATACATGCTTTATTTCATTAGCACTGGCTCCTTGTGGCAGGGGTGGGAAGCATAATTGGAAATTAAGCCAGTAGGAGACCCAGAGAGAAAGCACCCAGGAGCAAGAGTTGACTCAATAGGAATCAGCAAGAAAAATACAAGAGACAGAAATATGGGTAGAATGAAGGAGAACAATTAGATGTAAACAAAACTGAGCAGAGCATTGGCACATGATGGATAAGTCATGATTTTAGGACAGGAATGGGGGAAGGTGGATCAGCTGAGACAAGGGTGTGGGTGAAAAACATGGTCTCCAGGCTCATCCCCTTCCATTGCCATAACAGCCACTGAAGTGTCCACTGATTGCTAGTGCTAGAATACTCCCTTACGGATGTTTATACCAGGAAAGCATCATTCATCTTCTTCCAGCACATCCAGGCTTTATTGGAAACACTGGCAATGATATTTTTGCTTGTAGCCTTTCCTAGTCACTGCAGCAGTAATTCAGATAAATAGCAATTTTACACAGATCCTGAAATACATCACCCAATTGAAAATAAAGGGTGTCTAAGTGACTCTGTGCAATTAATAAAGTAACAATATATGCCAGATGCTCTAACATTGTCGAATCCTGGAAAGTAAAGGAAAGAAATAGTAAATAGTGCAGGACTGACATTAGACCCTGGCCATTTCAGAAATGAGTTCAAAAGAGTTCCCTCAATTCCTACTTAAGCCAGAAATTGAGTTGCATTTTCTTAGAGAAGAAGTTAGGCTTCCAGGTTAAGATAAATAGACTTTTGAATCTGAATACTTCAGTTCATAAGCCAAGGCAATCGTAACTGTATGATCTTCAGCAAATGACTTAATCTCTCTGATGTCAGTTTCCTTGCCTATAAAATAGCACAATAAAAATACCTGGTGCATAAATTTGTTGTGATGACTAAATTAATTAACATATGTTAATGATACCTGTTTCATAGAAAATGCTACATAGATAGCATATGCTAATACTGCATTTTTCCCCCACTTACATTTCCTCCTTTATTTCTTTTCAAAGTGCTTTCTCTTTAAGTCCTGTGCTGCCTTTTTAGTTTGTCTGTTGTTTCCTTTGATGACCTCATTCATTAGATTTCTCTCCATAAAGCATAGAAGGGGTCTCAAGGAGTGTTTAGGAACCTAATCCATTGTCATCTCTAACTGCTCCTATTAAAGGCTGGCTCAACCACTGATGTCTGGGAAGTAGAATAGCATGTAAATAACTTGGGATGTCCGCTTGATCACCATGGCTATACCTATCATTTTTTGGTGCTGTTCAGAATCTCTCTAAAGACTGTCCCATGATGACATTTTGGGACTCTGGGACACTGTCTGGAAACCTTACAAAATTTAGCAATTTTGTAACACACGATAGAATCTCGAAATATTTCTCTAATTGTGACAGCATGGTTTATAACTGGGTAACAAGCATTATAATCAGTACGACATATATATTATTATACCCACGTATTCATTCTATCCTTTTTATAGCAAGAATTGTAGGGACAAGTCATCAAAGCATAAAGATAATCAAGGGTAAGATGACTGGGATGAGAATGGACATCCCCCTTGGTAGCAGCCAGGTAGCCTTTTAGCCTTGAGTTTTATTTAATTGCTAACAACCCAATTAAAAAATGTATTAAAGATCCAACCCCAAATGCAAAGTTAAATGTTAGTCCAATTTCTATGTGACATTTTGCCTTTGAACTGGGAAACAGATTTCTTTATGTGTAGTCATTATTTCATTACTACCTTTATTTTCAAGATATTTTTCTATTTTTTAATACATTACAGAAAACCAGTTGGTACAATGTGAAAGTAGGTAAAAAATATGCTCTCATTTAGAGCTATATAGCTCTGGAACTGAGACATAGTCATAAAAAAGTAATAGATCTAAATATTTTGTTGGCTAATTCTAATGGGGTTACGATGGGGTTAGACTACTTTGTTGATCTGACTAGCCTGAGGGCTACAGAGAGATTTTCATTTAATCTGCTAGAATTATTGTTCAAATGAGAAGCTTCTCCTGAAGGCAAAGAAAATGGAAGAAAATGTCTTTTAATTGGCTTATTGTCAATTTCCACAGCTAATTTTAAAAATAAGCACAATTTCGTTAATAGCTTATAGAGAAAATCCAAAGCACTTTTAGATGACTCCAGAAAAATATAAAATTAAGATAATTTAGAGCAATTAGATTTTGTAAACAAAAGTGTAAATTATAGAGTGAAAACATTAAAAATATTTTAATTGTGACAAAATACACAAAGCATAAAATTTGCCATTTATGAATTTACTGTTTATGAAGTTTTAGTCATTAAGCTCTGAAAAAACATTTTTTTCTCTCTTGTTCTTCTTCTCCTCCTCCTTCTCCCCTTCTTTTTCTTCTTCTTTGAAGCATGGTAATCTCTTCAGGTAACTTACTAGTTTCTTCCAAAATGCCTTGAAAACACAACTATTTTTCAAATCTTTACTCCAACGTATTTTCATAAGCCAGGTTTACTGTTCTCACACTCTCTTTTTAACCTTTCTACCTCTTAATAATTAAAGATTATCTTGCAGAAATTTTTAAAGCTATTTATTTTATATTAGATAGAATCTAATAAAACTTGAGACCAGCCTGGAAAACACGGTGAGACTTTATCTCTTCAGAAAAAAAAAATTAAAAATTAGCAGGGCATGGTGGTATGCTTCTGTAGTCCCAGCTTCTCAGGAGGCTGAGGCAGGAGGATGGCTTGAGGCCAGATGTTCAAGGCTGTAGTTAGCTACGATTATGCCACTGCACTCCAGTCAGAGTGACAGAGCAAGATCTTGTCTCTAAAAAAATAGAATAAAATCTAATAACTGATAATATAATTTGGAGATAATTGAGTGCTCCCAATTTCTATACAGTTTGAAAAATAAGAGTCATGGAACATTAGGTATGTAAAAATGAGTGTTATAAGATTATGTGTTAGCAGGGAAAGAATGTTATATCGTAATAATCAAGATACAATATTGTAAGTGTATTGTGATGGTAATTTTTTAGAAATACACAGCAATGGAAGGAAGAGCTAATACTGATTGCTTTGAAATGATGACATTGTGTTTATGTTTCTATTCCCTAGTTTCCAAGTATTCAGTTGAAAAATGTTGCTTATATTTCAGTCCTCTTGTAATAATAATTATAAGGAGTGAGTAGAAATCTGGTTTCTACCCATTTATTTTAACAGAGATGGGTACCCATTTGTTTTAACACTATTTGTCAGAGTTTATTTCTCCCACTGGTATTTAATGCTTCTTATATTCTGAATTCCCTTATTTTCCACAAGGTTTGAAATATATTATTTAAATTAACCTGATTTATTTTATCATGAAAATAAAATATAACAATGCATTAGAAGAAAACTAGAGAAGAATTATTTTATAATCCTGAGATTGGGAGCATTTTTCTAAGACTGATACAAAGCCCAGAAACCATAAATAAAAATATTGAAAAAAATGCATATAATAAAATTTTCATATATTAAAAATTCATGGCATTTAAACACCCTCACTTAAGAAAAGAGAAGTAAAACCTGGGAAATATTACAAGGAACTTAAACAAATTTACAAGAATAAATCAAACAACTCCATCAAAATTGGGCAAAGGATATGAACAGATATTTCTCAAAAGAATACATTTATGTGGCAAACAAACATATGAAAAAAAGCTCATCATCACTGGTCATTAGAGAAATGCAAATCAAAACTGCAATGAGATACCAGCTCATGCTGGTTAGAATGGTGATTATTAAAAAGTGAGAAAACAACAAATGCTGGCAAGGCTGTGGAGAAATAGGAATGCTTCTACACTGTTGGTGGGAATGTAAATTAGTTCAACCATTGTGGAAGACAGTGTGGCGATTCCAAAGGATTATAAATCATTCTACATAAACATGAATGTTTATTGCTGCACTATTTACAATAGCAAAGACTTGGAACCAACCCAAATGCCCATCAATGATTGACTGGATAAAGAAAATGTGGCACATATACACCATGGAATACTATGCAGCCATAAAAAAGAGTGAGTTCATGTACTTTGCAGGGACATGCATGAAGCTGGAAGCCATCATTCTCAGCAAACTAACACAGGAACAGAAAACCAAACACCACATGTTGTCACTCCTAAGTGGGAGTTGAACAATAAGAACACATGGACACAGGGAGGGGAACATCACACAATGGGGCCCGTCAGGGGGTAGGGGACAAGGGGAGGGAGAACATTAGGACAAATACCTAATGCATACAGGGCTTAAAACCTAGATGATGGGTTGATAGGTGCAGCAAACCACCATGGCACATGTATACCTATGTAACAAACCTGCACATTCCGCACATGTATTCCAGAACTTAAATTAAAAAAAGAAACAAAAAACAAGAAACAAAAAAATGGGAAAGGAAATATTTAAAACACATATGACAGTGAAAGGACTGTTCTCCTTAATATATAAAGAGCTCATTTAAGAAAAAGAGAACTGTAACAACTAAACAATGAGCAAATGACAAAGACAGTTTATTAAAAAGAAATTGCAGGAACTTCTGGTTTCTGGTATTTATTATAAAGCATTTGGGGGTTGTCACTCTCATTCTATCGAGAAAAAGCTAAACAAACTGAAAATCAACAATTTCTATTAGACCCATGAGAGAGCTGAGATTGCAGGTTGTATTAGGGTTCTGTAGAGGGAAAGAACTAATAGGATAGATGGATATATGAAGGGGAGTTTATCAAGGAGTATTGACTCACATGATCAAAAGGCGAAGTCCCCCAACAAGCCATCAGCAAACTGAGGATCAAGGAAGCCAGTATGAACCCCCAAACCTCAAAAGTAGGGAAGCCAACAGTGTAGTCTTCATTCTGTCCCTGAAGGTCTAAGAGCCCCTGGCAAACCACTGGTGTAAGTCCAAGAGTCCAAAAGCTGAAGATCTTAGAGTCTGATGTTCGAGGGCAGGAAACATCCAGCATTGGAGAAAGATGAAGGCCAGAAGAGTCAGCAAGTCAGCTTCTCCCACCTTCTCCTGCCTGCTTTATTCTAGCCTCTCTGGCAGCTGATTCGATGGTGCCCAACCCCATTGAGGGTGGGTCTGCCTCTCCCAGTCCACTGACTCAAATGTTAATCTTCTTTGGCAACATCCTCACAGACACAGCCAGGAACAATACTTTGTATCCTTCAATCCAATCAAGTTGACCCCATCACACAAGGCAAACCACTGTCCCCAAAATGTAGAGACACAGGCACATCCAAAGACACACAGAGGAGATCCGCCCATCTGGGGCAGAAGCCACTGCAACCACAGATTGCTAATAACACTTAAAAGGTAACTTCCACAAAGCTAGAATTTCAGTGTGGATTGGCCTAAGGGTCAGAAACTCCTGAGGATTCTAGTCTTAGGGGGACCTTTAAACTTCTGTGGGCTTGAGCCCCAGGAACCCCAGAAGGTTCTCCCAGTGAAGATGTGTGAAACTCCCGGATGGCTCTGCTGGAGCAAGGGAAGAGTAATCATTGTGAAATACACCTAGAGCCTTCTCCAGAACAAAGACCTTCCTAGGACCTTATCCTAGCTGGGGGAAAGTCATTTCTCCCACTGGAGCAAGCCCCTTGAGTCTCCTAGGCTCACATGAGGGAGAAATAAAAATTCATAGTCAACAAGAATCAAGACTTTAGGGAAATACATCTGGAATGCTATATCCAGGGAGGGGAATAGGAAGCAGGGAGGGGGAAAAACTATTCCACTAGAGACACCCTTAAGAGAGTCACAGCCTAAAGATACAGACCTACTAAATACTAAAGACTAAGAAACTTCTAATATTGAAATGCAAAGAAAAAAAATGAAAAAAACAAAAACAAAAGCAGAACAGAACATCAGAGACCAGTAGGATAATAATAAAAGTTGTAACCTCCATGTACTTAATTGGAATATCAGAAGAGAAGAAAAAGAGAAAGAATAAATGTTTGAAATAATAGCTGAGTGCTTTCCAAAACTGACAGATGTCAAACTAGGAAGCTCGGAGAAAAACAACTGGAAAATCACCAAAAAACCACATGTAGGCATATTATTTGCCAACAAACAAACAAACTTTAAATAAACCAGATAAAACTACACCTCTCTGCAAAATACTCAACCAGTATTCCTCAACTGTCCAGGTCATTAAATAAAAACAGGAGAAGTCTGGCCGGGCACAGTGGCTCATGCCTGTAATCCCAGCACTTTGGGAGGTGAAGGTGGGCGGATCACAAGCTCAAGAGATTGAGACCATCTTGGCCAACATGGTGAAACCCCATCTCTACTAGAAAAAAATTTTAAAAAATTAGCTGGGCATGGTGGCGCATGCCTGTAGTGCCAGGTACTTGGGAGGCTGAGGCAGGAGGATTGCCTGAACCCAGGAGGCAGAGGTTGCAGTGAGCCGAGATTGCGCCATTGCACTCCAGCCTAAGTGACAAGAGTGAAACTCCATCTGAAAAAAAAAAAAAAAAATCAAAAAAAAAAAACAGGAGAAGTCTGAGAAACTATCACAGCTAAGAGGAACATAAGGAAACATAACAGCTAAATATAATGTCATATTGTGGATATAATTCAGGAAGATAAAAAGGACATTATGTAAACAGAAAAATCTGAATACATTTAGTTAATAATTCAGCTAATTATATATCAATATTCAATATCAATAATTCAGCTAATAATTATATATCAATATTGTTTCAAAAATTTTGACAAAGGTATCATACCTTTGTCAAGGGATGTATGATGTCGGTAGTATGGGAAATCAGGTGTGGAGTATATGGGAGGCCTATACTGTCTTTGCAACTTTCTGTACATGTAAACTTATTCTAAAATTAAAAGTTTATTTTTAAAAAAGGAAATACAAGTAGCTGTTACACATATTAAATAATACATAATATCACTCCTAATAAGTGAAATGCAAGTTAAAACTATAGAGATGCTGTTTTTACTTGAGTGATTTTCAAAGGATTTTTAAAAAACAAGTTTTGTAGCTCGATATTTTCTATAAGGTATGGAGTAAAGAAACTCTCAAGCTTTGCTGATGACAATGTATCGTTATCCACTAAAATATAAAATGTATAACTAACACTGTGATTTCTACTCGTAAAAATGTATCTTGTAGGTGTATTTGTTTGTGAACAATGTGTATAAGGATATCCACTGCTAAAGACTGAAAACCACCTAACGCCCATCACTGAGGATGTTCAGGTTTTGGACAGGTTAAATAAACTACTGGGAACCCATAGAGTAGAATACTATGTGGCCTTTAAACAGAATGAGATATTTAATGTATGCCTATTTAAAAAAACAGAACACCACAGGATGCAGATAAATGTTACTTACATATATATGTACATATATGTATGTATGTATGTATGTATGTGTACAGACAGATGTATTTATACATGTATAAGCTATCTCTAAAATAATTTGGAAGAAAAGTAGATATGCTTCCAAGTGAGCAGAAAAATCTCTAGACAGATATACAAGAAACTATTAATAGTGGTAACCCCCTAAGAGACTTGACAGATGGCTGGAGATCAGGAGTAGGAAAGAGATGTAATTTTCACAATCATCTGTGCTTTTCAAATTATTACTATGTGCGGCCGGGCGGGGTGGCTCACACCTGTAATCCCAGCACTTTGGGAGGCCAAGGCGGGTGGATCACCAGGTCAGGAGATTGACACCATCCTGGCTAACATGGTGAAACCCCGTCTCTACTAAAAAAATACAAAAAATTAGCCGGGCGAGGTGGCATGCGCCTGTAGTCCCAGCTACTCGGGAAGCTGAGGCAGGAGAATGGTGTGAACCCGGGAGGCGGAGCTTGCAGTGAGCCGAGATCGCGCCACTGCACTCCAGCCTGGGCAACAGAGCGAGACTCCGTCTCAAAAAAAAAAAAAAAAAATTACTATGTGCATGTATTACTTTTCAAACAGCATTAATATTTAAAATTCTTTTTGGTAAGACTGGATAGGAATAATTTCTGCAGTGTATGTATTTGTTTTTATTTAATAGCATCTTGTAATATGTATTTGTCAAACAAAATTAACAATATTTAAAAGAGTATGCAGTATAAAGCTTTCTTCATAACTATTTTATTTCCAAATTTTTTAGAGCTTGAGGCAGTATAAATTGCTGATAAAATTGCCTATTTTGTTAAGAAAAATTATTTAAATTGTGTATTAAAGGGCTTATGAGTACCATTCTAAAACAAGGGACCCACAACACTAGTTTATTACATTCAAGATTCCTCTGGATAAAACTGAATTAATATCAAATTGCTGAATGTTGCAGTGAAAGAAGGACAGAAAAAAGATTTTCATGATTCTTGGTTGAAATGTAACAGTCCCACTAGGAATAGTAAGTATCCCCATTTAATTAACCAATACATATTTTTATGTTATTGGCAACTATTTAATTAACAATGTTATAACTACAAACTAAAAACAGATTCCCCAGACTAAGGAGAAACAGGAAAATCTAAGTGGTTTGTAGGTGTTATCATAAGTCTTACAGATTTGGCAGCAAGAAGCACTGGGACTTCAAGAGTAGACCAATGCGGAAAAGGAGGTGGGTTAGAAATGGGTAAGGCCAAGACTGGTGGAGCTCCTCTTGCAGGATGGCCAGACATTTTTAAATTAGGTTGTCCAAAGGGCTTAGTGACTTTGGGCTTTAAGCTGAGCAGGAGTCAAATTTTGGAAATAGAGCTCTTTTGGACCAAAGCGATACTTAAATTCACTTAAGTCACAATGTCCTGATTGGAGGCACCCTGTCTTTGAGTAAGGCTCCAAAAAGCAGGAGGAAGCCTTATAGCAGGAAGGTGGTGTGAGAACACCCAGTAACACCTCCCTGAAGCCACAGTGGGGAGTCATTCTGGGCTGACCTTATAGCAGGCCTTGTAACAGGGTAGTGGGATGAGAAGACTCAGTAATACCTTCATGAAGCTACAGTGGAGAATCATTCTGAATATCTGAGATTCCTTGTGGAAGGCAGGTAGAAGGCAGCTGCCCAGGTAAGGCATAAGGCCAGAGGCTAGTTTAGGCAAGAAGGAATAAACTAGCCTCTGGCCTTATACCTTAACTTCCAGACCATGAGATTCCTCTAAAAAGACAGTTGTGTTTAACGACACAGAGCTGCTGGCTGCCCTTGTAGATACACCGTTGGACAGAAGGAAAGGCTGGCCTGATAGGACAGTCACAAATTTCCTCTATCTTATATTTGGTCAAGAATGTGTACAATGAAGGCTTTCAGGACCAGATGCTGAAGGTGCTCACGAAGGCCGTGGCAGAGGAAAAAAAAAAAAAAATAACATGAGTTCTGGTTCTGGAAAAGTATCCCTATCGAGAAAGCTGTACCTTTTTAATATGATCTCAGTGGCATCTTTCTTTCAGTGTCTTTCCTATGCAATAAATATCTTGCCTTTTTCATATGTAAATGGCACAACCCTCGGGTCAAGGACAAAAGTGTGCATTTCTTTTTTCCTCCAGAGTTGCTGGGTTGTTTTGTCCAATGGTACCTTCTACAGCATTTCTCCAAGCAGCTTGGCACCGTTAGTACCAAGCTCTCATCTGTGTGCTTAAAAAAAGGTGGGGGGAGCCTATGTGATTTAGGTTTTTTGTTAAAAAAAAAAAATCTTAGTTTCATAGACTAAACTGCAGCTGTGTTTCTCAACAGTTTGTGTGCAGCAGGTGGCTAGCACAGAACTGATAAAATGTTAGAATGCATCGCAGACGCTGCCTCAGAGAATTGCCTGGAGTGTTTCTCTAAAATGTCCTTAGCTGTTTCCTGCTTACAGGGCCTGCTCTGGAATTTCCGTGCGGGAGGTGCTGAGGGTCAGTAACCTGGTTAGAAGGTGAGGGAAGGGGAAGGATGATCTGCTACATGATATTTAAGCTGAATTTGCATAGCATCCACATTTTTGTTGCTAAGATTGTTTCATTTTAGTAAAAATAGCAACATTTTCTAATGTTTCAAATTTCAAACTGTATACAAGATTAGTACTTAGAATTAATTATTATGATTTGATTTGGGGAGACATGGGAAAGTGATATGGATATGCGGACCCAAAGCCCATCTAAGTACCTCTAGGTACCACCACTCCTACACAGTTAAGACCTTCTGACACTTGGACCCAGGCATGTCATTTTTTCAACACCTCCCTCAAGATGATTCTCTTGTTTAATGTGCACTCCTACAGAAACAAAATGCACTTTAAGAAACAGACTGCCTTTATATAACATCTGGTCAGTGAGAACTATGTAGTAAAAACTGTAGTTATAAAAATCATTCTATTTGCACCATCAAGAAAGCAATTAGAGGTTTTAGGCATAAATTCCTACAGCTGCCTATAAATGGTAAAAGGAAAAACTAAGCCACTACTCATCCCTCAATAGAATCTAATTACTTTCTTGTAATGGTTTGCTTGACAAATTCAGATTTAGACTGCAAAGCAGGATATTGTTCTTACAAGGCTCAATGTCACCTCTGTTTTATTTCTGTCATCCTGAGTTTTTCTTTGGGGACACATACTTGTTATTTTCACTGGTTTGTGGTCTGATGGTATTTAAAGAGAGCTAGTGCTTGTTGACGAGACAGGGTTTCACCCTGTCTCCGAGGCTGGAGTGCAGTGGGGTGGTCACAGCTCACTGCAGCCTCGACCTCCTGGACTGAAGGAATCCTCCCATCTCAGCCACCCAAATAGCTGGGACTTTAGGCACAAGCCAGCACACCTGACTACTTTATTTTATTTTATTTTATTTTATTTATTTTTTAATTTTTTTTTTGTAGAGACTGGGTCTCCCTATGCTGTCCAGGTTGGTCTCAAACTCCTTGCTTCAAGCAATCCTCCCACCTCAGCCTCCCAAAGTGCTGGGATTACAGGCATGAACCATTATGCTCAGCCTTGTTATGCTGTATTTTTAGGAAATAAGGGCATTTTGCATGTTCTTTTTGACATTTTCCTAAATGCAAAGCATGGGTTTACGGGCGCCTCTCAGCTTCTTCCAAATGCAGAATTTGGGACGGCCTCTTCAAATTCACATTATTGTTGCCATTTGGATAATATCTAAACATGGTACATAGAAGAGAAGGTTTTCTTTTTCCTCCCCTTCGAGAACAGGATTCAAAGAGACAGCATCTGTCACAATCACCTCATTAAAATCACCCATTCTTGAAGTGAACATTTGTAGCAGCTCCTTGAAAAATCAAGCCTGTAGCACGCCTAAGCAGTTAACTTCAAAAAAGCAATGTAATTGCCAATCTGAATAACTGTTGTGCCACTTATACATGGCTTGTATTAAAAGCAATGTCTCTCCAAAGATTAAAGCCTACCATATAGAGCCTGTTGGATCCTAAATCTAAGGCAAAAGAACATAGAAGATATTTCTTCCAAATTTTAAAGGATAAAGAATACCTTCATAATTAGTAAGGAATTCCTGTGAGCCCCTAATTCTGAAGACGCAACAAAAATAAAAAACAATGTCAAAAAGATCATTTCAAAGGGTTTGAATTTTATGACATACAAATCTATTTCAGGTTGTTAGTTCAAATGCATGGCCTGTCTTTCCTACAGGAGTCAAAACTGCTTTGCTTTGTAGCAAGGCTAGGCAGGTCTACACAGGCCCCAGAATTGTATCTGAGAACCACATATTAAATTTGCAGATACCACCCTCACCTCCATACTCTGGCTTGCAGAGGAGGTGTTCATGTGAGCTGTTTAGCTCAAAGATATTGAGGATCTACCTGTAACTCAGAGAATATTTAAGATAATTTATTACTACTAAAAATGGTTGGCTTGCTGAGTAATTAAAAAAATTTGCCAAGTTGTCCATTTCCATGTAGTAAAGCACAATTCATCATTCTTATTCCATTTGCCTTCCACGGAGAGTAACTTCCAGCCAATAAATACTGATGTTGTCCAGGGAGATATTTCTTGAGCTACATATGTAAAACCCTGAGTGGTTACAGATCCAATAGGAGCTTCTAACCATATGGAATTTTTCTTCCTCCAATAGATGCAGTTTAAATAGTTAAGCCTTGACTTGCTGGCAGTTGGATATACTATCTCTGATGAAGAGCCACTTGCTAGCAATGAAAAAGCAATTTCTTAACCTAATGAAGTAGTTAATTTAAAACCAAGGCCGATATATTTGCAGTTTGTTTTAAAAGAAAAATAAATAGGCTACATTTAGTAGTAGCATTTCTGTTACGGGACTGTGGTTTTCATGGCCCATTTGTATTTCATCCGAATTTTTTTATTAATAATTTCCCTACCACTTCCAACATATTCATGAACCTCCCCAGTGTTTTAATCAAGGGCACAAAGGACACATTGGTATGACATTTGGTCACACTGCCATCTTCATGCCTTAACTTGAACGCTAATGAAGTGCATTTTAGCCCATGTAGAATGAAAGAAACGGAAGGGATAAGTTCCTCTGGAACAGGCTCTATAATCATTATTCTTTTTTTTTCCTAAAATCAAAATGATCTAAACAGCCATGGGTCAAAGAGTGAACATTCAAATACTTCAGAGCACTAGAGACCTAAGCAGCCTGGAGTTGTTTCAAATCTACTTTAACTCTGCTTCTGACAAGTGGTCCCTAATGTGTAGAGTAACGATATCTCCTAATGCTGCAATTTCTGTGCCAATGCTTATTTTACATAGCTACAATGAAGGAGCTAAATGTTTCCAGTATGTATTAAATATTTTAGTGAAGATCCCCAAGGCAAATGAGAATTTGTAGCCTTGCAATTAAGAGGAAAGCAGAATTACTAGTGAATAAGGTATTTTTCTTGGTTGAGAAGAATTACTGGAGTTCAGCATTTTAGTGAACAGCTGTTACTCTGGGATAACTATGATTTCATAACAGTTGTAAAGCCTATTGTTAGTACTAGAGTCTGCTGTTTACATGGGACACTGCTGGGTACTGTTGAGGAAACCAAAAGGCATGATCTTTGTACCCAAGAAAGGTAGAGATAGATTGTAAACACCACCCATAGGAAACTATTCATAATTTCCACCTCATAGGTAGGCAACAGAGTCTGTTGGTTAAAGGGCAATCTATGAAATAATATGGCCTTGGTTCACATCTTGTCTCTGCTATTTACAGCTTTGTGTCTTCTTTTCCTTAGCTGTCTTATCTGAAAATTGGGTATATCAATCACACCTATCTTAAAAAATATTATGAGGATTAATATTATACTTTAAGTGCCTAGAGCAGTCCTTAGCAAATGCTAAACACTCAATGAAAATTTGCTACTTTTATATTTGCTAAGGAATGCTCTATGATTTAGGAGTATTAATACTGCATATCATTTTTCCTCCAAATTTTGCATTTGACCTTGTCTGGAGCACATCGCTTTTGGAATACTCAGGCATAAGCTGGGCTCACAACTCATTGTGAAACTCATTCCAGCATCTGTCTTCTTTCAGCAGTGGATGATTGAATCTGTGCTTTGTCAGAACCATAACAAATACATGTCATGGATCTTCAGAACTACTTAGAGTCAAAATACGGAACATTAACATAAGTAAAATTTAAAGGTCTGCTGTTAAATTAAAAAAAAACCTGTATATACGTGTGTGTGTGTGTGTGTGTGTGTGTGTGTGTGTGTGTGTGTGTGTTTAAATACAATGTAGAGATGTTAGCAAAGGCTTTGCAAGCTCAAACATAAAATCAATTTCCAATGTATGAGTCATGAATGTATTTACGGAAGAAGTAACATTTGGCTTGAATCTTGAAGCAAGAGTGGGCTTGTGGTAGGCTGAGAAGCTGGGGAAGGGAATTGCAGGCAGCAGAAGTAGAAGTACAGGTAAACTGCACACATGTGTTTCGAGACTGTTGAGTAGTTCAGTGACTTGTCCCTAAGATTCATGGTGAGAGTTACTAAGAGAGAAGGCCAGGAAGACAGATGAGGAACATTATATACAAGTCCTTGATATTAGGAGAAGGTTAAACTAACTTTATTTACTAACCAGTAAGCTGGGGTCATTGAAAGTTTTATGGAGAAAATTACTATGGTTTTCTTTTGTCTGTATCATGGAAGGTAGATGGAAAACAGGGTCCTGGCCATAATTTTCCTAGTTTGATTAAAAAACAGTGGTGCGTAAATTGGTCCAAGGTGAAAGACTACAAAGGAAGCATTTGTGAGAGAATAGTGCATTGACAAAACTTTTACTATGTGCTAGTTCACTGCAGGTAAAAGAGAGCCCAAGAGAGAATAATAATTAACTGATATAAGAAACACAGAACAAATAAAATTCATACATTTTGTGATGGTCCCATCTTTTTTATTTTAACACAGACTCCATCTTGACTTTGTAAGGATGACATGACCGTTAGGTTCAAGTCCTTTTTTTCAGATTAGAGGGAAGGCTCATCGTTGCCTTGACTTGGGCACCCTGGTAAACCATGGCCTTGGTTAGTTATCATTGCCAGTGGCACCGCAGAGTGTCAAGGAAGCTGGCTCACCACAAATGAAGCTGAATCTTCCCAGTTGGTAAACCAGCTGTCCTAAGTGCTGGGTGCACAGAGCCCACAGATGTTCATGGTGGTTCAGCAGTGGTTCATATGTCTATCTTATGCCATGGAAGATGACAGGAGAATGAAATATAAAACAGAAAAATGCCCATGTGTATTTTCAGATACCAGGTTATTTTTTCAAGTTCAAGTACAATTCCCACCAAAATCAAGTAACAGCAACTCTTTCTCACAGAATATAAAGCAACACCCTTATGTTCACCAGCAACATCTGAAATGGTAATAGAGGATTAGGAAGCCACAAAATCCAAGCAAGAGGTGGCCCTGGTGGTGAGAACAGTCAATGAATGAGATGGAGGGGAAGATATGCAGGGAGACGAGTTGTGGAGTTTTTTTACCCCCATGCCCTGGAAACAATATTGTCCATATATTTAAACTTATTTTTCCAACTATATGCATTCTTCTCACTAGCTCACCTTCCTTCATATTGTGCCACATAAATATAATATTTAAGGTACATTTAATGCCTCCAGTAGAGTGATTCCTTAGCAAGGTAGAAAAAAATTACAGAAAAGTCCTGAAATTCTGAAGTTGGATATTTTCTCTGTGCATAATACTTGTGAATATTCCATTAATGTTGTACACGACTTGCACAATATTTTTGACAGAAACTGACATTACTTAGTTAGCTTATTAACAGCTCCAGAAAATAATTACCCCACAAAATATATCTTAAAAGGTAAAGATTTATCAGATGTTAATATTAATTTAAAAAGCATACTTTTAAACAATATCATTAGTATCATGAATGTGCTATCCCATTGGCACAATTCTTATATTAAGGTATTTTCCTTAGAAAATGCAATCAAGTGTCTAATGAATACAATTTCAGCCACAGTATTCTGACGTAATAGGTAACAAATCATTTTGCTATCTATGTTGCACACAGGATGAATGTAGCTTTGTGAATTTAATTACTGCCAGCCCCCCCACACCCCGGTTTTAAAACATCAATATGTGATATGTTCAGCCTAGAACTCTATAGGAATTCAGTTGTATCTGTCCACCAGCATGTTTGGGCATCTCTGTGCTGAGGCCCTACATGGGCAGTAGGTTCAACGGGCCTTGAAGGCCACACTGAATTTAATATCACACTCCCCACTTCTCACCACCAGCATACCTTTCCCCCTGTGAACTGTATTTTTATCCACCCCTTTGTCCAAACCTTAAATCTTGCTGTCATGCTTGACTCTTCTTCTCCCTGGCTCTCATCGTATCCAACAATGACCAAGTCTTGAACAGTTATACATCTAAATCTTCCTCTAATGCAAAATGTTTTCTACATACTTTCGGTCTTCACCTTCCCCTCTCCACTACATAGCTCATATAGTTTTCTGACTCATTGTTATTCTCCTAATCTTGCCTTTCCAAACTTTTCTTCACATAAGAGAGTAAGAACCTTTTTAAGATGAGGCATGACCTTTCTGTTCAGTAGGAATTTCATGAAATGAAGGCTGTTCATTTCCCCTTCTCCCGCACTGAGTTTCAGACATTTTTAAGTACTTCCAGGTTCCAATAACTCTCTTCTTAGCTCAGCCCTTTTTAAATGCTTGAAGTTTTAAAATCTTTAAGTCTGCGAGGGCTCCTCCTCAGATTCCTTACCTGGATTATCCCTGCAGGTCCTAGGGCCTCAGCTTGATGCACTTCTGCACAGAAACCACCCCCGGCCCCCAAGACTGAGTTCCATATTACCGGACTACTCTCTCTAGTACCTGCTCTTCACACCTGTTGTAAAACATCTGTTCCCCTGTGCTGCAATTCCCTTCATTTACCTCCACACCCTTTGATGGCGTCATTGTCAGCCAAGCACCTAGGCAAATGCCTATCATAGTAAAGACAGTTAATACATATTCACTGGATAAATACATGAGTGAATTTTATACATCTAATCCCAACCTTAGACAAATATTTACTAAGCGAAACTTCATTTTACTACCTATTATATCCTAGGGAACTGAACATATGGACAATTTAACAAATGCTTTCTGTGGAGAAAAGAAGGAAAGGATCACAGTCCTTTCACATTGCAGTTCTGTAATGTATTTATGAAATACCGCATAAGTAATTGAGGGGCAGGGCTTTTAGCTTTAAATTAAAGCTTAAACTGATCATATGATTTTTAAAACTTAAAATATATTTACTTTAAGCCTTATCCGGTGATCCATTTTTCAAAGTCTGTAGCACTGATGGAACAGTTAACGTGAGGAAATGTATGCTATTGACTTTTCAAACTAAGATTCCACTTTGCTTGAATAAATATTTTTATAAACTCTATACTGTTAGCATTGCTTGACCTATAGTAAGTGCTCAGTTAATATTGGTTGAATGGCCATGACTAGAAAGGTTTTCAAAATTTAAAAAGATGTTAAAAATGCTTACAAGGTGTTTAAATTTTGGAAATATATTTTGGACAAATCTCACAGAAGTTGATTGTTGACAAGGAAGTTGGGAAGTGAATTAAACTATTTATGATCTGTAGAAGGTTGAATAATAGCCACACAAAGATATTGGGTCCCAATTCCTTAGAACCTGTAAATGTTACCTCATAAAGAAAAAAAGTCATTGGAGACAGGATCAAATTAAATATCTTGAGGGGAGATTGTGCTGGATTGTCAAGGTCAGCCCTAAATGCAGTCACAAGTACTTTATAAGAGGAAGGGAAAGGGAGATTTTACAAGCAGAACAAGAGGAAGCAATGCAACCACGGGGAAAGAGATCAGAGTGATGTGGCCACAAGTCAAGGGATGCCAGCCCCCAACAGAAGGCAGAAGAGATAAAGAACACATTCTCTCCTAGAACTTCCAGAGAGAGTCCATCCTTGTTGGCACCTTGATTTCAACCCAGTGATACAGATCTTGGACTTCTGGTCTCCAGAACAGTGAAAGAATAAATGCATGTTGTTTTAAGCCACCATGTTTGTAGAAATTTGTTACAGCAGCTACGGGAAACTAATATAATGTCCATGTTATCATTTCTTCTGTCCTTATAATTGATTAATCTGAGTTTATAACTATATTATTGATACAAGTCTAGGGAAAAAATGAGTAGATGTTTGGATTCCATCATCCCTTTATGGAATGATTTCGTGTATAAAATAAATCACCATAATATTTATTTTTGTTTTCTTTCTCTCTCCCCATTCTTCATATTAGACCATAATAATTTAGGAGAATGTATGAGAAATATTAGGAGAATATTAATCCTAATATAGGATGTTAGGATTATCAATATCTATCAATATCTATATTAATATTTTGACTATATAGCTCTTGTTTCTAATGGGCCAGCCATTGGCAAATTTGGATTCCACCCTTGCTGAGCTCCATAGGAACTTTGGTTTCCACAGCCATGATGCTTGTAGTCATGATAGCAGCAGTCTTTGGTGGCCACTCACTTATGCTCTACCAAGTTCAGGAGAGTTTATTGTTCAGTTAAGGAAATAAAGAACAATATTTTTTTTTCCAGAAAAAGTTAGTTTATACGTAAGTTACCACAAAAACTGCATGAGAGAAAATAGCTAAAAACAAAAACCAGTTTATCTTGTATTTATTTATTTACTTGAGACAGGGTCTCACTTCATTGCCCAGGCTGTAGTGTAGTGGCGCGGTCTCAGCTCAATGCAACCTCTGCCTCCTGGGCTCAAGGGATCTTCCCACCATAGCCTGCCAAGTAGCTGGGACCAAAGGTTAGCACCACCATGCCTGGCTAATTTTTTGTATTTTTGATAGAAGTGGAGTTTCACCCTGTTGCTCAGGCTGGTCTCAAACTACTGAATTCAGGCGATCTGCCGGACTTGGCTTCCCAGTGTTAGGATTACAGGCATGAGCCACCATGCCTGGCCAACTATCTTTTAAATTCAAGTGAAATTATTTGTAAATAGCAGCTTACTCTTCTTACTTCCCACATTAATTGGAAACAGTACAAATGGCTTTAACAAAAATTTAAAATACATGGATAAAACTTAGGAATAGAGGAAATAATTTACAAAATATTTTGCCATGTATTAAATCTTTTGTAGATAAAGCCTTCATCTGTAGATGAAGTCACCACTTGGATTTTTAGCTGAAGTAAAGGAACATCCTACCATGTACATTGTTTGAAAGTAATTTGGGTATGGCTTAAAATATCTGAGAACGTCATCATCAGCATTAGATTGTTTCAATTGCTTTATAGTTTTCAGAATTATTGCTTTAACTCTGGCATATCCTGAGACACAGACAGTAGGCAACTCGCCTAAGGTCACACAGAGAGTTTTCACTAATACACAACCTCATATGGGTTTGATTTTCTGTCCAGGCTTAGACAAGAGATTCTATAGCATTTCTCTCTGGAATTGTGCTCTCGAAGTGATTCATAAAAGACAATTTATGACTGGAAGTGATAGAGGACTTGAGCTGCCTTACAACTGAGTTTGTTTTTCATTATTTTTTTTTCTGATCTCATCAAAGTCTGGTAGCATGCATTTCATAGAAAGTTATAGAGGCTGTTATGTCATTTTATGTGCATCCTAACCTAGAATAGTTCATGGTATAAGGTTTATTTAAAAGGTCAATATGATCTTGGACCTTTTCTTTCTTTTCCTTTCCTTCTCTTTTCTAAGAAAGGGGTATTGTTGCTGTCGCTACTGACATCATTTAGAGTCATCAAATATTGAGATCATTCATGTGGAAGACTTTTTCCTCTGGGACTCATGTCATGCTAACGAACTGCAAGAATTTTATTGTATAAGACAATGTAAAAACACTGCTGCTAATTTATTTCTTCATTGATTCAAGAAACATTTGCTGAGTATTGATTTCAAGTGATAGCTGGATCCTGTAATTATAAAAGAAGGCTCAAGCCTTCTAGAACTGCACAATTAGAAAAGTCTAATAGAAATGTAATGTGGTCCACAAATGTGACCGCACATGTAATTTTAAAAATATCTGATAGTTGCATAAAATGTAAAAAGAAACAGGCACAATTAATTTTAGAATATATTTTATTTAAATATTTCCAAAATATAATTTTGACATAAAATCAATATTTTAAATTATTAATGGTATAAGTTTTTTGTTTCTTTTCTTGTGAAATCAGTGCGTATTTTATGCTAAAAGCATGTCAGTTTAAACTAGTTACATTTCATGTGCTCAAAAGTCACATGGTAGCTAATCCTACAGTATTAGACAGTACAGGTCTACAGGCTTGCAATTTCCTAGGTGCAATAAATTCAGAGGGATTCATGTTTCTAGAGATATTTACAAAGTGGTGAGGAAACACAAGGCAAAGAACAACTAACTTACTTGGACATAAAAGAAAGTGATCGAGAAAATGTGTTTAAAAGGAGCATACATAAGAACTATGGAAAAAATATGGAATAGCCTGACAGGGGAGAGAAGGGAAAGGATCAGGTGTAAGTGGACATTTTTAAGATTTTAGGTAATTTGGTGATACTACAGTGTTAGGTACCCTGAGGGAGAGTGGATTAAGGACTAGTTCGTGGCAAAAAAAGTGAAGGCAAGGAAGCTGAAGATAGAATTACTAAAAATTCTGTGCTCTACTGAGGAGTACAGATGTTATCTTGTATATAGCCTGGTGCCACTGGATTATTTTAGGCAGACGAGTTGTGAGGTGTGATTAATGTTTTAGATGGATGATCCTGGTGGTAGTTTGGAGTGGATTGGAGAAGGATGATGCTTAAAGAAGAAAATAGTTAAAAGGTTGCTGCAATGGCCAAAGGAATGTTTCTGAAGATGAGATGACTTATTAAAAATCTTGCAGAGTCAAATGAGTTTGTGTAATGTTGGGTTAAATGCAAATAAATATTTCTCTTCTAAGATGTTTCAGTTTTTACAATGTTAATGTTCATTGAAATTCATGAGGGAGACATAGTATGCAGTTTTTCCCAAATTAATTTGGCCATAGAACTCCTTCTTTCTTCTTCTTCTTCTTTTCAAGAGCCATTTTGCAGAACGAGTGTTCCCTGGAATACTTCCGGAATGCTGATTTAGGAAAAGCCTTAGCTGGAATAAAAGGAGGGCACGGTGTGACCTTTCAAAGGTCTTTCCACTCTGTTTCTTGTCCTAATTAGTATCTTGTGCATAACGAATCTCTCTGTGCACGTTTCAGTTTTGATTAAATGATTTGGGCATGACTCCTCGTCACCCACTTTTTAAATCAGGGCTAGAGAAACTAATTGTGGAATTATTACCTTATAGATAATAAAATCACGCTGAAAGAAAATAAGATTGTAGGAGAAAATTGGGATAAAAATAGAAGCCTAAAAATGGGATGAACAGAAAAGAGAAGGGAAGGAAAGATGAGGGAAGGGAGAGGAGTGTAGGATGGTGATAAAAAGTAAGGGAAGAAAATTATGAGTATTTAAACAGCCAGCAGCAGCAGAAGAGAAAATGAAGCAAATGAAGAGGCAAGGGGCAGGTGGAAGAGAAGAAAGAGGACAAGTACTCAGATTTTAAGGCAGGAAATAGTCTCAAAACAAAGAGAGACACCAACCATGCCACATGCAGAAACGAATCAAGTAGGAGAAATAATTTAGGCCTAAGGACCTCAAGCTTATATTCTATATGAATTATTAATTTGTAAAGCTAAGTAATTGTTTTTTATGTCTGATTACTGAGATATATTTTGTTTTAATCTTGAAACTTGAAAATCCAAGCAGATTTATAGATGCATGTGTTTAGGACAGAAGCTAGGCAAGAAAGTGTTAATTGGTGCTATGAAATTATTATAAGTATTGAGCAAACAACCTACTCTTCTAAATGTAGGGTCTGTTTCTTTCCTACATTAAAAAAAGCGAAATTAATTCCCTTCTTAAGTTACTCTGAATAAAAATTTCAGAACAACAGTTTTGCAGTTTTCCATGTGGCTGGTTTTCAGATCTATCTATTCATTTCTGTCGGATACTCGGCAGATTGTTTTCTTATTGTGCCTTGGGATTCGAGTTCTGATGGGCCCACTGAGCGAGATCAGTGCTTTGAATTGATCTAGAGGCATTTGTCTCCTGTGAATAAGTAATTTAGAGTTGAGAGTATATGTAACGCAGTTGAAGTTAAGAGATGTCTTATTTCACCAAGAAATAGGTCATTTGAATCCGGAGACACTGAGTGTGCTTACGGTAATTACTGGAAGCAGGTGGTCTTCACAGCTAGTGCTGACTTTGATGAAAGAGACCTCATAGTCTGAAAATAGCCCATGTCGTGTTGCGTTCTGCAGGGAAAAATGAAAAAAATTTAATAACCGACTTTGAAGTGAAAACCAATATTCGGTCAGCCCTCATTTATTTTCCATGGCTGGTTAGAGATACTATTACTATTTTAACTTGTTTCTGTAGGGAAATTGAGAGCAGGATCTTTTTCCCATTTCCTGAATGTAATCCTTAAAAATTTCCTCCTATTATACCTTTTGCGCTTTGCATGAATTGTTTTGATTTTACTTGTAACTTTTTTTTTCTAATTTTAAAGTTGTGATTGAATAGAAAAACACTGATGAATCAAAACCCGGTAAGATATCAACAACTTATACTGTACAGCCAAATCTACTTTTGAAAACACTCAGGTAGTTTCTGCAAAAGTCAGTGGAAATTTGTTATAGGTGCCTGTGGACCACGGGAAGATATGTTCAAATGTGAGGCAACATCTTGCTGAAAATATATTCTCTTGAAATGGAAATATAGGAAGAGTTATTGCTTTGCTTTACAATTATTTAATTTTAAAAATTAGTCATCTAAAAGTGATTATTGCTTTCAAGTTATGTTTATATAGTATTAAGTTATATATATTTATATAGCATTATATTATTTATAGTATTATATATTTATATAGTATTATATATTTATATAGCATTATTTATATTACTTATAAAGTTGTGTGTTGTGTGTGGTGGAGAGAGACTAACTATATGGCGGATATAAAATATTACTCTCCTATCAGTTTTATTGTTTTATTTGTGGGGGGCGGTACGGCTGCTGTAACAAGTTACAAACTGGGTGGCCTAAAACAACAGAAATTTATTCTCTCACAGTTCTGGAGGCCAGAAGTCCAAAACCAGTGTCCTTTAGCTGAAATCAGAATTGGCAGTGCTGCCTTCCCTCTGTAGGCTCTACAGGAAAATGTGTTCCTTGCCTCTTCTAGCCAGAAGACCTTCACTTGTGACCACATCACTCCAATCCTCAAGACCTGTATCTTCTCTCTGCTCTGTCTTCCCGTCATTTTCGTGCGTGTGTGTGTATGTGTGTGTGTGTGTGTGTGTGTGTGTATGTATGTAATCTCCCATCTCCCAGTACCTCCCTCTTTTAAGGATATATGGATTGCATTTAGGGGCCACCTAGAGAATCCAGGATGTTCTCCCCATCTCAAAATCCTAAACCTAATCACATCTTCAAAAACACATTTTCCCATATAAAGTAACGTTTGTGATTCCAGAGATTAAGACATGAAGATGTTTATGATGGGAGAGCATGGTTAGGGCATTTTTCAGCCTAACATCCTATTCAGTACACATTCTCACTTTCTTTCCTGCCAATAGCATCCTGATATTGTTCAAGATGGCATTGCTCCCATCATATGTAGGTAGTGGCTTATAATAAATCTAAACCAATTATGGGAGTCTATCTCTACACTCCGTGCAGCCCTGGATGGCCCTATAATCCAATTCTGACAAATGAGACACAAGAAAAGAATCAGATTGGGAGTTAGTCCTCTGAAGGGAGCATTGGTAGAAGCACTGAATGCAATAGGAATGGCTAACATTTTCGTGGGCCCTATTCTCCACCTTGAAATTAGACATCATCCTTGTTACCAAGGCAAGTATTTTTTAAATCATGAAGCCAAAAGCTGATAAGCAAAAAAGTGACACAGCTAAGAATGGGAAAATTGAAATAAGAAGATAATTATTAAGCAGCTTAAACAATACTAACAACTGTCATTTTCAGACTTTTTGATATGAAAAAATATAGAAAATAATAATAATAAATAATAAAGTAACATAAACCCATGTATGTTTAACGCACTGCTGAGTTCTCTATTACTGCGGCCAAAAGCATTACTAACAAGCACATTCTGAAATATTTGGAAAATACTGAAGAGCATGAAGGAAAACAGTATCACCATTAATACCAACAACCAGAAATTATCACTGTTAACATTTTGTAGTATATTCTTCCAGCCATACAAAAGAGATCTTCTTGTTCATTCTATTTTAGAAATTTCTCTTTTAAGGTCTGATTGTGTTATGACCATATAAATATTAATTTGCAAAACTAATATCTGCCTGATGGCCCATCATTTTGATAAATCATAGTTTTAAAAATCTTCCACCTACCATTTATTTAGAAATGAAAATTTGAATATTTCACGTACTTTCATTTCCCATCCACTTCTCACAGATCCTCAAAAGAATGTTGTTTCAAAGTTAGTTTTTCTTTATATTGATTGTGTGGGGTTTCTTTGCTCAGCAAGAAAATAGAAAATAATAGTCCATGAAGAGCAAAATAAGAAAAACAAGTGCTAAATTGTGTGAGTGAGGGCTTCTGAGTCATCAGAAAATGTTTTCACAGAACTTTTCTCACTTGAAAAGATCTGCTAGAAAGGTTCTGGGAGGATAATGCCTAGTTAGAGTTGGCTGAGGGAGTGATTATGTTGCTAGGGAGATTCTTTTAATTATGTTTAATTGGTATCATATCATCTGTTTTACTGTATTTTTGTTTTTAGTAATTCATTTTAAAGTAGACATTTAAAAAAATCAAAATACCTTTTGTGCAAAAGTAATACTGCACGGTTACGATTTATGGGGCCTAAAAACACAAACCAGTATGTATTAGTGACACAAAAGAAAAATAAAATATTATTTCATATGTTACCTATTCAAAAATTGAATTAATTGAAAGCATGAGTCTAACAACTTATTCCCTGTCGCAAAATTTATAGGAGGAATTTAGACCAGTACCTTAAAGAAAGCAAAATATGCCCTTCTTGTCACTACACAATAAGAGCACAAACTTTAAAAGAATCTTAGTCTAGCAAATGCTGATTATATCCACGGAAATAATCCTGATCATGGAAAACAGTATGTTGCACTGGGGAAAAGTGAGGAATGATTTCTGGTTAAACCAGTGACTGACATAGCAAGAATTGAGTCCTGTTCTTTCTCACTGGACCTAGTTACCAGAGGAGTTTGTAGTGAAGTGTTTATAAATGTGTAATTCCATTTTCGTTTTGTGTGTTTGTGTGGGAAAGAGAGATAATGAAAGGAAATGGTGTTTCCATGGTAACATAACAGAAAATCCATAACATGGAAGTGATGTGATGTCAGTGATTTTTTTTTCCTCCAAGGGAAAGGGTGGAAGTACAATGAACATTGTGTTGTCATCAGCCAAGTGCAAGCATTTTGTGTAATTCAGAAGACACTGAATTTAATTGATAGTTGACTATAATACGGTTGCTCTGGACATGTCATTCCTGTTGCCCTTCTCCTCTCTCCCTGATATGTAATGTCAGGTGAAATTGCCTTGGCCTGCAGAGTAATTGATAACAGCTTAGCAACACAGGTGACAGAAAGGAAGGGGAAGAGAGTCTTTTGGTTACTTCAATATTTTTTGCCAAAAATTTGGTGCACTGTACCTTTTGATTCTCTGTTCAATCAGGTGATCTTGAAAATGTCCATTACCAGAACACAGTGTTTGCTGAGTACTCATCTCAATTGAGATGAAAATTGCATACTATGTATTAGCAGCCCTAATCATATCTACCCATGCTAAAATTAAAAAAAAAAATTAACAGCACGTTGTGAATTGTGTTGGCAATTAAATGACAATCACCATATTATATTGTATGTTGTTCTCACTTACTAGTTTGGTAATTTAATTTGAACTTGTTACTAAGATTTCAAGCCATTTATTGGCCGACAGTTATGATTCTTCTTTTCTTTTTAAAATTTTTTCTGCCAAATGATGAAAATATGTCAAAAGGAAAAATTGTGACAGAGATAAGTATTGATGGCATCTGGTTTAGGGGTACAGTGGCTTCTAAAAATGATGTGTGAGTATAAAGATTTGAGAGGATGGGGGTAGTGTTGATCTATTTATCCACATTCTTCCAAAGTAGGCGGATGGCTCTCATTTCAGTTCAGCTCAGCCATTATCAGAAAGTTTGTGTTGATTCTGAGTGAAGAAAGGAGAAATTGAATTATGCACCCAAATAAAGCAAACTCCTGTCAACTGTAGTCAATCGTTTTATTCTTTAGACTGAGACTCCTAAGGAATCTACTGTCTAGATCAATCCTTTCTGCTTCTTGAAGTTTCCTGTTTTCTCTCTTCAGCTATTGTGCACTTCATATCTCAAATCTTTGTATTTCAAATCTTGAAAGCTGATTTCACCTAATTTCTGTCTGCAGTCATTGTGCTACTTCTTCTACTAAAAAATGTCTTTGATTAATACTTATCATTGAAAAATCCTTAATGTTCTTACTTTGCTTCCTGGGTTCATCATCAAAAAACTTCAGCTGCTCAAGTCAGTAGTGCGCCCACACCTTAACAAATCTTAAGGCCATTGACTGACCTGCATTCTTGACCTCTTTGTGGGATTAGGTTCTCCTGATCATCTCCTCCTCAGGAAACATTCTCTTCTTCTAGAGTCTATTAAGTGACAATATCTTGTTTTTTTACCAAACTTTTTTTTTTAATTGTTTTTGAGATAGAATCTCACTCTGTTGCCCAGGCTGGAGTGCAGTGGCATAATCTCGGCTCACTGCAACCTCCACCTCCCAGGTTCGAGCAATTCTCCCGCCTCAGCTTCCCGAGTAGCTGGGATTACAGCCCCCCGACCCCCACCATGCCCGGCTAATTTTTGCATTTCTAGTAGAGATGGGGTTTCACCATGTTGGCCAAGCTGGTCACAAACTCCTGACCTCATTTGATCCTCCCGCCTCGCCTATCAAAGTGCTTAGATTACAGGCATGAGCCACTGTGCCCAGTCAGTTTTTTACCAGCCTTTCTAAGAGATCCTTGTCTATTTCAGCTCAGTGACTGCTACCATTGTGGTCTAACCTTGTCATTGTTTATTTCTATAGTTCAGAAGTTTTCTGTCTGCTGTAATACCAAATCCACAATCTACATTCCATGTTATTATTCCGCCTAGACAACATCTTACATATATTGATTAAATTATTTTGATTTAGATAACTCGGTGTTTCCTAAATTGCAGTACATTTGCATAATTATCGTTATCTGTCTGAGGGTAAAAAGAACACTCTTTCATGTTTCTCTTTGCACCACAGCCTTTATCCCAAGATATAGTCATTGTTTTTATTCCTACTATCCCTTAGTCCATAAATCTAATCACTCCTTTATTTCTATTAAATGGACTATATGTCTGTCCTATTCCATCACCAGCAGCAGAAGGATTCTGGATATGTTTTGAAGGGATTGGTAATAATATTTGCTATAAATTATGTAAGGGGTACGAGAAAAATAGAAAAGTCCAGGGTGGTTTTAAGGATTTTGGCTTGAGCAACTGAGCAAATGGCAGGGCCTATTATTGTGGTACAGAACACTGCAGAAGGACAAGATGGGGGAATCCTGTTTCAGGCATGGTAAATTTAAGATTCCCATAAAATATTCCAATGAACATGTCAGATAAGCAGTTAAGATCTTTGAGTATAATGTCTAGAGGAAAAATGGCGGCTGGAGGTATAATTTTAGGAGTTTATCAGTTTTTAAAGCCACGGGATAGGACAAGAACACCAAATTATTGAGTATAGGCAGCTAGAGAAGGTATCCTAGGCCCAGCCCTGGAGTACATCCATGTTTACAAAGCAGGAAGAGGTAGAACATGCTTCCAAAAGAGACTGAGAAACAGCAGCCAATGAGGTGGGAAGAAAACCAAGAGTGCAGTGTCTTTGAAGACATTTGCTAACAGGTGTCAAGAAGGCGATAACTATGTGGAGTACCTCTGAGAGTCTAAGAAGGTGCGGACAGAAATCTCGCCATCAGGGTTAATGCAGCCATCAGGGACCACAGTGCTAAGGACCCACAATACTTTTAGGGGCCCCCAAAATATTTTAATTTTTATTTATTTTCAAATCAATAGAAAAATATAAATATAATGACAGTGCATATATAAAAATGAAACCTGCCTGGGTTGTATTTGTGTTGATAACAATGCAGTCATATAATTTTTAATACTGTTTTATGGAAGATCAGGCCCACAAAGGACTTCAAGTGCTCTGATGAGCATTAGATAGGCCATGTAGATGTCACTGCTCATATTGATAAGAACAGCTTTGAAAAAGCCCTGGGCACAGACACCCGAGACTTGTGGGTTCAAGGAAGAGGTGGAGAGGAAATTGAATGTGGATCCAGAGATAGCAGTTTTAACAAACCATTAAAAGAATGTTGTAAAGGGGTGCAGAGGAAAGGAATAGCATCATAGCTGGAAGAGATGTGGGGTTAAAGGCGGTTTGTGTGTGAGAGAGAGAGAGAGAGAGAGAAAACTGGGAAGACACATCTTTTCTTTTTTTTTTTCTTTTTTTTTTTTTGAGACGGAGTATCGTTGTCTCCCATGCTGGAGTGCGGTGGCACGATCTCGGCTCACTGTAACCTCCACCTCCTGGGTTCAAGCAATTCTCCTGCCTCAGCTTCCTGAGTAGCTTGGGTTTACAGGCATGCGCCACCACGCCCAGCTAATTTTTGTATTTTTAGTAGAGACAGGGTTTTGCCATGTTGGCCAGGCTGGTCTCGAACTCCTGACCTCAGGTGATCCGCCTGCCTTGGCCGCCCAAAGTGCTAGGATTGCAAGCGTGAGCCACCGTGCCCGGCTGACACATCTTTTATAAGATATAATTGAAGGAGCAGAGACTTTCAGAGCAGAAGGACATGGGGTCCAGTACCTGAAGAAAGGAGTTGGCCTAAGATTGGAGCAGGTTTTTCCTGATTATTTCTGCTTTCACAGTGAGATAAGAAGTAAAGTCATTAGCTGAGAGTTAGGAAGTCTGAACATAGGTGGTAGATTTGAGGAGAGATGACACAATATGAATTAGTCACATTTATCTTGAAAGAATGGATTGTCTAGGGAAACGCAATGAGATTACTGACAGAGAATGTAAGAAAATTGAAAATATTAGCAGCAGTAGTTACTTCTGGGCAATAGGATCAAATATTATTTTTATTTTTATGGTTTTTGTTGTCAAATGTTTTACACTGAAGTTTTCTCACTTCAAAAGCTATTGAAAATTTTAAGCCTCCTATCTTTAATATCTTGCAGTGGTTTCTACGTTCTTTAGGAATTTTCTGTAGACCAACTCCAGCCCCTTGTAAGAATTCCCTGAAGACTTAGTCTTCAGTGTATGACAGCATTCTGTAATACATATTTTTATAGGTTATTTCAACTGCTCACTGTTTGAATATGTTGTTTTTCTAATGAAAGTAGCAACTCTTTACTGCAGCAGCTAGGTTCCATGTAGGTATCCATTGCTGTTAATGTATTAGTTTACATAAATGTCCTATATATAAATATTGTTGGCACGTGGGTTTTCTCTCACTATTTCACTATTAACATTGTTAAATGGGGGGAGAAAACACATTTTCAGCAGTAATCTCTCTTACTTCTTGCAATGTTGCCAACTCTAACATAAGAGCTTCCAGATCAGGCCGGGTGTGGTGTCTCACGCCTGTAATCCCAGCACTGCGGGAAGCTGAGGCAAGTGGATCACGAAGTCAGGAGATCGAGACCATCCTGGCCAATATGGTGAAACTCTGTCTCTACTAAAAATACAAAAATTAGCTGGGGGTGGTGGCGTGTGCCTGTAATCCCAGCTACTCAGGAGGCTGAGGCAGGAGAATCACTTGAACCAGGGGGTCAGAGGTTGCAGTGAGCCGAGATCACACCACAGCACTCCAGCCTGGCGACAGAGCTAGACTCCATCCAAAAAAAAAAAAAAAAAAAAAAAGAGCTTCCAGATCTTCTTGGTCCTGGACTCTGGGGAGCACCACCGGCTCTCTGAGTGCTTGACCTTAAGGAACAAGGTGATGCTTATGTTTCCTTGAGACTCTCCACCCGCCTTTTATTGGCATATGGTGAAATAGTATTCATTTTCGTATTACTGCTGCTTCATTCTGTTCCAGAAACGTTTTACATGTACCACAAATATTTGTGCCACATAAAACAACATCCTGTTTTTGGACTGGCTTGAAGATATAACCACAATGTACAATGTCATTTCCATGGAAAATATCTTCTGACTCTCAGGTAAAATGATTTACAACTAGTGGTAACACTGCCAACCTCGAATGACTATTTTGATAAGCATGGCATCCATATTAATGGCAAAAAGCAATGACATATGCATTAAAAAGCAAATATTTGTTCGTTCTTATTTGGCTCCAGCAAGCATTGTGCAATTCAGTTCTTGTGTTCTCCAAGCAGCTGGGAGTGGGGAATGAGTGATGAGGAAAAGCCAGTCTGCTGATAATTCACAAAGTGGATTGTCAAGAGTAAACCCAAGGCTGTAGTCTCTCCTCCTGCCCCCTACCCCCACCTCACCTTTCTCTCTGCAGCAACCCGGAGCAAGTTTCTCAAAGGAAGCTGAAATGGGTATCACCTTGGTTGTCAGGCTCTCAACATCCTCATTAAGAACCTTCTAGTGACGGGCCTGGTGCCTTGTGAGATCATCACATTCAGAGCCACACTCGGTACAAATCCTCGAGCTGCTCTCTAGTGATGTGGACGAGAGCATTATTTAATCTCCACAGATTAATTTGCTCATTTCAAAATTGGAGATTAAATTAGACCATCAATAAAGCCTTGAAAAATATGATTATTTAAATTAGTGTTGGCCTTGAATAGTTTAAAATTTCCATTAATTCCACATGTATAATTCCAGTGGTTATTTTGTATCAGACATTAAACTAAACATCAGGGATTCAAAGATAAAGCAGAATTCTTGCCTCTAAGTAGTCACACAGCTATGTAAGGAATTGGATGATCATGGCCTTGTTAACCACATTCATTTCCATGGCAGGAGGAACTTCCTTGTGTTTTACGTTTTGTAAAATTCATTGGTAGGTTGAAGAATCTCCACTTAGACATAAGTTTAAAATCAGGCCACATAGATCATATGACTCATGGGTTGAATTATAACAAAATACCAGGTCTCCAAGTAGGCAGAGCCACTGCTGCCCTGAAGCTCCTTGATTTTACCATGAGGTTGGTCTGGGCTGTGTTAGGGTCTTTGTCTCTGTCATAAGAGCCACAGGAGGCTGGACGGTTCCTAAGCAGGGGAATCCCTCATTTTTGGATTGACTTTTGAAAGATAACTCTGACTGACACATTGGCCAGTGCTGGAATCTGGCCTGTGATATCCCTTGAGATGGTCCTTAGAGATAGCTTGCTCCCCTCTAACCCCCTTCACCAAGCCTCTCATTGGCAATGTGCATATGGGATTGTGCATGTGGGAAGAACAGGAGGGGGGAGCTGTCATAGGACCTTTCAGTCTCTCAAAGGAGCCATATTCTTTATCATCTCAGAGCTGTTCATAGTCTGTTTTCTTTGGCCAGAACTCTCCTTCACCTCTCTATTTTTTTCCCAATTACCTCTTAAGCATCCTTCAACTCTCGGCCTTTCAGAACACTCACCTAGCTGTCCTATGCTATATCCTATATACTGTAGCTTATTTGCTGTATGCTATATACTATATACCACATATGTTATATGCTTTTTACTATATACCATATACCATAATATACAATATACTATTTGCTATATCGTGGATGCATATTACATGTAGTATAAAGGATAAAGTAACAGTAAAAGCTAAAATGATTAAATGCTAACACTCAAAAAACTCTAAACTCCTTTATCCTTTATATTTTATGTAGGGGACATGTAGTGTATACATATATATACACCATATACTATATATATAGTATGTATATACACTATATGCTATATATATAGTATATATATACACTATATATATACTATAGTATATATCTGTGCTGTATACTATATACTATGTATTCTACATTATGTACTGCATGCTATACTCTTTACACTGTATCCTGCATACTGTATATTTTCTCCATAGGATAGCATCTATTACTATTCCTTGGTATATGTCAATGTGTCTGATTATTTGATTAAATGTCTTTCATCTCCAGCAAAAGCCTTCACGAGGTTAGAAACTGTGTCTGTGTTGTTTCCCGTTATCCATCTAGTCCTTCCACAAATATTCCTCGAAGGCTGAATAAAGGATGATAATCTTCTAGAAGAGACTAACTTTGATATTTCTGAAAGAAGGCATATGCATTGATGGAAAATTGGAGAATTGAAATAGCTTGGATTAAAAATTAAAGGCAGAAAAAAAGCACCTATCAGGCAACACCTAAAGTTCTTTTTTTGTTTTTAATTGTAATCAATTGTAAGATTAAATCTGTCTTTACGAGACATTGTCCTAAGAGTAGTGATTTTTACTGGCCTTCATAGACTGTCAGAATCTATCTCCTAAAATTGTTCTGGGAGAGTTATTATGCAAAGGTGACTTTCACCAGTCTTCCTGACATACGAATGTCAATGTAGAAAAGAGGTATTCAATTTGGAGGTTTTTGAGTATTAGAGTTTATTCAGTTTATAGTATTTTAGCTTTTGCTGTTTCTTTTTCCTCAGAATGAAAATTATTTCAAAACATTTAACTCCTAGGCATAAGGGTGTATATATTTATCTGAAACAAAACAATTTTACCAATAAATACAAGCAAAAGAAGGAAAAATTAACAAATAAACCTAGAAGATTATGCCTAAGGAAATTATTTTTAATAATTATTTTAGATTAATCTTTGTACCAGGTTTTGTAAATGATTCAGATACAAATTAAATATTGTGCAATTCTTTTTATTAGACTTTTTGGACTCCTTTACATAGATATCATCATCCAACTTTGAAAGATTTTAAGTAAATCTTCAATACAGTCTTAAAAATTCACAGAAGAAAAACTTCATCTTCCAATAAGCATTGAATGAAAAATCCGTCGGCACGGCAAGGCAACATTAGCAGTGACTGTTTCTTGATCCTTTGGCTCAACTCCTTTCTCTCTAATGTAATGTTTCCCGAGTTGGGTTCTGTAAGGCTTAGAGATTGTCAGCAATTTAAAAAAAGATTGGATCCCTTCTCAGATAAGCCTGGGGATTACCACATACCAATTTTCCTTCTTGGAAATTTACATTATATTAAAAACTCTAAGGCATCCTACAATTCTTAGGAAATGTACTAAGGTGAAGTATTACAGCATTAAAGGGAAAAATCAAGGCACAGAAAACAGAAATAATAGCATTTTTTGTTTATTTGTTTCTCTACCCTTTTCGCAATATCATCTGTACAGTAGACAGTGGATACGTATTATGTGGAGGAGATGAGAAAATTGTTAGTGGCAATTAAGAAAATCAGTGCGTGGTGGATAAGGTAAAATCATATAATGGCAGAAAAGGACTCATAACACTTCGCCAGTACTTGAAAAGGGGTGGATATAGGTTATTATCAGTATTAAATTTGGGAGAAATCTCATCATCCTCTTTTTTAAATTGAGGTTATGTCACTTGATAGTTTTCCAAATTACCATTCATCCCCAATCTTCTAATCTCTTTGACTTTAAAACCTTCCACGTATCTGCCTTATCCTGACTTTTTACAAGAAATATTCAATGAATATCAAGTTTGTAATAGATACAAAGTAAGATTGTAGGTGAATAAGAATGTAGGGTTTTGCTAAGTGTCTTTAAATGTTTTGTGATGCAATCAAGGGAAAGTTATATGGACATTTGTTTATGTATAAAATAAAGGCTGTAAAGATCAAATAAGAACTGAAATCAACAAATGTCTTGAACATTTCTCCAAGGAGAAAAAGAAGAACTTTGGATCTTGCCTAATACTGGGACAATAAATTGCTTAGTAAAATAAGTGAGAGGAATCCCATTCATTGTTATTTGAAATGCTAACCTGGCGCTCAGGGAGGCGGTTACGATATTTATTTATTTGTCTTTGTGAAATAGAATATTACATTTTCCCAAAATTTTGCTTATGCCAGTTAATCTTAATATCAAGATGAGTTTTCACCCTCTTGTTGCCAGGAGGCATTTAGCAGTAGCTGTTGAGTTGCACATTGTCTCAATGACACACTGTGTCATCCTTTTGTTATAAGGCATTATTTTTATAAAGCAGCATCTTGCTGTCTGCCATGGGAATTGTGGCCATGCATTGGCTTTAAATGTTTCCATACAAATTGGTAACTTGAGCATATTAGATATTTTTGTTACTCCCTGAGAGATAAAGCAGCTTATCTCTTAAACTGATACATTACATTATATTTCCAGTGATACACTGAAAACATTAAGAACTCATTATACCAGAGTCTTTCTTCATCTAGGACATTCTGCTCCAGTGTTTGTAAGCTTAGCTCCATAAATATCAGTTTGATATTCTTAATGATTGTAAGCATTAATTTTCTATTTGAAAGCCATCTTTCAGATATCTTCTCTCACATAGAAGATAATTATAAGGCCATCTCAGTGAAGAAGGTTTAAATGTTTTTTTAACTACTATAATTAGAAAACGATCCCCATTGCAATGAATCTTTAGAACTCGAATGACTTAACTATTCAATTAACTTCCAAACATGGAAAGTAACCTTCCAGAGGGCAAGATCCTCCCTATCATTTTACTCCTGAATCCAATTCCCAAAACAACATCTGGCATCAAGTCAGCCCTCAGCTTGCTAAACGGAGGAATAAATGAAATGTGTGAAGCACAGTTCTCATTCCCAAGCATTCACGGAGAGGTAATAAAAGCTGAATCTGCTGCTTTTTCTCTCAGAAGGCATATGTCTAGCAAAGGAAACAAGTCAACACACAAAAAATATATATGTAGGCATCCAAAATATTCCACATACCAGAAAAAAAGATGAAAAGTGACAGGAAAGTTCAAGGGAACACAAGACATCTGCCTGGCAGGGATGGAGACTGCTCAGGAAGAAGACAAAGCTGGAGAGAAGGTGAGATTTTTGGCAGGTGGTGTTATGCAAGGAGGGGTGCTCTCCAGAAAAGGGAAGCAGAGATGAGAGCATGCAGGAAGGAATTGGAGAAAAAGAATGAAGAATAGAAGGCCTGCCCTTGCCTATCCTGGAGAGAAGACAGGATAGATTAATTAGTGCTGGGTCAAGGAGGGCAGTGAATGACAGACAGTACCACTTAACACTTATCCTCCCCTTTCACCATAAATTTGTTGTCTCTCCCGCAATCTTTCTCACAAGTAATAACAGGGAATGGCTTGATCAGAAATTGTCTCCTTATTTATTTGCCTCAATGGTAGTATTTATACTGTGGAATCCCCTTTTTTTGGAAATCACCTTCATTGATTTCTGTAATGCCATCTTTCCTGGCATATTCCTGCCTTCTCTGGCTCCCTCCCACTCTCAGGCATCACCAAGACTGGTCTCAGCAGCCTGCCCCCTGGCTCGGCTCTGAACGCCGGTCACTGTCACAGTCAGCCCCTCCTTGTGCCCCCACACTGTTCCTCCCGGCAGCTGACCTTGGAGGACCTCAGGATTGGGGAATCAGCATCTCCTCTCCTAACCCTTGCTCTCTAGTTCATCAATCTTTCTATTTTTCTCCCAGTTTTTCAGGATCTCTGCATGTTACAATTATCTTTGTTTCGTTTTGTTTTTGATCGGCCTTGCTCTTTTATTCCCCACACAGACTCTGTTTGAGCCATCCCTCCCTTTCCATTCTCTCTGCCAACAGCCAAGTTCCATGTCACCTCACACTTGTACTACTCCAGTCACCTCTGACACCTATTGGGCTCCCTTGTCTATGCTCACCCCCTGACCAGGGTACCCACATAATTCTACCAAACAAAAATAGTGTCTTTACTTTCTCTCCTGCCTAGTTATACAACAGAAATCAGCCAGCATTTATGGAGAACCATGGTGGGCTGCACAGAACACTAGGCAGATGGGGTTATGATGACAGATACGTCCCCTGCTCTAGAGGAATGTTCAGTTTTGTGTGGGTGATAGACTTGCAAACCATTGTACTCACAATGGAATACCTTCTAAAGTGCCTTAACATGTCTCGTATCATTTTCTAGTACTTTCACATCAGCTTATTAATTTTAACCTTGATGGTAAATCCCTCATGCCATTTGTTAATGATTCAATGACTCTATTTACTTTAAAAACAGAAGTATTTATTTTACACACACCAGCAACTAATATTACAATATTTTATCATTTTACAGATAAGGACACTTTTTAAATTTGGATTTCTGAAAATAATTATCTTGTGATTCAGAAAAAAATACATTTTCCTTGGACCATAGGTGTTCTCTAAGTAAATTATACACATACATATACTAACATTTGGTTTAGTTTAGTTCAAAAGATAAAACAAAAATGTCAAACTGAAATGTTTGTTTTCTCAATAAACAGTGTAAAAAGAATCACACTGTAATCATTGCAGGAAAGACATGTTTACTTCATTTTCAAACTAGTTAAGGATGACCAAATATATTTTGTAAACTTTGCATGAAATCCCAAGATGCGAGTCTCACGGTTACTCCTTCTTGTAAGAAAGTTCATTCTCCCAGAGGACAAGTATTTTGAGATTCTTCTAACATCCAGAAAGTTCACAGATCCTAACGTATACTTCAAGTAATTTCTAACACTGGCAATATTTTGATTAACAGTTTTTTAACTAAATGTCTGCATTCTTCCCAAATTCATATGCTGAAACCCCTTTCCCAATGTGACCATATTTGAAGATGAGACTTTGGAGAGGTAATTAGGGTTATACGAATTTATTGAGGGGGAGACTCATGGTGGGATTAATGCTCTCTTATGAAGAGTCATTAATGCCCTCTTACAAAGAGTCATTGTCTCTCCATCTGCATATACCATGTGAGGACACAGCAAGAAGGTCTGTGTCCTCTGCAAGAAGGTCCGTCTGCAAGTCAGGAAGAGAGCCCTCCCCAGAACCTGACCATGCTGGCTCCCTGATTTCTGACTTCCAGCCTCCAGAATTGTAAGAGAATAAATTTCTGTTGTTTAAGCCATCCAGTCTATGATATTTAGTTATGGTAGTCTGAAAAGACCAAGATAGCAATTGAATTATATTTGAAAGTCACTCACAAAGTTTTTCAGTTACTGAACTTAAATTGTTCACATAGGAAAATGAAAAAAAAAAAAAAGGTTCTACTTTCCAATTAGTATTCACTCTGACATTAGCCTCATTTTGGATTTCAAATTTCTCCTCTTCCTGAATGTACAGACTTGATCACTGTTTTCCTGAAATAAAGAATTCTCCCTTGAGCTCTGACTCGATGTCCTCCTCTCCATCATCCCCTGCTTCAGTGAGACAGTATCCCATGGGCATATTTAGTGACCTTTTTAATTTGTTAAGCTGTCATATTTGTTCATCTGTATTAAGTTGGGAACCCTCAGAACACACTTCTATCACGGTGGATTTATAACACTTAGAGAGTTCTGCTTTATAGATTTTTAAGTATAGAAATTTTCTCACTTTGCCTTAATTTAACATTATGTTAATACTTAGGCTACCTTAGTTTATTCGAAAGATAAGACCACATGAAAGTTGGAAAGAAAATTTTTACCGTGGAATATATGTGCTGTAGCTCTTTATACAATACTTGTGAAGTACTAATATTATAGACAAACACATTGCCAACAGGAAAATTAATGCTTTTATCAAATAAGCTCATTGCTTAAGGTTTTCTTTAGACTATGGAAAAATAAGTCAAAATGAAATAAAATGACCCTTGAAGTGATATCTTTTTATTTCATGGAAGAGTAGTTTGCCAGTGTGTGTTCATGCATCTTCATCTTATCAGGTACAGAGATGCAAATTCAGTTTCATGGTTAGTTTAGCAGGTAGTCCCTCCCATCTGTAGGCTTTGCAATGGAGAATACTGATCAGAGGAATCGGATTCTTTTCCCAGATCTCCAGACTTTTCACTTCAAAGTGCAACGGCTTAATGCAAAGACAACTGCCTCAACAGGTAGATGTTCAGTGATGGAAAACCACCAAATGACTCTTTTTATTGTAATACCTTACACTGTATGGGTTACAGAAATTGGGTTAGCTTTCTTAGCTTGCTAGCTAGCTTGCTTGCCAAGATTGGGTTAACTTTTACTCTAAACAAGCCTTCAAACCCAAATTTAGCTTTTTTCTTCCAATTTCCTTGCTGTAGTAACTGGTACCATCATCTTCCATTGAACGCCTTCCTCAGCCCTTTCGCCCTTTATCCAATAAGCCATCAGGACGTTGGTTCTACTTTTGAAAAACTCTCTAATGTGTCTACTTCTGCCCACTCCACTCCTAATTGCAGCCAATTCCATCCTTCCATGGGTTCCTGAGATAGACAGCGAATTATTCTCTCATTTCAACAGTGAACCCCTCCTTACTCATTTTCTACACATTCTGGCTGAATGAACTTACTATTTAAAAAAAAATTTTTTTGAACCACTTCAGCTGCATAAACAATAGATAATGTGGAAAACACTAGTGTACCCATTCCCTAGTTTGAAGGGGAAAAATAAAAAAACAGACACAGTTGATTTTGCCATGTACCCTTCTCAATTTTTTCCTCCATTCTTCTTTGGAAGAAAACATTCTCCTTAATGTGGTGCTTATCAGAATGCTCTTCCAATTAAGCAAATGTGGCTGGGTGTGGTGTCTCATGCATGTAACCCCAGCACTTTGGGAGGCTGAGGTGGGTGGATCACTGAAGGTCAGGAGTTAGAGATCAACCTGACCAACATGGTGAAACCCTGTCTACTAAAAATATAAAAATTAGTTAGGCATGATGGCAGGTGCCTGTAATCTCAGCTACTCAGGAGGCTGAGGCAGGGGGATTGCTAGAACCTGGGAGGTGGAGGTTGCAGTGAGCCGAGATTGTGCCACTGCACTACAGCCTGAGTGACAGAGTGAGACCCCATGTCAAAACAAAATAAAATAAAACAGAAAACAATTAGGCAAATCTGGTCAAGTCTTTGTTGAACTCTTCAGTGTTTGGCCATTGCCTTTGAAAAACATCCCCAAACTTTTGCTGTGGGCTGGCATAGCCTTCCACCATCTGACCTCAGCCTGTTGCTCTCTGGCCACATCATGCACCGTTCTCTGTGAAGTCCGGAGAAGGCTTTTCTCTCTACTTTAGCCCTAATGCCCAGCACAATACTTTAAACATACTAAGCAGTCAATGATTACTTGTAAATCCAGTGAGTACACGGATCAATGTCAGACGCTGTGTTGAAATACAAACATGAAAATGTTATGGTCCCTGTCCTCTGGGGTCTGTAAGAGGTGGTGAGAGAGGGGAATAGACCTAGGAATGGATGTGAAAACAAACAATTTTAACTCAGTGTGAGAAGACCTGTAACAGACGTCTGAATGAGCACAGGTGTGGACCACAAAGGGTGTAATCAGGCCTTCTGGGTTTGTGGAGAATGAAAGAAGTCTTCACAGACGAGGAGAAGCTTAAAAGATGAATAGGATTTTTCAGGGCACAGAAGCAGGAAAGTATATTTCAGGCAGAAACAGCAGCCTGTGAAAATGCATAAACCCATGGTACCTGGAGAGAACTGTGAGTATCTGGAGCACAGGATACATCTGGAGGGGTGGTGAGAGGTAAAGTTGAAGAGCCAGGCAGTGACCAGACCAGGGAGGGCTTTACATGGCAAGCTGCTGTGTTTGAAAATTCAGCAATTCACACTTGAAACCCAATGTATGACTTATGTATTGTGCCAAGTAAAGCACTGAATACAAAGATGAGTAAACTGACCCGTCTATCCTTAAAAGCTAGCTCATCCAACCAATGAGGAGATAAATAAATCCGCAATGCAATTTTTTTTTACCACTTTCTCTTCAAATACAGTTGTTTCCTGAATGGCTAGATTCTGATGACATTGGGGATTTGTCATTTTTGTAGACATTGGATAGTAGTCGTGTTGCCATAAACCAGAGGGCCAGCACGTTACTCTTTCACCTGTCACCGGCACACCCAGGAGGAGTGTTCATGTCAAGTCTTTAGAAACCTTCAGCATTGCAAAGCTTATAAAGGATAGCAAAGGCCACTTGAGAGGTATTTGCAACCTTGACTCATGTCAGCTTGTCCTCTTCCTTTTGCGAGATGGTCTGGGCTGAGTGTGGGGCACCTAAGCTGACCCCTTATCTAAGGCCAGAAATAAGTAGCCACACACTGGAGCTGTTTCAGCCCCTATTTGGTAACAACAGTAGAGATCACTTTTTTAGCTTAACGAGGGTCATCTTTCTCAATAATGTGTAAATAGTCCTAAGGGTGATTATGTAATAAATATATACCCTTCACATGTTAGTACATAAAAACCCATTATATCTTTCCTGAGAGAGGATTTAAATAGGCAGGAGAGAATTAATAGTCATACTTACCCGGGTAGAGTTTTTGACAATGGCAATGTAAGAAATGCACAGTGTTGAAGATTAGACAATGAACTCTAGAACATTTTGTCTACGCCTCCCCCATACTTCCCATATCTAAAATTTGTGAAAAGGTTAAAATACTATTACATTTTATTTAAATAATTTTAAAAAGTATTATTTTAGTACGATTGAGTGTCTTCTCTAATATAGGCTTGCCCCAGTTTCGTGAAGCTTTGAGCACTTAGACAAGGTGCACTGTCATGGTCAGGTCAGGTTATCCGGGATAAATCCTACCTTCAGCCATCTTGACTGGTGCACTCACACATTAAACGGGAGCTGCAGATAAATGTCCATGGAAAGAATTCCTCGCAGCACGATGACCCTTTTTATTCTCTTCTTTAGCAGATAGAAAGTGGAATTTTTAAAAAGTCATCCTTCAGTTCTGATTGGTCTGAACCAGTTACACAAAAGTGTGTTTGAGATGTGGATTCACGCTGCTCCTCTACAAAAGCTGCATGTTAGGAAACCAGGTTATCAATCACAAAAGACCTTGCATGCCTTCCTGCAGTCCCCTTTCAGAAGTGCCTCTTTTCAACCTAAGGAGATCATAGCTTTGCCCCCAAGCCTTTCTGTAGATGTAAATGTAAAGGTGCTATGGGAAAAATAACCCTAAGATTCTTTTTCCCCCCCGGAAAACAGTAAAATATTGAAGCTGCACTTGGAAGGTCTTTTTCTCTTGGTTGCACCAGTTAAACTAAGAGGAGATGTAGTGTTGTTATTACTTATCTGTTCTCGGGTTGTCCCACAGTTCTGGTTCTATTGCCTGCCTTTTTTTTCCATATACCCATTTCTCCCTGTTATCAGTAATCTGCTCTGGGCAAAGTCACAGTAAATCGAGAAGTTAATAAGCCATTTTTTTTTTGAGAGCACTTCTTAATGCTTTACTTTGGTTGGATAATCAGATGTTAAGGTTTAATAGAAGTAAAAAGGTTGTTAAGGGAATGGAAAAATAAGTTATTTAATGAAGTAACATTAGAAGTAAGGTATTTGGATACCTACAGATTGGTGGCTTGAAAGAAATGTACCTGTTTCTCTCCAAAGTGTGTATGATGTCACTAGAAGTAAGAAGACATAGAAAGGAGAAATTTGAAGTCAGAATTGTTGTTTGTAAGCAATGACATCCCTTCTAAATGTTCTACAAAATATTTTATTCAGTCTTACAAAAATTTTTTTGATAGTTGTTTTAGGTCTCTGACTTGTATTTTGCTTATTGCCTAATTGCAAGTAAATTCTACAGATTGTTATTTATCATTTAGGTATCTATTTTAAAGGAAGAGTTTATTGTTTCTGTGTTAAAATAATGCACAATGAATAAAAATGAAAAAATAAATAAAATATTTAAAGACTGGAAGAAAAAATATATTCTCATTTTCAGACAATATAATTATCACATACTAAATCCCTTAAAAATGAAAAAAAAAAATAGTTCAGCAGTTGAGCGAGATTGTAGAATATAAAATCAATATATAAAGTCAGTTGTGTTTCTGAATACACAGTCAGAAAATATAATTGAACATAAAGTTTTCAATAACAGTAGCTTCAAAAGAGCTAAATAAATCAAAAGACATATAAAGATTATGTGAAGGATGTTGTGAAAAATGTCATAAAAAATTAAAAGATTTCCAAGAGTACATAAATAAATAATGACAAATACCATGTTCATGGATTGGGGAATTCAAAATTAAAAGAAATGAATTCCTCTCAAACCGACTTATAACTCCAATGCAATTTCAGTCAAAATATAATATGATTATCTTATGTGTTTGTGTGTGCATGCGTGTGTGTGAGTGCACATGTATACTGACAAAATTTATATGAGAGAACAAAGGAACAGTGATTTTCACACATTCAAGGCAGACAGTTGATGGACTCTTGATTCGCCAGGTCTAAAGACATAACAAGGAAACATGGAGCCATCCACACAGGGATAAACAAGTTGACCGATGAATCAGAGTTGACTCCTGAAAAAATCCCATATATTTATGAAAATTCAACTATGTATTGCCCAGCAGTAAGAATAGGATGGAATTTTCAAAAAAGTGAGTCATGGATATGGCTAGAAGGACTTAGGGCTTCTTTCAGTCTCTCCCTGTTCTCAGTAATTGCAGTGCTTCCTAAAATAGAGTTGATGAATTTTATGAGGAACACATTATGTCTGTGAAAATAAATGCATTTTTGAAAATCTCAGTCAAGATGAAATTAACCAAGATATTGAAAGGTATGTGTATCTGGGTCAACAAAATGAAAAAGACCACGGCTGAAATGCTTTTAGACTAAGTAAGCTGGATGCTTCCTGGATTTTACTGCAGTTCAGATTTAAAGATACTCGATATGTGTTTTGTATTGATGTATAAAATCAATGTACTTTAACATGCCATCTCTTTCTGTCTCCGTCTCTATATATGTAGCTACATGTATACATATGTGTCTATATATGTCTGTATATACATGCATCCATATATGCCTACACACACACACACACACACACACACACACACAGACACACACACACCCTTTTATAAAAACTAAGCCAAATGTGGTATAAATTCCTTTCTTTTCTCAAATAGGGTGAGTTTTTCTTTCAGTTTGCAGTGTCTTATGTGTTCAAATCGTAGGGCATATTGGAAGTACAAAGAGTGAATTGCAATATGAATATGCAACCAGGTCAATGCTCTTTTGTTATGGTTATTTTGGCCCTCTCACTGACTACAGTATCTCATGGCTCCTGGGCTGGGGGAGAGAAGGAGGAGTATATGGCAAACACAACTGCAATCGGGGACAGATTATGAACTAGTAAAGTATCCAAAGTTTTCATGTCAAGGCATAGACCTAATTCTTAAATGTCACATTCTGGCCAGAACCAAGGGACCAATAGGACATGTCAGGAGTACTGATAGGAGCGGCACTGCACAAAAGTGAATCGTTTTTCTAAATCCATAGTGTAGCTCTTCTTTAATCCAAAACCGGTCCCAGGAAACTTTTTTCAAGAAATGGGGTCATGATCAGCCACTATGTAGAATGTTGGGTAATTTTAAGGAAATTACAGAAACTTCAGACAGGGAAGAAAGGCAAAGAAGAGAAACTAAACATTTAATGATAAACCACCATATTCCAGGGACAGGATTATACTAGGTTTCTTTCATTATTTATCTCATATAATTCTCACAGAGGCTATTAGTATTTCCATTTTGAAGGCAGGGAACTGAATATCAGAGCATTTAAATAATTTATTTGTAACAATGCAATTATTAAATGGCAGGGCCAGAATTTACATTGAAGCCTTTTTTTTTTTTTTTGATTCCAAAAGCAATTTCTGACACTGTATACCTTTTCCAGTAGAAACTCTTTGGGAATTAAATATTGCTTGAAGGTAAATTAATCTGCTGGGAGAGGTGATTTAGGAGTATGTGTCAATAATAAATATACTCATGAGAAAACCATGAACCTGAGGGTAGAGGCATCCAGGAGAGTATATGAGGATGGGGAAAACAATCAAGTAACGAACATGTAAGAGACATGTGCTGAGTTGAAGGGAAAGGGTGATGCATTCTGAAGTAGTAATTTTCATGCGTGTCTGTGTGAAGAGACCACCAAACAGGCTTTGTGTGAGCAACATGGCTGTTTATTTCACCTGGGTGCAGGCGGGCTGAGTCCGAAAAGAGAGTCAGCGAAGGGAGATAGGGGTGGGGCCGTTTTATAAGATTTGGGTAGGTAAAGGAAAAAGGGGGTTGTTCTCTGGCGGGCAGGAGTGGGGGTCACAAGGTACTCAGTGGGGGAGCTTGTGAGCCAGGATGAGCCAGGAGAAGGAATTTCACAAGACAATGTCTCAGTTAAGGCAGGAACAGGCCATTTTCACTTCTTTTGTGGTGGAATGTCATCAGTTAACGCAGGAACCGGGGATCTGGATGTGTACGTGCAGGTCACAGGGAATATGATGGCTTAGCTTGGGCTCAGAGGCCTGACATTCCTGTCTTCTTATATTAATAAGAAAAATAAAACAAAATAGTGGTAAAGTGTTGGGACAGCGAAAATTTTGGGAGATGGTATGGAGAGATAATGGGCGATGTTTCTCAGGGCTGCTTCGAGCGGGATTAGGGGTGGCGTGGGAACCTAGAGTGGGAGAGATTAAGATGAAGGAAGATTTTGTGGTAAGGGGTGATATTGTGGATTGTTAGAAGAAACATTTGTCATTTAGAATTATTGGTGATGGCATGGATATGGTTTTGTATGAATTGAAAAACTAAATAGAATAAGAGAAGGAGAAAAACAGGTATTAAAGGTCTAAGAATTGGGACGACTCAGGACATCTGATTAGAGAGTGCCTAAGGAGATTCAGCATAGTCCTGCCAGCAAAGATTATTTATTTACTTCAAGAGTTAAGAGTGGCAGTTTGGGGATAGCACCAGGAGATATCAGCTGTGATGGCTTGGAGAAACAGTGTAAACCGGCAGTGTAAACAAGAGCAGGGCATGTATGAGTAGTTGAGAACGGTGAATAGGAGTATGACTAGACAGAAGATAGTAGGGATGACAAGTTTTTTGGGGGCAGAGTCTAAGTTGGTCTGGTGTCTGGAATGAGACTGGGGCCTAATAAAAAGAGTGTCTATACAGGAGCTCAAATGGGCTGTACCTTGTATCATTCTGAGGACAGGTCTGACTTCTGAGAAGGGAAAGTGATAAAAGTATTGTCCAGTCCTTTTTGAATTGGTGGCTGAGCTTGGTGAGGTGTGTTTTTAAAAGACCTTTAGTCCATTCTACTTTTCCTGAAGATGGAGGACCATAAGGGATATAAAGGTTTCACTGAATACTAAGAGCCTGAAAAACTGCTTGGCTGATTTGACTAATAAAGGCTGGTCTGTTATCAGACTGTATAGAGTTGGGAAGGCTAAACTGAGGAATTATGTCTGACAGAAGGGAAGAAATGACTGCGGTGGCCTTCTCAGACCCTGTAGGAAAGGCCTCTACCTATCCAGTGAAAGTGTCTACCTAGACTACGAGGTATTTTAGTTATCTGACTCGGGGCATATTGAGTAAAGCTAATTTGCCAGTCCTGGGTGGGGGCAAATCCTCGAGCTTCATGTGTAGGGAAGGGAGGGGGCCTGAATAATCCCTGAGGAGTAGTAGAATAGCAGATGGAACACTGAGAAGTTATTTCCTTGAGGATAGATTTCCACCATGGAAAGGAAATGAAAGGTTCTAAGAGGCGGGCTAGTGGCTTGTGCTATAGCATAGCCTGCCTTTGCTGGTGTGTGGCAATTAGGCCTGATGGAACCGCCATCAATAAATCAAGCATGATCAGGATGAGGAACAGGAAAGAAGGAAATACGGGGAAATGGGGTGAATGTCAGGTGGATCAGAGAGATACAGTCATGGGTGTCAGTTGTGGTATCAGGAATAATGTGGGAGGCCGGATTGAAGTCCGGGCCAGGAACAATGGTAATTGTGGAACTTAACAAAGAGTGAGTACAGCTGAAGGAGCTGGGGAGCAGAAAGTATATGTGTCAGGTATGAGGAAGAAAATAGATTTTGGAAGTTATGAGACATGTAGAGAGTAAGTTGAGCATAGTTTGTGACTTTGAGGGCCTCTAAAAGTATTAGGGCGGCAGCAGCCACTGCACGGAGACATGATGGCTAGGCTAAAACAGGTCAAGTTGTTTGCACAGAAAGGCTACAGGGTGTGGTCCTGGCTCTTGTATAAGAATTCTGACCGCACTAACCATGCCTAGGAAGGAAAGGAGTTGTTGTTTTGTAAGGGATTGAGGTTTGGGAGATTAATCGGACACAATCAGCAGGGAAAGCACATGTGTTTTTATGAGAATTATGCCGAGATAGGTAACAGATGAGGATGAAATTTGGGCTTGACTGAAGTAATGGGGGCTGTCTGTGAAGCCTTGCGGCAGTACAGCCCAGGTAATTTGCTGAGCCTGATGGGTGTCAGGGTCAGTCTAAGTGAAAGCGAAGAGAGGCTGGGATGACAGGTGCAAAGGAGTAGTGAAGAAAGCATGTTTGAGATCCAGAACAGAATAATGGATTGTGGAGGGAGGTATTGAGGATAGGAGAGTGTATGGGTTTGGCACCATGGGGTAGATAGGCAAAACAATTTGGTTGATAAGGCATAGATCCTGAACTAACTTGAAAGGCTTGTCTGGTTTTAGGACAGGTAAAATGGGGGAATTGTAAGGAGAGTTTATAGGCTTTAAAAGGCCATGCTGTAGCAGGCGAGTGATAACAGGCTTTAATCCTTTCAAAGCATGCTGTGGGATGGGATATTGGCATCAATCGGGGTAAGGGTGATTAGGTTTTAATGAGATGGTAAGGGGTGCATGATCGGTTGCCAAGGAGGGAGTAGAGGTATCTTATACTTGTGGGTTAAGGTGGGGGAATACAAGAGGAGGACGCAAAGGAGGCTTTGGATTGGGAAGAAGGGCAGCCATGAGATGTAACTGTAATCCAGGAATAGTCAGGGAAGCAGATAATGTAGTTAAAGTGTCTCAGCCTAATAAGGGAACTGGGCAGGTGGGGATAACTAAAAGGAATGCTTAAAAGAGTATTGTCTAATTGGCACCAGATTTGGGGAGTTTTAAGAGGTTTAGAAGCCTGGCTGTCAATACGCACCACAGTTATGGAAGCAAGGGAAACAGGCCCTTGAAAATAAGGTAATGCGGAGTGAGTAGCCTCCGTATTGATTAAGAAGGGGACGGACTTACCCTCCACTGTGTGAGTTACCTGAAGCTCAGCGTCCGTGATGGTCTAGGGGGCTTTCGAGGCGATTGGGCAGCATCAGTCTTCAGCCACTAAGCCAAGAAGATCTGGGAAGGAGTCAGAGAGCCTTCGGCCAGAGTTCCAGGGGCTCTGGGAGTGGCTGCCAGGTGAGTTGGACAGTCCGATTTCCAGTGGAGTCCCGCACAGATGGGACGCGGCTTAGGAGGAATCCTGGGCTGCAGGCATTCCTTGGCCTTGTGGCCAGATTTCTGGCACTTGTAGCAAGCTCCTGGGGAAGGAGGTTCTGGAGAAATGTCTGGCCGCTGCGGTTCAGGCATTTGGAAGTTCTTGTGTGCTGGAGATGTGGCTGGGGTTTGTCTCACAGTGGAGGCAAGGAATTGCAACTTTTTTCTACTATTGTACACCTTGAAGGCGAGGTTAATTAAATCCTGTTGTGGGGTTTGAGGGCCGGAATTTAATTTTTGGAGTTTTATTTAGTGTCGGGAGCAGATTGGGTAATAAAATGCATTTTGAGAATAAGACGGCCTTTTGACCTTTTAGGGTCTAGGGCTGTAAAGCATCTCAGGGTTGCTGCCAAACGAGTCATGAGCTGGGCTGGATTTTTATATTTGATGAAAAAGAGCCTAAATGCTGTCTGATTTGGGATAAAGAAAAAGGAGCATTAACCTTGACTATGCCTTTAGCTCCAGCCACCTTTTTAAGAGTAAATTGCTGGGCAGGTGGGGGAGGGCTAGTCATGGAACAAAACTGTAAGCCGGACCAGGTGTGAGGAGGGGAGGTGTGATAAAAGGATTATAGGGTGGAGGAGTGGAGGCTGAGGAAGAATTGGGACCTAGCTCGGCCTGGCGAGGAGCAGCCTGGGGAGGAGGGGAGAGGTCAGATGGGTCTGTAGAAAAGGAACATTAGAAAGACTCAGAGACGCTTGGGGTTGGGACTGAGGGGACAGACAGGAGGGAAAGAAGGAAGATTTGGGATGAGTTGCATTGGGAACAGAGACTAGAGAGGGACCGATGTGTAAAAGAATGCCTGGACGTCAGGCATCTCAGATCATTTGCCCATTTTACAACAAGAATTATTTAGATCTTGTAAGATGGAAAAATCGAAAGTGCCGTTTTCTGGCTATTTGGAACTACTGTCGAGTTTGTATTGGGGTCAAGTGGCATTGCAGAAGAAAATAAGATGCTTAGATTTTAGGTCAGGTGAGAGTTGAAGAGGTTTTAAGTTCTTAAGAACACAGGCTAAGGGAGAAGAAGGAGGAATGGAGGGTGGAAGGTTGCCCATAGTGAAGGAGGCAAGCCCAGAGAAAAGAGAGAGTAGAGACACGGAGGGAAGGGGTTCGGGGGTTCTTACCCTCCAGAAAAGTGGGAAAGGGGATGGGGCACAGAGATACGAGGTCAGGGCACGGAAATAAGGGATTGGGGCACAGAGATATAAGAGGTTGGGCGAGGAAATAAGGGATCAGGGTGCAGAGATATAAGAGGTTGGGGCATGGAAATAAGGGATTGGGGTGCAGAGATATAAGAGCTTGGGGCACGGAAATAAGGGATCAGGGCACAGAGATATAAGGGGTTGGGGTAATTATCCCTCCCCTAGAAAAGCGGGACTTGCTGCTAAGGGTGAAGAAGAAGGGGTTGGGGGTTTCTTGCCCCCCAGAAAGGCAGAGAAGGTGTAGAGACACGGAGAGAAGGGGTTGGGGTACTTGCCCCTCCCACAGAAAAGCGGAACTTGCCGCTAAGGATGAAGGACAAAGGCAGGTGTCCCTGCATGGTCTGACACCTCTGAAACATGGGTAAATAATCAGAGAGGCATCCCTGCAATGATTCAACACCAGGGGAAGGCTGCCTTCCCTAGTCCTTGACCGGTGCCAGAGTTCTGGGTCCACGGATAAAACGTGTCTCCTTTGTCTCTACCAGAAAATGAAAGGAATTGAAATTAAGAGAAGGGAGAGATTGAAGAGTGGAAAGGAGAAAGTGGTTGAGGGACAGTGAGAGAGGTTGGAGAAGAGAGTAAGAAGAGGCCGCTCACCCGATTTAAAATTGGTGAGATGTTCCTTGGGCTGGTAGGTCTGAGGACCTGAGGTCGTAGGTGGATCTTTCTCACGGAGCAAAGGACAGGAGGACAGGGGTTGATCTCTCAAGGGAGGTCCCCCAATCCAAGTCACGGCACCAAATTTCCTGCGTGTCTGAGTGAAGAGACCACCAAACAGGCTTTGTGTGAGCAACATGGCTGTTTATTTCACCTGGGTGCAGGCGGGCTGAGTCCGAAAAGAGAGTCAGCGAAGGGAGATGGGGGTGGGGCCGTTTTATAGGATTTGGATAGGTGAAGGAAAAAGGGGGTTGTTCTCTGGCGGGCAGGAGTGGGGGTCACAAGGTACTCAGTGGGGGAGCTTTTGAGCCAGGATGAGCCAGGAGAAGGAATTTCACAAGACATTGTCATCAGTTAAGGCAGGAACAGGCCATTTTCACTTCTTTTGTGGTGGAATGTCATCAGTTAAGGCAGGAACTGGCCATCTGGATGTGTACGTGCAGGTCACAGGGAATATCATGGCTCAGCTTGGGCTCAGAGGCCTGACAGTAATGACCTTTGGTTTAGAAAGCTATGAGAGGGTAATATAGTGGCAGACTACCGTGGAAACCAGCAACAACTTGTAGTTTCTTAATTGCTTATAAATATTGCAGTTGGCATTTGGATAGGACAACTCTTCATTGAGCAGAAATCCAAAACATTTAACAGCTACCTCCCCCAGCTTGATCCCAGTAATGTCCCCCAGACATTGTGACAATCAACCCCCTACCCACACACCTGTTTCCTAATATCCACTGGCACTTGAGAAGCAGAGTATTAGGGAGGTGGTACTACCACCTTGCAGTGGGACTCTAAGAGAATGTTGTGGAGATCTTGACTTAACTTACTAACAACGCCATATCCGAAAAGTGAAATGAAGCACCTAAGGAAGATTGAAATGAATCCTATGAGCCTGGTCCTAGCCGAGCAAACACAATTGGATGGTGTATTTGAAGTGGTGTAGAACTGATTGAAAGCTTGAACAAAATCCAACCTGTTTGTAGTCTTGGATGAAGGGCTGGATAGAGAGATTGTATACCATCACCTTGGCGGACCAGACTACTAAAACATCTGAGAAAATGTAGGCACGATCACAACTCTGAGATTGCAAAAGGGCACATGTCTCAATAAAGGTGGAAATATCACAGAGGTTTGAGCCTGACCATAGGACTGCAAAGATCAAGAGCAAAGAGAGGAATCAATGCAGCTATAGAGAGAGCCTCTATAGAGCTCTGATTTTAAAAGGATGTCAGAGTTCAGTGCAATGCTCCTTATATTTGTGTTGTTTCGAGCAATTGCAGCTGCATTTATGTTGTCTTTTTTTTAAACTGATTAATGTACACAGCAGTGTTATTTAAAGGGATTAGTTTTAGCCTCATTTTATAGAGGAGATTGCAACTCAACGAGAGTAAGTGATGACATGAGGTCATACAACTTGTAAGACGGAAAGGAGAACTCAAATGTGAGCCTTTCCACTACATTTTTACTCCTTGCAGAGAGAAATGAACATATATATATATATATATAATATTTACAATAATACATATTTTATATGTGCTATACATACACACAACCTATTATACAAACACTACATATATACACACATACATTTGTACATTTGCGTATACATATATACACATATTTAATAGTATATACACAGGCTATATAAAACATCAATATGTATGTTTTATATATAATATATGTTATATATGTGTATATATAACATATATTATGTATGTATCTATACATATATGTTATATAATACATATATGTATACACACACATATATGTTATATAATACATATACGTTGTATAATACATATATACATATACGTTATATAATACATATATACATATACGTTATATAATACATATATACACATACGTTATATAATATATACATATACGTTATATAATACATATATACATATGTGTTATATAATACATATATACATATGTGTTATATAATACATATATGTATATACAACACACGTTATATATGTATATACAACACACGTTATATATGTATATACAACACACGTTATATATGTATATATAACACACACGTTATATATGTATATATAACACACACGTTATATATGTATATATAACACACACGTTATATATGTATATATAACACACACGTTATATATGTATATATAACACACACGTTATATATGTATATATAACACACACGTTATATATGTATATATAACACACACGTTATATATGTATATATAACACACGTTATATATGTATATATAACACACGTTATATATGTATATATAACACACACGTTATATATGTATATAGAACACACACGTTATATATGTATATAGAACACACATGTTATATATGTATATAGAACACACGTTATATATGTATATATAACATATATGTGTATATATAATATATGATATATACATATATGTTATGTATGTATATATAATATATGATATATACTATATAATATATGTATATATGTATATATTATGTATGTATATATTATGTATATATTGTATATGTGTTATATATACATATATATAAAACACTAGGTTGGATGTATAAGGATATGACATTAGCTTGAATCTATAAGTGCTAAGGCAATTAAAACCCAAAGCATCTAAAGAAATTATTGGGATACATTAGATATTTGGGTGGAAAAAAAAGAAAGAAGGAAGGAATAGACTCTCGATTTGGGAATGTTGGTACAATGCAGATGGCTGTCTTTGAGAAAGCAAAGCTCTTCTACTCCTTTTGAGCTTTTTTCCTTCCTAAATGAATGGGATTTATCTTGCCATGAAAAGGGAAAGACAGTGAAGAGATTGTCAGCACATTCAGGACATTGCGTGTTCTGATTTGGATGGATTCTGGTAAAATTCAGAGATGAGATCTTTGTCTTTCCTAGAACTGTGTAAACAATCATGGAAAACAAAAACATTTCTGGAAGAATGAGAGTTGGGAAAGTGTAATTATTTCAAAATTGTACAATAAAATTTGTTTTGTAAACCAGAGGCTGGATTTTGGGCAAGGATCTGAAAGGGATATTCTCCTGCTATGTAATATTTTTACTTTAAATAGAACTGATTTTTAAAATAAGGCTTCATTTACTATAGAATATTCAACATGTACAATAAGGTATGATGATGTAGAAAGAAGGACTCCTATCCAAAGGCAGCCCCCTCTTTATATATGGGCATCTTCCTTCCAGGGCTGTTTCTGGACATTTTAAAAATGGATTTCAAATGATAATTTTTAAGTCCTTAGAAAAGAAAGAGAGAAAATGGGGTGTAGTGGAACATGTCTGTAGTCCCAGCTACTAGGAAGGCTGAGGCAGGAGAATGGCTTGCACCCAGGAGTTCAACTCCAGCCTAGGCAACATAGCAAGACCCCATCTCTTAAACAAAAGGAAGGGAAAAAGGAAAAAGACTGTTATTTTCATTAGGTTGGGGGCATTATGGTTGAAGTGAAAGGCAGAATAATGCATGAGCTTCCCTCTCTAGAGCAGAACAGAACCAGGATGGAAGCCCTGCTAATAATGTAGAGCTGTTCTAGACAGTATCTATCCCAAATGGGTTATGTAGGCTCTGGTCAACCTAGACAGAAATTCCAGGGGGAACCAACACTCACAAACATGGAAGTGGAATAACTGTCTTCTAGAAAGGCTGCCCTGCAGGGAGCATGGTCAAAGGTATTAGGTGGATTCAAGACAGACGCTTTGCAAACACAGGGCAGTCTACCCAAAGACCAAGCAGACCTCATGTCCTGGGGATGATCTCTCACCCATAATTTGGCTGCAGCATGTGACTCCAGCATTTGACAACAGGATCTCCATATCTTTAGTCTAGGAGTGTAAATAATTCAAAGCAACTCTCTCTTTGTCCCCCATGTAGGAGTAAGACTTTTTATTTTCTTGAGGTATTGACTTTTTTTCAGCTTCACTGAGATATAATTGGCAAATGCAATTTGTATATATTTAAGATGCACAATATAGTGTTTTGATATACATATACATTGTGAAACAATTACCGCTATAAGCTTGATTAATATATCCATCACCTCACATAGTTACTTTTTTTTGGTAAGAACACGTAAGATCTATTCTTTTAGCAAATTTCAAGTATGCAATGCAGTATTATTAACAATAGTTGTCTATGCTATATATGAGATCTCCAGAACTTTATTATTCTGAAAAACTGAAACCTTATACCCTTTAGCCAATGTGTCCGTGTTTACCCTATCCCCCCACTTCTAGCAGCCACCATTCTACTCTCTGATTCTATGAGTCTAACTTTTTTGATTCTACATATAGTATTTGCCTTTCTGGGACCAGCTTATTGCACATAACATAATTTCTTCCAAGTTCATCCATGTTGACACAAATGACTTCCTTCTCTTTAAAGGCTGAATAGTATTCCATTTTGTACCTATACCACATTTTCTTAATTTATTCATCCACTGATGAACACTTAGGTTGATCCTATATCTTGGCCATTGTGAACAATGCTGCAATGAACATGGAAGTTCTGCTATCCCTTGCACATACTGATTTCACTTCCTCCGGATATATACTCAGAAGTGGAATTGCTTTATCATACAGTAGTTCCACTTTTAATTTTGTGGAAATCCTCTGCGTTATTTCCATAATGACTATACTAATTTACATTTCCACCAACAATGTATAAGAGTTCCCCTTTCTCCACCTCCTTGTCAACACTTGTTATCTTTCATGTTGCTCATAATAGTCATCCCAAAATATATGATATTTTATTCTGGTTTTTATTTGCATTTCCTTAATTATTAGTGATGCTGAGCATTTTTTATGTACCTATTGGGTATTTGTGTGTTTTCATTTGAGAAATGTCGGTTCAAGTCATTTGTCCATTGTTTAATTGGGTTGCTTTCTTGCTATTGAGCGGAGTTCTTTATATATTTTGAATAATGACCCCTTAGCAGATATGTAATTTGCAAATGTCTTCTCCCATTCTGTAGGTTTTCTCTTGACTCTGTTGATCGTTTTCTTTAAAGGCTTTTCAGTTTCATGAAATCTCATTTGTCCATTTGTGTTTTGTTTTAGGGGTCATCCCATATATACATACACATATATATATATACACATACACATATATATGTGTATATATATACACATATATATGTAGCCCAGATCAATGTCAGGAAACATTTTCCCTGTGTTTTCTTCTAATAGTTTTGCAGTTTCTGGTCTCACATTTAAGCCTTTAGTCTACTTTGAGTTGATTTTTGTATATGGTGTGAAATAATGCTCCAATTTTATTTTTCTACTTGCGGATATCTAGTTTTCTAACATTATTTATTAAAGAGACTACCTTTTCAGCCATTGTGTTCTTGTCATAGTTGTTGAAAATCAATGACCATAAATGCTTAGGTTTAGGGCTGGGCTGTCTATTCTGTTCCTTTGGTCTGTGTGACTGTTTTCATTCCAGAACCATTCTGTTTTGATTTCTGTAGCTTTGTAGTAGATTTTGAAATCAGGTAGTGTGATGCCTCCAGCTTTGTTCTTCTTGCTCAAGATAGCTTTGGCAGTTACAGGCCTTTTGTGGTTCCATATGAATTTCTTGATTTTTTTTTTCTTTTTCTTTGAAAATGCCATTGGGATTTTGATAAGAATTGCATTTAATATGTAGATTGCTTTGGGTCACATGGAAAGTTTAATATTTTTAATTTTCAATTCTTCTCATCTATGATCACAGGATATCATTCCTTTTATTTGTGATTTCTTTAATTTTCTTTCACCAATGCTTCAGTTTACGGATCTTTTATCTCTTTGGATAAAATTATTTCTAAATATTTTAAATTTTGGTGCTATTGTATGTGAGAGTGTTAATTTCTATTTTGGATAGTTTGTTGTTAGTGTATAGAAACACAACTGATTTTCGCATGTTTATTGTGTATCTTGTACTTTCACTGAATTTGTTTATTAATGCCAACAGGTTTTTGGAGGAGTTTTAAGGGTTTTGTATATAGAGCATTATGTCATCTGCAAAGAAAATTTTATTTCTTCCTTTCTGGTTTGTCTTTTATTTCTTTTTTCTTGATTAATTGCTCTGGCTAGAACTTCTAATATTATATTGAATAGAAGTGGCAAGAATGAGTATCCTTATCTTGTTACTAATCCCGAGAAGCTTTTAGCTTTTTATCATTGAGTGTGATACTATATGTGGACTTGTCATACATATTCTTTATTATTTTAAGTTATATTCCATCTATACCTAATTTGTTGAGAGTTTTTATCATGAAAGGATGTTAAATTTTGTCAAATGCTTTTTTGCATATATCGAGATGATCATATAATTTTTAATCTTCATTCTATTAATGTAGTATATCACATTTATTGATTTGTGTATGTTAAAACAAGGATAAAACCCATGTGATCATGGGTAGTGATCCTTTTAATGTGCTGTTGAATTAGATTTTCTATTATTTGGTAAGGATTTCTGCATCTACATTCATCAGGGATATTGACCTGTAGTTTTCTTTTATTGTAACGTTTTCGTCTGACTTTGGTATCCAGGTAATGCTGGCCATGAGAAAAGAGTTTGCAAGTGTTTCTTTCTCTTCAAATTTTTTGGAAGATTTTAAGTAGTATTGGTGTTAAATATCCTTTAAATGTTTGGTAGAATTTACCCCAGTAAAGCCATGAGGTCCTGAGCATCTCTTTGTTTGGAGGTTTTTGATTACTGATTAAGTCTCTTTACTTGTTATTTTTTTTTTTTCAGATTTTCTATTCTGTTTTTTGTTCTGGTTTCTTTTATCCATATTTTCTATTCTATTTAGTGTTTCTGTACTGTTCTGTTCCGACGTGGTAATATGTATGTTTCCAGAAATTTATACACTGCTTCTAGGTTATCGAATTTGTTGGCATATAATTTTTATAGTAGTTTCTTCTGATATTTTATATTTATATGGTATCAATTGTAATCTCTTCTTTCACTTATAATTTTTTTTCTTTTTTGAGACAGAGTTTCACTCTTGTTGCCCAGGCTGGAGTGCAATGGTGCAATCTCAGTGCACTGCAACCTCCGCCTCCTGAGTTCGAGCAATTCTCCTGTCTCAGCCTCCCGAGTAGCTGGAATTATGGGCACATGCCACCATGCCCAGCTAATTTTTGTATTTTTAATAGAGACAGGGTTTCATCATATTGGTCAGGCTGGTCTTGAACTCCTGACCTCAGGTGATCCACCTGCCTCAGCCTCCCAAAGTGCTGGGATTACAGGCGTGAGCCACTGCACCCGGCCACTTACAGTTTTATTATTCTATTTTTTCTTAGTTTAACTAAAAGTTACTCTTTTGTTTATTTAGAAAAAAAACCCAACTCCTAGTTTCATTAATCTTTTGTATTGTTTTTTCTAGTCCCTATATCATTCATATATATTCTGATCTTTTTTATTTCCTTCCTTCTGCTAACTCTTTATTATATCCTTTCTTAAGCTTAGTTTGTTCTTGTTTCCTTGTTCCTTGAGGTGTCATATTAGGTTGCTTTTATGAAATCTTTCTTTTTTCTTCATGTAGGCATTTATTGCTATAAACTTACCCCTTAGGGCTGCTGTTGCTGCATCCCATAAAATTTGGAAAGTTATATTTGCATTTTTGTTTGTCTCAAGATATCTTTTAAGATCACTATTGATTTCTTCTTTGACTCATTGGTTGTTCAGAACTATGTTATTTAATTTTCACATATTTGCAAATGCTTCCAATTTTCCTCCTCTTATTGATTTCTAATTTCATTTCATCGTGGTCTGAAAAGATACTTGGTATTACTTAAATCTTCTTAAATCTGTGAAGACTTTTATTTGACCTAACGTGGATCTATCCTAACAAATATTCCATGTGCATTTGTAAAGAATGTATATTCTGCTGCTGTTGGATGAAACGTTCTATATATCTCTGTTAAATTCATTTGGTCTTCAGTCTTGTTCGTGTCTTCTGTATACTTATGGATTGTTTTTGTCTGGATGACCTATCCACTGCTGAAGGTGGCAATATTGAAGTCCTCTACTATTATTGTATTGGTGAACTATTTCTCCTTTTAGCTCTCTTAATATTTGCTTTATATATTTATGTTCTTAATATTGAGGGCATAACTATTTACAATTTTATGTCCTTTTGATGAATTGATATCTTTATCATTGTCTCTTGTGGCAGTTTTTGATTTAACATCTCTTTTGTCTGATATAGTTACGGCTACTCCTGCTCTCTTTTGGACTATTTTTGCAGGGACTATCTTTTTCCATCCTTTCACTTTCAGCATATGAGTGTCCTTAAAGCTAAGGTTAAGTCTTTTGTAAAGAACATATAGTTTGATCTTTAAAAAAAAAAAATCCATTCAACCACTATATGTCTTTTGATTGAAGAATGTAATCCATACATTTAAAGTAATTATTTACAGGTAAAGATTTACTATTGCCATTTTATTGTTTTCTATTTTATAGCCCTTTTCTTCTTTTCTTCCTCTCTTGTTGCCTTCTTTTTGATTTGATAATTTTTTGTCGTGATTTGCTTTAACTTCTTTATCTTTATGTCTACCATCAATTTTTCCTTCGTGGTTACCACTAAGCTTACATAAGACATCTTCAAGTCATAGCATATGTTTTAAACTGATAACAATGTAACTTCCTCCACATACAAAAACTACACTTTAACTTGTCTTCTCATATTTTTTGTAGATGACTTCACAATTTTATCTTTTTTATTATGTATTCATTAATAAATTATTATAGCTATATTTCCAATACCTTTGTCTTTAAACTTTTATACTAGAGTTAAAAGTGAGTTGTGGAGCACTATTGGAATATAAGAATAGCTGAGTGTGATTGCATTCTGACCTTTACAGTGAGTTTAATTCTTTCATATATTTTCGCGTTGTTAGTTTCTATCATTTCATTTCAACTTAAAGGTTCTCTTTACCATTTCTTGTGAGGTAGTCCTAATGGTGATGAACTCCCTCATCTTTTGTTTGTCTGGGAAATTCTGTCTCTCTTTTTCATTGTAAAAGTCAACTTGGCTAGTTATAGTATTCTTGGTCATTGCTGGTTTACTTTCAACACTTTGAATTTATTATTTGTCTCTCTTTTGCCCTATAAGGTTCCTGCTGAGAAACACCCTGGTAGCCTTACAGACCTTCCCTTTCATGTCATGAGTAGATTTTTGTCTTGCTGCTCTCAAATTTCTCGCTATGTCTTTGACTTCAGAGAATTTGTTAATAACATGTTTTTGTGATGATCTCTTTATGTCTAAACTACTTGGGATTCTTTGGGCGTCATGGATCTGAACGTTCATTTCTCTCTCCAGATTTGGGAAGTTTTCTGTTATTGTTTATGCATAATAAGCTTTTGCCTTTTCTCTTTCTCTGCTTCTTCTGGAACTCCCATAATGAATATATTGGTTCACTTAATGATGTCTCATAATTCCTGTAGGCTTTCTTTACTCTTTTAAAAATTCTTTTGTTGTTGCTCCTCTTACCAGGTAAATTTAAATGCTCTGTCTTCAAGCTTGCTGATTCTTTCTCCTGCTTTAACAAGTCTGCTGTTGAACCTCTCTATGGAATTTTTCAGTTCAGTTAATGTTTTCTTCAGTTCCAGAATTTCTGTTTGGTTCTTTTTTTCATAGTTTCTGTCTCTTTGTTAAACTTCTTGTTTTATTCATGTATTGCTTTCCTGATATCAGTTAGTTTTGTACTTGTGTTCTCCTGTAGCTCACTCAGCTTCAAGATAATTATTTTCAATTCTTTGTCAGGCAGTTCATAGATCTCCAATTCTTTGAGGCCTGTTATGGGTGCTTTATTTGGTTATCTTGATGCTATCATGTTTCCTTGATTATTTGTGAGCCTTGTTACCTTGCATTGGTAATGTAATCTGCATTTGAAGAAGTAGGCACTTCTTTCAGTCTTTATGTACTGATGTTGACAAAGAATGTCCTTCACCACTCAGTCCATCCAGAAATTCTGTGCCAGCGGCTGACAAAATCTATGTTCAGGCTTACTTCTGGAGTTTTTGGGCAGGCTGGCTAGATAAGCATTTGGGTAGGCCTACTGCCTGGGTCCACAGGAGCTAACCTGGTGCCTGGGTCTGCAGATGCAGGCCTGGAGCCTCGATTAACTGGGCAATCCTAGTGTCTGGGTCTGCATGACAGGCATGGATCCTGGGTCAATGAGTTTGGGCCTACATCTTGGGTCTATGGGAATCAACCTGGCACAAGGGTTCACAGGCGCTTACGTGAAGCCTAGGTCTGTGAAGGCCAAACTACTTTGTACCGGGTGCCACATCATTCATCCTGGAGCCTGGAGCCATGGGGGCCAGCCTGTAACCTAGGATTGCAAGTGTTGGCCTGGTTTTGGGGTGGGCCTGGAGTCTGGAGTCACATGGGCCAGCCTGGAGCTCAGGTCTCTATGAGCCTGCCTGAAGGGGTTCACTGGGATGGGCCAGTGTTGGGGTCTACAGCGAAACTTGGTGCTGCTCACTTTACTCACCTGGAGGGTATATTTCTCTGCACTGGGTTGCATAGGCTTGGAGAAGACTTGATGTGGGTAATGTGAAATTTTCTTACCTATCTTCTTCAATTTGTCTTTTCTTATTTCTGGGCTCCACTTAGGTGCTATAATCTCTCACCTGGATCTCTTAGTTCTTGTGAAGGTATTTTTGTCCATGGATGGTTGTATAAATTGATTTTCTGAGAGTGGACAAGTACTGGAAACTCCTATTCTGCCATATTGCTGCCATTACTCTACCTGCACGATTAAGGCTTTTGAAATATTACTTGGTTCTATTTTGATAGAGGAAATAAACTTGATGGCCAGTTCAATGTCTCCATGAAAAGCCAGGTACTTTGTGTACTATAAAACTGCAAGGGTTGGCATGCATAGTCTGCAGTCTAGAAATGGTTCTGAATGAACCCATATCTAGAAATCCTAGATAATCCGAAGCATTTAGGGAGGTGGGGAGGGGAGCTGTTGACAGTGACCATTAGGAGGAATTAACATTAACTAAGAACATGTTACATGAATTTCTTTGAGGAACAAGATGGAGGAAACAAGAACTGAAATCAACAATTTTGTTGTTAGTTCAAAGTGAAAAATCAGGAAGAAGGTTTGGGCTTTTTGGTTTTTGATTTTCAGCTTTTGTTTGTTTGTTTGTTTTTTGTCTATCTTCCCCTCTTCATATACACATTTCAGCTCCTGTTCTTTCTGGAGCTGTGGAGAGCCTCTGTATATGGTCAACACAAATTTTTATATTGGTAATTTTATGAACATAATTTGCAGCTGATAACAGAGTTGTCACTTGTTGCTTTTTTCCCCCAAGGAATGGTTTCGTTGTGGTTTATAATCCCCAGTGGTGCCAATAAAATTAAGAAGTCTATGACATGTGATATATGTTAACACATGTAAATATATTTTAATTTTGTATACAAAATCTATTTGATGTATTTTACCTTGACAGCTGGTTACAAGTATAAATATGGTAACTCTTTGGTGATTGACAATATTATAGTTTGCTTCCTAAGAACTGATGGATATATTTTAATATAAAAATCCCTTCATATATTTTAACTTGATAGCTGGTTGGAATTATAAAGGGAAAGTATTTGGTGATTGACAATATTATAGTTTTCTTCCTAGGAACCAGAGATTAGTAAACTCACATGAATTTCTGAATGCTTCTATCTCTTCCCTTCATTTCTTCTATTAACCGTCTAGTTTGCAAATACAAGCCGATATCCTCATAGTGAACTATGTGGTCTACTACCACCAATTTTATTCAGAGGAAGTCTGTTATGTAAAACCTGTCATTGTGCTGTAGCAGCTGACAGACAGTTACATTACCAAATAACTTACCACAACTTTTAATTTTCAGATTATCAATTGCTGCCACACATGGTTTTGTTAAAAAATCTGACAAGTATTTGTATTAAAGAAGGTAGTTTATAGTATATGACCTGTATCATGACTTACAAAATAGAACTCGTGCAAAACATAATTTGAATTGTTCTGAGACCTCATCAAGTTGTTCAAGCAACTTGTCCACCACCAACACTGAGCTATTCACAATAACTGCAAACCCGCAGTTAAATAATTCAATTCTTCATGAATAGAAGAAGTGGAATATATATAAGGTTAGTGAGAGATCACGATGAGGAGGTGGGTCTTCAAATCCTTATGGATAAAAGATCATAAATTTCAGATCTATTTGATTAATATGTAGAGATAACAGTACATAACGTTATAACAAAGATGACATATACCATTATCATTTGCACCCTGAAGACAGCATTAAACTACAAATGTTCAATGCCCTACAGGCATACCCATCAACTCCAACCTTTCCTTTTGGGTCCAAAATATTAACTAAAAGATGATGAAGTAGAATATTTTATGGAGTACCTTACACATTCAAGTTTTATGGAATGTTTCACAAGCAATTATAGCTTCTTTGTGCATCCTTTATTACTGTGACACTTCCAATTAAACAAAACAACCACTTGCAACCAATAGGAGGTTAACATTTTTACAAAGTGCTTGTTGCATCAGAATGTAAGGAGAAATATATCAAACCAAGAACTTTGGACCCTCAGGTTTTTGTTATCTATTATCCTGTAGTTAGGATCAATAATGTACCTTAACTCAAACAAGAATAAGGCAGATAGATACATGTCATACATTTAGGCCTGAAGCACAATTTTAAAGTTATATAAATCTCCTAGCATTAGTCCAAGATTAACTTGTAAATACTTCATAGAAAAGGCGTCAAGGGATAAAAATTTGAACAAATATAAGTGATTCATTGGTTTTCTGCAAACTTTTAAGCATTCGTCTTGTAGTACTGACTCTTTCAGCCATCACAACAACCCAATGATATTGACTGTTACACTCTCATTTAGCAGGTTAGGTAACTGAGGTACACAGAGTTTAAGTAACTTAGTCACATCACTAGGAAGTCATTTTATTCTACTAGGAAATGAATTATCGCATCGTGTGTGATTCCTATGTCAATTTACATCTCATTTTATGAATTGCAATAGAGGAATATAATATAAATCTATTTATGAAATCTTCCAATTAAAATAACAGAGGCTTTGGTATTACACTAAAAGTAGCATGATTTGAGGTGGCCACCACCCTGCTCTAAGGCATAGGTGCTGGAATTTTCGCACAGACAGAACAGGTCTTTTCTTCCTCAACCTCCTTGTTTAAGTATAAAATCCAATGAGGGAGAGTACATAGCAGATCCTTGAATAAAGTTGTTCTGTTCAACATCATTCTTCAATGTTGATGAGAAAAGAAACACAAAAAAACTGATTCGTGGCCAGGGCCGTTGTCTGTGTGGAGTTCGCACGTTCTCCCCATGTCTGTGTAGGCTTTTTCTGGGTACTTCGGTTTCCTCCCACATTCCAAAGATGTGCACATCAGATTTACTGCATGTCGACATGGTCTCAGTATGATTGAGTGTGGGTGTATGTGGGAATGTGCCCTAGGATGGGATGACATCTGGTCCAGGGTTGGTACTTGCCTCACTCCCTTAGCTGCCAGGAAAGGCTCAGTCCACCTGTGACCCAGAATCAAAATAACTGGATAAATAATTATCTTATCTGTTTTTGTTAACCTTTCTTAAATGTACGTAGAGCTCAATTTTATTTAAATATTTAATATCAGAAGTGTTTTTGGAACACTTTATTTAGAAGTTTGGTGAGGTTTTGTATCCAGAAATATACCACAGGAACTTAATTCTTACTGATATCAATTAGCCAGTGCTGAAATTGTTGCCTTACCTATTTTACTTTAAAGTCGCAGTTTCCAAGAACCTGGAGATGTTAAGTGAGGACTTATCGGATAATTGTGAAAACTGTCATCTGGTGGCAATTTTAACTTGTTTATGGGGATTGTCAGCATTCCTACAGAGTGATTGCCTTAGAAATGACCTCAAGAGAAGTAAAAATAATACTGCCTAACTTTCTGTCTTCTAATGTATCTTTTGTAAGGCTGGACACATAATGACTGCAAAAATATGTTGTAAACAGTCTGTAACATTTGGAATTGCGAGACCTATACTACCCATGTGGCTTTAGGCAAATTGCCCAGCCTTATTAAATACTTCATTTAATAAATGGAAATAACACTAATTGCACCATTATTCTTTTTAAAGTTAGTGCAAGAATACAACAAAGAAAATACATGAAGGTTGGGTGCAGTGGCTCACACCTGTAATCCCAGCACTTTGGGAGGCCAAGGCGGGTGGATCACTTGAGACCAGGAGTTCAAGACCAGCCTAGCCAACATGGTGAAACCATGTCTCTACTAAAAATACTAAAATTAGCTGGGCATGGTGGTGCACACCTGTAATCCCAGCCACTCAGGAGGCTGAGACAGGAGGATCACTTGAGTCTGGGAGGCAGAGTTTGCAGTGAGCCAAAATCGTGCCACTACACTCCAGCCTGGGTGAAAGAGCAAGACTCTGTCTCAGAGAAAAAAAAACAAAAAGGAATATAATATAATTAGTGAAGGCCTATATAGATACTGGTTAATTTCACCATTATCAGAATAATATTTTTTCAGATTAGTAAATACATAGTTATGGTTAATAAATCTATAATGATTGAATGGGATTTATTCCTGACAAGATCTACAATGATAGAATCCCCTAAATGACTCGATGAGGCTTACAGATGTAAAAACAGATTATTCACACGACTAGAGACCACCTATGGAAAGCAGCCCAAGGAAAGTTTTCAAGGTACAAGAACAAAGCTGTTGATTACAACTGATCTCAGAATTTGACTCTGGTTTTACTAGTTGTTAAGGCAAAATGGAGTGGCCGTGTATTCGCTATTATTTGAGATTCAAAGAACAAAATATGTTTGCTTCTCTTACTTGATTCTTTTAAATGAAGGTGTCTTTCTCAGTCCCAAATTATCTGCATAAATGACCACTTTTCTGCAAAGGCAGATGAGCAGATGAGTGCTATTTATAGTAGAATCACATAGTAAGCAAAGGAGACATTGTATGATTAGCTCTTCAAATGGCTACAAAGACATGTAAATAAAATAGTTAAAACATATACCTGAAGGATTATAAATCATTCTACTATAAAGACACGTGCACACATATGTTTATTGCAGCACTATTCACAATAGCAAAGACTTGGAACCAACCCACATGCCCATCAATGATAGACTGGATAAAGAAAATGTAGCACATAAACCCCATGGAATACTATGCAGCCATAAAAAAGGATGAGTTAACGTCCTTTGCACGGATGTGGATGAAGCTGGAAACCATCATTCTCAGCAAACTAATACAGGAACAGAAAACCAAACACTGCATGTTCTCATTCATAAGTGGGAGTTGAGCAATGAGAACACATGGACACAGGGAGGGGAACATCACACACGGGGGCCGGTCAGGGGGTGGGGGGCTTCGGGAGGGATAGCATTAGGAGAAGTACCTAATGTAGATGACGCATTGATGGGTGCAGCAAACCACCATGGCACGTGTATACCTATGTAACAAACCTGCACGTTCTGCACAAGTATCCCAGAACTTGAAGTATAATAATAAAAATTAAAACGGCCAGGCGTGGTGGCACACGCCTGTAATCCCAGCACTTTGGGAGGCCGAGGCAGACAGATCACGAGGTCAGGAGATCGAGACCATCCTGGCTAACACAGTAAAACCCCCTCTCTACTAAAAATACAAAAAATTAGCCGGGCGTGGTGGAGGGCGCCTGTAGTCTCAGCTTCTCAGGAGGCTGAAGCAGGAGAATGGCTGAACCTGGGAGGCGGATCTTGCAGTGAGCAGAGATCGCGCCACTGCACTCCAGCCTGGGCGACAGAGCGAGACTCCATCTCAAAAAAATAAAAATATAAATAAATAAATGAACAAACAAACAAACATATTGCTTAAATTACCCCAAAAAATGAAGGACCAGAAAAATAACATATATATATATATAAAATATCTATCTATCTATCTATCTATCTATCTATCTATCCGTCTAATCTTTAGCTGGGAATGCCCAGAACAGCCAAAGAAAAGAAGTAAATGTCTAATGGGGTGTTGGTATCTGTGAGTACCTTTAAAGCTTTGGAGTTTTGTTGCATTAATTTGCATAACTCTTTCTTATTTAACACCTAATTACATTGCCCTGAAAGCTTGTAAGGTTTCTCTCCACTCAATTATTAACCACTACTGAAGTGATATTTTTAAAATCTGGAAAATTAAGGAGAACTAGGTAAAGCCTATCATTAGATGGGCTTCACCAAGAAGTCAAGAATTTTATTTCTTGGTCATTAGAAACTGACGTGAGATATTGATATAAGTAACTTTCAATATGACCAAGAAAAACAAACAATATTCCCTGAATTAGTAAAATTAAACTCATTTTGTAGAGTAGTAGGGTTTTTTTCCTTCTTGGGGTTTTTATTTTTTTTTTCATGTTAAGTCTTCGTGGTGGTGGTACTAATAGTGGTAGTAGTAATAGTAGTGCCAGACATGCTAATAATTGTGGTGGCAGTTTCTTGTTCATTTTGGTTGTAGCAACCGTAATACTCATAGTGACATAACTTATTTTAATATTCTAGTAATAAAATAATTAAAAACCATATCTATGGCTTTTACATGTTAACAAATTCTTCTGTATTTCTACTTACTTCTTTGGAAACAATTTGAAATTTCACCTTTGACATTTGATAAATTGTAGATTTGGGAAACATTTTCCCGATCAAAAGAAATAACAGTTAATGGTTTCTGTGATTTAAAAATTGGGTTATTGAGAGTGGGAGCAGTTTCTTGGCAAATCTATGTAGAAACATTGAGGGGAAAGTACATATATCTTATTTACTTAAATACTAACAGTAAGTTTGAAGTGTCTGAAATCATCAATGCTCTTACATTTTGCAACAGTGTATTTCTAGGGATTGCTGCTGTTCTTCTTACAAAGTTGTCTTGGAGAATGGATTTTGTATTTATTTAAAATTATCTTCCTTCCTTGAATAACTGCCCTCCATCCTCCAAGTTAAGCAGTTTCTTCTATTTGTACTTGGAGAATATAAAGAAGAAAAATAACCTACTTGGAGCTATTTTCTCTGAAATAACACTTTCAGAGTCTAATTCAAACATTTCTCTTCAGAGATGGTATCTATAGAATTTTTGTATTCATTCTAATGATAAATTATAAATGCATGCTGGAGAGGATAGGAGAAAAAATAGAGACCCTGGAAAAGAGTTACTCTTCATATTTATAATGTTAAGGATGTAATATTGCACTTTGAATATTAGGAGTATGACTCTGAAAATCTAGAAGGAAATATAATAAAAGCAATGACCAAATCACCATAATATGTTTAATATGCTTGAGCTGTGTGAAATTACAAATGTACAAAATTCTGCTTAAAGCATCAGGTATTTGTTTTGAAAGATAGTGCTTGGCAAATAAGAAACAAGGAGTCACATAAGAAACAAAAAGTCATGATGATAAAAGTACACATTGAAGATTTTTACAGTTAAAAATTTTTTTAGATGAATAGCTAGAGTTCAATTATGCTTTTGATGAAAAGTTAAAAGGTATTCAAAGGAAAGAAGATATTGCCAAAAAGAGAGAAATTAATTTCTAAGTAAATAACTACAGGTTTAATTCTGCAATAACTTACCTAGACATCACAATTTTGAATTTGAAACAATGAAGACTGCAATCTGCCAATGAAATATTTATTCAGACCATAAAATGAGTGATCAAAGTTTAACATTTTTTGAGCTTTAAATATTATTATCTTATTAATTCCTGTGAAAGTAGAAAAATGATTTATATTAGTGTCGGGTATCTAATTAACTGATGACTGCCCAAACATTACAATTGCATTGTCACAAATAATTTGCCTTGCATTTTATTTGTGTGTGTGCATTTGCATGTGTAATCTCAATTGTGTATTTCTTAGATTAATATTAAAATTAGTTAGCAATCCCTGAGCTGACTCTCCTTTCAGACAGCTAAAGACCTTGAAAGCAAGAAGCCAGCACAGGATTAACAATTTGTCATGGATAATCCACAAAGTAAATAAACCTAGTGTGAATAATTGAAAGTGGGTTAGACATGTAACATAGGAGCTATTGAAAGTTAATTCAAAGCCAAAGTTCTCCATAATAAATTCCCTCTCATTATCCAACTGCTAGAATAGACTGGCATTGATTAAATCTCTAAATAGAGAGGCATTTGTGCATTGTCAATGTTTTACCACCTTACCTGCAAACATATAGACTTTATCTTCTTGACAGTGTGCTGATAATATAGAGGCTTGAGCAAACCAACAATTTGAAAACGTCACCATGGGTGTTTAGCCCCCTTTCAACTTTCAAGAAAAAAAAAAAGAATCAAAACATTTTCTGCATTTTACCAGATGTCGTTTCTAAAATTCCTATGCTGAGATGGTAGCTTACATAAATACCATGAAAATGAATTCACTAATTAAAAGGACTTGTGTGGTAAGCTATTGTTAAAATAACAAGGGATTAATAATAGCAAATTGAATATTTGAATTACTTATAATACTGTATTAGCATTTTTAGCCTAATAATCTCATCCAGATAATGGTCACTTTCCCCCCAATTAAAATTGTACATGTTATAGATTTCGGATTTGCAAGGTTCTACCAAATTATACAAGAATTTGTTACTTAATCCAGACCAAGTATTGTTAATTAGATACTAAGATATTAAATATGTTCCTTTTTTTCCAGCTACCATGACATTTTATTTTCATAATATGACTGTAATTGAGTTGGAAGTATTTTAATCATAATTTTATATGGGCTTCTTTTTCTGAATATGTTTCCTATTTTTCTAATTCTAGGTTTCATATACACTGGAGAAGTCGTACATCGAATGCTAACAGCCACACAGTACATAGCACCTTTAATGGCAAATTTCGATCCCAGTGTATCCAGAAATTCAACTGTCAGATATTTTGATAATGGTATGTGTTGAGTAGCCTATTTTTTGCTGCATGTATATTTTTAAACCTCAAGCATCAGATTCATGTTAATGTTTTTGTAAACTGTTTATTTTTTGGTGTGTAAACTGCTTGATGCAAATGGTCTGAGAGGACAAATATTATACTGCTAAGATTTATAAAGTACACAAATGGCATTCATTCATTCAACACATTTATTAACATCTACTATACACAGTAAAACTGAGTTGCTGTAGACAAGACCTCAGACAAAGCAAACGCATTTATTTGATGCTATTTCAATAAGTCAGTTTTCCAATTTTCCCATCAGAAAAAAATGGAAATAAGAATAATTTTGTTAGTTCTGATCTTCCAGTTGAGGCAAGTGCCATAATATATTGACATTAAATTTCCAAAACTTATGACTTGTATGTATCAATAAGATGAACACATATTTTAAGAAGTATAAAGTAGTTAGTTGTGGGTAGTTCAACTGAAGAAAATAAAGTTTTCTTGACTTTAGAAAATGAGTGAGAGCCTGTCAAGATTTATCAAATATACCAAGAGCAATGTATCCCTGCTATTACTTTTTGGGACATATAAAATAGAGAAAAAAACTATAATAAATCATTAAGTGGTGCCAAAATCCAAGCGAGAAATTCAAGGTCTTGGAGACATAAATGAATTTTCATCTCAACATCTTATTGAAAGCTGTAACTTTGGTAGAGAAAATAAATTATAGGTAACAAAGAGTTTATATTGCAATGATTAAATATAGAATTTTCTGTGTATTTATCATTCAAAAATGATATTTATTTGTTTAAAAGACAATTTTATGCCTGCAAATAATACAAGCATTTGGGGTGAACAGAGTTATTTCTACTTTTATCTTATTTCTGATGATCAAGGAAGAAATTTGCTCATGGTTGGAATAGACTTGATGGTAGCTGTAGCCTTGGAGAAATATGATCACTTTGCTAAGAGCCATCTCCTGACCAGTGTGATGAAAGCCATTTTACAGGTCAAAATAGCACAATGAGGAAACTAAACATAGTTAGACATTCACCTTAGGAAATACACGTTGAACATCTTGAGTAACACCAAGGTATGATCCAATATTAGGTAACTCTAAGTGTTAGCTGCAATAATGATTCATCTCTGTTATTTTAAGAACTATTATATTCTCTTCTCTTCCATTTTTTAAAAACTCATGAGGTGCTAACACCCAAGGATGTGCAAGTGGACTGTAAGTACACTATTCTTGAGGCAAAACTGCAGCCAGAAACTTATCTGAAACTTATTCTATGATTACCATGCAAAATTGCCTTGGGAGTCTATCCTACGGAAACAATAAATGATTTAGTGAACACTGACTATTTTCCAAACTCCGACATTCACTAGGTGATGTTAGGGTCATTTACTCATGGGCACATGATTCTAATGACCAAGTTTTTATACTGTTGCTATCAAAATCATAAAGCATATTAAATAAGTCTCTCTTCATATATTTTCATATACCTTGTTCCTAGGTAGCTCTTAATATTTGAATTTTACTCGTATTTGAATGATTTTTAAAAATTGATGTATACTACTCCAACTGAACTCTTAAGTTCTTTAAAAACAAGGACTGTGGCTATAAGAAATCATTTTATCTCCAGTACCCTGCATAGACACTTTATTATTTAGGACGTAGGTCCTAAATAATTATTCAATGAATGAATAAAAATAATTACATACGTAAAGTGAGTTTTATGTCTGAGAATTGTAAAAGTATTAATACTCAAGAATGCATGTATTGTTTACCCACTGAAATATCTTCTGTGTAATGACTTATTCCATAGGAATCAAATATTGAGGAATATTGAGTTCAAACAATATGATAATGAAAACTTACGTTTTATTAAATGAATGAAACACTTTTAAACACTGTAAGACTCTTCACGAAGCCCTTTTAATACCACAACAACTTGCTGAAATATTTTCAAGTTTAGTTAGAATCATTGACAGGATACTTAAAGATTGGAAACTCAACAATTTAGGAAAGCAAACTTCTCTGGAAAAGACAGCAGCAGGTTAGAAAATTTAAATCAGCAAATGTTGAGAGAGCTATGCTATTACATAATATAAAACTTAACATGTGCAAACAGTACACTTTTTTTTGTTTTTTGTGTTTTGAGATGGAGTCTCACTCTGTCGCCCAGGCTGGACTGCACTGGCATGATCTCTGCTCACTACAACCTCCGCTTCCCGGGTTCATGCCATTCTCCTGCCTCAACCTCCCGAGTAGCTGGGACTACAGGCGCCCACCACCACGCCCGGCTAATTTTTTAATATTTTTTTTAGTAGAGATGGGGTTTCACCGTGTTAGCCAGGATGGTCTGGATCTCCTGACCTCGTGATCCGCCTGCCTCGGCCTCTCAAAGTGCTGGGATTACAGTTGTGAGCCACCGCACCTGGTCAACAGTGTGGTTTTTAACAACCTGCTACTAACAAAATATTAGGAATCCCTTCCTCAGAATTGGCATTAAAAACTTTAATTTATATAGCCCTCTTATTTTCATAAATAATCAAGCGTAAGTATATTTTCTTGTATTTAATGCAGGAATGTCTTGAAGGCAAAAACTATACTCCCCATGTTATAGGAAAGGAAACGGGTTCATGCAGATTAATTGTGTCCAAGTTCACATGGAAAGTTTTATAGAGACAAGATGCAAGTCTAAGTCTTCTGCCCTCTGGTTCATTGTTTTCACTGCATCACCAGAGTGCGATAGAAACTAGAAAATAAGGAATAGACTAGAGCTTGAGGGTTGTAGACATGTGTGAAGGAAAAAGAAGTTAGGAGGCATTTCACAATCAGAAAATTCCTATACTTATAAAATCATGGGAGGTTTCCTGGCTACTGTCTTCTTTTGCTCTATTTTTTTTGTTTTCTCTTCTTTTCTTTTCTCTTCCTTCTTTCTTTTCTTTTCTCCTTCCTTCCTCCCTCCCTCCTTTCTTTCTTCCTTGCTTCCTTGCTTCCTTTTCTTTCTTTCTTTCTTTTTCTTTCTTTCTTCCTTTCTTCCTTCCTTCCTTCCTTTCTTTCTTTTCTTTTCTTTTTCCTTCCTTCCTTCCTTCCTTCCTTCCTTCCTCCCTCCCTCCCTCCCTCCCTCCCTCAGGACAATATAGACACGGAGATGCCCGTGGAAGGAAGAGACCTGAGTGGTCTTCACTCACAGCAGTGATAATGGCTAAAAGCACCAAGGTCAAGTTAAAAAACTTTTTTTTCTTTTTTACTTTTAAAGTTTTGCCTCAAAAGAAATACATTTCTTTACTTCAACATCCTTTCAGGACTTACAATTGGGTGTTCAAAATATTTGAAATAATGTGTCTATTTAAAATTGTCAACCAGCTCAAGAGATATTACTAATAGCACCAAATAGTTACTGAAAATTAATTCTTCCATGCAATTGTAATTTTTAAATATATCAGATATTTATTACTGGGAGATAAGATTTGCTCTTTTAGTTCTATGATTTTCATTTTCAGCACAACTTTTTTGGGCAACAGTTTTTCTAACCAAACAGAAAAATCTAATATTTAGAGTGAAGAAAAAGTCTTAGCAGCTCATTTCTTTTCTTTTTTTTTAAAAAAAGAGAGTACACAATGTCAGTTAAAACAAAAATTTGAATTCTCACTGGTGACTATTAAACTATGTTTCAGTTTTTATTTCATGCCCAATCGTTTATGGTAAACACTGACAGAGTGATTCAGAATATAATATACAGCACTGAAGTTTCATCCCAGTGTGCTTCAAGGGGACTTCAAAAATCTTAGTCCAGGGCCCTTTGAGCTTCTTACAGCTTCCTGGAAGAAACACAACAAAGACAGAAATACAAGCATTGTGAACTCAAGGAGAAAATTCCCATTAGTGTTAAAGGAACTCCTTCAATGTGGAAAAGTATAATTTTAAGTATGGAAAAGACATTTTCAGGTCTTTTGTATGTGGTCCTAACTTTTTAGATGTGTTTCTCTCTCAGCATTTGTCAAATGTATTTGAAGTTCATTCAATCCACTTGGGCTGCATTTTGAAAGTGGCTTATGGAAATTTAAGCAGACAGTATCTATTAACATTAATAAAATTCCTAAGGCAAAATTCCCCCACACTGCATTAGCTCAATTATTGACCTTAGTATGAGGTTCTATTTTACTAAATATTTAGAGAGTACTCAATCCTTTAAAAAAAATCCCAAATGCTATTTCAATAACAGAATTTGATTAACCACATAAAATCGAAATAGTACAACTACCAGATTTGAAGGCCAGATGCAAAAACATTTTTGTGAAAACTCCCACCAGAATTGATTGGTATGTTTTTCTCATTGCATTTCTTCTTTTTTCAATGGGTGTATAGGCACAGCACTTGTGGTCCAGTGGGACCATGTACATCTCCAGGATAATTATAACCTGGGAAGCTTCACATTCCAGGCAACCCTGCTCATGGATGGACGAATCATCTTTGGATACAAAGAAGTAAGTGATGCGTTGATAATTTCTTTCCCTTCCCCTTGTTCTTGACTGCTGCCTTTCCTCCAAATGTCAAGAAAGGGACATTTTACAGCCATGATCCTCAAATCATTTTCTTGCCTCTTGGTTTCCTTTGCTTAATAAAAAATGTTTTGATTAGTTTTAATTTTCTGGGTGCATTGATTGTTAGCTCTTTTGTATTCTGATATTGTTGGCATCAGGACTCATCAATTTCATAAAATTATTGAGTAATTATATTGACTAATTATTGAGTAATTAGAGTGAAATGTCTCTAAGAAAAAAAATTCAATTTGGAGGGATTTCTCATCTAAATGTAAATGTTTATATTTACGTATTTTCTTTAGTTAGTTTTTTTTTTTTCACCTGGTTGATTTCTTTGTTATATTTTGGTTCTAATTTCAAAAGCATTTATAGACACGAAAACTTATGTGGCTCAAGGACCCAGTACTGAGAGAGTTCTAGGATGGCTGTGCTTTGGCTAATGTTTGTTGAAACCAGATAGGAAAGATTAATTAGAGACCTAAGTGACAGAAAAAACAAGGAAATTTAAACTTAGGTTTGTTTCATTTTAACAAACTGACAAAGTAAAGAATGAAAATTTACTAAATTGTAGCCTTAAATTTACAGAATATTTAGACTAGAATAACTGTGTGTTTGATTTCCAACTCTTCTGACAAAGTAAGTAAGGCCTGTTGGACTAAGAATATAAAAATAAAGTTCCAGGAACTACAAATGTAATGTTTTAGATAGTCTCTAATTATGAGAGAAACCTGAACTGTGAGAATTACTAATGAGCATTATTAACCCATAGGTTAATGGGTATTTATAATATTACAGACTCGATATCTTATGTTCAGCTGAGGGATTACTTTTTCCTTGAGAATTGAATCCTAGATTATAAAAGGGATGTTGAGGATAAAGAAAGAATGCCCTTTGGTCAAATCTTCTGAAATCCATCTATTCCATAAAGTGCGGCATAATTTAATTACAATTAAATAGGCCAACTTTTAAAAATTCTGTAACCATGTCAGATATTTCTATTCCTTTAAAAACTTTTTTAATGAAATTTTTCATTTACTTGGGGGCAATTGTGTAAACAGGTTATAATTATAGACTATGTCTTACTCTATGTTTCTTTGTCCAAGTGTATGGTGTTTTTCTTTTAATTTTTATTTCAGGTTCAGGAGTACATGTGTAGGTGTCTTATATAGGGAAACACATGTCCTGGAGGTTTTGTTGTACAGATTATTTTCTCGCCCAGGTACTAAGCCTTGGATTCAATAGTTATTTTTCTTTCTTTTTTTTTCTTTTCTTTTTTTTTTTTTTTTTTTTTTTTTTGAGTTGGAGTTTCACTCTTGTTGCCCAGGCTGGAGTGCAATGGCCAGATCTTGCCTCACCATAACCTCTGCCTTCTGGGTACAAGCGATTCTCCTGCCTCAGCCTCCCAAGTAACTGGGATTACAGGCATGCACCACCATGCCCAGCTAATTTTTGTATTTTTAGTAGAGACGGGGTTTCTCCATGTTGATCAGGCTGGTCTTGAACGCCCTACCTCAGGTGATCCTCCTGCCTCGGCCTCCCAAAGTGCTGGGATTACAGGCGTGAGCCACTGCGCCCGGCCGATAGTTATTTTTTCTGATCTTCTCCCTCCTCTCACCTTCCACTCTCAAGTAGGCCCCAGTGTCTGTTGTTCCCTTCTTTGGCCCATGCATTCTCATCATTTAGCTCCCACTTATAAGTGAGAACATTTGGTATTTGGTTTTCCATTCCTGCATTAGTTTGCTAAGGATAATGGCCTCCAGCTCCATCCAGGTCCCTACAGAAGACATGATCTCATTTCTTTTATGGCCTCATAGTATTCCATGGTGTATATGTACCTGGTTTTCTTTATCCAGTCTATCATTGGTGGGCATTTAGGTTGATTCCATGTCCTTGCTATTATAAATAGTGCTGCAATTAACATACATATGTATGTGTCTGTGTGGCAGAATGATTTACTTATTCTTTTAATTAATAGAGTTTACTTTTTTAGAGTAGTTTTAGATTCACAGAAAATGATGCAGAAAATACACAGAGTTTGAACATACTCTTCTTGTCCTGCTGAACATCCTCCCCCATCATCGACATACCCCACCAGAATGGTACATTTGTTGCAATAGATGAACCTACATTGACATTGACACATCAATGTCACTCAGAGTTCTTAGATTAGAGTTCCCTCTTGATGCTGTACTTTCTAAGGGTTTTAAGGATGTATAATGTCATGCATCCATCATTATGGTGTCCTACAGAATCTTCCCTGCCCTAAAAATTTTCTTTGTTCTACCCAGTTTTTTGTTTCAATAGGTTTTGGGGAAATAGGTGGTGTTTGGTTACATGGATTTACATTCCTTTGGTTATATACCCAGTAATGGGATTGCTGGCCTGAATGTAGTTTTACTGGTGAGGTTGTGGAGAAAAGGGAATGCTTATACACTGCTGGTGGGAGTGTAAATTAGTTCAGCTACTGGGGAAAGCAGTGTGGCGATTCCTCAAAGAAATAACATCAGGGCTGTGTTTTTATATCAGAGCCCACTATATTTTTATGTCACACTCCCTGGAAGCTGAGAGAATAGTTCTCAAAAGGACTTATTCATTTCTAGTTTTCATTGCAATCTAGTATATTGCTGTAACTGCACAGTGACGTTTTGCAATGTTCATTTTCAACGGTTTGAACCAACACTGGTCAAGTCTCTGTAAAGACGCAAGGTCAGTAAGTTTGGAGACTTAGGTCTCACCACCTGGAGGCTTTGTCAAAACAGAAATTTGTGTTCTTATTGTGGCTTCGCTTGCTAGTCTTTATTATTGAAATTGTCATCTTTCTTTACGCTGTTCTCAAAGGTGTCTCACATTGCAGAATTCTTCCTTTTCTCTGTTCTTGGTTGGTATTTTTAAAGGCCTTTTCTTTTCTTCATTTTAATCAAAGAAAAAAGTTCCACTATGGTTTTCCTGTTTTGTTATGGGGAATTTCAAGATGACAGGCAAATTTAATGTTTTCTTGATATTCCCAGGCTCTTGTCCTGAAGAATGTCTTCCCTCTGCACTTGGAGTTCAAAGAAGTCATTTTTACTTTATTATTTACTTTACTTTATTATTTGCCTTTCTGTTCTTTCTTTGTTCTCGATACAAAGCAGTTTCTACTTTTCTAGTCTACCACTTTTTGCTTCCCAATAATTGTTATGTATTTTATTTTGCTAAGGCAAATTGTTATTTGTAAAATTTGTCGTAAGAGAGTCCCCTTGCATTTGAGGTGAGAGCTAGAAGCTCCTGGCACTGCTGGAAAAATATTCCTAATCACATGATAGCATAAAATAGTAGTTTGCGTAATGTATTACCACTTACAAAGTACTTTCACATGCATTATAGCATTTAATTCCTCAATAGTTTCCTACAGCTTTAATATCCTAAGTATTTTACAATAGCGGTGGTACATAGAAGCTGTTCAATAAATGTTTATGACTTAATTTTGGAAATAGATCATACATGATTATCTTCATTTTATAGCTGAGCAGGGTAAGTCAGAGAGATTAAATGACATACTTGAGGTCACAGAGCTAGTTAAGAATAAATCCAGAATTTAATTTGATGATCCCAAGACATCTCAACCATTTTCTCTGCCTAAAGAGATTATGTAAAACAATTCACAAATCTATGTCTCATTTGTCTTTCCAATAAGCGTTTCTTAATATTGGCTGTTTAACAATCTTGCTTATTAGACTTGTCATATCACACAATTACAAGTATAGATAAGAGAGGTATTCCTACTTCATTTGCAGAACTAACCAAATTCTAAGAGCATATAATTACAAGGAGTAAAATTTTCTGTTCCTGTCCAAGCTAAACTTGCCAAATTATACATAGGGAAGTACGTGTAATTCTTTCTGTAATAAGTTTCTTCTAATAGGCTAACACCAGCTTTGTTTTGTTTCATTATGTTTTATGTGAATGAGAAGAAAAATTCTGATTTACACAAAACCCACCACCAATTTGGGGCTTGTTTTAAAATTGTAAATTTTAATTACCATTAAATTTTACATTAAAATTAGTAATGGATTGAATAAATTTAGTTAAGTAAATTTCATTTTCAATGCCCTCATTCAATTTATCTTAGTATTTAAATGTGCCAACCATGCTAAGCATGTACATGACCTCCAATCCTTTCATGCTGCAAATATTGTCATTTCTTCAATAGCATAATTTTTTTGCAGTGCACACTAAATGATGAATGATCAATAAATAAGAAAATACATTTAGAGTTATAACAATCTTGCTTATAGTGGGATTGAAATAGGGAAGTACAACTGCTGCTTAAAATAAGAATGAATACAGATTTGCTCATAATATTCAGTGTTTCTTCACCAATACCCTGTTGTTTTCTAGAATCATATTGGAGAGAAGACTTGTGGAGGCATGGATTCCCTTAAGTAATTAAGTTATTTTTCCTGAGGTTATAGCTCTGTGTTGTTCAACCAAAGATTTGAAATTCTGTTTTAAATTATGGGCCCTTACTGTTACACAGCTGCATATTTTAATTAACTTCAAAGATAGAGTTTGCTTAGAAATCAGCCAAAATACAATAAGAATAATATTTTTTTAAAGTTCTTTTTCTCAAATTACCAACTGTTCATTATAATGCATTTTTCAATTTTAGAGTATCCAGTTGTTTTTTAGACAGATTTAATTACCTGATAAAATTAACTATAACATCTATTTCCTTGACTATATTAATAACAATTATTTTAAACCTTATGACTAATAACTCCAATATCTAAATGTCTTACAGGTCTGTCTCTATCACCTGTTTTCTTTTTATTTCCTCTAGATTTTCATTCATTGGTCATATTTCTTTGCATGCTAGGTGATTTTTAAAATAAAATATTGGACATGGTTTACAAAGTACCAAAGTACTTTGAGGATGTAGATAATGTTTTCTTCCTACAAGACAGTTTATTTTTTTGGCAGTTGGTACAGAACAGATAACTTTAATACTGTACAGCTAAGCCCCTTCAAAGTTGAGCATCAGTTCTTATGAGACCAGAATATTTCTGGTAAGCCCTTACTCTTCTAGTCCTTCAGGGATCTCCACTAAAGATCTGAATTTTTGCTATGGACCTTTTCCTTAGTGCCCCTGAATGCATGTATTTTTCTTCAGCTCCATGAGACAGCCCAAAGGCTGTGGAAAGGCAAATCATTCTTACCTGTGTTCACAAGTGGCTATGAAATGATTGATATAATATGAGGTGCTAAGCTATGGAATGAAAATGACTAGCCAGGAAAGACAGTCAAGGATATCAAAATGAACCATTGAACCATTCAGTCATGTATTGAAAAGAAAGTGTATAGGGTAGTTACTTAAACTCTCTGGGCTAAGTCAGTGAGACCTTCTCACTCTCTAACACTTGCTTATACATTGGCAAATGCTTTGATGGGAAAAGTGTTGTTGGGTTTACGTCTGCATTTTCCTTTCTTTGGGATTTTGTCTTTTCAAGACCTTGCTCTTTGATAACTACCTGAAGTTTTCAGTGGAAGCTTTCCATATTTTATTCACATTTCCTGCTTGATTTAAGTGGTAGAAATGATCTTAATCTTGTGTGCCATAACCAGAAGTGAAAGTCACATTCACATTTAACAATAACCTCCAAAGTTGATAAAATCTAGCATTTCTTGAGCTCTTCATATATGTCAAGCACCGACCTAAGCATTTAAAATAAATTATGTATACTTCTCACAAAAACCATGAGTAGCTACTTTTGTCATTTACGGAAAAGGAACCTGAAATACCCAGAGACCTTAAGTAACTTTTCCAAAGATATGGAACAAAGATTTATCCAAAGAAATATGACTCTAAAGCCCTAAGGCCTAGCTACTGTACCAGAATGCCCTCTTAAAAACTTTCTTTTCAATAAGTGACTGAATCAATTCATTCATTCTGATATCCTTGACAGTCTTCCTTAGCCAGTCATTATCATACCATAGCCTAATATATCATATCATAGCATATCAAGGCCATTTGGGAGCAAAGGTAAGGTTTGCCTATCCACAGCATTTATCTTATTAATCTATAATTTTTTAAATGAAAGAACCTGTACATAGGCCAAAAAAAAACCGGATCCTTTCTTAAATACATGGAGTTTGGAAATCAAACTCTCATTTTCCTATTCTATTAGTAATTAGCTATAACCCTAAATCTCAGCTTCTTCGTATTAAGTTGCCATTAAATAGTGATGATTTTTGCTTGATTATAATAGATATGGTTCTAAAATTTGTGGTCTATTGATAATGTAACAAGGAAACTAACAATTCTCAAAAAAACATTTTATTCCAATGGCCGGGTACGGTGGCTCACGCCTGTGATCCCAGCACTTTGGGAGGCCAAGGTGGGCTGATCACTTGAGGTCAGGAGTTGGAGACCAGCCTGGCAACATGGTGTAACCCTGTCTCTACTAAAAATACAAAAATTAGCTGGGCATGGTGGTGCACGCCTGTAATCCTAGCTACTGAGGAGGCTGAGGCAGGAGAATCTCTTGAACCCGGGAGGCAGAAGTTGCACTGAGCAGAGATCATGCCACTGCCTTCCAGCCTGGGCGACAGAAGGAGACTCTGTCTCAAAAAAAAAAAAAAATGTATTTAAAAAATCCTGGAGATTTGAAATAAGGGTCTTTACAGGCCTTGATGCTGTCTATCCTAGGATACTCTTACTTTGTAGAAGTTGCAGTTTCTTTGACTTGTCTTATCTCTATTCTCTTGATATACTTGGCATTTGTAATCACTCTGGACACAAACTATAGGTGGATGTGACTCTTTTTTTGTGTCAACTGCAAACTCGGGTTCTTTTTTTTCACTAGCTTATGTGAGGAATAAGGATAGTCATTAGGTTAGGAAACTGTAATTTAAATAAAAATGTCATATAATCCTACTAGATGGCAACAGGAGAAAAATCACAGAAGAGACAAGACTGGCTTAGCCCAGGAGTCAGCCTGTTCTATCCATTTTCTTGGTTGAATACTTTACCATTTCCTTCAGCAGCAAATTTTAGAGGAGGTCAATATAGAGGAACTTTACTGTTTATTAAGTAAAATCACTTTTTAATCTATTCTATTTAAGTATTTAAACCTAATGTTCCTTGGTGTCACATTTGCTGCTTCTATGGAAGAATGCATAGTTAATAAATCACCATTGCCAATTAGTTGTAAGTTTCAATGGGGCTCTTAATGCATTTTTTAAAATTTCTTTGAAGATTATTTCTCTTATTTAAACTGTAATGACCCTTCACTCATGGTTAGCCGCCTGAAAGTATTGAAAGATGAACATTGGCTGAACTTGTAGAATTTATAGAAAAAAGGTAATTCAAGAAAGTCAGAGAAGGCCAAAAAGAACAGAACAGTGAGACCACCACCATTTAGATATAAGGTAATTTCCTTCTATAACTATTGCTACATCTGTGAGAATACTTGATGTGTGAATATAGTGTATACAGCCAAGACATTTGATAAATGTGTGAGCAGAAAAGAATAATATATATGTACATATATATCTAATACAAGGAAAAGAAAACCAGATTGAATAAAATGCTGATTAAAAGCTCTCAAGAAATAATTCTAAGGAAAATGTAGAGACAGATATTTTATATCATAGGACTTCCCTATATTTTAAACAAGTAAAATATTAAAATTTTATCTACACAGCTTCATGTGGGATCTAATTCATTTGTATTTGTAGAGATATTTTATTTTTTAGCTATCTCACATATAGAAGTGCCTGACATTTTAATTTTTTGTTTACTTTTCCTAGTGTAAGAAAATAAGTTGAATTATTCTCCCTTGATCATGTTCTGATGGCAAATGCTGTGTGTAAAAATAAATAAATAAAGTAGCCAGGTAGAAAGATCAATGTCCCAGAGGAAATTATTTTATTTTATTTTATGTATTATTATTACTTTTTAAGACAGAGTCTCATTCTGTTGCCTCGGCTGGAGTGCAGTGGCGCGATCTCAGCTCGCTGCAACCTCTGCCTCCCGAGTTCAAATGACTATCCTGCCTCAGCCTCCCAAGGAGCTGGGATTACAGGTGCATGCCACCATGCCTAGCTAATTTTTTGTGTCTCCCCCAAACCCAGGGTGTAGACTTTCCTTAATCTCCTTTCTTTTCCCTTGATGTTTAAGTCCCAAGCCATGTTTAGATAAGTTTCCTTATCTAGCTATTGTCCCAGGTAAAATCCACACCAGAGTCTTGACTATCTTGAGTCCAATGGCACAAGCTTCTTCAAGTGGGCACCCTGCGTCACTGTCTTTTGTGTGAAGTTCAGACTCTTCGTGTTCCAATTCAATGTGAGCAGTCTTAACTCAGAGGGCACACTTTTTACTCTGTGTATGTTTTTATGTTTTAAGTGTACACGTTTGTAAAACAGATATGTTGCCGACATCTAAATATTAAAATATTTCAAGTAAAAATATAGATGTGCGTTTTTTCCTTGAGGACTCGGAAAGCCCTGGAAGCCCTTGTCTTGCAAATATTGCCTGGAAAATTCACTCAAAGTGTGCACCCTCCAATTTCTCCCTCATGAATTTCTTCTCTTACCCAAGGCACACAGTAGCTTATGTAGAAAGGAAGTTTGAAACCTCTTTTTTAAAGTGGAGGTGGATTTTACTTATCATCTTCATGCTGTTAGTTGACTGCTTCCAGATTTTCTACAGATTATGATTGTGGAGATGGGGGCAGGAGGCATGTTAGGAATTGATCGTTTGATGATAGCTCACCTTGACTGTCACGCTGTTAGATGCATTGCTCAATACCTGGCAGATGAGAGTTCAGGAGCTGTACAATAAAAAAAGATGGAAATAATTGTGCAAATTGTTACTGATACCCTGGAAAGCAAATGGATTTTTACATTGTCAAGTTTAACTGAAAGCCCTTCTATTCAAGTGTAGTTTACAGACAACTCACCATTAATATTTTGGACTTTATGTGTTTGTTTGTTTTGTAGAGACAGTTTCTTGCTCTGTCATCCAGGCTGGAGTGCAATGGCACTATCATAGCTCACTGCAGCCTCCAACTCCTGGGCTCGAGTGATTCTCCTGCCTCAGCCTCCAAGGTAGCTTGTGCTACAGGTTGTTGTTTTGATAATAATAAAAGAGATCATGACTCTTAAAAATTAGATTCACTGCTGATAACACTGAAGCCAGGTCAGATACTTAAGTAAAACGAAGGAGAAAGTTAAGGGTTACAGGCAGATAAGAATGGGTAAAACAGAAACCTTTGAGTTTATTGTGGGATTTTGTTGTTGCTGTTGTTTTTAATATTAAGCTACTGAACACCATATTGCAGATTAGCAGGGAAACAAAAATGAGTTTGGAGTAATTCTTTTCCAGTTAAGGTTAGATAGGCATATGATTCACACCTTGGAACACATACTATACAATCAAACCCTTGCTGAGATACTGTGCTGCCTACTGGATAGATAGCTGGGCCTGTAATGGAAACAAATGAATGTTTTGGTGATGTTTTCAGGGCAGAACAAAGAGGAAAATAAAATTCCATTAACTATTACTTAAGCGGCATGCTGTTATCTCCCTGGTTTAGAGACAGATGTAAAAAGCTCATGGTTAAGGAATTGTTTGGGGTTCCTGTGTGCTGGAGAAAGATACCACAGAGTGGAGAAGAGAGGAGCTTCTGTCTTTGACTCTCCTTCCAAAGGCCAGTGTGCTCTGCTCTACTATTTTTACCCCTGACATCTTTTCCTGCCTTGATTTTGTGTAGCAATTGCAACCACTTTCTGCTTCTATGCTTACTTTGCTTTGCTTTAATATCTGTTATAGAAAAATGTATACCAAGTAATAAACCTATCTCTATCTTGTTATATAGAGCAAAAATTATACTGTTATTTAAAAGAAGTATTCATGAATGCTTTTAGGGGTCAAAATGGAAGCATATTTTAACCAGTGTGAAAGCTCCTTTTATTTCTATCCTGTGGAGAGAATGTAATTGTAAAACCAATTCCTCAGAAATGTGCGATTCAATACAGATCATACAGAGGCCCAGTTAAAATTTAGCTTTGCTTTAATCTTAAGGCAACTATTATAGACACTTAAAAATAATAAAGCTACATTGTTTAAAAAAAAAAACTTCTGTAGTTTAGAGTTTTTATTATTTCAGTTTGGCTTCCTGACACCCCCAGGATCTCGTGATGACTCACGAGACATTTTGAGGATGAATATAAATTTGTAGAAAGGATAAGAAAATCGCTTCCTGTAATCAAAGTTTTTAAAGTTTTGGTGCTTTAACATGTTTTTGGTCCATATGTTCATTGACTTTGGCACTTCATATCCTTCTAAATACAGAGTCTTCTATAAAATACGTGATCATGACAATAACATGTTCATTCTTGTGCTAATTTGCCCAATACTTCTAAATAGCTATACTTCTAAATAGCTATACTTCTAAATAGCTTGTTTATACATACACATATGCACACACATAATGTCTTTGTTATTAGTCAAAAAGAAGTTCATTTTACAGCCTGGGTAACATAATGAGACTCTGTCTCTGCAAAAAAAAAAAAAAAAAAAAAAAAAATTAAAAAGAACTAGCAAGCAAGCTACTCGGGAGGCTAAGGCAGGAAGATCACTTGAGCCCTGGAGGTTGAGACTGCAGTGAACTGTGATTGCACCACTGCACTCCAGCCTGGGCAACAGAATGAGACTCTGTCTCAAATAAATAAGTAAATAAATAAATAAATAAATAAATATTTTTAAAAGTAGTTTATTTTAAATGTACCTTTTAATAATATAGTCTCTAATTTTATGCTGACAGAGGACCCTGCAGACTGGTCTCATGATAGGAAAATATCAGGTGTGGAGAGGCAGACATGTTCCATAGGAAATTTTAGAGAAAGCCTGGAATTGTTCACCTTTTCCTCATTAATCTTTGATGACATTAGACATTTAATTCACTTGGCAAAATCAGTTTTTTCAAAATCTGGCATGTAATGGTTTCATAAAAGCCTTGGGTGGCTTCTAGGAAAATATAAGTAGTTGAAAGTTTCTTGTACATTTTCATTTTAATATTTAATCAGGACAAAAGAGTACAGTTTTAGAAATCCTGGGCTCTTACTCATGAGCTCTACAAAATTTTAATGGAGAACATTTGAAGCCAGTGGTTTTGCCATAAAGTGGTCATCCCTCTCCAGCGCTTCCTCTCCTGGTCTTTGAATGTTTCAGGACTGGTCTTGAGAGCTGCATATGTTGTTCCCTGCATATCGAAAGGACACTTCTCATAGACCGTGAAGTGAGTGAGTCCTCTGGAGTTGTACAACCTATAACATTCCTGATGAAAACACCATTTCATTGCTCTTGCTACTGAAACCAAAAGCCTTTGTGGTATCCTTTACTCTGCTTTTGTCCCTCGCTGTCTTTATTAAATCTATGGGGAGTCTCAATAGCAGTGCATACATAATTCTTCCAGAATCTGCCTCTGTCACTTACACCACTGTTACCACTTTGGGGTGGAGCATGGCACCTTCTCTTACCTGGAAAACTGTGATACCCTCCTAACTAGTTTGTCTGGCTCCCGTTGTCCTTCTACAGTCTTGATTTCCCAGCAGCCAGCGTGATATTTTTCCAAAATAAAGGAATGTCCTTTCCTCTGCTCAAAACCTCCCAAATCTTTCTGTATCTTTTGGACTAAAATCCAGTGTCACTGTCATGGCTTGCAAGGAATACACGCTCCCTATGATCTGCCCCTACCACCTCCCATCACCTTTGACACACTTGTTTACTACTTCTGCTCCAGCTGTAGAGACAACCTTTTAACTCCTAAAATTCAGTCAAGCCCTTTACATGTGCCGGTACATCTACCCACAGTTGTTTCCCAAATATCCACATGACAGATTTTCTTACTTCCTTCGAGTTTCTGCTGAAAAATCACCTTCTCAGAGAGAGCTTCTGCGACTCTCTTCTCTCCTAGAGATCCCTGTTCCTCTCTATCTTCTTACTCTGTTTTAGTTTTCTCCTTGGTACTAACCACCTTCTAGTATGCTATAGGTTTTATGTTCACTTGTTTTAATGCCTGTCCCTGTTCTCTAGAATGTAGGCTCTGTGAGAGAAGGGTCTTTGTTTTCCTATCTGCTGTAATTCCAGTGCCTACAATAATACAGAAAATATATTCAATTAATATCTGATGAATGAATGAATGGATTCTATCTTATCAAATGGACAGTGTGTATGCCTTTTGGGGAAAATAATTTATATCTAGTAGACATCATTCTTAGGAATCTATTTTCTACTGTCTAATCCCCAATTATATTAAGACTCATAGTAGAGTTATATGGTAGTGGTGGTTTGACAGATGCAGTAATCAGAAATCATTAACCCATGAATATGTACACTTAAAAAACTGGCAACAAGTTAAAGCATAACTCTTGACTACAAATGATGATTTCTACCTAACTTCTACTCTCCTTACATAAAGGTAGAGTATTTCACCCTTATCATTTTAGTTTGTATCGTTGTTAACAATTTACTTGTTGAAGCTTGGAAAAGTCAAAATCATTTGAAAAAAATTTAATTTGATAACTGAAAGAATCAAAGATCACTTATAGTGATCTTCCTAGAGGGTTGGTCAGTTATATATCAGATAATTTTCAGTGATAGAAAACTCAGTACACCGTGAGGCTACCCATTTTGGTTTCGGGTAAATTTTTCTCCTGTTAAATGAATCTAAATCTAGGTAATTTATGTATATTGGGCTTAGTTTTTGAAATGCACAGACAAAAGAATAAACTAAAGAGACAGAAGAATGAAAAAAAAATGCTGCACAAAGTGAAACTTTTCTACTGGAACATTCCAATCTTTCAAGTTTAATTATACCTAGAATTAGATATTTATCTGAAATCTGGGCATGATGGTGTGCACCTGTAGTCCCAGCTACTAGGGAGGCTGAGGCAGGAGTATTGCTTAAGCCCAGGTGTTTGAGGCTGCAGTGAGCTATGATCATGCCACTGCACTCCAGCCTGGGCAACACAGTGAGACCCAATGTCTTAAAAATAGATACTTATCTGATTCCCAGAAAATTAGGATGAGCAATACTACCTCATTTTATGGAGAAACACCCATATTCTATTCTATTGGCTATTTGACTTTTAACAGAGAATGTATTGATTGATATTGCTGTGTAATAAACCACCCCAAAATGTAGTGGCTTAAAACAACTCCATTTCTTATTTCTCACAAGTTGCCTATAAATCAGCTTGCTGGTTCTACTGATATGGGCTGGACCCTGCTGATCTCAGCTGAGCTTCTGAATGTGTAAGCTGTTATCTGGTGGACTGGCTGGGAGCTGGCTAGGCAAGGATAACTTTTGGTGCAAAAAAATAAAAATTAAAAAAAAAAATCCTTCATGTGTCTTGTATACATCTGCAGAAGACCAGTAGTGTACATTTTCTTGGCTGTAGCAAGGGTCCAAGAAAGGAAGTAGTAAGCAGTTTTTCAAGTCTCTCTCTCTCTTTTTTTTTTTTTGCTTCAAGCTTCCTGCTCTCCTCTTTTGCCATATTATTGAGCCTGGAATCTGAGTGGGAGAGGACGACAGAGGGTCTGGGCACAAGGAAGCCATTGATTGAGGCCATTACTGCAATCAACCCACCACCAATAAAAAGCACTGGAGGAGAGGGCTTGACATAGACCCAAAACATAAAGGAAGGGGGTGAAAGGAAGGAAAGAGATTGAGGAAAAAAAATAAAAATAAAAGATGGCTGGGTAAGGGAAGAAGAGATAGGGAAGAGAGACAGAAAAGGTAGAATGCGGCTGGGTGCAGTGGCTCACACCTTTAATCCCAGCAATTTGGGAGGCCGAGGTGGGCGGATCACCTGAGGTCAGGAGTTCAAGACCATCCTGACCAACATGGGGAAACCTCCTCTCTACTAAAAATACAAAGTTAGCTGGGCGCAGTGTCACTTGCCTTTAATCCCAGCTACTCAGGAGGCTGAGGTAGGAGAATTGCTTGAACCCGGGAGGTGGTGAGACAAGATTGTGCCATTGCACTCCAGCCTGGACAACAAGAGTGAAACTCTGTCAGAAAAAGAAAGAAAGAAAGAAAGAGAGAGAGAGAGAGAGAGAGAGAGAGAGAAGGAAGGAAGGAAGGAAGGAAGGAAGGAAGGAAGGAAGGAAGGAAGGAAGGAAGGAAAGAAAGAAGGAAAGAAAAAGGAAGGAAGGAAGGAAGAGAAAAGAAGGAAAGAAGGAAAGAAAGAAAAGGTGGAATGCATAATCTGGAGAGTGGAGAATGCATCTGGGAGGGCTGCAGGAACCAAGACATGTGACTTAAAAAACAAGCTCTGACATAAACATGTACTATACATAATGACATAATAGGATTTTCCAGTTGATAGCAGTATAAGCTCAAGTACTGCTGTGGGTATGGGAAAAGAAGACAAGCAATAAATTACCACAGAATCATCTGGTAAAGCCTTTTTCAACTTGCAGAGGAAAACTGAACTCACAGAAGTTGGAGAAGGGGGTCAAGTGACAAATGACAGGAACAGTGGCATTTATATGATGGCATTAATAGATGCTTGCTTCTATTAATAGATTCTGCTTAAAAATGAGATGATCATGTCTTATTAGGATACAAAAATATAAGTGAATTGGAATTTTTCCCTATGCTTTTCCATCTTCTTGTATGTTTTAACTGTAAGTCTGTCTTAAATACAAATTACTTTCATATTAGAGTACTCAGCATGGGGTATAAGACTGGGAAACAGTATAATGCTCACTAAGAAAGAGGATTTCACATATTGATACTGAATTTAGGTTAGTAAATCAGTAAATAAAATATATCAGCCAGGCGCAGTAGCTCACGCCTGCAATCCCAGCACTTTGGGAGGCTGAGGTGGGTGGATCACTTGAGGCCAGGAGTTCCAGACCAGCCTGGCCAACATGGTGAAACCCCATCTCTACTAAAAATACAAAAAAAAAAAAAAAAAAAAATCCAGCTGGGTGTGGTGACACACGCCTGTAATCTCAGCTATTTGGGAGGCTGAGGCATGAGAATAGCTTCAACCCGGGAGGCGGAGGTTGCACTCCAGCCTGGGAGATGGAGTGAGACTGTCCCAAAAATAAAAAATAAAAAATAAAGTATATCAGACTTGGATATAAATTTTGATTTTGTTTTGCTTGTTTTGTGTGTTTCTGTTATCCAAATACCAGAAGACTAATTTATATTGGTTAAGAATTGAGCATACTGACACAAAATTTGCAAACACTTTAACGTTGTTTAAGAGAGACCTGAAATAATACATTAAGGGAAAATGTCATCTTCTATTTACTTGTTTCAAGATAATTCCACAAATTCCAAAAGCAATGAACTTTTTTCTTAATTTGTCCATTTTAACAAAATAGCCCTTTCACAGTTTCATGATGTCGTGGTCAAAAATAAGTCAGAGAGTTTTTATTATAGATTGTATTGTATTGTATTATATTATATATTCTCTCCCACTTATTATATATTCTCTCCAACTTATTCCCCTTCTTATTGTTATGCTGTTTATTATGGCTTACACAGCAATATCTGATCTAATATATTATTTAATGAATTGCCCACAGATCACCCAAAATCTGCTTATTCTGCCTAAAGACGTTTTCGGTGCATTTATTCTTTTCTTTTACTTTCCTGTTTCTTTGTTTATTGAAGATGGTTTCATTCCCATTTTTGTTTCTGTAAAACTGATAATAAAGAGAGTAATCATATCTCCAATGGATCTTTTCTGAATCTGGAAACATGGACTCCCAAGAGTTCATGTCATTTATAACTCTTATATCATTTTTCATATATTCTCAATGTATCATAATTTTTTAACTGTAAATATTAGAAATGTCTATCGTATTCAGATCTTGGTTTCATTGAGATTCAAATACAAGAACTGTGACATTGAGATGACCCATAAGAACTTAGAAGTCTTTCATAGTAGTTTCAACCAGAATGGTGAAATGATTGCCAAATTTAATTAGATATTAATCAACAATGATATTGTCAAATGTATATTTAACAGTGCATTTATTTGTTTTTCTCTAGATTTTATATCTATAAGACTGCTTATAAACAAAGATTTTCTAAAACTGTATAAAAACAAATATACAGTAAAGTTTTTTTTCAGAAAACAAATAGTAAGAGGAAAATCTGTTTCCAAAATTATAGCCAGCACTAAATGAATTCATGGTGTGCCTATATGTGTGATAGGTTTGCAGCATCTAACATCAATTATATTATCTGAGAATCTATTACTTTCAACATCAAGTAGCCTTCTTTAGAACCAGGAACTCCCTGTCTCTTCTATTCATTCAATAGCACTAAACTGATGTTATTTTTTGGTTTCGTATGTCTCTCTTTTCTAATACCTTTGACTCCCTTTCTAGTCTTTTATCTCCTTCCCATGGTTTTGTCCATGAAACAAGAGGATCCTACTACCTTTCCTCCCTGTATGAAATTCAGATCTAACATATAGTTACCTGCTTTGTTTTTTTCCAGATTCCTGTCTTGGTCACACAGATAAGTTCAACCAATCATCCAGTGAAAGTCGGACTGTCCGATGCATTTGTCGTTGTCCACAGGATCCAACAAATTCCCAGTACGTAGAAGAAGGGCAGTCGCAATGAGTGAGCCTCTGTGGGGGTAAATTTAAAGGAGATTGGTCTATGGCAGCTGTACCTGAATTAAAAAAAAAATAGCTAATCGATTAGCTGATTAATGCTTGTTAATTCTGTTGTTTGCTTTATAACTCCGATTGGGCTATCTCTGTCACCCTTGAGCTAACTCAGGTAAAGACAAATTAAATAGTGAAGCCAAAAATGTGTAATTTTGGACTCTTTTTCTTGGTTCTTTTTTCTTTCTTTTGATTTGGGGTCTTACTCTGTCACCCAGGCTGGAGTGCAGTGGTGCACTCACAGCTCACTGCAACCTTGACCTCCCAGGCTCAAATGATCCTCCTACCTCAGTATCCTGAGTAGCTGGGACCACGGGCATGCGCTATCATGCTCATGCTTGGCTAACTTTTTTTATTATTTGAAGAAGTGAGGTCTTGCTGTGTTGCCCAGGCTGGTCTTGAACTCCTGAGCTTAAGTGGTCTTCCTGCCTCAGCCTCCCAAAGTGCTAGGATTACAGGCGTGAGCCACCATGCCCAGCCAGATTCTTTGGGATAGTTGGCAGATACAGTTCTTTTATTAATGAGAATGACATAAAACAGTGACAGATTATTGGATTGATAGGCATATGACTTTTCATATATGTTTGGCTTAAGTGTATGAGCAAAACCGCAGCTTTGTGCTATCTTTTTTTTTTCTTTCTTTTATTATTGTACTTTAAGTTTTAGGGTACATGTGCACATTGTGCAGGTTATTTACATATGTATACATGGTGCCACGCTGGTGCGCTACACCCACTAACTCGTCATCTAGCATTAGGTATATCTCCCAATGCTATCCCTCCCCTTTCCCCCCACCCCACAACAGTCCCCAGAGTATGATGTTCCCCTTCCTGTGTCCATGTGATCTCATTGTTCAATTCCCACCTATGAGTGAGAATATGCGGTGTTTGGTTTTTTGTTCTTGTGATAGTTTACTGAGAATGATGATTTCCAATTTCATCCATGTCCCTGTGCTATCTTATATTTAATGTATTTGTGTAAAACTGTTTGGGAGTCTAAAGGAAGATGAAAGAAAAGGTACAAATTTAGGTAAATAAAAATCCGGGGGCAGCTCTACCTACCACGAGAGAAGATAAGTATTTTCTTTAAATTACGTTTGCCCATCTAGTCTAGTTTACATTTTATAGAATAAAAAGGGACGTGTTGCTTTGGACAACTGTTTGTTATATTAGAAACCAAAATGCTAACTGCATTAGCCATTCTGACCCTATAAATAGGCATCTGTTGAAAGCTTCTGGTTTTTGAATCTCCTTCACTCCAAGAACAGTCCCGAGAGATGCTTTGGTGTCATAGTACGTGAAGTTGGGGTGGGGGGTGTTTGTGTCCTATGTGTTCTTATTTAAAGAAAGGGGAGATAATAAAATATATCTCAAGATGAGATCATTTTTTCTCTTTTGTTCAAAGTTCTTTTTCTTCTTTTATTTGGTTACAGTGGTAGATAATTTATCACATGCTCATGTTCTTTGGTTGTGACTTGAGGTGATTATACTTAATTATGTCAACTCTCAACTGTAGACAGCAACTGGAGTGGAAGCTTTACTTTTTAAAGCAACGGATTAGCAGAAATATTATAAGGGTTATCTTACAACCGTAAGATATCTTAGAACTGAATGGTTATGTTACAACTGAATGGCATTGATACGTGGTGGTTCTGCTTGATGAAGAACATGGGGTTTCTCCTTGTTAGCTGAGAATTTGTGGGAGGCAATATTCAAGGGAATTGTTAAATCAAAGCAGGTTTTCCAGAAACTAAATTGTACTGTGAACAAAGCAAGGATACATGAGTATGTGTAGGCAACATAAAGGCATCCTGACAGAGCTCTTAAATAAGAGGCTGAGCCCTAGGACAGCTGAAGTTGGCTTGTGTTTGAGGATGGCCGTTCTCACATTCTTTCTTTCAGAGTTGTTAAATCAAGCATGGTTTGAGTCAATTATTGCACAAGTAAAAAGAAACACTAGCTTTAATTTATTAGTTGCTTTTTTTAATTGCTGAAAAAAATTATTTGCGGCTTACTCAGCAGGGCTTTTAGTCCATATTGTTGTTCTGATATATTATTGCTTAAAGAAAAAAACACCAACCAAAATACAAAAATTTTTTTTACAAATGTAGTTTAATATGCAAGTATTATGTTGGTATATTCCCAATGATAAAATTGTACTTAGATATCAGGGCCCTAAAGTGTAATTTTGCATCCTTTGTTATGCTGTAAAAGGATAACTGTTACGTGTTGGGGGAAAAATATTTTCAAATACAAATCTCATTTAATAAATTGGCAACATTTATATGAATTTTCAGACCAGATTATGTCTAAAGTTTGGGACTCAGCAGTTATCTAAAAGAACTTAATTCAAACGTAGAATTCAGAGAAAAATGTCCCTCACACAATTTGCATACTGGAAAAGCAGTCACATTTTCTGTTAACCTTACTGTTCCATCCTGAGAAAATTAGCCAAGAAGGAATGAAAGATTTGGGTCTCGAGTTCTGCCATTGTTGCTGTTAGATGCGACTATATTTATGCAAGAAAATTAGAATCAATATGTTCTACTTAAAAATCATTTTGGGAACACAAAATTTTATCTCCTTAAAAGTCTCTCCCACATTTATAAAGTATAACTGTGTCTGTTGCATGAGCTTCTGTATAACAAGAGATACACGGTTGCATTGTATTCTCAGCTAACAGAAAGTGCATCTTTATGCCAGAGATTAGGATAACCCAAGATTAGCACAATGCAAGTTATACAAGTACAGTTCTTTTGTGAGAAATAAGTTGATTCCTACAGACCTATGTTACATATTCAACAATCAGAATTTAGACCGATATTAAGTCCTTTTCAAAATTCAGTTCCCTTATTTAGCAACACTCACTATTAGGAATTGTCTTTGTAGGGAATTTAAATACTTTGCCTCTGTTAACTTTTTTACCCCCACCAAGTGGATTTAGGGAACAACTGATTATTATTCTAAGTAGTGAGTAGTTTCATTTCTTCTGTATTCCAAGGTGTGTTACATAGAACCCTGTTCTCATAAGATCAGTTTTCTATTCTATTAATCATTTTAGTTACATAGGTTATATTACCTAAACCTTTGGCTTCATGTAGCCATGGGAACATGGGAATGTGAGCTCAAGCCTGGAAAATAGTATTTCCCAGTAGATCACCATTACTATATCATTCTTATCAGATTTGGTGAAGATTTGGTAAAGCATTCAAAATGCTGTAAAGCAATTTTAATTTATTTATTATTAAAATTTCTCCCTATTCATTCTTCCTCACATCAACAACAAAACACTTGTTTTTCAGTTTTTGAAGACCCCCAAATAGTAAATGATTTCAATGTAAATTTCAAGCATGATTAATTAAAGTAGCTTTATTTTCTTTCATAAAAGATCAGGTGATCTGATAGTTTCAATATCAAAGGGAATTCAGGCATTGTTAGTAAATTGATAAATCCTTCTGAGTTTACAAGAGAAATACCTTTGCTCCCTCAAAAAGAGAGGGAAAAGTATGGTAAAACTAAGACTTATGTTAAAAAAGGTGGAAATTAAAAGTAAAGCAAGTATAAGGAATATTGTCATTTGATTATTGGTCATGAAACATTAAACTTTTAATTGATTTCTGTAACTTTCTTTCTATATAAAATGAGCATCTTAGTACCTAAAAATGCAATGTGTACACAGCATGCATTACCTAGCAGAGAGTAAGTAGTACACTTGTACTTAAAGTTACTGTTTTTTCCATCATCGTTATCACTTTAAAAAACAGCGATACTAACTTAGATGTCACTGCCAAAGCTGAGTGCCCTTCAGAGTGGAACCACAGGAGATTCCCACTAAGAAACACAGTGACAGTGTGTCTCTGGAACTTCAGTGCTTTCTGACTATGTTGATGTGTGTTGTTTTATGTCTCTTCATAAGACTTATGTCTGCCTGTCTGTCCATCTGTATGTCTCGAAATCACTGTTTTTCATAAAATGTATTTGTAAATCTTTAGAAACAGAAAGAACCATAGAAATCAGCTAATTCAACATCCACAGGTACAGCTATGAAAAACAGGTCTAAGTACAGGACTGACTTTGGTTGTTCATTTCAGAAATATGAATGTAAAAATATACTTATTATGATTAGAAGCATAGCACATTATAATTCTGAGTAATTTATAAATTAACAGGAAACCCAAGGAGGAAAATTTAAATTACTTAGAAATCTACTACAGAGAAATAGTAATAAATGTTTTCACGTATCTGTATCCAACTATTTATTTGTAATATACACATATATGAAGATACCCACATTAAGAAAATTGGCATTATGCTGTAAATTATTCTGCCCCCTGTTTTCACCTTCATATATAAAACATATTTTTTACACTGTTAAATATCTGTCTAAAATGTGGTCATTAATAGTTATAAGAAATTTATCTGTTTCATAATTTATGTAACCTGTCACTAAAGAGGTTGGTTACATAGTTTGCATCGCATATTATCAGTAAAATGGTGCTAAACGTCCTTGTTTCTAAATTTTTGCATGTATCTGATTCTCAAAAAGTGAATTTGTGGATACTGAATGTTAATATTGTTTTGAATGTATTTTGACAAATTGCTTTCCATCAAGGTTGTACCAGTTTACTACCCATTGTTATATTAGAAATATCCCATTTCCCAAAGAGCTTTCTAATATTCATTTTTAACTCTGCAAATTTGGTAAGCACGAAATGGTATTTCATTGTTGTCTTTCGATTACCAGAAAGTTTTAACACCGTCATATATTCATGTGTTGTTTGTAATTTCCATAATTTCTTGGTAAATAGCTCTATTAAGTAATTCTTTCTCAGCCTCAGCTTATGTCCTTCCAAATCCTTACACAACATGCAGAGGTCTTCCTGGATACACGCACGATTCTCACTAGTGCCATTTGCACTAATTTGTTTCTCTCTCCTCCAATGTAACATTTTGAATTTCAATCATCATCTGTGGGGTGCTGACTTATCCCATCGGGCCTCACTGTTTCTCTACTTTCCGAGCTTAATGAGCTTAATCCTTCTAGCAAGAAACTCAGAAAATCCACTCATGCCATGTGGTTCTTTAATTTGGAACAGATAAGGCCATGCCACTTAAGTAAAGAGAAAGTTACGTTAACACTCCCATGCAGGGCCTTGCACTAGAAACCAGTCTGGAAAGCAGCTGACCTCACTTAAAATGGTTCTACTCCAAGTTATGACAGTGACTATATCTGAGTCCCTTAGAATATTCCTTTATTTTTCTCACTCACAGTACATTATTTGGTACTTTCTTAACATCAGGCCTCTTCGTATCAGTATCTACTGTTTTAAATTTATTGACATTGTTTGTGTTACAATGCACCTTTGCTTGGCTGGTTATTATTCATAGCTCCATAAGAAACATTAAGCATTTTCACAAATAAAACTGACAACTAGCAGAGCAAATATATTTTAAAAATACTACAAAGAGGGTCTTTGAACTCTTTGAGGAACAATTATAGGTATATATTTTGCTGTATGTGGTCTCTTTATAAGATTACAGACTAGGCACCACTTTTTTTCTTTTTTTAGTTGGAGTCTAACTCTGTCACCCAGGCTGGAGTACAGTGGGACGATCTTGGCTCACTGCAACCTCCCCCTCCGGGGTTCAAGTGCTTCTCCTGCCTCGGTCTCCCAAGTAGCTGGGATTACAGGTGCATCCACCACGCCCAGCTAATTTTTGTATTTTTAGTAGAGACGGGGTTTCACTATGTTGGCCAGGATGATCTCGAACTCCTGACCTCAAGTGATCCTCCTGCTTCAGCCTCCCATAGTGTTAGGATTACTGGTGTGAGCCACCATGCCCGGCACAGGCAGTAATTTTTTAAAATTACTTTTAGACAGTGAATAAAATAACCTTAACAAACAAAAACACAGCTTTGCCCATGAAATATGCACACTATCTTAAGCTTAAATTTAAAATAATAGTAATAGCATAGACCAGTATGCTATTCAGAGCTTCCTGTGCTGGTGGGAATGTTGTGAATCTGAATCGTATAGTGTGATTTCAGTAGCCACATGTGGCTACTATGAACTTGCAATATGACTAGTGAGCCTGAGCAATTGAATTTTTAATTGAATTTAATTCATTAACTTCATCTTAAATAGCCAGATGTGCCTAGTGGCTATCATGTTGGATAGGGTAACAATAGACCATATCCATTAATTAATTTATTTAATTAATATTTAATTAAATAAAATATTAAATGCCAAGTGTAATATTTACGTAAACATTATTCTTATTTCTTCTTTGCTTTTTAAAAGGCACCAGAATATTAGATGTGATTAAATAATAAATTTTCAAATATAAGTGTATTTATTAAATAACAAATTTTCAAACATAACCATTATAACTAATTTTTCCCATAGAAAACAATTTGCAATTTTGATTTAGTGGTAGGACACATTCACTATAATTATGTAGCAGCTATAATGAAAATATGTGGTCAAAACTTACGAAAAATACAAATAATCTTGGAAAAACTTGAACTTTTTTTTATTCTATAATATTTTCTAGAACCCAGTGCAAGCCCTTTCAGAGGAACTAGGCCTCGTTTGTTATTTTCAAAGTTGTAGTCTTCTCATTCACTTAAAAACAGATCAATCGACAGATCTCCAGTAAATTATGTCATCTTACTTTTGCTCACCTCAAAATGGAAAACCCTTCAAAAGTATTCATTTTTCAGAAGATAAAATTGCTTCTCTTAACAGCACAATTTCATTAGGTGCTTACATTCTCAAGTATACACTAGCTCACCAAAGGCTCAACAAAAGCAGAAATAAATAGAAATCATGATGTTTTCTCATAAAGTAACTACTCATAAAACACTTCCAAGAAAGAGAGCATTGTACAAAATGATATTTTATTAGTTTAATGCATCCATTTCTAATGTAAGCTAGTTGACTGACTCTGACTTGATTTTTAAAGACAAGTAAAAAAATCTAAAATTTTCTGGGCATAGAAATCACTGATTAATCAATTTTTACATATTTGAGAATTTTTCTAAAATTTTTATGAACAGGGAAGGCTTTCTTCATGGACTTGTGGTTAAATTCTTTCTTTTATTTCATTTTTTTGATTTATTAACATTTAATCCTATACAATACTTTTAGAGAAAGTAAATTTTTAACAATTTAGAACTGTGTCTAGCTGGGAGCAGTGGCTCGTGCCTGTAATCTCAGCATTTTGGGAGGCCAAGGTGGGAGGATCACTTGAGCCCGCCAGTTCCAGACCAGCCTGGAAGAAAGACACTGGAGACTGGGAAGGGTGGGAGCAGGGAGAGGGTTTGGGGATGAGAAATTACTTATTGGGTACAATGTACACTATTTGGGTGACAGAAACGCCAAAAGCACAGACTTCACTACTACACAATATATCCATGTAACAAAATTGCACTGCTACCCCTTACATTTATACGAATTTAAAAGAAAGAAAAGGAAAAACATTTGCTTCAGTGGCTGCCTCTGAGGCCTTCATTTTGGGATATTGTTTTCTGAGACCCAACACACCCAATTCAATTTAATGAAGTCACAGTCTCCTTTGTGAAAAGGAAAAAAAAAAAAAAAAAAAGAGAGAGAGAGATGTAATGACTTGGCAAATATATATCATGCCTTCTTCCCATAAGTCTCAGGAGCAGGGAGGCATGTTCCCCTGCAAAAACACCAGGTTCAGGACAAGCAGCCCTCAGCAATGGAACCGTGATATTGTCACAGGCCCGCAGCCCACCTGCCTCACCGGCCCACTGTGACACTGCGTGGACAATTTACTGTCCCTCTGCTGGTTACGATTCTCTCTTTATTCCTTAATTGTTTTTTCTTTTATTGATGCATAATACTTTACATATGGGGACATGTGAGTATTTTTACCTGCATAGACTGTGTAATGATCGGGTCAGGGTATTTGGGGTGTCCATCACCTTGAGTGTTTATCAGTTAATGTCTTGGGAACATTTCAAGTCCAGGGCAAAGTAATTATCAAAGGAAGGCAGGAAATGCAGCTGGTTTAAGCCATTAGGAAAGTATACGTGAGAGAAAAATAAATTTGAAGGTTGTTTTAGGTCCTATTTTTTATTTCCTTCATGCTTACTCAAGTAACTTAGGAACTCTGGCCATTTAAGTTTTACCAGTGTCCTGAAACTTTGCAAGCAATGAGGGAATGTTGACAGGAAAATCTAAAAGGCTTAAATTAGCATTTCACGCTCAACTAAGGTTTATGTTTTATTGAATGCCTAATGACATTATTATTTCAGAGAATTAGAACTACAGAGAGAGATTTTAAAAATGATTCTGGCAAATGCATTTTTTATTTGTAGCTACTTTATTTAACAACTCCAACTAGCTAATTCTGCTAATGCATTGCACTTTTCTGTGGGAAGCTTGTAGCCACTATAATAGTGTCATTTGTATCTCAAGAGTCTCTCTTCTCCTGAGTCTTCATGCTGGAAATGAATCTTGTGGTTATACGATACAGGCTATTTCCATTAAAGAGTACTCAGTAAACGGTGCTTGTGCTGGACTCGATTTGAACCAGAAAAGAAATAAGATACAACCATATGGAGCCAGTCATTAAGCATTGGCAACACATAAATAGGGAAATGTTAGTGAATCATTCATTTGACAATTCAGACAAAATATAATACTTACACAATATGAGTAAGCCAAGTTAGGAGATTTCTCATATAGTCTCTGTGTGAATGTTATGCTTTCAAGACAGAAAAATAAACTAGATCATGGCTAATCATGCCTCAAGGTACTCATTAGTCTGTGTTCAGTTCAGCTAGAGTGGATATTGATCAAAGAAGATTCTTGGTGTTTCCATATGATCACATTGTCCCTCCTGCTGATGCTGATCAGGCTTTCTAAAACATGCAGTATTTGCACTTTGCAACACATCGCCTTAAGCTTTCGATCACATTTTCTCTCTGTGTGTTAATCCGCTCAGATTTAATTTTTCTTAATTTTTAAAAGGCACTAATGGGTGAGTATTGATCTATTGGAGTTGAATCACCATCGCTAAGACTGAACGTTTAATTCAACTTTATTTTGGCTTATTCTTGAAGAAGACCCATGAGCGAAATATATTTTTGGAATCACATGAAAGCTTCTAGTATTGGCAGGGGTAACCACAATTCTAATTACTTGTTTCTGACAGAGGTATCTCTGAAATACTACATAAATGACCATTTGGAAGTTGTCGTTAATTGGCAGGTCATCAAACAACAATAATTCTCATTAATTTGGGTTTTGTTAAATTCAACTCCTCTCAATAGTTAGAGGTTTCTGAGCAGGTAATAGAACTAGCATAGCAAAAAATGGTCACACTTTCTCTTTACTCCATACGCACGATCAATAACTCTCAGAAGCTTCTCAATCATTGTTAGTAGTTGAGAATTTCAAAGTGTAACATGAAATAAAAGGAATAGTAGTATTTTAAGCACCAAGTAATATGACAGGTACTGTGCAAAGACTCAAGAACCCCCCCTCCTAGTGATCTTATGGAAAGGCCACATTATTTATTTATTGATAAGAACTTAATTGTTTAGCAAAATACATGGGAAAGCAATACGTAGGAATGAATACTATTTAGACACAGACAGAAGATGAGCCATCTTTTTATTTGTCTTAAAAACTAAAAAAAAAATGATGTGATTTATATACTTCATGAAACCTTACTATGTACCATGAAACCAGCATTTCCTCTGATTTTTATGAAGTTTACTTTTTGAAAAATGTATATGCATCTTTCAGTTATACCAAAATTTCACTGGATTAGAGTTCTTAAACAGTGTTTTCCAATGTGATACGCCTGAGATATTTTCAGCCTGTGACCCAGAGCCACTCCTAGCCCCAAAAGGGTTTGCTTCGACCCTTTCTCCACCCCTTCTGCAGTATAATGTCATGATGAGTAATTAGAAGTGGAAAAAAAGACACAGGAAGGGGAACATCACACAATGGGGCCTGTTGTGGGGTGGGGGAAGCGAGGAGGGAAAGCATTAGGAGATATACCTAATGTAAATGACGAGTTAATGGGTGCAGCACACCAACATGGCACATGTATACATATGTAACAAACCTGCACATTGTGCACATGTACCCTAGAACTTAAAGTATAATTAAAAAAAAAGATATGAGTAGAGGGAAGGAGAGATACTTATAGGTTGTTAGTAAACATTTGACAGCCTCTGCAAGTTCTCGGATGAGTAGGTATCTTCCTTTTCTGAACACTTCTACTAAAAGGTAACTCACTATCATCTGGGCCACCACACTCCCTGCTCTATATTTTAGAGGAGGTCATCGTTGGGTGTAATGATTTCAATATAAATTTAACTTTCTCTAAGTGAGGAATGGAGAAAAATTACTAGAAGTTTGATTCCAGGATTGTAGTGTGATTTCAGTGAGTTTGGATCTATAGAGATTATATTATTAAATGCAGCAAAAAACTTGTATGATCTAAGGTTGTCATATTAAAGTTAGGCAAAAAGTGTATCTAATATGTATTGAGCATTTACAATGTGAAAGGGACTGTCTAGCAATATTCCTATATTATCTCATTTTAATCCTCAAAGCAATGCAGTAATATAGGTGCTATTATCCCTGTTTTATAGATAAGGAAACTGAGGCACAGAAAAGCTAGCAAAGGAGCCTGAGGCAACACAGATTCCTCACAGCAAAACTGTGGTTTGAGCCCAGACAGAATGTTCCAGAGCACATTATTAACCACTATGACGCTCAGTGGCTCACACCTGTAATCTCAACACTTTGGGAGACCAAAGTAGGAGGATTGCTTGAGCCCAGGGGCTCAAGATCAGCCTGGGCAACATAGCAAGACCCTGTTTCTACCAAAAAAGTTTTAACAAATTAACTAGGCATGGGGGTGCATTGGAGTAGGCCTGTAATCCCATCACTTTGGGAGGCCAAAGCAGGGGGATCACTTGAGTCCAGGAGTTGAAGACCAGCATGGGCAACATAACCAGACCCCATTTTTACAAAAAATAAGGACAAAATTAAGTGGGTATGGTGGCAAATGCCTGTAGTCCTAGCTACTTGGGAGACTAAGGTGGGAGGATCGCTTGAGCCCAGGATGTCCAGGCTGCATTGAGCCATGATTGCACCACTGACTGGGCAACAGTGGGAGACCCTGTCTCAAAAATAAAAATAAAAACAGTTTATAGCCCCACTAATTACTGATAGATGTGGTGTTATTCCGGAAATGCATTCTTATCAGTACAGGCATTTCAAGAGAGGAATAAAATGCTGACAACATTATTTTTCCACTTACATTGACCAAACCCAGGCGAGCACATTAGTATAAGGCTTAAAAGGGGATTTTAAGTATATTTAAATGTTTTGTTGTGGTTTGATGTTAAAATATGTTTGCTTATATTTTAAATGATTAGAGTTCTTGTCAAAGTCTCCATCTATCTTCTTCCTCAGGGACATTGATGGATTTGCTAATGATTTTTAAACTACATCGTGCAATATAAATGCTAATTAACCTTCCTTAGATATGATACTGTATATTTAATACATAGCAATCCTTATTTTTAAAGTGATTTAACTTCCTTTTTTCCCTCCAGCTTTATGGAGATATGATTGACAAATAAAAATCATATGTATTTGAGATATACAGGGTGATGATTTGATATATTTATACATGCTGAAATGTTCCCCACAATCAAGCTAATTAACACATTCATCATCTCGCACAGTTATGTGTGTGTGTGTGTGTGTGTGTGTCTGTCGTGAGAACACTTAAAAATCTATTCTTTTATTGAATTTCAAGCACAATGCAATATTATTAACTATGATCACCAGGAAATGGAAGAATGATTTAACTTCTGTTTTACTTTTATTGAAGAAGTTTATTCTAAACTTTTAAAGCAATCACATTGTTATTCTCCATTAACTTTATTTAGAGTGTGAAACATTTCTAATTACCCATTTCTAAACACTTTAGCTTTAGTATGGAAGAAATGGTATCATCTTACCTTCTTGATTTCATGAGTCAAAATCTTTGAAAATATGTAAATTTATCCAAAAAAATCTTTAGTATAGTCTGAGTGAGAATGAGTCGAAGCCTTAATAGGTAAGTGAGATATCTGAGACCCTAATCAACACTTTCAACTTCGCTGATAAAAAGACTTCTGGTTACTTGACATGTGATTTTTACATATTTTGTAATCAGTCTTCTCACAGGATGAGGCTTAATTTTAAAACCACATTGGGCTATATGTATATAATTCTATATCCATTATTAAAATGCTGTTGTTTTGTAAGCGAGGAAAGGTTAAAAATTGATTTTTTTTCCTTTTTTTTCTAGATGTTCGAAGAAGAACAATTTATGAATACCACCGAGTAGAGCTACAAATGTCAAAAATTACCAACATTTCGGCTGTGGAGATGACCCCATTACCCAGTAAGCGAATATGTAAACCTAGGTGGAAAACATGATTTCTAAATTTGATGATCTGATCTGTTCAATAGTTATAATAATCATATTAAATAATTACCATTATAATTGTGTTTGGCATGCATGGGCATTTTGCTCCTGAGGATTAGGGGGCAGTGATTTTTATTCTGGTTGAGTAATCTCTTTCCCCTCCAAGTTGCCTGTTAGTCTTGGTGAATCTGTTCTTTCCTCTTCCCTAGCATGCCTCCAGTTTAACAGATGTGGCCCCTGTGTATCTTCTCAGATTGGCTTCAACTGCAGTTGGTGTAGTAAACTTCAAAGGTAAAAATATAATAATAAGAATAATAATAAAATTTAAAAAGATATTTTAAAAGATTAGAAATTAAAAATAACTTATGGACAGGTGCAGTGGCTCACACTTGTAATCCCAGCACTTTGAGAGAAAGTAGGAGGGATGCTTGAACCCAGGAGTTCAAGATCAGCCTGGGCAACATAGCAAGAACCTGTTTCTACCAAAAAAGTTTTAACAAATTAACTGGGCATGGCAGGTGCGTGCCTGTAGTCTCAGCACTTTGGGAGGCCAAAGCAGGAGGATCACTTGAGCCTAGGAGTTGAAGACCAGCCTGGGCAACATAGCCAGACCCCATTTTTACAAAAAATAAGAAAAAAAAAGTCCCACTGAATTTGAAGTGGATGTCAAAAGTGTAGCATATGTATGCATTAGCAATATTGTATGTATAAAATATATAGATATCATGATCAAAATGCAAAACAAAACTCGTAAGTGGGTATTTTACTATTTTCCTTTGTTTGAGAGCTCAAAATTACTAACAGCATTTATAGTCAGTAAGGCCATTATCTGACATATATTTATAATTCTCTGTGGGACTTAAAATACAGGATGATTATAGAGCAGTTGATGAGCCTATAAACCAAAGATTTTGGTTCATATTCTACAGAAAGCATGTTATGAGATATATTTTCATAGCAAGGGTGGTTTATAATAATCACATGAACATTCTTAGTAAATTTCTATGCAATATCTCAAAGGTTATTAGTCAAGATTGGAGATATAATCTAATACAAAAATAGAACATGTGGTTTTGATGTCATGTTGTAATTAGCTAACCCTGAAACTTAAGCTGCATAATTTACTGGTGTCAAAGAGGTTTACTGATTTTGACAAGTGGCAAAGATGGTTTTTCAGTTGCTAGAGCTTTTCAGAGACTGAATAATCATTTGTTGGAAATACAGGATGAAGACTTGTAAATTTGTTTTGTTATTTACTCAACCATTTTGTGCCTCAGTTATGTTCCGGGTACTGGGAACACAGCAGTAAACAATATTGACATGGTCCCTGCCCCCCATGAAGTTTACAGTCTGCCTGAGAATAAGTCCCTTTCTCACCTTCGGAGTCTATGAAAAATGTTTCTTTCCCCAGGAGGGAAACCGAATATTCATGCTGTTAATCCGTGTATGTTACACCCGAGCTTTCGGTTGTATGAGCAGTCTGTCTTATCATCTTCTTGCTATAGCATTTGCTGTAACGATAAAGACATGCTCCAGGAATACTTTAAAACTTATTGAAGAATGCAAAAATAAAATGCCGATATTTTGATCACAAGCTTTGGGAAACATTTTTAACTCACTAACCTTAGAGCAACTACTGCAGTATTATGGCTAGAACAATATTATTTATGATAACGTCTGTTTTGTTTTCGATTTAACAGGGCGTTCTAGTTATTTCCTTTGTGAAATTAATTCCAAATAATAAAAAAGCAAGCAGGTAGTTTGCAGTTTTAAAAGGAGATTTTTAAGTTAGTTATATATCCAAAGTAGGAGGAACTGCTATAAAAGCAAAGGTTTCTGGTTATTTATATTGATATTTTACTAAGTTTTCCATAAAGATTATATGCATATCAGAAGTTATTCAAAATCTGTTTAGATAACGACATAAGGGAATCTAAAGAGACGGCATTTTAATATGTATATTTAAGGAACTCTCAGCTCAGAAATGGAAAATGTCCAAAGGAATTAAATAGGAGGCACTGGTTTGAGCTGCATACCTACTTCAGATCCATTTCAGTGATCACCTCGTCCAAGTCTGCATGAGGTGCCTATCAGCTATGTTTCTTTGCATCCTGGGCAAGCCGCCATCATTAGCATTTTGTGTAGGGCTTGCTGACGCTTGTTCATTTGTCGTCTTCTTTGCTAGGCTCTAAGTTTATTAAAGGCAGAGACCATATCCAATTTGCCCTTATATCTCCAGAGCCTAAGAACATACCTGGGACTGCAGAAAAAAATGGATGAACAAAGGAATAATGATTAGCTTCCAAACGAAGGAATCATGCTAAAATTTGTCTAGCACAAAGGGTTTCCCAAGATGAGGGACTTTCAATGCTAAAACCAGGAAAGTCCAGAAAAAAAACAAGGACCATTTGACCCCCCTAACCAGAAGACAATTAGAAGAATTTTTGACTTAAATCATTTTATGGTAAATGAAGGTTTTGAAGGTTCATCTAGAAACCTGCTTACCACTGACCATTTCATTTTTTAATATAATTTTTGATGAAATATATGTTTAAACTTCCAAACAAGCAATTTTGACATTCGAAACATATCTGCAAGTTGGAATCTGCTTCTACTGTTAATACTTTCAGTTTATTGAGAGATGTCTCTGCCAGACATTAAGCCAAGGAATTTTCAAATATCAAACTTAACATTTTCACAGTGAAGGAAACTGAAATTTTTAGGAGCTGAGCTACGTGTGCAGGGTCTCATAGCTCATAAGTGATAAGTTTGGAATCAAACCTCCGTCTTTGTGACACCCAGCTTTTGGTCTTGTGTTTTCAATACCTGCTCTGTGTCACACCTGCCAGGTTGCAGGTGCATTAAGCAAGATAATTTTCATTGCTTTCTGAAAAATTGTAGACATATTACTGAAAAATAAATCTTTCCTAGTTGATACCACAAGAAAGTATCATCGTTTTGAAACTGGCGTAAGAAGAATGTAGAGGAAAATCGAGCAAAGTCTAAGACTTTTGCATATTATTGAAAGCATAGTTTCTTTAAGATTACTGGGGAAAAGAGAGTTGGTGAGGCATATGAATGAGAAAGAAATTCATCAAAGAACGCTACTAAAAAAAACTACAAGTTTTCTGAATGTTACCTTTTGGTGTTTTATTGAATACCGAACACTTACTTAAAATCTTGGATTTATTTTTAATTCTTCAGCAACCCAGTTATATACATATCAAAACCTGTTTAATTAATCGGTTTAACTATGCCTCATTGCACTTTTGTTCAACTTAATTTCCCCACTGCATTTTATTAATTTCTCCTTAGACCTGTAATCTTCGAAACTTTGCTTTGCTGCCCAGAAGCATTTCCCCAGACTTTAGAGCTTTTATGAACAAATTCAACAAAACAGGAGAAGTCTTATCCTAAGCAGCACAAAAATTGCCCCTCTGATTTTTTTCTCCCATAGCTCTTACTTTCTTCTTTGTGCTTACTTATCCCTGAATGATAATCGGTTGGTGGTAATTACTGAACTCTCAAGTAGGGCTTGCTCTAAAAAGATAAGATAATTTTAATTGGTTTGTTTATTTCATTTAATTTCCATTTTTCAAGGAGCAAAAACTAAGGCAAAATGTTTGCAATGGCTTTCCCAAGCTCTGAGAGAATTTGAGTTAGAGGAACATAAGGAGATCCATGATCTCAAGTGCTTACTAAAATTACTTGGTCCATTTCTTTGAACTAAGAGTGCTTATGTTTCCTCATTGCAGACTGAGAATACCTAATCAATCACTTTCAACTGTACCTTATAGCTTCACTCATTCCACAAAAATCTGTGAGTGTCTCTGTTCAAGTCACTTACCAAGATTGTGCATTCAGTAGTGAAAAAAGACAGACAAAATCACTTCCCAAGGAGAGCTTTCATTTTGGTATACGGAGACAGAGTTTAAGCAAATAGATATATAGAAAGCAGAGTTAATAGTGATGAGTGTTATGGTAAGAGAAATAAACAGGAAAATGTAAGGGGATAATATAGCAAAATTGGTAACAATAGCAGGAGTTTACTTTTTGATATCGTCTTTAAGTAACCTTGCTCTTTTGAAGAGAGCATGGTTTGATTAGTTTTTAAATGAAAATATGTTCTTTGCACTTAAAGTATTCATTCACTCATGTATTTACTTAACAATGTATAGAATGCATAACACATGTCAGGCATTGATCTAAACACTGAGGTAGTTAGAGCTATAATCAAGTTTTAATCAAAACCATAACTCTCATGGAGTTTGGAGTTTAGCTTAGTAAGCCAGAAAATTAATGAATTAATAATTAGGCAAACAAAGTCAGATAGTGATGGATTGTCTGCTGGATTTGAAAGAGCCAGTAGTTGTTCTTGACTCGGCGGCCAGGAAAGGCTTTTTGGAGGGGGTAATAAATAAACAAAGATCTGAATGATGGGTAGGCAGCTACAGCGAAGTGAAAGCAAAGAGCCTTGCAATGCCATTTGAATGGCCCACGCACTGGCCCTATGGTGGGTCCAAGCTTGACCTGATGAGGAAAGGAAATAAGCCTAGTGCATTGGGAGAATTCCCAGCTGGTTTGGAGTGAGAGTGACATCAGATAAGCTCAGAAAGCTACCCAAGTGCTGGGACACAGATGACTCTGTAAGCTAGGGAGAGTTTTATCCTCAGAATAATGGAAAGCATTTAGACTTTATAACTTATGCGAAGAAGGGATGTGATTTTACCATATTAAAAAAATGGAACTTTGGCTGCTTCATGGAGAACAGAGTTTTTGTTGGTTTGTTTATTTGTTTGTTTGGGGAGTGGTTTAGAATGAAAAGGAAGAGGCTGGTAGTGAGCTTGTGCAATAGTGCACAGGAGGTATGATAGTAACTTGGACGAGGATGATGATTCTGAGGATCAGGAGAGATGAATGAATGCAAGGTGTTTGGGAAGGAAACCGGTTATTTGTGTGTGTGTGTGTGTGTGTGTGTGTGTGAATGAAGTTTATTGAAGTATAATTTACATATAATAAAATACACACATTTTAAATGTATGAGGCAGCTTTAAAAAGCGTAAATTCCCATGTAACCATCACCACATCAAAATACAGATTTCCTTCATGTTCCTTTACAGCGAATTCCTCCTCACCTGGTACCACCACCTTATGTAGCAACCATTGATCTTCTTCCTATCATCATACATTTATTCTGCCCAATCTACACCTATATATAAAGGGAATCACACAGTATTTACAATTCTGAATTTAGCTTTCTTTCACTCAACGTAACATTTTTTCAATTAATCCATACTATACTAGTTCAAATATCAGAAATTTGGTCCTTTTAATAGCTGAGTGAGTGAATACACAACAATTTATTTACTATTTGCCTGTAGATGAAGACTTGGGTTGTTTTTAGAGGCTTTTATGAGTGATGAATAAACCCACTATGAATATTCATGTACAACTATTTTTACAGACAGATGTTTTCATTTCTCTGGGTTGGGTGGTAAATAAGTAACTTTAAAAGGGACTATCAAATTGGTTTTCTATAGTGGTTGGCTATTTTACATTTCTTTTTTTTTTTAATTTTACTTTAAGTTCTGGGATACATGTGCTGAACATGCAAGTTTGTTGCATAGGTATACATGTGCCATGGTGGTTTGCTGCATCTATCAACCCACCATCTAGGGTTTAAGCCCTGCATGCATTACATATTTGTCCTACTGCTGTCCCTCCCCTTGTCCCCTACTCCCTGACAGGCCGTGGTGTGTGATGTTCCCCTCCCTGTGTCTGTGTGTTCTCATTGTTCAACTCCCCCTTATGAGTGAGAACATGAGGTGTTTGGTTTTCTGAAACAGATTATTTACTAATGAATTAGAAGTGAAGTAGATGGGAAAAAGAAGAATCAAGGATATTTCTTAGATTTCTGTTTCAGCAACTTGGTGGATTTTGGCACTCTTTTGAGATGGGTAAGACAGCACAAGAAATAAAGACTAGGATGAAAAGAAATAAAGAGTTTGCTTTGGGACAAGATAAGTCTGAGATGCCTATCAGACTTCAAGTGGAAATGTTGAGTAGATAGGGGATATGTAAGCCAGGAATTCCAAGAAAGGCTAGAGGTTCAGATTGTAGAATCATTATCATATAGATAGTGTTTAAATTCATGGGACTGAATGAAATCAGCTATGGAGAGAGTATAAATTGAAAGCAGCTTAAGAGGTTTCAGAAACTGACCTTGTGGCATGGCATCATAAGGTATGATGCTAATTTTTCATTACATAGAATTGTTTTAAATACATTTACATACAGGTATGTTTGGATAGACATAGAAAACCTCTGAAAAGATGTGAGAAACAACAATATTTGTCACTCAGGAAACAAGTGAAGAGGGAGAGACATGAGACTGTTACTGTTTATTATGGACTTTTTGTATGATTTGAATTTTTGCCACCTGAATTGGGAGACAGAAGGAGGAACCAGCAAAGGAGAAATAAGGAAACATAAGCTCTTCTAAGGAGTAGAAACGCACTTTTACTCATTTTAGCATCTTCCACAATACCCAACACAGTGTCTGGACAAATGCAGATATTTTACACCTATGGTTGGACTGAATTATGCAGATAATTGAGGCCAGGAATATCTACTTTCCTGAGAATTCTAATTGCCCATTTTGGCTGTTACTATCCACTGGGTTTTGTCAATGTTAACCAAATTGCTATAGAGAGAAGTAAATTGGAGCATGGCATAAGATATTCGCAGTGAGGCATGTTGAACACTTAACCTCTTGGTGTTAGTCTTTTGGTGCCTCACTTTAAAACAAAATTTTCCACCTCATATTTTCTTTGATCCAATCAAAGTTATAAGCTTGCTCCTGGTAAAAACATATAAATAAAAGTATTCCATGATTCCATCCATTAAAAGAATAAACAGAATAAGCCCCTCCTTATTAATGGTAAAGATATGTATTTACAGAATAGTAGTATCACATAATTATTTGGGAAAAAATATGAGATGATGGAAAAAAGATATTTCCTAACAACTTTTCTACATTTTTCAACTTTGTTATTTCTACTGCATTTCCCTGAGTGTACTCTGGAACTGCTGTTATTTTCCATTGAATGAACTTAATTCCTTTGCAGTAATGAAAAGAGAAACAAAAAGAATCACCTATATTTCATAAATTAATTGATTTAAAAGTAGGCGCCAGTGTTATACTTGTTTTATGTGTATATAAAACATAATATATAAAAATTATATGTAATATATAAATTATATTATATATAAAATTGTATACAAACGATATATAGTTTTACATAGTGAAATCTAAATAAATCATGTGTATTATATTTCAAAAAATCTGAAAATTTATCAAGTCAGAAATGTTGGCTAATTGGTTAATAATATGAAAATGTATTATTGATTAAAATTAATTAAGGGTTAAAATAATTCCTTCTTACATAGGGGCAGCTAATTTTTGCAAATAAACTGCATTCATATCATATGCTCATTTAGCTTACAGAAATTAAACTAAGTTTGGAAACAGACAGAGACAGAAAACAAATTTAAGTAGTTCAACCAATCCAACCTTTCCCAAATCACTAATCTTTTGCTTCTGAATGAAAGTAACAGAGAAACATGAATATGCCTTTTTCCTTTGGTTTTGTCTCTATGTGCCCCTTTAAGTGGGTATATTTGCAGCATTAAGTGTGATTTTAATAAAACTGTGGGTATGTCCTTTGCAGGGATATGGATGAAGATGGAAACAATAATTCTCAGCAAACTAACACAGGAACAGAAAACCAAACACCGCATGTTCTCACTCATATGTGGGAGTTGAACAATGAGAACACACAGACACAGGGAGGGGAACATCACACACTGGGACCCGTCAGGGGATGGGAGGCAAGGGGAAGGAGAGCATTAGGACAAATACCTAATGCATGCGGGGCTTAAAACCTAGATGGCAGGTTGATAGGTGCAGCAAACCACCATAGCACATGTATACCTAGGCAACAAACCTGCACATTCTGCACATACATCCCAGAACTGAAAGGAAAAAAAAAAAAAAAAAAAAAAAAAAACTATGGGTATTTTCCATACAGTGAGGTTTTCAAAGTAAGCCAACAACTTTATGTAGGGTCAACCCAAGGCCTCACAGTCCATTCTGACATTGCAGGAAAAACTGGGTGTATTAAGAGACAATGTGTCAGGCTCCTGAAGAATGTCATACCAAGGGAATTCCTAGCATATTTTGACTTTATCTGAGTTTTGCCTACTTGTTCACCACAGAGCCTAGCCTTCCAACAAGGGGCAGCTTCCATGCTCATCCTTCAGGGGCATATAAAGCATTCTCTTGGACTAATTTAGCTATAAGAATTTTAAGATTGAAAGGAGAGAATTAGGACACCACAATTGTTGAATGACAAGCCAGATATTCTTGGAATATATGACCAAGAGTAAAATTTGTAAATTAAAATAAATCACTAGTTAGAGTCAGTATAATTGTTCCTGTTCAAAGGTACCTTTTATATCCTAGAGACAAAGCATTGCTTATAACCCTTTTGCCATTATGGTCTAAGTTCATATTTGAAGCTACTTTTAGACTATAAATTTACATGATTGTTTCATATAAGGAAATTAACTCACTTTAGTGATTAGTTGTGAAATTCATACCTAATAATCAAAATGAAAGCTATGTAGGAAATCCAAGAGCCCGGTTCTAAAATTAATTACAACTTTAGGCTTATTTTAATGGTTTGGGATAGGATAAAGTTTTGCTTGCCAAAGCACCTAATTTCAGATAGACATTTAGAACTCACCAAGCATTAAGAGTTTTACAAACTTTTGTTGATCCAGGTTCCAATATGCTGACTTCCTTGTAAGTTGACACTCCTTCTTTTTGCTTATCAGAATTACTGATTAGTAATATTCTGATAGCTAAAAATGTTATAACTTTCACTATATAAGTTGAATGCCAAGTTTAAAATTAAAAATACGAATCTACTTCTAATTTGGACAAAATCCATTTTTGTCTTTGCTAAAAAAAGTCCTTGCTGAAATATCAGATTCAACAAAATTATTTAATTGAAAAATATTAATTGGAATACTTTATTGTCATGCTACCTAGTCATCATAGACAGAAAGAGAGAACTGCTGTCATTTCTAATTGAAGGCGTCAAAGAGAGATTAGACTTTAATTGTTTGCAGTTAACAACAGTGCATAAATTGCTCATAAGTCTGAAATTGATGACCACACTAGCGTAGGTCTGAACTACATGAGATTCTTTCTCTAGAGTGTATTCTTTTTCTCTTTAACTTTTATTTTAGGTAAGAAGTACACATGCAGGCTTGTTATATAGGTAAACTCACGTCATGGGGGTTTGATATGTGGATTATTTTGTCATCCAGGTACTAAGCCTACCAACCAATAGTTACTTTTTCTGATCCTCTCCATCCTCCCACCCTCCGCCCTCTGGTAGGCCTCAGTATGTGTTGTTCCCCTCTTTGTGTTCACGTTTTCTCGTATTTAGCTCCCATTTATAAATGAAAACATGCAGTATTTGGTTTTCAGTTCCTCGGTTAGTTTGCTAAGGATAATGGCCTCCAGCTTCATCCATGCTCCTGCAAAGGACATGATCTTCTTCTTTTTTTATGGCTGCGTAGTATTCCATCATGTATATGTACCATGTTTTCTTTATCCAGTCTACCATTGATGGGCATTTACATTGATTTCACGTCTTTGCTATTGTGAATAGTGCTGCAATGAATATATGTGTGCATGTATCTTTATTCTAGTAGGATTTATATTCCTTTGGGTATATACCCAGTAATGGGATTGCAGGGTCAAATGGTGTATTCTATAGTAAGTGTATTTGGCTTTCTGTGTCAGGAGGTACTCAGCTGCCGGGTACCTGAGGTTGAGGAGCATTCAAAAGTTGAGGAAGCATTCCTGAGTTATTCAAAAGATTCAAAAAAAAATCCCAAGAATACTATGGGAAAGGAGGCCATATTTTATGACCTTAGGTGAATTACGTGGAAATGTCTGGTTGGATACCTAGTGGCACAGCCAGCAATAAACAATCTCACCTTGAACAAAGCAATAAAGCCTGCTTACTCTGTATCCCAGAATGGAAAATACATCTGGCCTCTAGATATATCAGATTCTGATATTCCTTAAAGCTGAATGGACCCAATTTCAGTAGTTCTCAAAATTTCTTTTTTGTAGATCTTTTTGCTTTTATTATCTTTAATTGACATAACAATTATACACATTTATAGGGTACAGTGTGATATTTTAATACAGGTATACAATGTATAATGATCAAATCAATATAATTAACATATCAATCACCTTAAACATTTAGTATGTCTTGGTGTTAGGAACGTTTAAAATCTGCTCTTCTATTGTATATTTGAAAATATACAATAAATTGTTAATTACAGTTATTGACATAACTGTAATTCCTAGCACATAATTTACTTCAAAGCTTTTTGCAGGTCTTCTTAATGGGTAAGGCTGCATGTCTGACTCAGAAATGGATAGAAAATAAATGCTTTAGCTTTTAGAAAACATCATCAAAATCTTAATTAGGATGTTCCTATTAAGAAATGTAAAATAGTCATCTTTTCACTTTTCTGGGGGATAGCTTTTAACAAAAGTGAAAAATCAGAATCGATCTCGATGACACTTTCATAATTTTCTTACAGAAATATTAAAAGAGCTGGGTTGAGTGTAAACATGTATTTTAAATGTCTTTCTATATTTTAACATTACGTTCCCCACAAAACAAATAACTAAACTGTAAACTATTTTTGAAAAGTGTTCTCATTTACCATCATATCAGCCATTTCAATAGAAAACTGTTAATCTAAAGTTCTTTTTATATTCAATACTCAATTAAATATATATTTCATAGAGAAGTACATAATAGATGCTGTTCATCCAGTGATAATAAAAGGATATTTGACTCGTTTCCCCCCAACTCATATAAGTGTAAATAAATGTGAATGTTATTAAATATATACTAAATATGTGTTATTAAATATATATTAAAATAGTTAAAAGTTAATTGCCCAAAAATAGAACACTAGAACTTATTCCTTCTATCGGGCTGTACTTTGTATTCATTAACAAACTTTTCAGTATCTCCCCCTTTCCCCATCCTTTCTTACCCCTAGTAGCCATTATCCTATTCTCTACTTCTATGAAATCAACATTTTTAGCTTCCATGTGTGTGAGAACATGCGGTACTCATCTTTCTGTGTCTGGCTTATTTCACAGCATAATATTAATATTAATACAGTTAAGAATTGGCACAGAATTTTGTCAAGATGCAGATTGCTCTACAGCTCACTAAAGATTCATATTCAGTAGGTCCAAAGTGGATCCCAGGGATTTGGCTTTTTAATAAGCCTTTTTGGGGAATGCTGAGGTAGTCTAGGACTAGGGCAGTAGAAATGCTGATCTTGTATGTCTGAGCTAAGGGGCCTGGAAGCTGCAGTGATTTTGCCTAAGTTGTATGGAAGCACTTATTCATCCTTAATATGGAACTGAGAAATATTATAGAAAAAATCTGTAGATATATTTATTATTAAAACATATTAAGAGCTAATGAAGTTGAGCCTGATAAAAGAAAGTAAGAAGCTTTTGAATAAGTGTAGTGTATATGATAAATAAATCAGAAGATTTTAGAATGTTGTGAACTAGTTAAAAAGATTGGAACTTTCTTTAGTTCTGAGTTGATATTAAATTATTGCTATCCAAGTGGTAATCAGTGTTTTAAAGAAATTTAAGGAGGTTCTAAAAATGCCATACAACTAAGATGGTTGTTTTTAGCTTACAATGCTATAAGAGATAAATTGAACTTTGAATTTATTTTAGTACAAGACCTTTTATAATCAGTTTTTTTTTTCAAATTTTAATGAAGAATCTTCGCTTTTCTATTAAGCTGCTTGTCCTGAAATATAGCATAAACAAGATTGTCTTTTAAGAATGCAAAGTAAAAGTTTATTTTTACCTCCTTTTAAGCCTTCCAAACCTGAGTTTAACAAAAGTGTACTAATTATTTTTGTGTGGATTAAATATAATAATACAGTGAGGTATGATGTTATTTTATCCATAACATAAAAGCATTTTGAAATATATTTTGATGTAAATAATGCTTTTGAAAAAAATACATAAGGTACTAATAACAGGGCTTCCCTTTGGAGAACCTGTCATGAATTGGAAACTGGCATAAAGAGAAATACGTATTACCATTTCATCATAATCAGATCTTTGAAAGATTTGAATTTTTACCACACACACATATTGTGTATAATAAAACCATCGATAAACAAAGGAACACACTTTTTAAAAGAAAGGTAGGCCATATATATATATATATATATATATATATACACATACACACACATATATATACACACACATATATATACACACACACACACATATATATATATACACATATATATAAAAGTTTATTAGGGCAATTTGGGCACTCAGAAAAATTCAAAACTTTTCAGAAGCAGAAAATTATCAGTGCCGAATCTATATGCTGCATAACTTTCCTCTGGAAAGATAGTACTTGACTTACTAGATGTGGGATATAAAATGCTTGTAATTCTTGTCTTTTTTCAAAATATGAATAGTGTTGAACTCTGTATATTTATAGCTACCTATATTATCTATCTACTTATTAATAATCTATTTTGCATTTTGGTCTCTGTCTTCTTTTGGCCACTGAGTCATCTACCAGTCTTTAATGAGGGACGTGGATAAAGAATAGAAACCGGTTTTCTTTTTTTCCAAACTCGGAAGAAATAGGTGCTTAAGCCAAGTTCTCCTAATAACTAAGTCCCACCTGAAATATCAAGACATTCTTTTAAGTTATCTTTGATTTTCCAGTCAGCAAATACAGTGTTTGCTTCCCATCTGAGTACCATTTGGCAAACTGGAGATAAAGTCTGCAGAATTATTTAGCATTACATATGTTTATAATTGCTTTTTCAAGATGATCCAAGTAATGTTAAAGTTTTGTTTATATGTTAACCAACTTTGGTGGTTGCACTTTATGTGGTTATAATGTAGAAAGGCTAGACTTCAACAAATTCAATCTAACAAACATATATGGAGTATCTAAATGGAGCATTTTAGTGAAAATTATATATTTCATTCCTTTAGCTTGCTTGCACTAATAAAATGAGTTCCCCTGGAAATAATTAAAAGTTAATTGTCCAAAAATGAAGTTGGAATCACTTTAAGAACAGTAGGTGCTAAATTGGTATGGAAAAAAATATCCTTAGAGGACAAGGATATAAAAATTTAAAAACAAAAGGCAAAGCTCACAGTTGGTGGGGAGGGATAGCATTAGGAGATATACCTAATGTAAATGACGAGTTAATGGGTGTAGCACACCAACATGGCACATGTATACATATGTAACAAACCTGCACGTTGTGCACATGTACCCTAGAACTTAAAGTGTAATAAATATATATATATATATATATAAACTGAGTATTGAGTATAAAAGGAACATTACATTAACAGTTTTCTATTGTAAAAGCTGATATGATGGTAAATGAGAACATTTTTAAAAAGTAATTTATGGTTTGATTATTTGTTTTGTGGGGAATCTAATGTTAAAATATAGAAAGACATTTAAAATACACGTTCATACTCAAGCCAGCTCTTTTAATATTTATGTAAGAAAATTATTAAAATGTAATCAGGGTAGTTTTTGATGTTTCGCTTCCATTAAAAGCTATACCCCAGAAAATCGAAATATGACTATTTTATATTTCTTAATAGGAACATCCTACTTAAGATTTTGATTGTGTTTTCTGAAGCCCAAAGCATTTATTTTCTGTCCAGTTCTGAGTCGGAGATGCAATCTTACCCGTTAAGAAGACCTGCAAAGAGTTTTGAAGGAAATTATGTGTTAGGAATTCTGTCATTCATGGAAAAGTGCAAGAAATCCAGAAGAATCATTCTGTATTATTTTAAGCCAATGTGATCAAGTTAATATATATTATTAGGCAAAACAAAGGTAAAGATAATTTAGCATAAAAATAAGATTTATTGGTTGAACAAAGGTCAACATTTTAATTTTCTTTTTCTGGGATATTATAGAAAGCAATTGGCAGATTCTGGATTAATGAGACTAATTTTTTTCTCCTTCCTAGAAAGCCACTTTTACTTTTACCCTCAGTTCTTGAATTTTTTCTTCAATGACACTTCACAGTCAAGGAAGAACTATTCTTATTCTCTGCATGAACCATGGCCTTGGCTGCAACAATTTCTAATGATAGGTTTTCTTAAAAATACACAGATTTTATATTTCTAAAATAATGTCTTCTGATCACCGAGAAGACCTCTGTATTGACCCATGCCCTCATCAGAATTATTCTCTCCTTTCCCTGCACTCCACTAACACAGAGGTTTCTTTTGTCACTGCCCAGATTTCCTGCTGCTTTTGCTGATTTTAAATCACAGGGGCCCTGGTGTGTGTTGTTCCCCTTCCTGTGTCCATGTGTTCTCATTGTTGTGGGGTGGAGGGAGGGGGGAGGGATAGCATTAGGAGATACACCTAATGTTAAATGACGAGTTAATGGGTGCAGCACACCAACATGGCACATGTATACATATGTAACAAACCTGCACGTTGTGCACATGTACCCTAAAACTTAAAGTATAATAATAAAAAATAAACAAGTAAATAAATAAAAAATCACAGGGGCTTTGTAAGAAAGGACGGGAGGGCTGTTTTAAGGGTAAGCCTGCCTTATACCTAGAGATGCTTAAAATATTTATAATAGCTACCTTTTATTTTGTATTTACTATGTGCCACACATTCCATGAAAGGCTTTACTGTCACTGAAGTCTATTAATTATTTGATCTAATTCAAACCTTACAATTGCATGAAGAGTTAAGAGTTAGAATCCTTGTTTTATAAATTAAGTAAATGAGAATTAGGAAGGTGGTAAAGCTTACCCGAGGTTATGAAACTAGGAACTGGTGGAGGCAGGACTTAAAATAAATTTTTTTAGGCTGCATGGATTGTAGAAGAGATGAAAAAGCAAATGCTAAGGTTGAAATTTTTGCTACACGTAGCCTTACCAAGTATGTGCACAGACTGGCTAATCAATCCTAAGCAGTTGTGTCCATCAGGAAAGGGGAAGAAGCCCTTCCTGGCCTACTCTAAACGTTTTACTAGCTTATGTGTACTAACCTCCGTTCAAAAATTATTCCAATGGCATGTTATAAAAGATACATATAAAATTGCCTTTGAAAATAATTGAGGTTATTGCAAAGTGCATAATTGACAAGGTAGGGTCCTCATAAAAAAATTAAAACCACAGACTGGACAAAGTAATAAAAATAGCACACAGAGAATTATGACAAAATGATTTCTGAATAATTAATTAAAATGGCATGTAGCAAAAATGGTGTTTGAAGAATTTGTTATTTTTCATGGGAAAATTATTTCTGTATCACTTTTTTTGCAACATTTTCTACTCATAGATCAGAAAGTGGAGCATATATTTATATTTCTACAGCACCCACATAGAGCCAGACACATGACCTATGAAAAGAGAGAATAATCTTTGATGTTAACATTTTAGAAAAAATGGGCTGAAAATACTTCAGACATTTAAGATTTTAGTATGCAAACATACACCTAAGTTATCTAAAATAACAAAGTGGACAAGAATGCATTTGTAATAGGAGACAAGTATACAAGAAAACTTGACGAAAAAGACTGTCTGAAATTGAACACAGAATCTATAAAGAGACCAATGTTGTCTGTGAATGATGAGAATCAGATTAGTCCCCTCTACACCACATGTCTTAGGTTTGTTGTCCCAATGTCCCATTTAGTCAGTGAGTGCCTCTTTCTCTTACAAAAATATAATGGTTTGCCCCATAAATTATATGGCCCCCTTCCCTAGAATTATTCTGGTATTCCTGGACATCCTCCAGTCATCCCTGCTCTTGTCTAAGTTTTTACTTCATTTGGTACATTCAGAACCTAAGACAGAACTAGAAATTCTATGTTAGTGCAATTATTCTCCATAATGGAATTCTTGTGACACAGACCATATGGCCTGTAAGCCCAGAATATTCACCGTATCTGGCCTACTACAGTACAAGTTTGCCAGATAAATGGAGGATACATAACAAATGTATTGATTAATGGGAAAAAAAGTCAAACATGTAATCACAACAATCTAGTTTGAAAAAAATATTGACTATCTGGTTTTAAGCAGTTTAATGGTGTAAACAGTGATAGTGTGCTATATAAACACTTTTAATGAGTATTATTAAAGGAAACAACAGACAGCAAGTGAGGGACCAAGTCAGACTGATAGAATAGTGTTTGCAGATGAATAATGGAGATGATTTTGAAGGTGTTGAGTTGATGGGTGTTATAAATGGAAGGAGAGAGAACATGAAGATTCAACACTATATATGCATTTTACATATGCTTACATAGCTTTTGCTATAAATATTTTTCGTCTGGATAAAAGGGGTGTGCTCTGAAATTCTAAGTCAGTTTCAGGAAAAGCAAATTTTAAGAAAAAACTACAAGTCTAAGAGTGCTTCTGTTAACATAAGATGACATTAAGTGTATTTTATGAAGCAGAAAATTGCTTCACACCCAAATTCTTAAAATTCGTTTTTTTGTGCTGTCTTTAATAAGACATAGAACATTGGTACACATGAGCTGCATAACAGTCTAATGGAATTAGCATTTAGTAATTTGATATTTTGTATGCCTGACAAATCTGATGTAGAAAAAGCAAGGAAATAGGGAAGAACACTGTTTTATGACCAGAACCATGCTTTAAAGTGGAATGAATTTACTAATTCTTTGTTGGCAATCTACTTAAGGACCTGAGCTTGGTGCAATCTTAGAAACTGACCCAGGCAAGCTCACAAATTTATAATAAAGAGGGTATAACAAGAATTTTAAAAGAAAACAAAGCTTTCTTTATATTAAAGGCACTACTAAATATATATATGTAATTTTTAAGCATTGTTATTAACTTAGACTTTGAGAGACGAATTGAACTCAGCTGTGTGTGTGTGTGTGTGTGTGTGTGTGTGTGTGTGTGTAGTTAAAATTCTCAAGCATGAAGTTTTTAAAATATTAAGGGTATCATCTTGGTAACCTTGTAGCAAACTCTATAAGCCTTGATAAAGTTTTTCCACTGAAATCAATTTACTTCAACTGGGAATAATCATCCTTAAGAGTTCAGATGACAAGGCTGAATTTACCATGAACTCTAAATATGAAGGGAAAAACATAATGTTTTTTGGTCAAAATAAATTAATGAAATTGAACAATGGCTATTTTCAAGTTTGAACGATTAGTAGAAACTAATATAGATTACCACATATTTATTAAAAGATATTCTAATTTAATCTGGTGCTTAGAAAAGGTACCTCACAAATATGATATCTTTTGAAAGATGTAAAAGTCAATTTCATTAAAGAAATATCTTTTTTGAGGTAAATTTATTTTATATATATATATTATACTTTAAGTTCTAGGGTACATGTGCACAACGTGCAGGTTTGTTACATATGTATACATGTGCCATGTTGGTGTGCTGCACCCATTTAACTCGTCATTTACATTAGGTATATCTCCTAATGCTATCCCTCCCCCCTCCCCCCACCCCAGGACAGGCCCCACTTGGACACAGGAAGAAATACCTTTTAACAGACAATGTTCTGCTGATTTTTGTGAGCTTTGCTCAATTACTATTATGTGGCATTATACTCCCTTGCATTGCACCTTCTACGGAAAAAGGTGCTTCTCTTCTTGTAGTCCCCTATCAATATCACATTATCATATTTTAAGTGGGCTCATAGTGCTTACCTGAAAGATTGTATTACATTATAAAAGATAATCATAACAAGCCTAGATGAATTAATGGGGTGAAGTGAACAAATGATTTCATAAAATGGTTCTCAAATTGTTATTTTCCTTAAGCAGGAGGAACATTTTTGAAAAATAAAACTCCAAATATAAAACAGATAAGATGAGATCACCTTGGGTGCAGCCTGTGGTCCGGGCCTCACAGCCAAGTCTATCTCTCCTCCATTGAAAGGGCTACCGCAGCCACTGAGAGACTGCAAAACTGATCCTTGAACTCTGGACAGAGCTCGAAGATCAGTGATTCATGCATGTTTTCCTGGTTAGAAAATGCTAACCTTCTTAATCCACCCAGCCATTCTTTCTGCAGATCATTTCCAAGGACCCAAATCAACCGTGATTAGAAATACTTTGTCTCTTAAGCAACGAGCGGGTGCAGTGGGTGCAAATCAAAGCTGTTTATTTCTCTGGGGCAGTTGTTGGTTGCCCTTCTTTGAGAGATGGGGGCAATGATAATGGTCTTCTCTATTCATTTATTGTTCTTTTCTAAATGTTTATGGTTCAAAAACAGAGTAAAGTTTATGCAAGTTCTCTGAGAAACAAGAAATACTGTCTTTATCCATCTCTCTGTAATTCTCAACACTCCAAATTAAATTCTGGAGTTTATTTGTAGTAAACTAATAAATTAGGAAAAAGATGTTTCCTTGATGAGGCAATTGCCTCATCTAAAATAATTTCTAGTTCTGCTCCACAGTCCAAATTTGCTATCTTGGCAGAACAGAGATGAGTTGATTCATTCATGGTTGATGTTCCCGAGGAAGATAGACAACCTTAAAACACCAGAAGCCATTAAACTGAACAGCACTGAACAAAATCTACTGGTGACAGGACAGCATTTTACAGAGGTACAGCACACCTCAACCCCCAAGATGTTACGTTCCTTTGTCCAAGGCACCAACAAAGTAAAAGTTACAGCTCTCTCTTTTCCCCCTTTATGCATGTAAAGGTGCTATTCAAGTATAACGTTTGGTATGAAGTCAAGAATTCTTAAGAAAGGGTGTCCAAAACGGATTCCTGACACTTCCACTAGTTTTATTTGTTATGGGCTGTTTGCTTTGGCAGCTCACAGCCATGGGGAGAGATCTTTTTCTCCTCCTTTCCTGGAAAACTCAACTCTCAACTCCGTCCTACCAAGATAGCAAAGTTGGATGCTGGAAAGGACCTTTTAGATTTTGATAGAATTCATCTATCAGAAAGAGAAGATTTTCCCTCCCTGTTTTATAACTGATTTCTGTGGCTAAAGAGGCTGAAGTCCTGACTTGGAGGATTTCATGTGGATTTTCTCTATATGTCAAATAATAACATCTTATTTTCAGTTAGCACTTCCCATAAGCACTTCTCGACCTGTGCTAGGTGCCATGGAGGGTATAGAATAAAATAACTGACATTTGTTGAGCACCTTCTATGTAAAACACCAAAAGAGTGCCTTGTTTACATTATCTCATTTAATACACACCCAAACCTAGCAAAGTTAGATTTCAAAATCTCTCTCTTACTGAAAAAGAATCTCAAATAATAGCTTGCTGTAGATACCACCCAGTAATCTCCAGTAGATAGCAGAGAGAGATACCAGCCCCAGTTTTATGCATGCAATTCTAAAGTTCATGTTCCTTCCACTAAATAATGCAGCTTCAAGTTTTGCAGTTGTTAAATGGGAAAAAATATTGAGAAATAGTGTCAAGTTGATGTGAAAATTGTATAACAGACAATTGTTGAACACGGTTCATGTCAACTATTTCACGTTCAAACAGTGTTAGTAACTTGCACTTTTTCCCTCTCTTCTTCCCATTATAGCCATATTAAATGTGGCTTTTTTTTCTGGAAGTAAAAGTGTTGGAAATCACTAATCGGCTTGTTAATTGTTAATTCACGGCTAGAGGCTCCATTGTTCTTAGTGCCTGCACTTGAAAAGAAAGTCAGATGTGGCAAAGTTGGATTTTTTTTTCTAATACGATGCAATGTGCTCCCAAATTCTTCAGGATGTGCTAATTTTCTGCCTAGAACAAGCCTCAGAAGTTGTACTTTTAGTTAACTGGAAATATAGCAGTGTTGTTTAATGGAATAGTCACTTTTAATTATAGATGCCAAAAGCTATGAAAATAACTAATTTTACTCTTAGGAATTATATAACAATAAATATAAGCATCTTTTTCTAAAGTAAAAAATATGCAACATTTCATTCATGTATACATAATCAGAAAAAACAAAACCATTTACCTAATGGCAATCATAGTCTTCCTTCAAAAAACCATATATCAGCTTCAGATTATTATTTATCTTTGAAGATCTATGGTGATTGTTTTTTGTTTGTTTGTTTGTTTGAAGGAGTCTTGCTCTGTCAGCAGGCTGGAGTGCAGTGGCATGATCTTGGCTCTCACTGCAACCTCTGCCTCCTGGGTTCAACTGATTCTCCTGCCTCAGCCTCCTGAGTAGCTGGGACTACAGGCATGTGCTACCATGCCCAGCTAATTTTTGTATTTTTAGTAGAAATGGGGTTTCACCATGTTGGCCAGGATGGTCTTGATCTCTTGACCTCGTGATCCACCCACCTTGGCCTCCCAAAGTGCTGGGATTAGAGGCATAAGCCTCCGCACCCGGCCTTTATTTTTATTTTTTTTCTTGAGATGGAGTCTTGCTCTGTCGCCCAAGCTGAAGTGCAGTGGTGTGATCTCGGCTCACTGCAACCTCCACCTCCTGGGTTCCAGCAACTCTCCCCGCTCAGCCTCCCAAGTAGCTGGGATTCTATGGTGTTTCTAAAGAGGTTGAAGATCTTTCATAAATAAAAAGCCAAATTGTTGAAACATGCATTCAGCCATACTCTGGTTAGTGGCCCAAGTCGTAGTTAAGAACAATCAATGAAGAAATATTTTCCTAATAATATTGGAAAAACTAGCCTGATCTTAAATGTTAATAGCTCTTGATAAACAGAAGTTTTGTATTCATATTTGTAATTATTAAACTTCTGTTAGATAATAAATTTTCTGTCCTAAAGGTGGGTGCTGTAACCTTGATTGGAGTTCCAGTTAAGAGAAGAATACTCCTTGATCAGAGAACATTCCCTAGGGAAGGCAGCTTGGGTTGAATATTTCTGAGGGTGTGAGTAGGATGGGAGGGTAAAAGGGAATATGGTAAAACAGAAGACAAGCAGCTGAAGTATGTTAGAAATCAGAGGGAAATGATTTGGAAAGTAGTTTGTAGAAAGGCAATGCAAAATGTCAGTGAAAATGTTGTGTTTATTAATTGTTCTTTGCGTTTCACTCTCATCTAAACCCCCAGCAAATACCTTCCTCTGGAAATTCTAAAGCCCATCATTTCTTGAGCTCAATATTGACGACTCTTCTATGACTATAGATATAAATTTTGTATATACTAATCCCAATGTTTTATTTTTAATTTATTTTTAATTTTTGTGGGTACATGGTAGGTGTATATATTTATGGGGTACTAATCTCACAAGAGAAATGTCTTCAACTTTTAACTCTTAGTTATCTACAATTTCCACCTTACTACAAAAATTTACCCAACTCTGGTCATTTAACCCTAAGATATCCTTTGGGTTATAGCTGACTTTGTATTAATGAAATCATTAGCTTTTCAACTTTCCAACATCATAAAAAAATTATATCTCTGATGAGGGTTATTATGAGTGTCAACATTTCAATAATTCTGCTATAATCTGATGTGTTTACCTTGTTTTTGTCACATAATCCAGCTGTAAGTTGATTTATCATTTTACTTTGCATTCATATGAAGAAGACACAAGGCAGAAAGCGATTAATGATTTATTCTCCCAAAGCTTCACTTTCTTGGGTTCTTAACTTGCTTCTTCATACTGATAAAGTACAATGTTGATTGGAAGCGGTGACTGGCCATTTTGTTATGTTTCTAACTCAAAGGGAAAACATTCAGTCTTTCACCATAATGTATGAGGTTAGCTGTAGATTATTCATGGATATCCTGTATTATTTATTCTGTATAGAATTTTAAAACCTCAATAGTTAAAAATCCAGTCAATAGTTAAAATAACTAAAACATAGTCAAATAATAAATCTATTTTATGAATATAAATATGGTTTAATTTAAAGAAATCTATTAATGCAATTAGTAGCACTGGTACTGAAGATCACTTGGTCATCTTGACAGATGGAAAAAATATTTGATAAAATTTAACCATTTTTTTAAGTTAACATTAGCAAACTGAGACAGAGGTTACTTACTACATGCAATAATAAATATCATTTTACAACATAAAAATATGCTAAACACTGAAGCCCAAGAAACATTAAAGTAACAAAAAAGGCAAGGATGTGATCACCATTTTTATGTAGCATAATTCTGTAATTCTAGTTGCAGAAAAAAGAAACATAAGTAAGAGATAAGACTATTGGAAAGGAGAAACAAAAGTTATTATTTGTAGATAAAAGAATCAGTTACTACACAGCAGTCAATAGCGTTCTATATCAGAAATGACTATTTAAGAAATGCAATGATTTAAGCTTCTTAACATTAGCAAAAATAGTTACTAACAAAATTAGTAACTTATGGAAATTATATAAGAAGAATGAATATTTAATGAGGCACTTGACTAACACCTGAATAAACATTTAATGGATGTAAAGTTGCATTTAGTAAGATGTCAACTATTTCCACATCTATTCGATCAGATTCACAATAGCACTATTATTTGGAACGTTAGAATGTGATTATAAAAATTTCAGAGAAGAATTAAATGTGTGTGACTACTCAAGGAAAAAATAAAAATGAAAACAAGGATGGAGGATTTAAACTCCCAGGTATTATTCAACAGAGGATTCTGAGAATGTTAGTCATCTATTTGGGGAAAAAAAATATGTATTTTTAAATTTGGTTCTTACTTTTCACCCTATTCCAAAATAAATTTAAAAGAGTTTCGAGAAATAAACTAAGAAATGAAATAATGGGGTAGCTAGGAGAGAATCTGGCAGTTATTTCTTTAATGCTAAGGTAGGAGAGGCTTTTCTGAGCAGAAAAGCAATAAAAGAAATTTTAAAAGAAAAGGTTGGAAGACTTCACTATGTAAATATACAAACTGCTGTATGCCAAAAACAAAACAAAAAAAATAGTATTAAAGGGAAAATTACAGACACATGGTATATTTGACAGGGATTTAATGCTCTTAGTGTATAGAAATGTTTGCTTTAACAAAAAGAACAGCCCAATCAAAAGAAATGGGGAAAATAAGTGATTGTACAGTTTAAAAATGTAGAAATACAAAGAGTCAATGAACATTTAACCTCACGAGTAATATAAGAAATGTTAATTAAAACATGAAATGTCATTTTAACATAAATCCAAAAAAGGTGAGGTTGTGTATTTTATAAGGGTTAAAATGACATAAGTAATCTCATATATAGCTTGAATAAATCTGCATAAAACCGTGTAATGGGGTGTATGCTGTCATTAAAAATTACCTCTTACCAACAAAAACAAACATAAACAATTGGCATTGCAACAAACGAAAAAGCTTCTCCACAGCAGGGGAAACAGCAAAGTGAGAAAACCTACAAAATAGAAGATATTGATAAACTGTTCATCTGACAGAAGATTAATATCCAGATACAAGAAACTCAAACATCCGAACAGCAAATAACCAACAACCTAATTAAAAACTAGGTAAATGACCTGAACAGATATTTCTCAAAAGATGATATACAAATGGCCAACAAATATAATTTTAAAAATACTCAACATCATTAATCATCAAGGAAATGCAAATCAAAACCACAATGAGGTATCATCTCACCCCAGTTAGAGTAGCTATCATCAAAAAGATAAAAAGTAACAAATGCTGCTGACAAGGACATGGAGAAAAAGGGAACTTTTATGCACTGTTGGTGGGCATGTAAACTGGTACAGCCGCTGTGGAGAACAGTATGGAAGTTCCTCAAAAAACAATAGAACTACCAGATGATCTAGCAATCCCACTACTAGACACTGATGCAAAGGAAGGGAAATCAGTATATTAAAGAGACATCTCCACTCCCATGTTTACTGCAGCACTGTTCACAATAGCCAAGATATGGAATTAACCCAGCTCTCCAACAACAGATCAATGGATGAAGAAAATGTAGTGTATATATATACACAATAGAATACTGTTCAGCCTTATAAAGAAGGAAATCCTGTCATTTAAAGTAACATGGATGGAACTGGAGGACATTACATTAAGTGTTTCACTGATTTGAAGTCCAGAACAGAAAATTTAATGCTACACATTCTCATTCATATGCAGAAGCTTTAAAAAATAAAAGGTGATTTCATGGAAATAAAATGCAGAACAGTGGATATTCGAGGCTGGGAAGAGTAGGTGAAAGAGGGAGAAAGGGAGAGATTTGTTAAAGGATATAAATTATAGCTAGATAGGAGTAAGTTCTAATGTTCTATTTTATATACAGTATAATAGATTATAATGATACAAAACTATATAACAATATAACATATATAATAACAATATAACTATTTAACAATAACTCTATATTGTAATGTAGTTAACAATACTATATATTTTCAAATAGTTAGAAGGAGAATATTGAATGTTCCTAACACAAAGAAATGACAAATGTTTGAGACGATGGATATGCTAATTAACCTAATCTGATCACTATACATTGTATGTATTAAAACATAACTACATACCCCATTAAATATGTAAAATTGTCATATATCAATTAAAAGATTTCCTCTCAAAGGATATTTATGGACATGGGAAAATGCCTAGACTATCAACTTGGAAAAGCAAGCTATTACATGTTGTGATTCCGATTAATTGAGTAATTCATTGGTACAAGTAAATATGCATTAAATAAAGACGAGGTTGAACGTAAAACTAAAACCATCTTAGCACTGGGATACACCTACTTTAGTTTGTGAATTTTTTGTAAATTTCTTTCAAAATGGTTATTTTTAAAACCAGCCAATGCTATTTAACATATACATATTATTTAGAGTTCGAATTATTTATTGGACAATATTTTTCAAATTGTGTGCGGCAGTTCAGCATTTTCACCCAGTGGGTGACAAGCAGCATTTTTTAAATGAAATATAATGACATAGAAAATATATCTGTGCTTTATGTGGATCTTTATAAAAAAGGAACAAGAAAAAAAGGAATCATTGCAACAAATATTTAGCTTCAATACGTACACACAGATATACACGTAAATCCCCAAACACAGTGTTAAATATACTTGCTACTATGGTTTATTCTAAAGAGGTTCAAAGACACTATATTGGAGAAATTTTAATTGAAGATTTCAGAAATCTCATACTTTATGTTGCCAATGCATTTCCATCCACCTGATGCAGGTGAAACTGAAAGTCAGTGAGGAATTCGGGTTTCACTATTTCCACATCTGCTGGTTTTTAAAAATGTAACAAGGGCAGTAACCCAGCGGGGCTTAAACTTGTGAAATTCTTGAAGCCACAATGCTCTGTAAAGAAGGATTGTGTAAGTCAATACACACCCAAACTTGCACCATTTAAAACTCCCTTAGCCAGCATATTTCAATATGTTCTAGCATCACTTAAGAAGTTACACAGGTAGCAAAGATAGAAATTGGATTTCACTGTGAGAATAGTTTTGCGAGCAAATCAGTCAAGTCTTTAGAGTCGAACACTGTAACTTTTAGCTATTTTCAAATGAATGAATACTTCATTCTCTTTCCCATTCTAAGTAGTATTTTAAGAAATTTTTAAAATTTAGACATAAAATAAATACCAAAGTATCTAATAATCTAGCTAGAGTTGCTGTTTCCTAAACTGGGCTTAGTGGATTGTCCCATTGTGTAACTGGCTTTGTTTTAATGCATCGCAATTTCAACTTGTATTTCTGTCTACCTTTTTATATATTTGTCATCCCTGTAAAGCCCTGAAAATGCACAAATGAGGACATTTTGCCAACATCATCAGTGGCTTTTAATCAGAACGATTTCTGAGAAGATTCACCTATTTCCAGATAAGACTCAATATTGTAGCTTCACCCAGTGTCAACTCTTTCCTGTCCTACAGACTCCCAAACTGAAAACAGACTAGTTATAAAGAGGTGACATTCACAGGAAGAAGAACTCCAGCATGCAAAGCCAATTGCAAAAATCATTTTCCTTGTTGGAAATTTTATCAATGAAAGATAGGATAACAACTAAAAAGTAATGGAAATACCTTTTTTGCCTATTATTTGGAGGAGAGAGAAATAAGATGAATTTTTTTTTTTTTTTTGAGACAGAGTCTCACTCTGTTGGCCAGGCTGGGGTGCAGTGGTATGATAACAGCTCACGGCAGCCTCAGCCTCCTACACTCAACCTCCTGCACTCAAGCAATCTTTCCACTTCAGCCTCCCAAGTAGCTGGGACTACAGGCATGCACCACCATGCCTGGCTAATTTTTCTTTTTCTTTTTTTTGTAGAGACAGGATTTTGCCAGGCTACTCAGGCTGGTCTTGAACTCCTGGGCTCAGGAGATCCTCCTGCCTTGACCTCCCAAAATGCTGGGATTACAGGCATGAGCCACCGTGCCCAGCCCAATACGAATTTTTTTTTTTAAGTGAGATGACAGAATTGGAAGAATAAAAGTCCCTGATGTTGTTATGCTTTGTAAATACATACATATTAGGGCTACTCTAGATTCTAGAAAACTAGAGGAAAGATTGAGCCTTTACTTTGGAAAACCTGCACCTCTGCAAGATGCCACGTGTACGGATGACTACATTCTGGTGATTAGGTAAAGTGATCCCAGTTTTCCATCTGAAACTCATCTCTAAAGCAAAGTTCTTGTATTCTGCAGATAACTATTCTTATGAACATTGGATTATAATTTCAGCTACAAGTAGCATCAAGATCTTTTATCAGAAGAAAACACACTCCACCTTCTTGCATATTCTAATGATGTAAAACTTCATAAGTGATCCTACAATATGTCTCTGTAATAGGTTATGAATAGTCATCTATCATTCCCAGAGCAGTATATAATAAATGGTTCAGGTATGAAAATTCTGAAAATTTTCAGCTCAAGATTGTTGATTTTAGGGGAGATGTGTTTAGAAATGTACTTGTCCATTTCATGCCTGAGGCCAACTAGGAGCAAGCATGCCTGTATGGGAAATGAGATAGGATTTTTTACTAATTTATAATTTGAAATAAGGATAATTATAAGTAACATTTTAAATTTTATGACCATTTTTCAGTTAAACTTTTTCAGTATTTCTAAAGAAAATTATTTTCCCATATCTTACAGCTCTATACTACCAGTTACCTATTTTATGTCATAATAAAACATGTTATTGGCTATAATCACTGCTGTTTATCATCTCATTTAAAATACTGATGCTTCTTTTTAAAGCATCTTTCCATTTCTTTGATTCTGGAGGATCATTTTTCATACCTTTGCATACTGTGGCAAGAAAATTTACTAAATGCACAGTTGATGTTTCCATTAAGATAACACATCCTGATAAATACCCTAAGGCTAAAAGGATCATATAAATCACCAGATAATTCGATGTAATATTTGTCCAAAAATCTTAATAATTTTACAGAGCTTTGTTTTTACATATAGAGCATAGTTAAGCAAACTACAGTAAATGAATTAAAAATATGACCCACTTTCTGGTTTTATAAAGTTTGACTGGCACACAGCCACACCCAATGTGTTTACACATTTATCTGTGTCTGTTTTCAAGCTACAGTGGTGACTAGTTGGGACAGAAACAACGTAGCCCTCAAATCCTACAATATTTACTATCTGGTCCTTTACAAAAAAAGTCTGCCGGCCCCTGATCTATAAACTGATTTCTAATGGGGTCTTAAGATTCTGTGTAGTTTCTTTGCTAAATTCTTCATGGATGTTTCATTTCGCTGGTGGAATGAAACATGTTCAATTGCTCAGTAAGACAAGCACTTCATTTTTGATCCTTATGTATTGCTTATGTATCTTTTAACATTTACTCTATTTCCTACATAGGAATATATTACCCTTGCAAAATAATTCCTATTTCTGAAATTCTTTCTGCAAAACTGACACAAGTTAGAGATTTGATGAGATTTATACTTTTATCTCTTGAATTGATACATGCCACAAGCTGGGAGAACATTGCTTGTTTTCTAGGCTGCCTTATTTAATGGAATTCTCTTAGTATGTTCCCTGGGGGCTTTGAAATCAACACACCATTGAAATTGAATGGAAATTAGTATAATTAATTTGAAGTACTGTATAGCTCTCTATTAATTTGTTTTGGAATTAGATAATGGTGAGAAGAGAATAATTTGGACATAAAAACATTAAAACCCTGCTGTAGTTAGGAGTTCACATTTTGTTGAAATCAATTATGTGAGAAATATTTACAAAACCATGTAATTTCTGTCCATTTTGAATAAAGATTTGGCCCATATGTGAGAGCAACTTAGAGTTTCTCTCATAATATTCTATGATATTAGTTCCCAAAAATGATAAGGGACTTTATGTTATAAAACACATTTCACATTAATATGGTACATATAATTAACTCCTAAACATTTTCTAAATCCTGTCTATGAAGTGAAAACCTCATTTACTCATTTTTCTATGATAGTCAGATTTGGTACATGCATACCATGTACCAGAGGTATTATTAGGTACAAAGGTATAATTAGGTATTAAACAAGCTAACAGTTACTTAATCTTTACTAGACAAATACTGAACTTTTAATCCTTATATAACCTCCCCCACCTCATCTTACAGATGAGGAAACAGGCTTAGAAAGGGAAAATAAGAGTACAACATTTCAGTTAGGAGGAATAAGTTTCTTGAGATATATTGCACAACACAGTGAGTATAGCATATTGTATCTTTTGTATTTTTGTGTATTTTTGCTGTACCTATCTATTATATATTGCATATAATGACTATATTGTATATATAGTGTAGTTTATGTTTCAAAATTGCTTAGACGGTAAATGTCAAATGTTCTTATCACAAAAAGATCAGTATCTGAGATGACGGCTATATTAATTAGCTTTATGTAATCTTTTCACATTACATACATATATCATAATATCACACTGTACCTCATAAATGTATACAATTATAATATGTCAACATGCAATACAATCATTCAAAAAAAAAGAAAAATAACTTATCTAAGATCACACACCTTTTTTGTGACCAAGCCAAAATACTAACTCAAACAATTGGATTCCAAAGCCTCACTTTTAATCATGTTCTCCTGAAAGCTTTGTAAGATAAACTCAAAAGCAGCCAATTGTAGTATAATAGTGGACATTTGCACTTGGTGTTGGGGGGTCTCTGAGCAAGGGTTGCTGAATCTGCTGGGTGGAAGGAGAAGGAGCTATTTCTTGGAGGAGATTGGGGTTGATTTGGATTGGGTTTGCCAGTTGGGTAGGCCAGCCGTATGTAATAGTGTGTTCAAAGGTAGAGTCATGAAAGAGCACAGCACCTTCGGGGAAGGGAAAAGAATTTGCTGTGCTTAGAGCAAAAGGAGGGTATGAATGGGTTGTAGAGCATGGGCTACAGGAGTGAGCAAGAGGCCTGAATATATTGTAGAGGAGGTCAGAGTGGTAAGAATCCCCTGAAGGTGTTTATTTACAATAAAAATTGCTGAGTTCCAATTGCCAGAGAATCTTACTCAGTTAGACCTATGAATTTGCATTTGGACAGGCATCTCAGGTAATTCCAATGTGGGAGAGCCTCTTTGTGAATCACCGTTAAAAATGTTGGAAAACAATGTGCTGGATAGTGATATGGTTAATGTCATTGTGCTTTGAAACACACACACACACACACACACACAGACACACACACACACAGCACCTCAGTGGGGACAGGAAGCTGTTCTCAAAAGTGATTTTGGTTTATTTAGAATTCAGAAATAATATCAAGGTGTCTTTTCCTAGTGGTTTATACAACTGTCTCTCACACACACATTCTTGTGCTTATAATTGCTTTTCGATGCCATTTAGATTACTGGCCTCTAAAAAATGCTAAAATGGCTGGATCCAGTTTTATTCATTTTTAAGGCACTATATGCCACAAAAAGTATGAGCTTTTCAAACCAAATCTCACTTGTTTTGCCATTCTCAGTCCTTTCCATTCTAGCCCTTAGTAAATTTCAATTAATAAGAAATTCTTGTCTTAAATAAATGATGAATTACTTAATTGATTTATATTTTCAGTAAAACTTAATTTCACACAACATAATTGGGGGATTAATTAATAAATCAAACAAACTGCATTTCTGCACTTTTCCCTGGGATTAATTTAATAATTTAAAGGACTAATTATTCCAAGGTAAAATTTCAGTTGATATGCAAATTTAAGATTTGGCACCGTCTTGTTAAAATATAAGGTAAAAGTTTGTACATCCCATTGGCTTTGGATACATTTGAAACAGAATAAGTGAAAACAAACCGTGCTTTAAGAACGATCTGTTCCATTGAATTACTTATGGTTATGGTCAGGTGGCTCCCAAGAAAATGTTTTTTTCTTCTGTAGAAAATTGATACATCCCCATCTTCCAAAACAGAATGTCAGTACATTCTTCAATGTTTAAACAAACTCAAAAGGAAAATATAGGAGGGAGCACTCATCTAACTCATCTGGAATTAAATAGACTCCACACATCAAAATCTCATTGGGTAAGCAGAGATGGCCTTGACCAACTGGGGATTCTCAAATTTAGGATGCCAAATCCCACACTGATGTTTACTCCACACTTAAGCTTGTTCAACACAGATGGTAGGCATAAAATAGCTTAACTTCAATGGATCATGCCCTGAGAGAATGAGAGATTGTCTTCTGTGTTGACAGGAGGGTTGTTTTCACATTCCACTTGAATTAAATTATACTTGTTCATCCCATGGTGCATAATCTCTGGCAAGGGTTCTTAGAAAGAGCTATCATGTGGACTCATTGCAAAACAAGTTAAAAATAATAAAAAAAAGAAAGATTGCAAAGTAATGCTTTGAGCACTGTAAGAAAATATAAGGCAAAAGTTGAACAGCTTCCATTTATTTTGAAAAATATATAGATATCTATTTAGAGTAATATAATTAACATGGATTTTTGTATATTATATATAGATATATTGTATTAGTCCATTTTTCACACTTCTGATAAAGACATATCTTAGACTGGGTAATTTATAAAGAAAAAGACATTTAATGGACTCACAATTTCCCATGGCTAGGGAGGCCTCACAATCATGGTGGAAGGCAAAAGACACATCTTACATGGTGCAGACAAGAAAGAATGAGAGCCAGGCAAAAGGGGAAACCCCATATAAAGCCATCAGATCTTGTGAGACTTATTTACTACCATGAGAACAGTATGGGGGAAACTGCCCCTATGATTAGATTATCTCCCACTGGGTCCCTCCCACAACACAGGGAAATTATGGGAGCTGAAATTCAAGATGAGATTTGTGTGGGGACACAGCCAAAGTATATCATATATGTTTATATGTTAACATTCAGGGGCAATGTATATCTTTAATTTCAATGGACTGGCAAAAGTAGTTTGAATTTCTCATATGAAAAAGATATTATGTATCAGATATAGTGGATATTATGATCAATATAAGACCCTAGCTTTCAAACGTTCTCAACTAAGTTTGGTAATTAAGACATAAGTATCGGGGGAAATTCAGCCAGATATCGGGTGAAATTCACCCCCGATATTTCATGTAGGTACTTTTATATTTTCCCTAAGTGTTGGCCGGTCTGAGAAATAAAGGGACAGAGTACAAAAGGAGAAATTTTAAAGCTGGGTGTCCGGGGGAGACATCACATGTCGGCAGGTTGCGTGATGCTCCCCAAGCCATAAAACCAGCAAGTTTTTATTAGTGATTTTCAAAAGGGGAGGGAGTGTACGAATAGGGTGTGGGCCACAGAGATCACATGCTTCAGAAGGTAATAGAATATCACAAGGCAAATGGAGGCAGGGTGAGATCACAGGACCACAGGACCACAGGACGGGGGCGAAATTAAAATTGCTAATGAAGTTTCGGGCACGCATTGTCATTGAAAACATCGTATCAGGAAACAGGGTTTGAGAGCAGACAACTAGTCTAATCAAAATTTATTAGGTGGGAATTTCCTCATCCTAATAAGCCTGGGAGTGCTACGGGAGACTGGAGCTTATTTCATCCCTGCAGCTGCAACCTTAGAAGACGGCCGCCCCTGAAGCGGCCATTTCAGAGGCCTACCTTCAGGGACGCATTCTCTTTCAGGGATGTTCCTTGCTGAGGAAAACAATGAGAACCTGTGGACACAGGAAGGGGAGCATCACACACCGGGGCCTGTTGTGGGGTGGGGGAAGAGGGGAGGGATAGCATTAGGAGATATACCTAATGTTAAATGATGAGTTAATGGGTGCAACACACCAACATGGCACATGTAACAAAGTTGCACATTGTGCACATGTACCCTAAAACTTAAAGTATAATAATAAAAAAAAAGAATTCAGTGATATTTCTTTTTGCTTTTGAAAGATATTTGCTTTTGAAAGAAGAGAAATATGGCTGTGTTCCGCCCGGCTCACCAGCAGTCAGAGTTTAAGGTTATCTCTCTTGTTCCCTGAACATTGCTGTTATCCTGTTCTTTTCTCAAGGCGCCCAGATGTCATATTGTTCAAACACACATGCTCTACAATTTGTGCAGTTAATGCAGTCATCACAGGGTCCTGAGGCGACATACATCCTCCTCAGCTTACGAAGATGACAGGATTAAGAGATTAAAGACAGGCATAGGAAATCACAAGGGTATTGACTGGGGAGGTGATAAGTGTCCATGAAATCTTCACAATTTATGTTCAGAGATGGCAGTAAAGACAGGTGTAAGAAATTATAAAAGTATTAATTTGGGGAACTAATAAGTGTCCATGAAATCTTCACAATTCACATTCTTCTGCCATGGCTTCAGCCGGTCCCTCTGTTCAGGGTCCCTGACTTCCCGCAACACATAAGTACATGAGATTTTACATAAAAGAGACAAAAATTAAAGTAAGATGTATTCACAGCAATACAGTAGCCCCCCTTCTCCAAGACCTTTAGTGGATGCCTGAAATCAAGGATAATACCAAACCCTATATATACTATGTTTTCTCCTGTATATACATACCTATGATAAAGTTTAAGTTACAAATTAGACACCATGGAAATTAACAACTAGTAATGAAATACAACAATTATAAGAATATAGTATAATAAAAGTTATATTAATGTGATCTTTTCCTCTCTTTCTTAAAATATCTTATTGTACTGTACTCACCTATTTTCAGACCATAGTTAACCATGGATAACTGAAACCTCCTAAAAGGAGCGACTATGGTAGCAATGCTTTATCAGAATGTGCTCTGGATAGTAATTTCTGGGTCTTAGAAAATTATTGGGCTGTGTAAGAGTACGTAGGGAAGACAGAAAATTATTCCAGTCAAGGAAGACAGTATGAGTGAACAAAGTCTAATTAACACAATGCTTGCTAAATTAGATATTTTAGACATGACCTATTTCTAGTGCAACTGGGTGTCCCCAAGAAGATACTCGGGTTCCATGATTCACTAGAAAGACTCGCAGAACTCAGAAAAGCTGTTATACTCAAGGTTGCCACAGGAAAAAGAGATGAGTTAAAATCAGCAAAGGTGAAATGCACGTAGAGTGGAATCCAGGAGAGACCAGTGCAAGTTGCCAGTTGTCTTCTCCCAGTGGAATTGCACAGATGATACTTAATTTCCCCAATAACAATGTGCAATAATACACAACAAGTACTGCTAATCAAGGAAGCTCACCCAAGCTTGGTCTCCAGGGTTTTTATTAAGGGTTCATTCATCAGGATAGAATGCCCTTGTGACTAATCTTATCTTCCAGTCGTCAGCTCTCCCCAGGGTCAAACTGTTACAGCATGGCCCAGGGTCCCAAGTAAATGAAGTCACATATTCACAATAAATCAAATTGTCAGCATAAACTATCTGCATGGCTCAAGACCCGAGGTAGACACTCTTAATAGGCAGGATAGTCCAGGAGTTTAGAGGTTACTTCTCAAGAGCAAGTCAAGGGCCAGTCTTTTTTTTGGAACATGCAGGGTCTGAAAACCCCACAACTGCCAAGTTAACATTTTACTGCACAAAAGGGAAAGAGTTTGTGTGATGGTGGGTCTTGAATGAATGAGTAAAATGAATGAATGAATGAACCTGAAATCATGAAATACAATATTTGCAAAAAAAGTGTGTATTTATTTGTTTTAATGATGAGAAAAAAAATACAAGGTAAAAGAAAATCCACTTCATAGAAGAGCGATTGGTCTTATCTTTGTGCAGGGATCTAGGTATTCCGTACAGTGCAGTTTGCTTTAACAGTGATTTGGTTGCCATGTGCGATCCTAACAGTGACATCCTAAGGAATGAGTGATTATTTAGCAACCCTCTAAATATTTCCCTGCTTCTCCAGTTGCGAGTTCTATAGAAGAGTTAATGTTATGCTAAACTGAAAATGTGAGAATGAACTACCTACTAATCTTTTACTTTTAATTTCTGTCCACCACCCTGCACCCTATCCTTCCTTTTCTGAACTGCATTGTGGTCTTCTTTGAAGATGTTCCAGTGGATTTGATCGTCATCGGCAGGACTGGGTGGACAGTGGATGCCCTGAAGAGGTACACATGCTTTATTGTGACAGAATCCTGGGACCAAGCTGTCATATACATGTGTTTTAACTGTTAATAATTTTTATTCAAAATTTATGCCCTAAAACTTAATGAAAGGAGAAGAATCCTTCTATAAGCCCAATGTCTGCAAATATTAGGGGTTCGATAACAGCTGGCTATTTTTGTTAAATTAGATAACATTTTCATTACATTGTAGCAACTTGCTACAACCCCTAATAGATGCAGACATGGGGCTTAACTATTTATATGTATTATCTCATTTCATTGTCATATTCATTCTATGAAGAACAGTGCCTGCACTGTCACTACCCCCATATTACCAAGGAGAGAAAGGGGAGGAGTGAGGGGAGCTTGTGGGGAGGGGTGAAGTGTGGGTTCTTGGAGAGTCAGGTAAATGGCTAGGGAATAGTAGGGCCAGGATTGGAATCTGTAGAGGAGTTCTCTTAAATGCTTGCTATTTTTCTAGGATGTACGAAACCATTGTTCCTCTTTGTAATTCAAACAGCAAGACCAGTGGTATTGTGGAGGGTGGAAGACTGCAGCAAATTGATGTGCTGTAATAAATGAGAAATTGTATAACATTAGTTGGCATAGAGAGATGGTATAATGTTAACTCTGAGGGAAACATGATAGAGACAAGGATGCAGTGAAGTCGTGTAAGCAATTGGATACCAGAAACAATTTTAACCCGTTTAAAAGCTTTGCAGTGACTCGCATTTATACTATCATTTCAAGATCATATAAAGATATCCTATAAAGTTTATGAAGAAAAGCATTTACTTCTTCTCCCTTCATTAAGTTTTGGGGTATCAATTTTGAATTAAAACTGCTAACAATTACAAAAGTTTAGCAAAGCAAGCCATGCCAAAATGCTGTTTTAAAAACTATTTGTTCAATGGTTACTTAGAGACTTTTTAAAAATTCATTTTTGGGGGGCATGTTTCATAAAGATCTTGAGCAATACATTTTTAAAAACATTCTTGAACTTTAAATGCAGTATTGCCAGTGTAGCTATAACCAACCTTTTGGCATTTCATTTAGGGAATGACAGCAGTGTGTGCTCATCCGTCTCACCTCACTTATCTAATAACGTAGTTCCAAAGAGTATCTATTGACAAAGCCATAGTTGTGTTTTGAGACAATCATTTCTTTCATATAATCAGTTACCTCAATATAAAATGTTGAAAATGAATATCTCCATATATGTAAAGATTGAGAATGTAATTCAGATGTATATTTTTTCTCCCAAATTTGGTTTATCTTTTCATTTTCTCTATGATTTTATTTCACTAACATTAATTATCAATTTAATCTGTCAAATGTATGAATCTTTTATTTTTATGATGAGTTTTATATGCCTGTGCATCTTCTTTTAGAAGAATTTTCCTACCAAATTCCATCTAGGTGTTATTTTTGTGTATTTTTTTCTGAATATTTTAAAGCTTTGTCTTACACGTCAAAATCTATTCCATTTGGAATTGGTTTTTATGTATTATATAAGGTAGAGATTCAGTTTCGTGGGGTTTTTTTTCTTGATGGATAGCCAAATTTCAAGCACCATTTGTTAACTAATCCTTTCTTTTGGCAATATCTTGCAAAGTCACCTGTTTTATGTATATTTTCTGGGCTCTCCTCTTCTAAAGCTCTGTCAGTACTTAGATCAGTGTCCCACTGTATTAATTTCTATTGTTTTATAAGAAATCTTACTATATACAGGACAAATCTCCTTACTTTTTCTTCTTCACAAGTGTTTGGGTATTTTAGGGCTTTTGTCCTTCATATAAATATTAAACTCACCTTGTCGAGATCTGTAATCCATCTATCAATACATCTTACTAACATTTTATTGGAAATACATTAAATTATGAATTAGATCACATTTCCTAATTACAGAGGCTTTTAAAATTTACCTTTTTTACTATTGACTTCTAGACTAATTGAGTCATCATCAGAGAACATGTTATGATCTTTAAAGTTGATTGGAAATTTTTCATGAACAAGTACATGGGCATTTTGTACAAAGGGTCTATGTGTGTTCAAGAAAAATGTGTGTTTTCCTGTTGGTTGGGTGTCAAGCTTGATAAATGTACTCTTCAGCTATACTTCTCCACTCTCTTTATTTTCACCTTCTGACTTCTTTGAAAGCTTGCCATTTTCATCTTTTCCTCATATTTTTAAACCTCTATTATATGTAATCTCTTTCCTTATTACTCTGTGCTGTATTTGGAGCAATTTCTTCAGATGTATTTACCGGTTTATTAACTCTCCCTTCATCTTGTTTAATATTCTATGTAATCTACTCACTGAAGTAGAAATTCCAACAAACATTTTTCATATCTAAAATTAAATTTGACACTTATTACATCTGCCAAGTATTTTATAGTTTCATGTGAACCGTTCATTTCTCAATTTTATCTTTTATGATTTTAAATATTCCGTGTATGATTTTTGTATATTCCATATTGGATGATCCCATTATCTAAAATTTTGGTGATCTAAATAGTGTGGTCATTGTTTTTGCTGATTCTTTCTCAGACAGCTATTTTTTTTTCTTTTTTAGTGTATATTTGTCTGATCCTATTCTAAGACCTAAATAGGTGATGTTTTCCCCCAAAGAAGATTTGATGATGGGATCCTCAGGATTTTCAGGCTACCATAAGTCTCTGCCCTAATGTGAGGAGGAGAAGTTCAGATTTTTCTCCCCTGTCTACTACTGCTGCAAGGCTTGTTCTCTTTAGAGCGATATTGATTTTGGATTTTTTTCCTCAGGGCAAATTCTGCTTTTTTAACTTCCCTTAATGTATACAGCTCCTACTGTCTTTATAGCACATAGCTTTTGCTTTGTTTTATTTTTTGAGTGGGGAGGGGAATAAACAATGGAAAGGCACCATTGGGATATTCTTTACCTCCTGCAAATCCTAAGGCTTTAAAATTCAAGTTTTATTCAGAATCTACTTGTTTTGTTATAGGAGGGCTATTTAGTTCCTTAGTCTGCCGTTACTGCCAAAAGCAATCTGAGCCTAGGATTTTACCTTAAACGTAGGGTGTTTACTGAACATTATTAGATCCTGTTTACGGAATACTAGGTCCTGTTCATTGACAGTAGAAACACAAAGAGAGAATAATATATGGCAAGTTCCATTCTATACTCCTTGAGTTTGAGATGTGTGTGACATTCACATGCAGACACCTGGTCAATAGATGACTTTTTGGGCCTGAAATCCAAAAGAGGAATGTGGACTGGAAATATAGATTTATGAATAATCAACATAAAGATGTTCATTGCAGTCATGGGTGTAGAAGAGATTGCAAAAGATAATGCATAGAATGAAGTGACAGAGCAAGAATGATCCATAAGAACCACCCCAACACTTAAGGAATTGACATAAATAAAAGGAAATTGAGATGGAGTTGTGAGGGAGGTGTCAGAACATTGAGGAGAGGGTGTGTCACAGAAACCAAGACAGGGGAGTGGACATCTGCACCATAGGCTGATGAGGTGTCAGTAGGACACCATGGAAGATGTTGGATATTTAGCTAAGGAGATATTTAGAAACATTGGTACGAGAAATTTCAACTCAGTTGGATTAGGTAAGAGCAAGATTGTCATAAAAGGGAAAGCTGGGAGTCTGAGAAGACCAAGGCAGACTGATCTCTCTGGAAATATGACTGCGTATGAATGGAGGGAAAGCAGTATAATGTCAGGATGCATTGGGGAGAAGAGGGAGGCAGTCCCTCTTCTGGGACTGCCTCCCTTTGCAAACTGGAATTTGGGTTTGCAAAATAAGATTAGGCATGCTTGTGTACCTTTAAGTGTTGTTGATAAGAAGCCAGCAGAGAATTAGGGGTGGCAAATATTGTAGAGAAAGGACTATGATCACCTAAGCAAATTCACAATACCTGTGAAGGTGGGCTGAGTTGAGCTAGGACATAGGTAGAAATAGGTTGAAAGGATGGCTATAAGGAAAGGTCCCCATCCATTATCACAGAAGGAAAGAATAGGTCAGCCCAGAGTCAAGTAAGTATGCTGATTCACTAAGAAATTTAAAGAAATCTTGCTGATCATGCCTATTTATCAAGGAAATGGAAGGTGAACCCAAGGAGTAAAACCGGGAGAATCATGATGGGATTGCAGTTTTAGGTAAAGTGGAGAGAGCTTGAAATTCATACTGAGCATAATGGGAGAGGTGATTAGCAAGACACAGCAATGCTGCCAAGTGGTATGCACGGCCCTGCTAAGGATGCAGGAGATGTTTGTGGAGCCCCCATGGCGGGTCTGTGTGATTATTCTCCAGCTGTGCCTGGCTTTGGAGCAGGCAGGGAAAAGGCAGATCTTTTCTTTAAAGGTGTTGTAGAAAAAAAAACTAAAAAAAAAAAAAAATAAAAAAATAGAGCAAGATGCTTGAAGCTACTGAAATGAGTGGTTGAAGTAATGGGGGAAAAAGAAACTTAAAAACAAAATCATTTTCTTAGGCTTTCTAAGTAGTCAAAGAATAAGAAGAATTGGAGTTCGCAGGTACAGGGATAGATGGAAAAAGGATAACTGAGCTTATGATTTCAGATCTAAAACATTTTCCACTACAGATATAGTCCAGGGTGTGGGGATGACAACTAAAGTGGTATCTGAAAGGAAATAATTAGATTAATGGGGCTCAGAGGTGCAGGAACTGGAATTTGGGGAATTAAATGAGACCCTAGTATGTTTAGACTTGAAGTGGAGAATAAACCTGTTTCATATCCTATTAATGAAAAGGAGGCTGTCTCAGGAAGTCTGCATTAACAAGGGGAAAGGCACCTAGCGCTCCACTAATGATGAGAGAAGTTTAAGAATGATATTTATTTAACAATAATTTTAAAATGTGGGATGAGAACCACTCATGTCCAGAATAGTTATTTTCTACTCAAGGCCCACCTGAGAGAGGGAGTCCACTGCGGCACAAAAGGTGGATAGAAACACCAACTTCTAAGCTATAAAAGTTTGGATGTTGGAGGTTGTTACCAGTGAAGGTTGTAGGATTTGTTTTCACAAATTAAAAATAAAAAATTCACTATGTCTCATTTCCTGATGTTTTCAATATAGCTCTGCTAAGGAGGAAAATAGGCTGAGTGATTACAAGAGTTCTGTTCAATCCTTTGCTTATGTGGTTTTGAATATTTCATAAAGGAAAACAAAATTTTAGACATTCATTCAACTTGTGACAGATGATTTTTGAAACAATGAAGTAGTATGGGGAAGTTAGCAAATATTTCGGATTTAGCATTGTCAGTTTGATACGAAAGGAATGCACTTTTTCTCCACAAACCTGAGTATGTTTTAAACCTTATCTTTATGCACCTGTTTTTCTTCTAGTATAAATTTTCCCTTTTGACAGTGTGTCTTTTATAAATATACCAATGTAAAATTTAGGGCAAGGTAAACAGTAATATGAAAGCTTAACAGCAGTAAATGATGAAACCTAAATATCTAAAAAGGGAAATGCCTTGTTCCATCCATCTTTTTCTCTTTCCTATTTTATAAACTTCATAAATTAGCAAAATCATTAATATAGTCTTGTACAAAAGTAATTTATTCCTTGTCTTGATATGAGAGGCTTTTGTGCTTTACAGCCCAGCTTCTTTGATGTAAGTTCTAAAAATAGATTTGTGATCACTCCATTTGTTTTCCTTTTCTTTTCTCTTACTAGTCAAAAGAGAAGATGTGTGAGAATACAGAACCAGTGGAAACTTCTTCTCGAACCACCACAACCGTAGGAGCGACAACCACCCAGTTCAGGGTCCTAACTACCACCAGAAGAGCAGTGACTTCTCAGTTTCCCACCAGCCTCCCTACAGAAGGTACCCAAGAGATAGTTTGCTTTTTTTTTTTTTTTTTTTTTTTTTTTTCCCTGAAGGAAGGAAAAATCACTGTGTTGACATGTACTGGAATAGCTCCTACTCTCTAGGTCTCTCTAAAGTTATTCTTTGGCAAACTGGATTTCTAAGGGATTTCCAAAGGGGAAAAAGACAAAATTATTATGAACTAAAAGTAAATGCTGGGATTCTTTTAATGCACTGTGCCTTTTTTTAAGACATAGCTTTTACCATTGATTCTGGCTTCTTGTCCTCTCCTTCCTAGAAAAGAAATACAGATTTCTTCCTGTGTGGCTAAATTTTGTACTAAGCAAATCCAACTTCACAATCACAGGTTAGAAAGGCAAAATGCATATAAAATGTCCGTTGATTCTGGATTCTGAACAATAAATAATTCTATTAATATATAATTCTAATGTTTTCCAGAATGCAGTCAATAAAATATATTGGTCTATAACCTATACAGAAACACTGTATGTGTCATAGAAATTGTCCTTGAAAACAACTATTTCCTCTTCTAAGGTAGGCAGAAATACTAGAGAGTGTTAATGCTTGGGCACAGCTCAGGAGGAAGAAAGTGTATTACCCAACATACGATAATTTTCTATTCTGAATGATACCACCAGGAGGGAGAGGGCAGAAACATAAGACTGGCCACGAATCAGGTTTGAGGGGGATAAATGGGTCTTACTTGTTTATTGTTATAAGCCTCACTTTCTTTGGCTTGAATAAAAAATTAAATATGGAACTTTTAATTGGAATTTAATTTGATATTATAAGGTGAACTGGAATAAAGTGGGGTGGAAAGCAGCTGCTAAGTGCATTTTACTGCTTTTAAAAGCAACATTATCTTTTAATCCATATTATTTTGGATTATTATATTAAAGTCCACGAAAATATTCCTATAATTTAAACCCTACCCTTTAGAGTGAAACATAACCAGTAAAATAAAAAAGCATATCCTACATTTTGTTCAGTCAGGATAAGATCTCTTTATATAGAATTTTGGTCATCTTTTCTAGCAATGGGTAAACATTTAACTTTTGGAGTTAAATTTGTAAATATTGACAAATCTTAACTGTCACAATGAATTTGGATTTTCCTTGATCTTGATTTTTTAAAATGAATAAATAAGGTCATAACTATAGGTTCTAATTACAATAAGTGATTTTAGAGAATTAAAAATAGCTGTATTTTAACTTTTAATTATTACTGCTTACTTTTCTTGTAGAACTTAAGGATCATTCAAGATGTTACCAAAATCTTGACATTACAATCTCTGTAGGAAATTTTAGAACTACATCATGTAAAGCAAGGACTTGCTCTCATTGCACTAGAAATTACCACAATAAATTATCAAAATCTAGTCATGTTCCGACCAAGGCAGTTAGTAGACAATTACTAGTCATAAGATTTATGCTCCTTTGAAATCAATCCTTTTCTGTTATAGTAACTTTGAATTTCTCTTCCAGATGATACCAAGATAGCACTACATCTAAAAGATAATGGAGGTAGGAATTGATACTTTTCTTTCATAAACATCTTTTAAATATGAATTCATTTCATTTATTTTACTATGAGAAAGGCAATACGGGCTTCTAGATAAAAGGTGAGGTTGTGTTTTATTCTCCGTTGGGATTTAACATGGGAAGGAGTCAGTGGGTTGGCTTGAAAGTGAAATGAAATCCTCACCCTTGTGTTTGTGTATAAAACTGTGACACCAATTCCCAATGATAAAGTGGAAAATTCAACCACACATCTTGCTATTCTTTGTTGGTCTAGTCTTTGTTGTATTATAGTGGTGTGTAGTTATCTACACAGCTACAGGTATTGGGTTCAATTGTGTTTCACTAAATTGTCTCCTTGGTCAGCACCTTCTATGCATAAAATTAGAAATACAGCAAGTATGAAAATATATTGTCCTAGGTCTTTTTATCAGCTCTATGAAGCAAAGAACAAAACTTAGATATCTGAAAGAATATCTTGTTGGTAACATACTTAAAGGTTTTCCAAGACAATTTAGAAATATCTATAATGGTACTGGAAAATTTGAGGGAAAAAAGTTTTACTGAAAAAATATTGTGAACGATATTGGCTATGTTTTTAGAAATAGATCTTTTTCCTTTTAAACTATGTTGGCTCATGTATGCTGGGTCTTAATAAAAGAGATTTTCATTAGTAATTGTTTATTCAGCTCAGGGAAAGGGTGTCCTCTTCTTGGCAGCATCTTTATGTAAATGTGAGCACATTGTGACTTTGATCTAGGCATGGTTTTGCCTTTAAAGCCCTAGATGATTTCTTGAGTAAGTCAAAATCCAATATACACATGTTAAGCATGTTTTTCTCTATAATGGTAGAGAATAGTTTCAAAACCCCTCAGCTTAGGTTAAGTAGCTAGTACTTCCATGCCTTTTTAGGCCATTGTTTATATCTATATTTGTCTTTAGAGTTTATATCAATCCATCTGAAAGAGAGAACAGTTAGCCTGTTCATAAATACCATTATTGTATCAATTTCCCATTGTGTTGCATCATTTTGTAGTGTTTTATTTCATTCATTTCTTATTCATCATTGTATTAATGCAGTAAGTGAATAGTTTTAGAAATGATCATCTGCAAAATATATACTAGCTAGAAATATATTAAAATCTTAGGGCATAAAGGGACTTTAGCAATCCTTCAATTAAGAATTTCCCAGAGGAGGATGTTAGTAGCATATGGACATAAGCCCTATGTTGGGGTTACCTCATTTTGAGGGAAGAGATGGGGTATAAAGTTAATGGAATGGGGGAAGAGTCCCCAAGAGACTTCTCTTTTACTTGTTACCTTTAAATCTTAATATGGGTGGTCATTATATGTATATTTATTAGATTTTTTTCTATGCTTTCTCTCTCCTTCCTTTCTTTACTTCCTTCCCTTCCTTTCCTTCTTTCTTTATTTTGTTTATCTAAAATATTCTATCCTGCTAATAGGAAAAAACAAACAAAGGATTCTTGTGATCGAATAAGTGTGAGAGACTCTGGAAAAAAAAGTTAAAGAAATTTCCCTGCTGGAAAACTGATAATTCATTCATTCATTGATTTCTGCTCAATGCTTGCTAATTGCCAAGCATTGTTGCTGGCTTGGGGCTACAGAAGTGAACAAGGCTTAGACAAATCTCTGCTTTGAGAGAACATGCATCCTGAGTAATCTTCAAGACGGTTATGAAGAATTCATACTGGCATGTCTCCACTCCTTGCTCTTAACACTTTTTTTTTTTTTTTTTTTTGAGACCGAGTTTCACTTGTTGTTGCCCAGGCTGGAGTGTAGTGGCACAATCTCAGCTCACTGCAACCTCCGTCTCCTGGGTTCAAGCAATTCTCCTATCTCAACCTCCTGAGCAGCTGGGATTACAGGCACCCACCACTACGCCTGGCTAATTTTTGTATTTTTAATAGAGACGGGGTTTCATCATGTTGGCCAGGCTGGTCTTGAACTCCTGACCTCAGGTGATCCACCCGTCTCGACCTCCCAAAGTGCTGGGATTACAAGCGTGAGCCACCACGCACGGCCAACACTTTTTTTATGAGTAGTATGTCATGCACTTAATGTTTTATGGAATATACTTTGATAAAGAGTTTTCTAGAACATTACCATTTATCCCAATGAAAATACTTAGTTTTGTTTGAGCCATCAAAGAATCATAAAACTTCGAAGATTTTCTTAAAGCAGTGCCTTATGATGCTAAGAAATTGTTAAGTAAATCCTACGATTTAAGCATAGGATTTTTGGTATACTAGAGAGTCAACTGTTGGATTCTCAGATGATATTTACATAATTGATATGCAGCAGGCATTCATGAGAATTCCAAAATATCACAATTAGACTTCAGACTCTTCTTATATCTATGGTTGTTAACAAAGCACTTTTCCTGAAAACATTCAAGTGCAGTTAGAACAGACCAGCCTGACTAGTGTTAAGATAAACGGTTCTTCAAAAGGGTACTTAAGGGAAATCACACATTGCTTTTTATAGCATCCTGACTAAGTTAGTGTGCTATTGTTTTTTATTTTATGGAATGTGGAGATGCAGGAAGGATTACCAATTTAAATCTAACTTCATTATTTAATTAAGCATATTGAAAACATTTCAGAATTGTCCTTTCACTCCAATTTAATAAACATTTCTGCAAGATTGAGGTAATAATGAATAAGTGTGCCTAATTTAATATTTTCTGACATTTACTGAGGTTGATTTTTAAAAACATGCAAGCTAATACATTTTTGTAAATTTCTCTGTATTGTTGCAAAGAATTTCAGCACATTTGATTTCTTGATTTAATTTATTTAATTGGACCGCTGTTTTTTAAAATAAGTTTTATTATGTATATTTGAGGTTTACAACATGAATTTATGGGACTACATATAGAAAATACCATTGTTACAGTAATAAAGCAGATTGACAGGTCTGTCATCTCACATAGTTACTTTTTGGTGACTAATTGGCTGTTCTTAAAAGCATTTTTATTTAGGGGCCTGTACTTTTCTGGAAAAAGGGTAACATTTTTCAAAGTAGTCAGTAAGTAGCTAGAAACAAATGACTGCCTTTCCCTACATTGTCTTTCTTGGTTATTGCATTACTTTCTCTCTGAGTGTTTCTGGGTCGTTTCCATGGGTTAAAATAGTTGATTTTCTTAATGGGATCCACTGCTGACATGATTATACATTCAGTTTCCAGGAGATTTTTCTTTCATCTTTGATATGTAAGCATTAAATACTTCTGAGCAGCTGGACACCTAAGTCACACAACAGGGTTTCTCATTGAGAGGACCCAGAGTTACAATCTGCTAAGTCACTCTTGATGAATCTTCAATTGTGCAGTGAGTTTCCTGATACATTTATATTAGGTCCAGTTAGAGCCTCTTAAAGTTTCAGGATAGTTGTTTGATTGGAGAAGTTTTATTAGTCTTCAGGGTTGAGTGGAAATTCTAAGCTCTCTAAATAATCTGGAAAAAGGAACATGAAAAATTGAAACAAAAGAGAAAGATACCTAATAAATTCAGGTCTCTTTAGTAAGATAGAGCTTTGATTGACCATTGAAATGGCTGGTTCTAAAAACGCAGATGATCCATTGCAGAGCCAGGTGTGGTGGCATGGGCCTGTAGTCCCAGCTACTCAGGAGGCTGAGGCAGGAGGATTGTATGAGCCCAGGAGCTCAAGGCCAAACTGGGCAACATAGCAAGACCCTGTCCTTAAAAAAAAATTAAATAAAAAAATTAAAAAGAAGATCTTATGTAAAGACATCATTTTATCTCCAACTGAAATATTTCTAGTTACATGTGTAATATTAAGTTTAGAGTAATACGTAGGTATAATCAGATAGTTTATCTGTCTCTTGTTTATGTGAAAGAAGAGGAGGAAGAAGAGGAGAAGGGACAGGAAAGAGAAAGGAAGAAAAAGTGGCAGAAGAAGAGGAGAGAGGAAGAATGTTTATTGAATTGAATGGTTGCTGTGTCCCAAACACCATTCTAAATGCTACACCTAAATTAACTCTTTTACTTCACACAACATCCCTGACTTGGTCTATTATTATTTATTCTTTATAGACAAGGAAACAGAGGTACAAAAATGTTAAGTTATGTAGCTAGCACATGGCAGAGCTGGGATGTGAATCTATTTAGCCTTGATGCAAATTCCAAGTCTTTAACAACATCATGGTAGTCCTTCTCTTTCACAGAATTGAATTTTTTTTTTTTTTTTTTGAGATGGAGTCTCGCACTGTCCCCCCGGCTGGAGTGCAGTGACGCGAACTTGGCTCACTGCAGCCTCTGCCTCCTGGGTTCAAGCGATTCTCCTGCCTCAGCCTCCCGAGTAGCTGGGACTACAGGTGTGTGCCACTACACCCGGCTAATTTTGTATTTTTAGTAGAGACAGGGTTTCCACCATGTTGGCCAGGCTGGTCTTGAACTCCTGACCTCAGGTGATCCACCTGCCTTGGCCTCCCAAAGTGCTGGGATTACGGGTGTAAGCCATCCTGCCCAGCCTAGATCTCTTACAATCAACCTTCCCATGGGAAATGCCACAATAAGCTATTTTACTTTTACCTACTATAGTTCACCTTTTCTATAACAACTGATTATACTTAAAGTATTTGAAAGTGAAATTTCCCTTTCTCATGTAATTGTGTATTCATTTCCATTTAATCCTTTCTGTGAAAATCACAACGCATTAATTCTCTTGTGTGTTTCAGTGTTGTCAGAATCCTTGTCATGTGATCTTTAAGTTACAGCTCTATGCTCTAGTTTATGTTCAAAATCTGATTTAAGATTCTTTAAGCCTTCTTGGTTTCTCTAGAAATGTGGATTTAATTCACCTGTAAGAGGTACCTAAAATCCTAGAATGTATTTTTTTTTTTTTTTTTTTTGAGATAGGGTCTCACTTTGTCCCCCAGGCTGGAGTGCAGTGGTGCAATCTTGGCTCACTGCAACCTCCACCTTTTGGTTCAAGCGATTCACCTGTCTCAGCCTCCCAAGTAGCTGGGATTACAGGCACATGCCACCATGCCCGGCTAATTTTTGTATTTTTAGTAGAAATGGGATTACGCCATGTTGGCCAGGCTGATCTCAAACTCTTGACCTCGGGTGATCCACCCATCTCGGCCTCCCAAAGTGATGGGATTACAGGTGTGAGCCACTGCACCCGGCTGTATTTTTCAAATGTCTGTATTTCTTTGAGTAATGGTTATATGCATTTACAACATTTTCTTTTGGAAATGCATTTATATGCATTTATAACATTTCTTTTGGATTTTCAAATCCTAGAAGTAGCTGACTAGAAGAGTTATATTTTTAAAAAAATGACCTAGCTATATATTTTAGCAGGTACAACTATTAAATGTCTTCTTTGACATTTGATTAGGTTGCTTCCAAGTGGCATTCACTTCCTAAATAGAAATGTAGATGTCTTCAAAATGCAAACTGGATAAAGTTATACCCAGGGCTGAGAAGACATTTGCAAGTTGAATCAATGGCAGGATTTTTAATTGAAAACTAAAGTCTTCAACCAGATTCAACTCAGTCTAGCAAATTGAATTGTGCCACTCTGCTACACTGCAGATGTTAAAATTATTTCAAGCTCTGAAATTCTGATTTGATTTCATTATTCAAAATTGGTTAACTGAGATTTATCAAAATACCAAAAACTGCATTATCTCTTGGTTCATTTAAAGTTTCTTCTCTTTGATCGAGTTAAGGTTTGCTTAAAAAATATTTAAATATAAGTTCTTAATTGTTGATAATATTTAAAGTATCAGCACTCCAGGTGACAGCATTTTTATCATTTCTTCTTATTGCTGCGAAGTTTATGAACCTGAACTCTGAAAGGCTGCATTTTTAAGTCAGAGAATGGTGTCCCCATCAAGGAGATACCAAAGTTGATATGTTAAGCAGTTTGAAGATCATGTTTAAGTTAATACAGAGGTACAAATCTGCAAAGTGATTGATTTCTAAGAATTAAAACAGATATACTTTGAATGAAGTCCTATGGAATGGCTGGTCTAAATTCTATTTCTGTTGCATTTAGCTTTCTATTTCTGAAGATATCATAAGAATTTTCATCCCGAGATAAAATTTTAGAACATTATTCTGCCTTTTTCCTGGAATACTTCTAAGCTTATATTTTTATTACCAAGTCTGTAGTGATAGATCAAGTGTCTAGTCATTTGTCATTCAGTCAAATTATTTTTTGACTTTCATACATAAATCATCAAAGCAACATATCTTTCCCTTTTTTTCTACTTTTTGTTGATTTTTTTTGTACACTTCTTTTGTGTAGATCATAGTCCTATGAGCAAAGGGAAACTGTTATTTCATTTTAACAGGCTATTGAATATCTATCACTTTCTGTTTTTAAAACTGTAAAACATCTTGACATTTAGTTTTATGTTTGGTTTGTTTGACTACTTTTCATGACAGCACTAACCCTATTCTAAGTATATATGTATCATCATACTGAAAAGTTCTTCTACTTTACAATGTTAATTTGAGATTTCCCTGGAATTTAGGATTTCTCTCCCAAACTTTTATCTAGAGCTGTGGTTCTTAACTTTTTCTGTACATTTAAATCCCCTGGTTCCAGTCTGAGATGTAATTGTTATTTTATTATTCCAACTTACAAAATTTCTACACTCAAACTATTCTCCATAACAATTAAATATTAGCCTCTAGGGCTGGAACCTGAGCACCAATTTTTTTTTAATTCCCAGATTATTCCAGTGTTAAGTTGATAATAAATGGTCTGATTCAATGCATAAATATTAAGAACCCTCAGAATCACTGTGGGTGGAGATTCTTGTTAAAATGCATATGCTGATATGGTAGTTCTGGGGTGAAGCCCAAACCTTTGCATTACATTTTTTACAAGCACTTTGATAATGCAGTTGCCACCAAGCCACAGACCACACTTGGAGTATCAAGAGTTGAATGGATATTTGACCAAAAGAAGAATAACGTATTTTACTCTGAAACTACCTATTGGTCCATTGGTCCTCACCTATACTTCCTGGCTTTCCTGAAACAGTATTTTAATTGGTGGCAACAAGAAATTATTTCTTTCTACATGTAGAAACTACATCTTACTCTGCCGGGGAAAGGAATCCAAAAGCATTATATCCATTATACCTCCTAACTCATGTTAATATAGTAAGTGAAAATGAGTCCATTTAAGCCAAGCTTGTCCAACCCTCAGCAGCTATTGTTGGTGTTAGTGTATTTTATGTGTGGTCCAACACAATTCTTCTTTTTCCAGTGTGGCCCAGGGAGGCCAAAATATTGGACACCCCTGATTTAAGCTGTTGACAAATGTATTTGTTTTGGTAAAGGTAGTTAGTTACATTTTCTGTATTTTGTTGAACCATATGAAATTGCTGATTTTTACAAAACACTTTTGACCCAGAAAGGTTGCAATTTCGTTGTTCAGCCTAATAGTTTTACAAATTGTTGTCCAGCATAGGAAAATAAAAGAAAAAGAAAAATCACATCAGGATATACTTTTTCCCCTGTAGGTTAATTTGTAGATAGAATGTGTAGTTAGAGTTTATGCTGCCGATAGGACACAGAACGAGATGATATAGCAGAGTGCCTCTTAGGAAATGCACACAGATGGCTTCCACAAAGTAGCTCTAAATGCACTTTCCATTTGCCATCAGCAAAATAATTGACCACCTCCCTTTGGTGGATACCTACTTTCCTTTCAGTGTCCGCCTCCTGTCTCATTTTCTACCTGCCCTGTTCCTATCAGAAACCCGGACCAGGGAACCTTCTACTGGAGGAAAGAAACTTCCATATACCATTAGATTTTGGAATCTGAGATATATGAGGGGCCCCAGGAACAGGTTTTGTGTTACCCAATATTTCCAATGCCCCTTCTCGGTGTGTTCTACATGTGTAAAGTGATTATTCTTTTTTAAACGTGAAATGTCTAGTTATTGTAGTAGATGGCCCTATACCACTAAAATATGTATGTCACTAAAACATCAATTAACTTTGATGCTGAATTGATTTGACTTGGTTTGATTTGCTCGGGAAACATTTCTTCAACTATTGTGTACCAGGCCCATTGTTAGGTGATGCAGATGCAAAGATCTACATGGTCTGATGCCTGTCCTAAAGAAGCAAGTGGCCTAAGGGGATGACATAGAGAAGTAAATTGATATTTACGTATAGTGTGAAGAGTGCAAAGATAGAGTCAAGAAAAACTATATAAGAACAGAGAAGGGGTATCTAAACAAAAATGAAATTACAAGAATAGGTGATACTTGATCCAAGTTTTGAAGTATGGGCAGGATTTCTGAGGAAAGGGAGAGAAGAAAAGAATTTCAGGAAGGGGATTGACATAGAAAGAGGTTCAGAAGCATGAAACATCAAGATCTGGTTGGATAACTCTAAAGAGCTGCCAGATTTGATTTTCCTGGGGTAAAGTTATATACATAGTGCTTTAAGGCTGGTGAGGCTGAGAAGGTGGGCTTGTTTCTCAACCTCACCAGCCATAAAGTATCAGAATAAGTGGAGTGTCAGCATTCATAGTCTTTTACGCCAGGCAATGGGGTTTGAACTTTAACCTAGAGATCTTGGGAACCGTTTGTGTCATTTTGACAAGGGAGTGTCAGGACACATTTTACATGTTTAGTAGTTGACCCTTGAAGTATTGCAGGGAACAGGAGGGACAGGAGTAAGACTGAGAGGCCAGAAAATCTAGTTAGGAGGTTATACTAGTAATCCATAGAAGCAATGGTCAGAGGCTAAAAAAAAGTAGTAGTTGACCATGGGAATAAAAAAAGAGAATGCACAAGAGAAGTATTTACTAATGAAGTAGAAGCTACATGAGCTAATATTTGATTGGATGTGTGATTTACGTCATAGGAAAGTGACGAAGGTGGTTCCCAGGACATGGGCGTAAGTTATCTGGGTGGACAGTGGTGCCATTGAATAGGAAATACAGGAAGAGAAAGGGGGTAAGCAGTGAATTTAATTTGAGCATGTTGATGTTGATATCTAAATGAAAATGTCAGTAGGCATTTTTCTATATAAGCCTGAAATTAACTTGAGAAATATAACCATAAGATACAAATTTAGGCATCAGCAGCGTATAAATGACAGTTGAAGTTAAGGAGATGAATTAGGTATGGGAAGATAGTATAAAGATGAAAAGAGTGACTAGGCACGGTGGCTCACGCCTGTAATCCCAGCACTTTGGGAGGCTGAGCTGGGTGGATCACCTGAGCCCAGGAGCTTGAGACTAGCCTGGGCAACACAGGGAAACCCTGTCTCTACAAAAAAATACATAAATTAGCAAGACATGGTGGCACACACCTGTAGTCCTAACTACTGGGGAGGCTGAGGTGGGAGGATTGCTTGAGACTGGGAGGTCAAGGCTGCAGTGAGCCATGATTGCACCACTGCACTCCAGCCTAGGTGACAGTGAGTCTTCAAAAAAAAATTAAAAAATAAGAAAAAAGGCAGGAAGGCAGGAAGGAAGGAAGGAAGGAGGAAAGAAGGAAGGAAGGGCGGAAGGGAGGGAGGAAACAAGGAAGGAAAGAAGGAAGCAGGAAGGAAGGAAGGAAGGGAGGGAGGGCCAAAGACTAGAGAGGGAATACAGGATTTAAAGTCCTGTGAATAAAATCAAGAGTGTCATAGAGACAGCAAGAAAACAGAAAAGTTTGGTATCACAGAAACCAAAAGAGAATAAAATTTCAAGGAGGAAGTAGTGAACAGTGTCAATGCTGCAGACAAGTCAAGTTAAAAAAAACACACACAGAAAAGTGACCATGAGAGTTGGTGGCATAAAGACATTTGTTGATCTTGACTGGATTGCATAACAGTCCACCATTGTACAATCTCCAGGCAGAATTTGAGGATTCTGTGGACAGTGAGGAAATTGGAGTCCACAAGGACAGACTGCTTTTTCAAGAAAAATGGAAGAAGGGAAGTAGAGATTCTTAATGCTGTTGTTTACCTGTCACAGGTGCTGAGGAGAAAGACCCCATAAGAAGAAAAAGAGTCAAAAGATGACTGGGAGTGAAGTGATATATCCACAAGCATGGGTGGAGCCAATCAGCATGAATGAGGGAAGGGAGACAGGAGGGAGAAATTGAGGGGGTTTCATCTAAGATTGCTCTTTTCTCCATATAGTAAGACACAAGTAATATGGTGAGAGTGAGTGGGAAGAGGGCAGAGGTCATGGTGTTTAGGAGTTGAAAGACCCATAAAACATGAAACAGGAATGGGAAGGAAGCCAACTGCTGATGTGTAAAAGGCCCATCAGGTTGTGTTTGCAGCCTCCTAAACTTGGTAGCATTCCTTGAGGTTGTATGATTTCAACACTGAATTTTGTTCACGTGTGCTTGAATTAGCCATGCGTATTACTCACGTAATATGCTGATCCACTTTAAGCAAAAAAAAAAAAAAAAAAAAGGAATTGATGTTGATGGTTGATGGAGAGAAAAGATATGCTAGTCTCAAAATGGCATAATGCTTTAAAGAGAGTAGTTTAATCCATTAGATGGTAAATTTAGTTAATCTTCTTCGAAACAGCTAGGTTTTCAATGGTTTGCTCCTCCCGTTAAGACTAATTTTTGCTTTAGTTTTATTCTTCAGAGCTCGAATTATTATTTGTGCAAGATTTTTAATGTAACTTGAGTACTAAGGACAGCAGTTAATTATCTGAAACTAATTTGTAACAGTTTTGTAAGCTACTGTGACCGAATGTTATTTCAGTTACAGTAATAAATTAACAACTTGTTGGATAAAGTGTCAGCCATAAGTGATTTTTAACACAGTTAACATACTCACCAGCCACTAAAGAAAAAAAATGCAAAAACATACAGCTCAAAATTCATTGGAGGAATTTAAATGGAATTCTAAGAAATATTTGTTTAACCTGAAAAAGACAAGAAAGAAGGAACAAAGGACCATATAACAGATGAACACAAAGAAAATGAATAGCTAAATGGCAGACCAAATACAAACATACTAGTAACTATTTCAAATGTAAATAAAATAAACACTTTCATTAAAAGCATAGGCTATCACACTGACTTTTAAGAAAGCCAGATCCAACTCTATGCTGTGTATAAGAAATGTATGTGAAAAATAAAGACAAAGATATAAAATACTTCAAGGTAAAATTATAGAAAAATATGTACACTGCAAATATAACCACAGAAAAGCTGGAATGCCTATATAAATATCAAATTAAGTAGGCTTAAATTAGATTTAAAGACAAGGAGAATTAACAGAGGAAAATATGAAAAGGAAAAAAAGGTGCCAGGCATAGTGTCTCATGCTTGTAATCCCAGCAATCTGCGGGGCCGAGGAGGGCAGATTGTTTGGTCCCAGGAGTTTGAGACCAGCCTGGGCACCATGGTGAAACCCCATCTCTACTAAAAATACAAAAAAATTAGCCGAGCATGGTGGCGTGCACTTGTAGTCCCAGCTACATGGGAGGCTGAGGTGGGAGGATCTCCTGAGCCCAGGAGGTCCAGGCTGCAGTGAGTCATGGTCACACCAGTTCACACCATGGTGAGCGCATGGTCACACCAGCCTGGGCTACAGAGTGAGACCTTGTCTCAAAAAAAAAAAAAAAAAAAAACAGGAAAACAGTGTCATTTCATTAGGAACCATTATAATTTTTTTAAGTTAGACAAAAAAAAAAAATTAAGAAGGATATATATTTGAACAATACTGACAACCACTTTGTCATAATCCAGCAGTGTCCCTGGAGGGTTTTTTTTTTCAAGTTCACATGAAACGGTCACCAAAGTAGACCATATGTTGAGTCATAAAAAATATTAAATTTCTAGATTGTGGTCTTATAGACTACACTCTTTGACTGCAAAAGAATCAAACGAGAAGCAGTAACAATATAATGTCTATTGATAAGAAAGTAGATCTTAAATGTTCTCACCACACACAAAAATGATAAGTATATGAGGTGAATAGATATGTTAATTACCTTGGTTTAATCATTCCACAATGTATATATATAACAAAAAAGTATATTGTGTGCTGTAAATATATACAATTTTTATTTGTCAATTATGCTTAATGAAGTTGGGAGAACAATATATCTACAAAATCCTCAAATATGTGAAATGCAAATCAAACTTCTAATATATATATAAATATATATGAATATTGACAAATATATACAAATATATATAAATGTTTGATATATATAAAATATGTATTGAAGAAAAGTACTATAAGAAAAATTACAAAATATTTTGATGGAATGATAACTGATACAAAATACCAAAATTTGTAGAATGCTGCTAAAAAGTATTTAGAAGGAAATTTATAGTTTTAAATGTTTATACTAGAAAGGATTAGAAAGGAAAAAAGGTTTAAAATTAAAAACTCATGTGTTCAATTTAAGTAGATAAGCCAATTAAGATTATCTCAAAATAATTGTGCCTAAAATTACAATTTTATTAAAAATATTAATTTTAAAAGAAGGAAATAAGAGTAGAAAAATAAAATAGAAAACAGACAAATAACAGAGAATATTAACACAGTCATAAGCTTTTTTTTTGAAAATTTTAATAAATTTAATATCTCTAAGAAGATGGATTTTTTTAAAAATTATAAACATCAAAATTCAAAGCCTGGAGCTGGGCACAGTGGCTCATGCCTGTAATCCTAGCGCTTTGGGAGACCAAGGCAGGAGGAGCACTTGAGCCCAGGAGTTGGAGACCAGACTGGCTAACATAGCGAGACTCTGTCTCTACAAAAAAATTAAAAAATTAACCAGACATAATGGCATACGCCTGTAGTCCCAGCTATGTGGGAGGCCCAAGTCAGGGGGATCACTTGAGCCTGGGAGACTGACTTGATCACCTCACTCCAGCTCCAACCTGGGTGACAGAACAGGACCCTATCTCAAAAAAAAAAAAATTAAATTCTGTGTTCATCAAAAACTCTGTTAGGAAAATGAAAAGGCAGGTTACAGATAAGAGAATATATTTACAGTATGCTTATATTACAAAGGACTTGTATCCAGAAAATATAAATAACTCCTATAAAGTAACAATAAACCAAAACATGAATGGGATACCATATCATGCCCATTAGGATAGCTAAACACTACACAACACTAATATTGATGAGGATATGGTGCACTTGAACTCTATACATTTCTGATTGGAGTGTGATGTTGTGCAATCACTTCAGAAAACTCTTTGGCAGTTTCTTATAAAGTTCTGTCCTTTTAAGCCAGGAATTCCACTTCTATGTATTTATTTTAAAAAGAAAACATGTCCACACACACACACACACGCACACACAGACACACAAAACTTGTAAGAGAATATTCATAGCAACATAATTCATAATTGTCAATAACTAGAAATAGTCCAGATGTTCATCAACAGAAGAATAAACAAATTGAGTGCATGTTACACAAGGGGTTACTACTCAGCAGAAAAAAAATATGAACTACTGATACATGCAATAAAACAGATGCGTCCTAAAACATTGTTAAGCAAAAGATGCCAGACACAGTGGAGTACATGTAGTATGATTCAATTTATGTGAATTTCAAGTAAAATCAAGCTAATCTACAATAATGGAAATCAGCACAGTGGTTGCCTATGCGGTGTTGGTCGGGGCTGTTAGGATGACTGTAGGTGGAGACAAGAGAACTTTATGGGGGAATGGAAGTGTTTCATATGATTTGGGTGATGGTTACTTGGTATATACAGTTATAAAAATTTGGCAAATTGTACATTTAAAATTCCTGCATTTCAAATATGCAAATTTGGCCTCTGTAAAAGTAAAAAAAGAAGAAAGAAAAGAAGCATTTTGATATGTTTTCATAAACTAGGCATAGTTTTTTTTTAAATTCCTGTGAATAAATTCTTCCAGGCTTCTTAAAATTCTCAAGTAAAGCCAAATGATAATAATAAAAAGCTTATCCTTGGTGAACCAGCATCTCTAATTAGAAGGCATAAAATTTAACATTTCTGATCATGTGATTCATGTTTTGCTTCCCATGTAGTTGATGCGAGTTGTATAGTTGCACGAGTTGTATAGTTGCAAGGGCTTTGGTCTTAAAGTGTTGGGGGATGGGATTCAAGAAGAAGTTAAGGTTCCCTTGGGCTTTAAAACTCTGTGATTTGCTGGCCGGGCACGGTGGCTCACATCTGCAATCCCAGCACTTAGTGAAGCTGAGGCGAGAGGATCAGTTGAGGCCAGGAGTTTGAGACCAGCCTGGGCAACATAGTGAGATCCCATCTCTACAAAAATTTAAAAAAAGTAGGTGGGCATGGGGGTGCACAACTTCCCATGTAGTTGATAATAATGATAAAATTATCTAGCAATTATTGGGCTATTAACAATATACCAGGCAGTCTTCTGAGGGCTTTGCATGTTTAACTCATTTAATCCTCACAGCACCCTAAGAAGAAAGTACTATTTGTAATCCCATTTTACACTTGAAGTCTCAGAAGCTCAGGGATTTAAGTAATTTGTTCATAGTCACATGGTTTCTAAGGAATGTAGCTGGTCTATAGCACCAAGGGCTCTGATTTCCAGGCATGCTGTGTGCTCTTTATCACCCTGCTGTCCTGCCAGGAGGGTTGCTTCTAATATGGTCCAGTAGAGTATATAGTCACTTGTTTGCTCTTCTCCTATTAAAGCCATCCAGTGTCTCAAAAAAAATAGCAGCACCAACTTTGCCTAATCATAGAGTTATTTTTATTTATTTTTTTTAGAGGCAGGCATGGTCTAACTCTGTCACCCAGGCTAGAGTGCAGTGGTGCAATCATGGCTGACTTCAGCCTGGAACTCTTGGGCTCAAGCAATCCTCCCACTTCAGCCTTCTGAGTAGCTGGGACTACAGTTATGCATCCCCATGCCCACCTACTTTTTTTTTTTTTATTTTTTGTAGAGATGCTATCTCACTATGTTGCCCAGGCTGGTCTCAAACTCCTGGCCTCAACTGATCCTCTCGCCTCAGCTTCACTAAGTGCTGGGATTGCAGATGTGAGCCACCGTGCCCGGCCAGCAAATCACAGAGTTTTAAAGTCCAAGGGAACCTTAACTTCTTCTTGAATCCCATCCCCCAACACTTTAAGACCAAAGCCCTTGCAACTATACAACTCGTGGAAGTGTCATATGCCCACACAGCAGAGTCTGTTTGCAAAGATGGTTTGGTGGAACAGGTCAGGTCAGGACCAGTGCGCACTCCCTCAACTAAACGTGTTCTGTTCCACATTCAAGACATACAGCTTTATATTTCAGGAGACTTGGTGCTGCGGTAGCTAAGGGGCAGTCAGTGTGATAAATACAGCTTTATAATATCCATTTTCCTAAGCAGCGTGATTCTGTCCATGTTAAAGGCATTGTTTGAGCCATATTTTGCCAGTATTGGTGCAAAGCAGTGAAATATAAGTACCCTGTACAAGTGTTGCTCAGTGTTTTCATTTTGTTTTCTTTCTGTCCTATGTGGCACAGTTTATTAGTTCTCGTAACACAAACTAAAATGAAATTCAAAGCTCTACCGAGCTGTTGTTGTTAATTTTGTTTTCAGGGTTTCTTTCTTTTTTTTTTTTTTTTTTCCTTTTTCCTGCTTCTTATTCTGTCTCCCTGAGCTACACAGCACACACATAGAATTCTGCTCATTTACTTTCCTGGAGAGCTATAATGCGCATCAAACCACAGCAAATAGCAAAAAGATTGTATGGTTGTTGAGAACATCAGTGTCTAAGGTTCCAGTACTGAGGCACTCACACACAGGCTAAATGAATATCTCCAGCAACTAAATGAATCCCTGCTTCCTTGGGAGATCCAAAGGTTTTTATTAACGTTATGCATAAATTCAAGCACCAAAGAACTTGAGATTGATTTCGTATTCTGCAGTTTTCCAAAGAAGCTGCTTACAGATAACTGCGGAAGGGTTGATCTTATTTAGATAGGCTACTAGACCTCAGAAGCTAGACTTTTGTTTTTCAAATAGTGGCTGTGGATTCTATATCCTATGTCCAAGCTACCGTTTGGGACAACATGGTTCCCTTCAGGTGGTTGCAAGTACGTGAGAGGCTGATCTTGGCGTTTCCGCTTGAAAAACTATTCACTGAAATGTCCTTGCTTTCACTCAGCATGCCCCTAAGCTTCCGTGAGGGAATGGATTCCTTCTTTCCATGAGTAATTTCAAGAAGTCCTCTCATTGCCCTCTGCAGCCATGATTGAGAAGAATGAGGGTAGTAATCAACAGAATATTAATGAGAGTTAATAATAGTATTAACAATAATACTGAAGATCAATATAACAAAGTATACTAATCAATAGAATAGCAAGTAATATGAGTGGCACTAACAACATTAATACAACCATTCCATTGAGGATTTATTATATTTTAAGCACAATGCCAACCACTTTGTAAGCATCCTCTCAGATCTTCACAACCATCAGGAGATAGCTCTTACTATTATGTCCATTTTGCAGAAAAGAAGACAGGATTGAAAAGATGCCGCTCCTTTAGGTCCAGCAGTGTGAGATCTGGTGTTATTCTTTGAAGCCCCAAAGGTTCCATCTTTATGTTAGTCAGGTGGTTTAGACACAGATCTGTCTTTCTACACTGATAAGAAGAGTGAAGGGGATTTTTCTTCCATGTTCAGAAAACTTAATGGATTTGATAAGTAGTAAACATTCATCCTTATAATCTCAGGTTATGCATATAAATGATCTGTTTGAACATAAGTGACTATTCTGAAATTGATAGAATAAATGGCACGGAGAGTCACTCTGTTCTGTACCTCCAAACCTTGAAAGTGCTTCGTCGGCCTATTTTTGATATTCCATAGTCACTATGAATATCTTTGTTAGGAAAACTCTACTAAGTTTTTTGTGTAGTTAAAAACCCTAATATCTTAACCATGCAAAGGCTTGGCATGAGATTAAAAGAGAAAATAGTTTATTAACCTCTTTGGTTTCATATTTAGCTGAAAACGTTGGGTACTAGGATTTTCTTTTTCCCTGTGGATTCTTTGGTAGAAGCCGAGACACATTTTATTTTTATTTTTCAAAAATAATTTCTGGCTGAGCTCAGCGACTCACACCTGTAATTCCAGCACTTTGGGAGGCTGAGGCAGGTGGATCACCTAAGGTCAAGAGTTCGAGACCAGCCTGGCCAACATAGTGAAAGCCCGTCTCTACTAAAAGTACAAAAAAAGTTAGCCAGGAATGGTGGTGTGTGCATAAAGTCCCAGCTACTTGGGAGGCTGAGGCAGGAGAATCGCTTGAACCCAGGAGGTGGAGGTTGCAGTGAGCCGAGATCACACCACTGCACTCCAGCCTGGGCCACAGAGCGAGACTCCGTCTAAAAATTAATAATAATAACAATAATTTTAAGATATATTTTAAATAGGGAAAAATGATAACTTGATATAGAAAGCTGATGTTAGGAAAAGTTTAAAAGTTAGATGTCATAAAGATCTTGACTGCTGAAAACATATGCGTAGGCAGATTGTTACAAAGAAGAGCACATATACACATAAGAAGTGAAAAATGATAATGGGTTTTCCAAATATTTATTTTTGGTCTTATTTGTACTATATATAAATACCATAAACCTTCTCTTTTTTCAATTTTTTTCTTAAAGACAGGGTCTTGCTCTGTCACCCAGGCTGGAGTGTGGTAGTAGGATCAAAGCTCACTGCAGCCTTGATCTCTTAAAACTTTCCCTTTAAGATATCTGCACATACACATGCCTAAAAGCACCGATCATTGAATGAGACTAGAATCAGCCTATCATTTGGTGATTGTTATCCCAAATCCCTCATTTTGATAGAATTAAGTATTCCTTTTAATATTATTTCATAGAAATTTTATTCAGCTTTATTTTTCTAAGATAAAAGGTAAGGGATTATGAGTTGTTGTTTTTTTTTTTTAAAGGATAGTCATCCTGTAAGATCTTCCAGCCCAGAACATTTTATATATTTCCCTGAATAAATTTCACAGCTGCCCGATAGTAGGACAGACTGTAAAAGGAAAGCTGCCCTTGCCAGATATTGGTCTCACCATACATAATGTCCTTAGATGTGTTTTGTGCACCGGCTTTTATATCTTTTCACAGTGATTACCCTAATCCCTTCTACACAGTGTCTTAACATGAATTGTGAATGTATTGTCACAGTAATAGCTAATGTGAATTAGGTACACCTTGTATAATAGTTTCAATCCACTCCAATACTGGAATAATATTGACAGGCCGGTAAGCATTTTAAAAAAAATAGTATCACTGTGATTAAGAAAATGAAAGAACTAAGAGGATTATGAAAAATTACAAAAGACATAAAACACCCAAAGAAACTCTGAATGAAGTCAAGGTCATGATTATGTATATAGAAAGTTAAAGAGGTAAGAGAGAAAATAAATGAGCTACAAAATGAGACTGATCAGTTGCAAGGGAAACTTACAAAGGGAAGTACAATTTACTTAAAACTTTTTTCATTTGATTTTCTTTTGTTACATGCTTTAGCTTGTAAATGGGTTAGGTACTGTTCCATGGGGGAATTCATGTCTGTGTGCATTTTTAATCCCAAAGTGGAACACTAACATTTTCAGCATTTATAGTTTAACTTTATTCTGAAGCTTTAAAAGAGCACATTTTGGCATCTTCTGTGTAAGATTTATGAATTTTGAGCAAATTTGTGCATGACATTGTCTAACCCATCAGCCTCTCAGTTCCCCAAAGGATATTAATATATTATGGAATTTATGGGCTGCAGTGTTTCATTTTAAGCCCAGGAGAAGAGTTAGTTCTAAAGTGAATAAAATTTCAGACAAAGAATATTTCTATTTTAGTTTTTTCTTTATTTCTGGACTTTAATTGTTGGCAAGATTTAATAGTAGCTACAGATCATTTTGGCAATGCATTAAAATATTTTACCATATTGGAGAATTACACTTCTAAATACAGAATATCAATGCCATATGCAAGTAAATCCTAAGGGAAAATAACAGTCATAGAAACATGGAGACATAGAGTTTTAAAATTAAATGCTACACTTTGACAAAATAAATAAATATATATATGTATATACATATATATACAAATATATATATAGCATTTTCTTCCTTCCTTCCTCCTATCTTCTTTTTTTCTACCTCCTTATTTCTTTCATCTTTCCTCCTTCTTTATTTTCCATGATTCATGGACTTCTCCAAATTAAACACACTGAGGTGAGGTCTTGAATATTTTCTAGTATATACTTAATGTATTTTAAAAATATGTTCTCTTGGCCAGGTGCGGTGGCTCACACCCGTAATTCCAGCACTTTAGGAGACTGAAACACATGTATCACTTGAGGTCAGGAGTTCAAGACCAGCCTGGCCAACAGGGTGAAACCCCGTCTCTACTAAAAACACAAAAATTAGCCAGGCATGGCAGCCCATGCCTGTAGTCCCAGCTACTCAGGAGGCTGAGGCAGGAGAATTACCTGAATCCGGGAGGCAGAGGCTGCAGTGAGCCGAGATCGCACCACTGCACTCTAGCTTGGGTGAGAGTGAGAACAGAGAAAGACTCCATCTCAAAAAAAATATATATATATATGTATATATATATATATACACACATATATATGTGTATATATACACATATACATACATATATATATGTGTGTATATATATATATATGATGTCTTTGCTCTTATGGTAGCTAAAACTTTCCCAAAAATAGCAGATTGCTTTGATAGAATTGACAGTTCTTACAGTCTTCTCTGTGTCTAAATATTGATCTGCATTTCATAAAGTGTTGAAAAGCAATGACACTCACTGGGTCAGATTAGAGTATATTATCTTGGATACTATTGATTTTCTCTGCTTCATTTTATATTAAAAATGTCTTAAGCACAGGGCAAAAAAAGACCTTTACTTTGGAGATTTTTAAAGTATATTCCTGTATTTCCATTTTTGGCTTGGAGAGACTCTATTTTATGGCTTCTTGTTGCCCTTTATTAATCCCTGTTATTTTAATACACAAGGTAAGGCTTAACAAAGACTAAAGATTTGAATTCTTCTGTGTGTTACGTTTTACTAAGTATGTGAGAAAGATGCTTGTTTAGTTTTTGTTTGCTTTTGGACATGAGTGAAAGCTCATAAGATGTTTGCATGAATATAGGAAGAGTTTACGTCTTAAGACTAGATTCCTTCTCACGTTTCTTTAATATTCCCCTAAAGCCTACTAGACTCTGATGAGCTTTGTATTAGTCCATTTTCACACTGCTATCAAGAAGTCCCTGAGATTGAGTAATTTATAAACAAAAGAGGTTTAATTGACTCACAGTTCTGCATGGCTGGGGAGGCCTCAGGAAACCTACAATCATGGCAGAAGGCGAAGGAAAAGCAAGCACCTTCTTCACAAGGCGGCAGGACAGAAAGAGAAAGAAGGGGAAGTGCCACTTTCAAACCATCAGATCTCATGGGGACTCACTATCACAAGAACAGCATAAGAGAAACCACACCCATGATCCAATCACCTCCCACCAGGTCCCTCTCTCAACACGTGGGGATTACAATTCAAGAAGAGATTTGGGTGGGGACACAGAGCCAAACCATATCAAGCTTACTGAGAAGTTTGTCCCTGAAGCAAGTTCAGAATTCTCTTTGACATACTTCTATCTGCCAATATAAAAGAACAATCAGTCGAGCCACATATGGACATCTTAGTTTATTGTATTTTCTGCAGGAGGGAAATGAGCATACTCAAGCAGTCTTCCCTAGAGGTGAATGAACTAAACTTCATTTATGGGAATTAGTAAGCACTTACACTTTCTAAATTTCAGCTTTGCATTTGAGGTGACTATGTTTTTTAACTTTTATTTTAGGTTCAGGGGTACCTGTGTAGGTTTGTTTTATAGGTAAATTATCATGGGAGTTTATTGTACAGATTATTTCATTAGCCAGGTAATAAGCATAGTACCCAATAGGTAGTTTTTTAATCCTCACCCTCCTGCCTCCCTCTATCCTCAAGTAGGCTCTGGTATCTGTTGTTCCCTTCTTTGTGTCCGTATGTATTCAATGTTTAACACACACTTACAAGTGAGAACATAGGGTATTTGGCTTTCTGGTCCTGTGTTAGTTTGCTTAGGACAACGGCCTCCACCTCTTTCCGTGTTGCTTCCTTCAAAGAATAGGATCTCATTCTTTTTCTGTGGCTGCATAGAATTCTATGGTGTATATGGACAACATTTTCTTGATCCAATCTACCGTTGATGAGCATTTAGGTTGATTCCATGTCTTTGCTATTGTAAACAGTGCTGTAATGGACATAATGTGTCTTTTTGGTAGAATAATTTGTATCCTTTTGAGTATATACCCAGGATACTCTAAATTCTGTCTGCAAATCTCCATAAATATGCAAAATCTGTACCATTTGATCAAGCATGATATTAAACTGGAAACCAACTAGTGAAAGAATTTAAAATCAAAGCATATCAATGAAGTGCTCCCTGCAGCTTCAGATTTAACAGTCTCTAATTAAGCCGTCATAATACCTGCTAATATACGTTCATCTAAAGCCCATAGAAAGAAGCTGGAATAGAGATGCTTGTACTGTGTAGGAAATTGTAGAATCATTGCAGTAGCCAAAAAAAAAAAAAAAAAAAAGGTTAAATAATATGAGAGTAGAAAAATGCTTTCTCCAAAACTATGTGTGCAATTTTGGTCCCTCCATTCAGATGGTCACTCTAAAGCATTTTGAAATAGTCATTGGTATGTGACACAAAGAAAGTCTTGTAATATTTTGGAGTTGAGTATGCTACATTTTTCCTTAAATGACTTGCTCTGTTAGAACACATCAAGTCATGTCATACTCATAGATCTCTAAATATTTATTTTGTCTTCTGGTTAGTATTGAGAATCCATGAAAGCTGTTTATTTTATTAAAATAATCGTCATCCAAAAATGTTATTAAATGGTTATTTGGATAGTAATAAACTAGACTCTGTACAAATTGTGTTATTAGATATGGCCATGGTGTCTTGACATCTAAAGCAGAAATGTAAAGGAACATTTTTTAAAAGGAGATAATGTCACTAAATTATTATTGGAAGTATGAATAAATAATAATTGGGAGAGAAGTATTTATGTCTAAATAAAGGTAGCGAGGTTTACCACACTCAAGGTGCAAATCTGGTTATGGTTGTTATATTCCAAACATTGGCAACTTATGCCCTGCAGGACAAAATTAATTTTATTTCTGACAAGGACTCTTATTAAGTGAAACATGACCCTTGCCCTCTTTTTCCTTCCTGGGAAAAGCTGCCTCCTTAGCAAGTTCTGGTCCTCCAGCACATTTGGGAAGTAGCAACCTGAGGTCAACTCACAAATACCTTAATCTTCCCTCTCCATTCCTGCATACACAAAAGAAGTAAGGCTAAACCAGGTGCAATGGCACATGTCTGTAATCCCAGCACTTTGGGAGGCTGAGGCAGGAGGAATGCTTGAGCCCAGGAGTTCAAAATGAGCCTGGGCAATATAGTGAGAATCTGCCTCTACAAAAAAATTAACCAGGCATGGTGGCACATGCCTGTAGCCTCAGCTACTTGGGAGGCCAAAGCAGGAGGATCACTTGAGCCCAGGAGTTCGAAGCTGCAGTGAGTCAAGATCACACCACAGCACTCCAGCCTGAGTGACAGCAAGATCCTGTCTCAAAAATAAAAAATAAAAAGAAGAAGAAGTGAGGCGGAAATTTGTGAGGCTAAAACTTGGCATGCTGTGTATAAAGGACTGTTTATGATGGCAGATACTGACCTAAAACCCATCCCAAAGACAAACCCCAGAAATAGAATCAGACACTGGATGGGTGGATAGATGGATGCATGGATGGATGGATGGATGGATGGAGAAAGGGAGGATAAGAAACAGCAAGAAAGAGAGGGATGGAGGGATGGAAAGACGAGTGGAAGAGGGAGGGAAGGATTTGAAGAAACAGTCAAGTCTTCATTTTTGACTCAAAAATATCTACTATTTTTGCTACATTTTCCCTAAAGCCACATTTTCAATTAATCCTATTTTCCCAGGAGAGCACTGTGTCATACTCTTATAAAAATAAGAAAATAGACAAGTCCACAAGATGCGATAATATAAGCATACATAAGAATGAGGCCAAAGTTTTAAAAGCAACACATTTTAAGGGCAAAAACATAGTTTATATATTGTTGTGAATCTGACTGTGTAATTTGTCTCAACCTGCCTCATATAAAAAGTATGATAATAACATAATATCTCAATATTCATTAAGTGCTTATTATGAGTCAGGTACTCTCCTAAGAACTTTATATGTATTAAATGTGGAATTCTCACATCAACCCTATGGGGTAATTACTGTTATTGACTGCGTTTTGGAGATAAGGTTAACTGAAGACCAGACAGATGAGGTCATTTATTATAGCCTCATTTGATTTTTATTGGCAATGTGGTCATTCTAATACTGTAACCTATTTCCAAAAGCCTTTATTTTTATCTTTTTCCTTCCTCTCTTTTCCTCCTCCCTTCTCACCAAATATGGATGAAAATGTTTATGATGGCAGATACTGACCTAAGACCCAGCCCAAAGACATAGCCTCTGTCATCTTGGAGGTGCAATGTTAATCCTTTTTTATGAGGTGGAGTCTCGCTCTGTCGCCCAGGCTGGAGTGCAGTGGCAGGATCTCGGCTCCCTGCAACCCCTGCCTTCAGGTTCAAGCAATTCTCCTGTCTCAGCCTCCTGAGTAGCTGCGATTATAGGCGCCCGCCACCAAGCCTGGCTAATTTTTTGTATTTTTAGTAGAGACAGGGTTTCTGCCATGTTGGCCGGGCTGGTCTCAAACTCCTGACCTCAGGTGATCCACCTGCCTTGGCCTCCCAACGTGCTGGGATTACGGGCATGAGCCACCACGCCTGGCTCCAATGTTAATTCTTTAACTGTTTTTTACATTAGTTTTTCTTTGCTTGAAATTACCAGATTCTTTTCAGAATTATTTCCTAGAAGAACTCACAACATGAAATAAGAGGAAATAGCAGGACCTACAGCCCAGTGTTCATTGAGGAGGTATTGATCAGAGGTCCAGAATTCAGACTTGGAGGCCAGACTGCTGGTGTGTGAGCTCAGTTCTACCTTAATAATTTTGCAACCCTAGCTCATTTTTTAATTATCCTGTGCCTCAATTTCCTTACCTATAAAACAGAAATAATAATAGTGCCTACCTCTTAGGGTTGTTGGTTTGGTACTTGCAAAGTAATACAACTATCCCTGACACAGTATAAATGAACTATTATATAATGAATTACTCTAAATTTGATCTTCTTTCACTAATTAATTTCTGTTACATAAGGGAAATCTTTAGAATTTTCAGCCTTACTAGATTTGGAGAAGGATAACTGAACACCAACAATGGTTCTCAAGCAAAGAGTAAACAACAGCAATAAAAACGTAGAGGGGAGGTGGAAAGAATTAGGAGGTCATATTTCTCCACTTTATCTGGAATTCCGTCAGTTCATGTGGACCACACATTGTGATAGACATCCATATTTGGTTTTTCTTTAAAAAAAGGTAAAATAAAAGAAAGAAATCAGTGCTTATTAAATGAAGTTTAATAGACAAAAAAAGCTTATAACATAGAGGCAAATGGTAAAAATAACGAAGAGGTAAATTGGTCATGAAATTATTGAGGCCGGGTGCAAAGGCTCACGCCTGTAATCCCAGTACTTTGGGAGGCCGAGGTGGGTGAATCACTTGAGGTCAGGTATTCAAGACCAGACTGGCCAACATGGTTTAACCCCATCTCTACTAAAAATGCAAAAATTAGCCAGGTGTAGTGGCAAGCGCCTGTAATCCCAGCTACTTGGGAGGCTGAGGCAGGAGAATTGCTTGAGCCTGGGAGGTGGAGGTTGCAGTGAGCCGAGATCACACCACTGCACTCCAGCCTGGGCCTGGACGACAGAGCGAGATTCCCATCTCAAAGAAAAAACAAAGAAAGAAAAAAAAAAGAAAAGAAAGGATTGAGAACCACTGTTCTGAAACTTTTGTACATCTTAAAAAATTATGTCATGATTCAGAATACCAGTCATATGGTGCACTTAAGATACAACTTACTGTATCTTACAATTATACTGCACATAATTCAGGAAGATCTCTAAATGCCTGAGTAATCATCAGTGATTACAGAATTTTAGAAAAAGAGAAGACTTTAGAGATTAGTTGTATTTGGCTGGTTGGCTTTGGTTAGGATAGTTATTACTTTATAAATTTAATTCCTCCCTTTGCTAATTCAGAAAATGTGTATTACAGTGGAAAGCATCTCAGTAAAAGTTAGAGGAAATTATATTGTTCTGGGGTGTAGTGGAAAGTTTTCCTTTGCTGTGGCGCTCCTCTTAGTGATCAAAACTATTTGAGGGTCATTAAGCATCCATCTGTTACACTTTTAAAAAGTATTTTTGTTTAAAACAGATTTTTCACAAATTATGCTTGGAGTTCATGCACAGACTTTCTGAAAATGCCTATAGAGCTTATCAAAAGATGTCCGATACTCTTTAATTTAAAATTTCCAAAAGAAAATGAGAGGAGCTTTCAAAATTAATCAGCTTTTCCATAGGTAACTTTGGTGGTTTAATGAGAAAAATCAAAGTTAAATTTAGTGTGTAGTTAATTAGAGTTTGAGGTTTCCCACAGTACTTTGAGAATAAAAGCTATTCATTTTGCTTATCAAACTAGAAATTTTAAAACACAGGCCAGGTGCGGTGGCTCACGCCTGTAATCCCAGCACTTTGGGAGGCTGAGGCAGGCGGATCACCTGAATCAGGATTTCGAGACCAGCCTGACCAACATGGTGAAATCCCATCTCCACTAAACATACAAAATTAGCCGGGTGTGGTGACTCACACCTGTAATCCCAGCTACTCAGGAGGCTGAGGCAGGAGAATCGCTTGAACCCAGGAGGCAGAGGTTGCAGTGAGCCAAGATCATGCCTTTGCACTCTAGCCTGGGCAACAAGAGCAAAATTCCATTTCAAAAAATAAAAATAAAACACAGTGATAAATGTATTTTTACTCATGAATCCTATGGATTCTTCATTGCCCATATGAAGAGCACGTCACCTGTAAAATTGATGTTGCAGAAAAGTTGTCCAGGAAGTAAAGATCCAGTCGTACTTTATTAAAAACACAAATATCTCCTCAGATGAAAATGCAAACTTGAGGGTAAACTCATGAAGGTCCTGACAGCTGGGATGTTCTTTCAGCTTCTACAGATGACAGTGCAGCTGAGAAGAAAGGGGGAACCCTCCACGCTGGCCTCATCATTGGAATCCTCATCCTGGTCCTCATTGTAGCCACAGCCATTCTTGTGACAGTCTATATGTATCACCACCCAACATCAGCAGCCAGCATCTTCTTTATTGAGGTAAGTGTTGAGTTTAACACATGAAAACCACGCCAGTTGATGAACTGTATCCGTTTGCTAACACCACCTGGATTTAATATTTACCACATGGCTTCTCCATTTTTCAGTTCAAGCTTTCTGATTTCACACACATGGATGTTGTCCCCCATGCACTCACGTACATATTGATAGATTGCTTTCAGATGATGGATTCAGTTACCTTATCTCAGGAGCTTTTAAAGACATAAACTATCTTGTCTTTCTAAGATCTAAAAGAAAATGGGAACCATAGTTTTTGGTCCTTTTATACCAAGTATGTTAACCAGCTGTTCTCCTTGTTCTAGGAGGAAATACTACGTATCTGGGGGGCTGAAGACTTAGCTTAAGTTAATTGCTCAGTAAATGCTAATTGAGTATTGGCTGTATGCATGATACAATATGATGGGCCTCTTCTCAAAATGCTCACAAACCGTTTGGAAAAAATATGGTTTTCACCACAAAATGACAGATGTAAAAATAAAAAATGGTATGTGCTGTTGCCATTTTGCATAATGTATGTACACTTGTACATTTATATATAAATGCAGAGAGACGCATATCCACACACTCAGACACACAATGAGAACACCATGCTGAATAAGTGTTATGTCTTCATGTACGGAATGTAGGTTTAGTGCCAATGCCAAGGAGCAAACAGGTGGGAAGACAAGGGGCTGTGCATAAGGAGCCATGGCTAAGCCCTGGGGTCTAAAAGGCTGAAACCAGCAAGCCTGGAGACCAGTGGATACAGTCTGTGTGTCTGTGTGACGAAGTCACCTCTGTCCTCCAGAAGGTTGGGTTTCCTGGGCCCCATGCATATGCAGGTTTTTTTTGTTTGTTTGTTTCTTGACAGTCTCATTCTGTCACCCAGGCTGCAATGCCGTGGTGCGATCTCGGCTCACTGCAACCTCTGCCTTCCGGGTTCAAGCAATTTTTGTGCATCAGCCTCCTGAGCAGCTTGGACTAGAGGCAAACACTACCACACCCAGCTAATTTTTGTATTTTTAGTAGAGATGGGGCTTTGCCATGTTGGCCAGACTGGTCTCAAACTCCTGACCACAAGTGATCCTCCCGCCTTGGCCTCCCAAAGTGCCGGGATTACAGGTGTGAGCCATCGTGCCTGGCCACATGTGCACCTTTGACTCTAACATCTAAATGGAACCACTCCTCTTCCAACACCAGATAGAACTAGAAATACTAAAGCAATAAAAGAAATCTTCTCTTGCAGAATTTCAAACATGTAATTAGAATTATTCATTGTATGACACATGGAAAGGTTGCTTGGAATTATGTTCACTTGTTGAGCGAGAAATTATAATGCCTTTTTTTTAATGACTTTTAAACTATGGAGTTAAAATTACCTATGCCACTTATAATGGGGAGGGGTGAATAAATGCAAATCAAACAATTGCTTAAATGTCCTTGATAGCTCACAACTGTCTGTAGAAGAAAGTGCCGTCTCCTTTTCCTTCTGTGGGGGCTCAAGGCCTTGGCACTCTCAATCTTATGTGTCATTTCAATCTTTATTCCCTTGGCTCCCTAATCTGGAGTTGGCACTTCTGTCAAATTTCATGCTTTGTCTCTGTACACAGCCCAAATTCTCCATGTCACAAAGACATTGCTCATTCTAGTTCCTCCATCAAAAATTCCTCCTGGTGAGGTATGGTGACTCACATCTGTAATCCCAGCACTTTGGGAAGCTGAGGCAGACAGATTGCTTGAGCCCAGGAGTTTGGGACCAGCCTGGGCAACATGGTGAAACTTCATCTCTACAAAAAAAAAAAAAAAGAAAAAAAGAAAAAAATGAATGGGGCATGGTGGCACATGCCTGTAGTCCAAGCTACTTGGGAGGCTGAAATGGTAGGATTGCTTGAGCCCAGGAAATCAAAGCTGCAGGGAACAGTGACTGTGCCACTGCATTCTAGCCTGGGTAATAGAGTGAGGCCTGGTCTAGGAAAAAAAAAAATTTCCTCCCTTCCCATATTAGTTCTTGAATTTAGGAGCCAAAAGGCCTTTGATACTGTGTACCCCATAAGCTTCTCTAGACCATCTTCCTGCCTCGGCAGCTGGGTATAATCTCTTTCTCTTCTGAAACTCTATCTGCAGGGATACACCCCTACCTTTCTCTGGCATTCATCTTTCTGTTTTGCATTAGAGTCCAGTATGCGCATGATTTATTCTGCCCTGCAAGACTTGTAAGTGCCTTAAGATTTGGATTAAATCACTTACATTTCCTTTGAAAAATAGGGATTCTGCCAATATTTCCTGGAAAAACGTTCATAATAAATATCCTAGGACATTTCAGACTTCCAGTGAAATTTCATATAAAATGTATTTCAGAAATGGCATCTTCATTTGATATCAGTAATTGAGATATTATCACGCATTGCCTTGAATTGGAAATCTGTTATTAAGTTCTGTTAATGTGCTTCGTTTTCTTGGAAGAAAGTAGACAACCTTCTCAAAGTTACAAATGCATTCTTCAAAGAGCTGCTGAGTGACAAGCTAGAAAGCCTCAGGGACTAGCCAGACCTCAGGCTGCTGCTACTGCCGTAACCCCTCACACGTTTAAGCCTTTTCAAACTGTGCAGTTTATTTTCTGACATGGTGAAAAAGAAGACACTGAAATATCTGATGGTGATGGTATTAGCAGCAAATTGCATAGTATGAAAGATCTAGTTAAAGCTGGTTCAAAGGAACCCCTGTATGACTGCAAAATAGTGGAATATTGTTTTGAGTATTAGTCTCATTGTCTTATGTCTCAGAGCCTGTATGTCCATAGGTGTGGAGTGTTTACATGTGTATACGTACACATGTATTTATAGAATATTAGAGCTAGATGGAATCTTAGAGATAATTTAGTTCTATACTCTCCTAACACAAAAGGAGAGACTGAGTGAGGCTCAGAAGAGTGGAATGACTTATCCAAGGTCAAAGAGTCATAGTTCTAAGAATAACTCTTTCTTCTTTTCACATGTAAGTGAAGCAGATTCATTCAGCAGGTCTCCCAGCTTTTCTCCGCTTGGCTTTTTTTCCTTCCTGTGGAGTCAGTTGCCAGAGTCTGCTTAAATCACTACCTATCTGACATGCTGCTGGGGTCATGCGGCTCACAGTGGCTGGTAAGCAGCTGATTTTTGGAGGTGATAATCATAAATTTACTATTATTAAAACTGACCACTGTTTACAAAATCAAAACAGATCCACAATGACCATGGTTTGTGATATGCAGACGCGTGGATTTAAGATTTTTGAATTATTAGCTACATTAGAATTGTTGTTGCATAAATGAGGGAACTGAATATAACAACATTCTTTTCTTGCCTTTTATGTTCCATATTATATTCCTATCTACTTTTGAAGTGAAATTGATGTGCTTTCTTCTTTTATGAAAGTGATACCATTCTTTGTAGGAAATTGAGACAATGCAGAAATGTAAAAGGAAGAAGAAACGCCATTTATAGTTCCAGCATGCAGAAATGATGACTATTAATAGTTTAATTTATTTTCTTCTGGAATTTTTATGTACATAATTTGATGTTTGCCCATTTAACACAGTGGTGATTTCACTGTAATACAAATAGGTATTCTTTTTTAAAGAACATTTTTCTGTTTTATTATGATGGCTTTGTAAACATCATTTTAATGTTTGTATTCTATTCTATTCAACATTCATTCAATAGCTTTATATTGACTGCCTCTTATGCAGTCAAGTGGTAACTCGGAATGCACTGAGAGCCTAACATGTGCCTAGAAGTCAAAAAGGACCTCTTTTCATTCAGATGAAGACTGTGTGTTAGTTTTCTACTGCTGTTGTAACAAATTGCCACAAACCTAGTTACTTAAAATAACACACACTTGTCTTACAGCTCTGGAAGTCAGAAGTGCTAAAATCAGGATATGGACAGGGCTGGTTCCTTCGGGAGGCTTCAGGGGATAATCGTTTCCTTGCCATTTTCAGCTTCCACATGCCGCATGTGTTCCTTGGCTCATGGTTTCTTCTCATATCATTCCAACTTCTGTTCCCACCGTCACATCTCCTACCACTAACGTTGACCCTCCAGCCTCCTTTTTGTAAGGCCCCCTTGTGACTACATTGGGCTCACCTGGGTAATCTAGGATACTCTCTGCATCTCAAGGTCCTTAACTGAACCACATCTGCAAAGTTCCTTTTTACCGTGTAAGGTAACATTGACACCTTTTGGAGATTAGGACATGGACATCTTTGGGAGGCCATTATTCTGTTGAGCACAGAGTGCATCAAATGTGAGATGCATCACACGCTTCCAATTAAACTCTAACACACCCTTGACTGCAAGATATGTCCCAGTTTCAATTATATTAAAATGTAACCCAATGGATATCTTGAGTATTTCACAGTGAAATCCAGGCTTCACTAAACACTTGTATGAGTTAGTTCCTGTGCTAAACAGCGTATATAATATGGTGAAATTGAATGATGCTAGGCCGGGAGCGGTGGCTCACGCCTCTAATCCCAGCACTTTGGGAGGCCAAGGCGGGCAGATCACTTGAGGTCCGGAGTTCGAGACCAGTTTGACCAACATGGTGAAACCCCATCTCTACTAAAAATACAAAAATTAGCCAGGCATGGTGGTACGTGCCTGTAATCCCAGGTACTCGGGAGGCTGAGGCAGGAAAATCATTTGAACCTGGGAGGTGGAGGTTGTAGTGAGCCAAGATCACACCACTGCACTGGTCGCAGCCTGGGCAATCGAGTGAGATCCTGTTTCAAAAAAAAAAAAAAAAAAAAATTCATGACTCTATCCTTGAGTGTATATATCAGAGCTCATGCACCCAGTCTCCTATTGCAGAGCAATGGTGCTCTTCCTACTTTTTCTTATTTTTAATCTTCCCCATTATAAACATATTAATAGTAACAGCCAACATTTATCAAATTCACTAATAAAGTGATTGACACTTATTACCTCATTTAATCCTCATGAAGACTGTGTGTGTTACAAAGATTATCTTCATCTCATAGACGAGGAGGCTGAAGCACGGGCCTTAAGTAAGTTCTCAACATCACGCATTTGGTCAGTAGTGGAGTCAGGATTTAAGCCCAGGCTCTCCAACTCCAGAGACTATGCCCATAACCACCAGGCTGTGCTGCCTCTGTATGTATAAAGAGTTTTTCTTCATATGCTGTATGTAGAAATGCAGGCTGATATACATGCAAGGACATACATTATGTCCTTGGAACAGATTTCCAGAAGTAGAATCAAAGGAAAGAAATGAATGGTATAAAAGAACTTAGTAAATATTGCCAAAAGCATGACACCAATTCATGTAGCTGTTGCTATTGTTGTCTATTTTTAGTGATGATAATGTCAGTGGCTGTTATCTGTGTATTTTTTTCTTGCAGAAAATATACACCAGTTATTATACATTTTGTGGACACCAACACTCTTCCTTATATAAAATACTTACATGGGCTTTAGCTTTTAGATTTCTTACTGTAAAAAGGAAATGAGATAATTAAGCAAATCATCACTCCATAAACAAGTGAATTAACTGTATACATCCCATGTCTTCTTATACAAGATTAGGTACAAGAGTTCCATTCTCCTAAAACATTCCATTTCTATTCAGTCAAGCAGAATAGCCTATTTTTTTTATTAACTTATCTTCTATATTGCTCCATCATTCTCAGATCTTAGACTGGGCAGTTTCTTCAACTGACTGGCTTGCATTTCAAGTTATGTGTCTAGCTTTTCACAGTAATTTTCTAAAGGTTGTCTGATTTTGGTGAAAATCTATCACATTATGTACAAGAATGTCTACATATGCTTTAAGTTTTTTTAAAAAAATGAAATTTATTATCTTGAAACAAAATAGCAGAGAATACATATTTAAGTAAGCATGAATTCCTTAATTTTTAAAAGATCTTGATGAAACTAGTATCTTTTTGGAAGGGTCAATATATCTAGGTTCTACATTAAATTTAATGATTGTTCAACATTGCTAGGCATAAATTTTGTGACTTGTAATATATTTTATTGTTTCATGAACATAGGTCACGGAGATAAATGTTTACACTCTTGAGTGGTATTCTACACATATCACTATTCAAGATTTTTAAATAAAATACATAAAATGTAATCTAACTGAAGGTCAAGAAAATAATATTACAAAGTGATAATCATACAAAATCAACATTCCTATGAAAGGATTCTATTTGGACTATAACGAAATAGTTTAGACTAGCCATCTTGCTGAAAGTATTAATGTTGAACATTGTCCTTAATTTTTCTTAGTATACATAAATAATTGCTAGTATTTGGACACTCATGTACAGTTTTGATTGCTCTGTTCACATAAAAATGAAGAGAAATTGATAAGAACCTCATGATAAAAATGATTATAGCCTTGGAAAATAGATTCTATGAGTAAAATATTGGAGGGTTAAAAAAAAAAAAGTAAAAACTAAGAGTACCTAATCCTGCCATTTATGCTGCAAAGCTTTGAAATGTCCTCAGAGAGAAAGGAGTCAGTTCAAATGATTAATTTAAAATGAAATCAGAAGAAGCAAAAATTATAGGAACAATGGCCCTTGTATTTCAGGAGGGGACTGATATCGTGCAAGGGCAATGGAGTTTGCCTGTAAATAGTGGTTATAATTCCTACCTTAAGGATTGGAGAAATACAGAGTATAGACCTGTGCTGTCAATATGTGGCTGCTGCCTATATGGACTTCTGAGCTCTTAAAATCTGACTAGTCTAGAACAAGTTATATGTAAAACATACACTGGATTTTGAAATCTGAGTACAAAAAATAATGTCAATATCTCATCAATAATTTCTGTATAATTACATGTTGAAATGATAGTATCTTGGATATGCTGGATTAAATAAATTTTATTACAATTAATTTTATTCATGTTTACTTCTTAAATGGACACTAGACACTTTTAAAATTATGTATTTGGTTCACATTATATTTCTATTGGATGATGCTGGTTTGTAGAGAAGACTTTGCAGAGACAAAGAATTAGAAAGAAAAGTTGGTTCCATATTTTTTAAAAGTAGGAAATCAACTGGTTTTTAGCAAGAGGGAAAGGAGGAGCTTATGAGGAGGCAGAAGGCTGGATAAGTTGACCAGTCACTCATTCATGTGTTTAATATTTGTTGAGCTTCTATTATGCACCAAGTCCCCAAGATACATTGGTAAACAAAATGAACAAGATCATCCTTTCCTTCAGGGAGCTTACATTCCAGTGGGTGGAGACAGATGATAAACACATTCTAAGTTAGGTGTGGATTTCACGTTGAATGATTAGTTTTACAAAAGAGGCAGTCACCATAAAATATTTGATAAAATGTTGCCTTTTTTAATTGCTTGAGCAATGTTACCTTTTTTGATCGCTTGAGCTCAGGAGGTGGAGGGTTCAACTTGATAATAAGTGGCATCCTTATTATTATCATCATTATCCTTATTTTATCATAGAACTTTTTATGGAGCTCTAGATACAGATTAGTTAAAAAAAATTAAATAAAGTAAATAAATAAAAAAAGACTGCTCTCCAAAACAGTTTATTTTCCTAGGCCAGGTGCGGTGGCTCATGCCTGTAATCCCAGAACATTGGGAGACCGAGACGGGAGGGTCCTTTGAAATCAGGAGTTTGAGACCAGCCTGGCCAACATGGTGAAACCCCACCTCTACTAAAAATACAAAAATTAGATGGGCATGGTAGTGTGCACCTGTAATCCCTGCTACTCAGGAGACTGAGGCAGGAGAATCACTTGAACCTGGGAGAAGGAGGTTGCAGTGAGCCAAGATCACGCCACTGCACTCCAGCCTGAGCAACAGAGTGAGATTCTGTCTCAAAATGATAATAATAATAATAATAATAATAATAATAATTTGTTTTCTTGATGGGGAAACACTCTCACCATTCTTAAAGTGTGCCTAAATTAGAAGTTATAAGTTATTTCCATAATAAAATCTGGACATAAATGTCTAAATACCAGTCATTGTTCATACCACGCTTTTTAAATTCTTATTATTTCCAGGGCATCAAAATATCTGCCTTTACTGGGAGTACTTTGTATTTTCTATCAGCAAAATCAGGATACCAAAGCAAAAAGAAACTTCAGCCTGTGTGCAACCTAGGGATTCTGTAACTTTTCCAAAATAAGTAGATGAATTCTCCAGTTATCTAGCACAAGTAAATTTCCTTGAGGACTCATGTTTTATCTTAAAAATTTATATGAGTTTCGTATTATTCTCTTTAATACAGACACATGTTTGATATAAAAAATGATTCCACACAATCTTCAACCAATATTAACGTTTCAAAAGGTGATTCATATCACTCTTGTAGCTATACAACCCCAGCTGTATGGTTGTAGATGTTATAAAATCCAGATAAGTTTAAACCAGCAGAGATAAGACCTCTGTTCCTGAAACCTGAGTGGGCAGTATCCTTTCTACCCCTTTGTTGGAGTCAAGTCCAAGGTAGAAATACTCAGGATGGTGAAACAATTTGTTTGGATCCTATGGCACCCGGTTACAGAGCCAAGACATCAAACTAGAATTCCTCACCCCGGCCCTATAGCCTGAGAAGCTACACAGCATCATAGCAAGAGTCTTTTAAGCTTTTTTGCCACTCAAGGGGATTCCCCATCCCAAGAAATATTTCTGGATCACAAGAACCTGTGGAGAATATGATTAAAGAAACACAGGCAGCTGTGGCCCTCAACTTTTCCTGGCAACTAATAGTACCACCAGGAAACAAGCCAGAAGAAGGAGCCAGGCAAGAATTCAAAGACTGCTGGGAAGAAAAAAGCATTTGCTAAGAGTTTGGCATCTTGCTTTGCAGCTGCTGGATGGATTGCACTTGGGGAGTTAGGAAGACGCGATCTGTGGACAAACCTATGTAGTTCATAGAGAAATCACTTCATAGAACCACAAATCTTTTTTTGTCTTGAAGTCACATATTTTTAATAACTGAGTTTTGCTCTTCAGGTATTTCTTAGTCTTACTTCAGTTTTAAAGAAAACTCAAGGGGAAAAAATGATTCATTGAAATAAAATACTTTTTATTTATATTTCTTAGCCGAAGAAAAAGATGGTATTCATTTTTTTATGGCCTGCTGCAAGGAAAGAAAGATAAGGCAAAACACATCTGACATGGTTTGACATAGCTCTCATTAAAGAAGCTATATTAGTAGATGACAGCTTTCCAGAAATATAGTGAAATGCAGAGAAAAATAGGTGAAATTGGGTCACTTGAAAAAAAGAGACACTCTATGTATGTCAGTGGTTTTCTTTTCTCAATTTCTGTTCTAAGATGCTAGAATTTTTATTCATGAACATCACTGAATGTTTTTGAGACATCAGCTCAAGTGCATGGCAATTGCCTTGTATATGTAATCATCAAAATAAGATTTCTTTTATAAATGACATCCTTAATTTACTCTTCTAAGTAACACATTTTCATTTAAATTCCTGAAACTATAATAGTGTTTCTAATTTAATGAAATAATTTCTTCCCTTCATTGGGGAGAATTACTGAAAATACTGAATAAAATATCTTATACTAATTTGCTGTAATTTCTTTTTACTAATTAATTCCCTAATTATTTCAATGCTACATAAGACCATGAAAATCCATAGATGGATAGATGGATGGATGGGTGGATAGGTGGATGGATAGATAGATAGATAGATAGATAGATAGATAGATAGATAGATACCACAGAAAGATTCTTAATAGATGAAAGAATCAGATGGATAAATAAATGAAAATCTGCAAAGCTACAATTCACTTGGGCATTTGTAAGCCTGAATTATGACATTTTAAGGACATATGTCTTAAGTATTCTGATTCTTTTCTTCTGTTACCTCTTGAAGAGACTACTCTACTGACAGTACCAACTGTTGAATAATTTCTTCCTTGTGACATTGGTTAATTGTTCTGCGTTAAAATAAATACTTAAGCCTTTCTATTGTGAAAACAAATAATAAAAACTTTAATTTTAGCAATAATTAGTGCTTCACAGTAAAAATTAATTCATTCAATTACAAGATTATCTTTTCCACCAATTCCTTTTAGTGTATTCTTTTCTAGCAAACATACCAAACAACTAAACTAAATTAGTTTATTATTACGGCATATTCTGGTTTATAACTAATACTAGAGTTATTTGTGATTGTAAGAAAATTAAAATGTAAAATTTTCAGAGACCAAAAACATTAACAATCTAGAGAGTATGAATGTAAAGAATGTATTATAAATGATGGTAGTAATCGTGCTTTTTGTTATTTTATTAGAAGTGAACAATCAATGGTATTTTTAGTTTGAAAATGGATTAAGATTATTTTACTATATGATCTTGTGGTAATCCCTTTATAAAAACTTCCTTAATAGAAACAAAGTAAATTTTAATGCAAAATTCATACATCCTGTCTTACATCACATAGTAAGTGAATATAGGGTCAGAATTATTCTATGTCTATACTTTCTACTTTCAGCTAATTACTACATTTGTATTCTAATTAACATAATACTTAAAATTACTATAGATGAGATAAATTTTAAATAGATGAAAAGCCATTTTTCTATTCAACTTTTTTTTTGTTTTTGTTTTTATTTATTTATTTATTTTTTGAGACAGAATCTTGCTCTGTTGCCGAGGCTCGGGTACAGTGGCACAATTTCAGCTCACTGCAACCTCTGCCTCCTGTGTTCAAGCAATACTCCTGCCTCAGCCTCCCAAGTAGCTGGGATTACAGGCGCCCACCATGACACCTGGCTAATTTTTGTATTTTTAGTAGAGACGGGATTTTACCATGTTGGCCAGGCTAGTCTCAAACTCCTGACCTCAAATGATCCACCGGCCTCTGCCTCCCAAACTGCTGAGATTACAGGAGTGAGCCACCACACCAGGCCCCCCAAACTTTTTTTTAACACTGAGACTGCACCAAATGTGATTCTTGGGACAGCCTTTGAAGGAGAAATGATATTTGCTTCGTAAAAAGAAGAAAATACTTTCTTTTACAAAAGTAAAATAAATTTGTTATAATTATTAAAATTTATTGTGCCCCTAGATTTGTAATAAGATTTAATCCTCCCAAAAGTGTATCAGATTTTATCTTGTTTAATGTTGGAATTTATGTTATTTCCTTTTTTTTTTTCTCAGTTTTTCCCTTGGTGTTGTCCTTGAAATATCTCACTGTGATCCAGTAGCTTATAAGTGGACTTGAATCCTGAATATGTATAAGTTTAATATGGAGAAAATTTGACGTAGCATGAGAGTAGATACTGAACATTGAATTTAGTCACAAGTAATCTCAAAATGTTTAATTTATTTGTAATTGTGATTGTCAATTCAAAAATTTATCATATTTTTCATGAAAAGCAGGATAGCACTTCTTCAAAAGAAGCAGGGTCCATTCTTGTAGAGGAAAGAGTAAGTACCCCATACTTTTAGAGGATCGTAGCCTCAACTGTGTTCAGTGGAGACTGACTAAGAACAGTAAAGACAAAACTTAGACCAAGGTAGGTGACTTGTGCTGGATGGATCTGAGGAAGGGACGCAAGGATCTCTGGGGAAAAGCTGTGAAGGTACAAATACCAACTCATTGTAAAGACTTTCTGACACTCACAGGTACTCAGAGATGCAACAGGCTTCCTGAGTGATGAGCTCTTCATTACCAGGGTACTTAAGTACACAAGAAGGCCCCATTATCAAGGATTTCTTAGAGGATATTTTGACAGTATATGGGGTTCAACTAGAATTAATTTTAGTTTCACCTGTCCCTATAAATCTAGGGTATTCTGATTCCACAGTATTGTATATGTTTCATGAAGAAGCAAAAACTGCAAAGTGAACTAGAAGGCATGTGTGTGCATACTTACAGTTAATGGAGGAAACTTTTTGTTGTTATTATTGGTAACCCAACGGCAAAAATAAGACACAAACACAAACAACAAAGAAGTCTATAGTTCTCCTATTTAGAGAATAGAATGAGTTAATAATTACAGGAAATGACCACAGCCCTTTTATGAAAGTTGGTAGTATTGGGTAATGTCTCAGATTTCATGCTCAGGTTACTGCAGAGCAAGCAAGGCTCAGGTTTACCTTTAGTGGAAAGTCTGCCTAAAAACAAAAGAACTACTCATTAACATAACAATGATTTAAAATGCCTTAAGCAAATCGTTTTCAATAAGAAGTTACTTGAAACAGAAGAAAGTGACATAGAGCCAGAGATGCAAGGTGCTATTCTTTACTTTCCCTTATGTCCTTTTCACAAATTTCTTTTTTAATTTTTTTAATTTTTAATTTTTATGGCTACATAGTAGGTGTATATATTCACTAACAAATTTCTTAAATTTTTACTAAGAGAATAAATTGATGATTAAATACCCATGCTTTCTGCAAGTAGGTAGGAGTGGCATACTTGGTATTTTCTACCTGCAAATAAGCCTTTTTGTGATTTTCTTTTTTTTCTTTCTTTTTTTTTTTTTTTTTTTTTTGAGACAGAGTTTTGCACAGCCACTCAGGCTGGAGTGCAGTGGCGCTATCTTGGCTCACTGCAACCTCCGCCTCCCGAGTTCAAGCAATTCTCCTGCCTCCGCCTCTCCAGTAGCTGGGAATACAGGCCTCTGCCACCATTCCCAGCTAATTCTTTATATTTTTAGTAGTGATGGGGTTTCACTATGGTGGCCAGGCTGGTCTCAAACTCCTGACCCTGTGACCCGCCCGCCTCGGCTTCCCAAAGTGCTGGAATTACAGGCGTGAGCCACCGTGCCTGCCCAGTTTTCTTTCTATTTCTGTCTTTTCCTTCCTTTCGCCGAAGACTGACTACTCTGAGAGCTTTGGGTATATAGCATGTAAGCTCCAGTTACACAAAATCACTCTTGCTACTTACTCTGTTTCCTTCCCTCTTATACTCGGCCAAACAGTTTTATAGAATTTTTAAGTATTTACCTTCACATTTTTTCCTGAAATTTAAGTTGGCATTTGTTCCATTTCTATTTTATTAGAATCTGTGATCATCAATATCTTTATAGTAAAACTATTGCTGATGGACAAAGTGTTTTTTTCTTCTCACTCGTTCTCTTCACTATAGCAAAGACTTTGTTTAAGTTGAATCCCCTATGTATTCATAAATGATGCAATTCAGTCACATCCAAGATGTGCAAATTTGTTTTCCTAACATAGAAAGGATGGAAAACTTCTGGCCGGGTGCGGTGGCTCACGCCTGTAATCCCAGCACTTTGGGAGGCCGAGGAGTGCGAATCACGAGGTCAGGAGATCGAGACCATCCTGGCTAACACGGTGAAACCCCGTCTCTACCAAAAAATAGAAAAAATTAGCCGGGCGTGGTGGCAGGCGCTTGTAGTCCCAGCTACTCAGGAGGCTGAGGCAGGAGAATGGCATGAACCCGGGAGGTGGAGCTTGCAGTGAGCAGAGATCATGCCACTGCACTCCAGCCTGGGCGACAGAGCGATACTCCGTCTCAAAAAAAAAAAAAAAGAAAAGAAAGGAAAGGATGGAAAACTTCAATCTTAATCAGGATGAGCTAAGAGGAAGCTACAACCACTTAGATAGCTTCTTACCATGATTCTTTATCTCTTATTGATCTCCAAGTTAAAAAATATATATTAACACACACACATATTTATTAATTCATCTCAGCACATAGCAGAACAATTGCCTTTTTTTTCTTTTTAATGAAAGGTGGGTATAATAGTAAAATATTTTAAAACGTTCAGAAACATTTCATTCAGATCAATTTGTTGAAAGATTTTATGGTAATGAGGAAAGTGATTTAACAGTAAATGCAAAAAGAGTCCTTGTCCCTTAAATGTCAAAAGGAATGCTGATGAAAGATTCTGGAATGTTGATAGCAATGAAAGCAGCATAATTATTTTTTTATTTTCTAAAATATCCACATTAAAAACAGAACCATTAGGCATCAGATTTTAGAAAATCTGTGGACAATATTTACAAAAAAATTAGCTGACAGTTTATGGCCAAACTGCAGGCATCAGCTCTAAATACTTCATGTAATAACAAACCGCCCATAGCCACAAGACCTGAATGTTGTTGGGTTTTATGTGAGAGAAAGCAAAGGGAATCCACAAGGTGTCTAGCAGGACTGGAAACAAGAAAAACACAAAGTAAGCCAATACTCATTGCCTGGAAAATACAGCAGGCCCATGTGAGAAGAGCAGCAGAAAGTGAGAGGGGCAAGTGCCCACTCCAGTTGCAGGTGAGTACAGGGGACCTGTGTAAGAATTTCTGAAGGGGCTGGAGCAGTATAGCACAAGGAATTCTCAAAACTGACCTGCCAAGGCCATCTTCCATGACAGTGGCCCACACTAGGAGAAAATCCTGGGAGTAAAATGAATAATGAGTAGGATAGGGACAACAGAGATAAATAAAAAAAGGAAGAAGATTCCTATAAAAGCTGGGGAAGGGAAGGGAGTCGAGAAATACTAAGAAGAAAACCATCGTATATGTCTTAATGATAGCCATCATTTACTTAGCAGATACTCTATATCAGGTACTCTTTTTTATAAATTGTATATATTTAAGGTATACAACAATGACATTTTTGATATACATATATATCCATAGTGAAGTGATTGCTATAGTCAGGGAATTTATCCTATCCATCACCTTCTATAGATATCATTTTTGTGTGATACATGCACCTAAAATCTATGCCCTTAACATATTTTCAGTATACTGTGCAATGCAATGTTGTTAACTGTAGTCCTCATGCTGTCATTAAATCTCTAGACTTATTTGTCGTACATAACTGCAAGTTTGTACCTTTGGGTCTACTTTCTCCCATTTCCCTATTTCCTGCCCTGCTCTGCCCCTGGTAACCACTCTCTGGTTTTATGTAATTGATCTTTTAAAAAATTCCACATGTGATAGACATCATGCAGTATCTTTCTTTCTATGTCTGGCTAATTTCACTTAGCACAGTGTTCTCCAGGTTCATCTACGTTGTTGCAAAAGGCAGTGTCTCCTTTTTTAAGGCTGAATAGTATTTCATTGTGTACATATGCCACATGTTGTGGTATCCATTCACCTGTCGATGGACACTTCTGTTGTTTCCATGTTTTGGCCACTATGAATAATGGTACTATGAACATGGGAATGAAAATACCTCTATGTGGTGTTGACTTCATTTTCTATGAATATATATCCAGCAGTGAGGTTGCTGGGTCATATGGTACTTCTATTTTTAATTTTTTGAGTAAACTTCATACGTTTTCCATAACAGCTGTACCAGTTTACATTTCCCCCAACAATGTACAAAGGTTCCCTCTTCTCCACACCCTTCCCAACACTTGTTATCTCTTGTCTTTTCAATAATATTCATCCTACAGGTGTTAGGTGATTTCTCATTGTAATTTTGACTTCCATTTCCTGAGACAGAGTAATGTTGAGCGTCTTTTCATACACCTGTTGCCATTTTTGTGACTTCATTGGAGAAATGAAATTTTCAAGTCCTTTCTCCATTTTTAAATTGAGTTATTTGGTTTTTTTATATTGAGTTGTGTGAGTTCCTTATATATTTTAGCTACTAACCCCTTACTCAGATAAATGGTTTGCAAATATTTTATCAAAATCCATAGGCTTCCTCTTCATGTTGTTACTTGTTTGCTGTATAGAAGCGTTACAGTTTTATGTAATCTCACTTTTTAATTTTTGCTTTTGTTGCCTGAAGTTTCAGTGTGATATTCAAAAAATTATTTCATGGCCTATATCAAAGAACTTTTTCCCTATATTTACTTCTAGGAATTTGATGGCTTCAGGTCTTGTATGTAGCCTTTTAATCCATTTTGAGTTGATTGTTGTGTGTGGTGTAAGAGAAAGGTCCAGTTTCATCATATTTTTAAAATACAAGAGAATAACAGCAGAACAGAAAACTCATAAAGATACAAATGTTGCTTAAACCAACCTTCCTTCTAAATGTTCAGAAAAGTTAAATTCACACAAAAATGAGCAAAAGAAAATTTTGGACATGGAATCTCATGCAAAAATACTATAATTTAAAAGATAATCTGCCGGGGGTAGTGGCTCATGCTTGTAATCCCTGCAGTTTGGGAGGCTGAGGCGGACGGATCACCTGAGGCTGGGAGTTTGAGACCAGCCTAACCAACATGGAGAAACCCCGTCTCTACTGAAAATACAAAATTATCCGGGGGTGGTAGCGCATGCCTGTAATCCCAGCTACTTGGGAGGCTGAGGCAGGAGAATTGCTTGAACCCGGGAGGCGGAGGTTGCGGTGAGCCAAGATCGTGCCATTGTACTCCAGCCTGGGCGCCAAGAGCAAAACTCCATCTCAAATAATAATAATAATAATAGAGCAAAGAATAATATCCCTACAGACAATGAAATTTTATCAGGAAGACATGCTTTCAAATAATCTAGGAGTGGCCAGCATGGCCAACTAGAAGCAGCCAGTGTGCATGGCTCTGATGGAAAGGAACAGAAGGGATGAGCAAATACAGCACCTTCAACTGAAACATCCAGGTCCTCTCACTGGTTTCCTCTCAAGGAAACAACTTGACCCACAGAGAATGAAGAAAAGCAAGATAGGACAACGGCCCACCTGGGAGCAACCAGAGCCAGGGGATCCTCCCCAACCCAGGGAAAGCACGCTTCTCCCACAGATATTTGCACCCACAGGTCATGAGATCTCCTTGTGAACCCACTCCACCAAGGCCTTCAGTCTTCATTCTGACAGCCAGAGCTATAAGGAGTCTCGTTGCTTATTTGCTCTACAGAAGCTTTTCAGTTTTATGTAATCTCACTTTTTAATTTTTGCTTTTGTTATCTGAAGTTTCAGTGTGATATTAAAAAATTATGCTGCCCAGGCATGTGTGGAGACCCTGGAGCCTTAGATACTTTGACTTTCTGGAAAAAGTAGCTGTAGCCTCGGCAAAGTGGGAGGTTAGACTCCTGTATATACCTCCCTCCAGGCAGCCTCCAGGCTGCCATCTTTGGCACTTTAGCCATTCCAGCCTTCAGGCTTCAGAGAGTCTGAGCCAACCTGGGACAGAAGGAATACCCCAGCAAAGCACAGCTGCTCTACCAAAACGAAGGCCAGACTGCTGCTTTAAGCGGGTACCGAATCCCGTACCTCCCCCCGGGTGGGACCTCCCAACCACAGCCTCTTTGCTGCCATCTTTACTGTTTCATAGTTTTCACTGGTGACACCTACAGGTTCTGAAAAATCTGAGGTGGCTAGGGACTGGCATGGGCCCCAAGCATACCACAGCAGCCTTACAGAAAAGTGGCCAGACTGTTAGGTGGGGCCCATTCCCATATCTCCTCACCAGGCAGGTCCTCCAGGCCTGGGCCTCCAGCCACCTCTTGCCAGATATACTGAGCCATTACCAACTCAGCAACTCCCTGGACAGAGCCTCCAGGGACATCTGAAAGCTCTCTGCTACTGCCTTTGCAGTGGAACTGCCCTTGCCACCCTTGGACTAATGAAGGAGCAAAGACCCTAAGTACCTTATTCACACCTCCAAAAAGCAATCCTGAGCAAAAAGAACAAAGCTGGAGTAATCACATTACCTAACTTCAAACTATACTACAAGGCTACAGTGAGCAAAACAGTATGGTACTGATACAAAAATAGGCACGCAGACCAATGGAACAGAATAAAGAGCCCAGAAATAAGGCCACACATCTACGACCATCATTTCTTTGACAAAGCTGATAAAAATAAACAATGGGGAAAAGACTCCCTATTCAATAAATGGTGCTGGGAGAACTGGCTAGCCATATCCACCAGATTGAAGCTGGACCCTTTCCTTACACCATACACAAAAATCTACTCAAGATGGAGTAAAGACTTAAATAAAAACCAAAAAACTATAAAAACACCTGAAGACAACCTAGGAAATACCATCCTGACATAGAAACGGGCAAAGGTTTTACAACAAAGACACCAAAAGCAATTGTAACAAAAGCAAAAATTGGCAAATGGGATCTAATTTAACTTAAGAGCTTCTGCACAGCAAAAGGAACTGTCAACAAAGTAAACAGTCAACCTGCAGAATGGAAGAAAATATTTGCAAACTATGCATCTGACAAATTTACAAGAGAAAAACAAACAACCTCATTAAAAAGTGGGCAAAGTGGATGAACAGACACTTCTCAAAAGAAGACATACATGCAGCCAAAAAGCATAGAAAAAAGCTGCGTATCACTGATCATTAAAGAAATGCAAATCAAAACAACAATGAGATACCATCTTACACCCGTCAGAATGGCTATGATTAAAAAGTCAAAAAATAACAGATGCTGGTGAGCCAGTAGAATAAAGGGAACCCTTTTTGCACTGTTTGTGGGAGTATAAGTTAGTTCAACCATTGTGAAAATTACTCAAAGAGCTAAAAGCAGAACTACCATATGACCCAGCAATCCCATTACTTGGTATATATATATACCAAGAGGAATATAAAGCATTCTATCCTAAAGACACATGCACTCAAATGTTCATTGCAGCACTGTTCACAATAGCAAAGACATGGAATCAATCTAAATGTCCATCAATGACACACTGGATAAAGAAAATGTGGTACATGTGCACCATGGAATATTATGCAGCCATAAAAAAGAACAAGATCATGTCTTTTGTGGGAACATGAACGAAGCTGGAGGCTATCATCCTTAGCAAACTAATGCATAAACAGAAAACCAAATACTGCATGTCCTCACTTATTAGTGGGAGCTAAATGATAAGAACTTATGAACACAGAGAAGGAAACAATAGACACTGGGGTCTGCTTGAGGGGGAAGGGTGGAAGGGAGAGGAGCAGAAGAGATAACTATCAGGCACTGGGCTTAATGCCTGGTGGATGTAATAATGCCTACAACAAATCCTTATTACATGTGTTTATCTGTGTAACAAACTTTCACATGTACCCCCAAACATCAAATAAAAATTTTTTAAAAAATCTAATAAAAACGCTAAGGAACTATTTTAAAACTAGCTAAAAAGCATAAAGAAAGTCATTTAAAAGATGAAAAGAACAACCCAAATTAACATTAGAACAACCAAAAAATGAAATAGATGTGAGAATTAGAAATACAGAAAAAAATAATAATTTTGAAAATAAAAAACTAGAATAATGGAAGAGTAAATAAACACAATTCTTAATGTATTACAAGAAATAAAAGGTTTAAAAGTAGATTTTTTAATTGAAAAGAATTAAATCAGATAAAAATATTTGAGAGGTAATGCAAACATTTAAGTTTGTCAAAGAAGCTTCAACATCTGGATAATAGGAAAGAAAAAAACCAAAGCAAAAGAAAAATAAGCCACAAACTAAAAAATGTTTAGTTCTTGAAATTTAAAAAAGTAAATATTGAAAGAGCATGCTGTGTACCTGAGATTATTTACCCAAAACAACGAGCATTAAGACTTATTCTAGTAAGGTCGCTGGATGATATTAAAGAAAAAAAAAGTTTTGTGCACTTAGATAAAGAAAACACTTGAATTATAAGCATATCTGAATTAGACAATCATGAAGTTTTTAACAGCAACATTTTGTGCTAGAAAGAAAATAGAGTAACCATGTGAAAGGATGGAAAATGTCAGCCAAGAATTTATATCCAGCAAAACTGACCATTGAGTAGAAAGGGCATAAATAAATTATTATCCATGTGGAGGAACTCTGCCAATGTTCTTTCCATGAGTTCTTCCTGAAAACTCTTTCCGAGATGAGCTTCAGATAAACAAAATGACCAGAAAGACATCATACAAGCACTGGTGGAATCAGTGCAGCCATCTGCCAGAACTCAGAATGCATGCATACATTTTTGCCTTATGACTATCCTTTATGCATTTGAAGGTAGCTACTGCTGTAACACACATCTCATATTTCAGCTTGCTTCATTTGGCAACAAACATTTTGGAAATGTCTGGAACATGCTTACAGCTTTTTTTATGTGTGTTACTCCATCTATATTTATTAAACAGCAATTGGTAATTTACACATATACATGCACATTCTAAGCTCTCATTTATTGAATGTTAAAATAATAATAATGTTTCCGGGGATAATACTACATATCATTTAGTATTGTATATATTGGCATATAAAGTACTAGATACCTCATAGTTATAATCTCTGAGCCTCATGTAAGTCATTAAAAAGATATAGATATTTGTAGAAGAGCAGGCTAACTACTTACTATAATTCATGTTCCCAATTCTAGAGTAGAGGGTTGTGACTGGAAAGTAGTTGCACAATTAAAGATTATCTTTTTCAAACTCTCTTACACCCAAAGATGGGCAGGTGACTACTTGTTACTCCAGAAAGTCACATTTAAGCCAAGGCTTTTGACAATTACGTGTGCCTTTGCCACACCTTCTTTCCTGCCCCACCAACGGGATATACGGTCCCCGGAGAATGGAAAAGTCAAGATGGAAGAACTGGGATCCACACATGGAAAGAAGTTGCCTCCCTGTAAGGAATACTGGTCTTGGACTATGATATGAGCAAGAGATAAACTTCTACTTTATTATACCATTGAGAAAATTTTAAAAGGGATTATTCACATAGAAAATAGTCACCATCCAGTGCACATAAGGTCACATAAGACGTTTATTAGAGTAATGAGAAATCAGGGAAAATCAATGGACTGGGTGTGTTTTAGCAAACAACATAATGACATTTGAATATTTCTTTGTTTAGAAAAAGTGGTTTATAGAAAGAGGACCAGGTGGATTAAAAACCATTGAAAATTTTGAGCAAAGTAAAATCAAAGGCAGATTAAGATTATCAATATATTTATAGTGACTAACCCAAATGTAAATTAATGAAATTGTTGGGGAAAAAAAAAAAAACGTAATGACAGAAAATGATACAAGAACAATTGTTGTTTATTGAAAATTACAGCAGTACCCAAAAAGGGAAAACAAAATGAAATACATTTTTAAAATCTAAATAATTATATTTTTGGACTTAAATTTTTACTCCCAATCAGTAAAAGCTATTTAGCAGAATATATTTAGGATAACTGAAAATTTAGTATATGTCTATTTATTAAATGAAACAATTCATGGTGTTTCAGTGAGAAAAGTAAATAACCGGAGATTAGGAGATTTAGAATTCTTTTTCATTTGTTAGAGTAGGCAGAACTCTGGTTAATAGGTAGAAATGACTGATCAGTTCTCTTCTAAGAACTGGCTTTAAAACTAAATCGAGAGACTTTCCTTGTTGAAAATATCATCTTATTCTTGGTGAATTCTAATAACAATATAGGCGCTCCAGAGAACAACATTATCTGTCTCATTTCATCGTTTTTATCCCCAAGGGCAAGCACAATGCTAAGTAAATATTTGCTGAATAAATGCGTTATCTAAAATAATCCAAGTGTAACTTCAATAAACAAACAGCATCATGAAATGACGGAAAGTTAAGAGTTAGCAGAGAACTTAAGGAAACATCAAACGAAGTCATTTATAACTTTTTGCATTATACGTCTCACCTAAAGAGACATAAAACTCTGTTTTCCCAAAAGAACATTTGTATGCTTGAAAAGATAAACAACTCTTTAAATTACAACATTGATTTGATGTGCTCAGACATTTTTATACAAATCTTATTAGAAATGTTTTAGTTGAATCATTCACAGTATGATTTAAATGCATAAAGCGAAAGTGGTGTGATTGATAAATAAATATTCGCCTTTTAAAAATTATTATGATGTAGTGTTTAGTTGTTAAGGCTGACTGAAGGCCATAGCTTCTTACTAAGTAGAGAATCAGTATCTATCCTCTTTCTTATTTTATATATAAGAACATGGAGAATATGAGATAAGAATTGACTTGCCATAGGCCTTAGTGCTTAACAGAAGCAGAATCAGGAATCAGTAAAATGCAGCAGGAAGAAGATAGCACCAAGAAGGCAGCAGAATTTGCAAAAATTCCAGCTTTTACTAACTATGTGATTCTGGTCAATCCTGAACCATTCTATGTAACTCAACCAGGAGCTAAAACCAAATTTGCTGACTCTCCCAAGCAGCCTTCAACTTTGTTAAAAGTGCTATTTTAAACACCAGTCGGTTTCAGGCAAAATTTGAGGGATTCCTTTATTTCCCACTCCTACACAATTTTCTTGAGCTATTGTTAAGTTATCCAAATGAAAAGAAGAAGGGAAAAAGAACAAATGACCTAAATAATTCACAAACCATATTATCAAACCCCTGAGTATTATACCATTGACTACAAAACAAAACAAAACAAAAACAAAAGAAGTTATTTTTATAGGTTCTAATTGTTATATCTCAGTCATCTTGCTTTTTTATCTTTTTTTTTTTTATTTTTGAAGTGTTGCAAACAGGATTACTTCCAGAGCTATCATCTGGCTCACATAATATCATTACCATGGTTATCAGCACTTCCTTATCACAGGATGAATGCAGTCCACTCTCAGGAAAGCTTCTGTGGAGGTTACATGAATCTGTGTAAAGGACAGTAATGAATATCACTGGAGCCCTAAGTAAGGAATGATTAAACACTGTTATTAGTCAGTTATAACATTGTATGACAATATAATTACAAATGTATCTGTAAAGCCTCTACAATTGATCCTCTAAATTACATATTAACTTTTATTTTCCTGCTACACTAATACTTTATTGTTCCTTTTTTCAGGGTCATAATTATATTTTTATTTCAACCTCTGAATTGATTTGACACGTGACAGTATGTGCCCAAAATTGCAAAATAAGTAAATCAAGTTCCTCAGATTTAAAAACATACACCATTTTGGATACTCATTTTTCAATGTAGGACCTTAAATAGGTAAAAAGTTTGTTATCTGCCTTTTAAAGTTTCTTTAAAACTTTTAATTTTATTTCAACATATACAGATTAAAAACATATGATGAAACTGGTCATATATGTAAGTGTGGTTTTGCCCTAGTTTGACTGATAAGATCACTCTGTAGCTTCAAATGAATAGTGTCCACTCTTGGATTTGATGACATAAATCATTCTCTTGTGTTGTTTCTTAATCATGTGATTAAATATGGAGTAAAGCACACAATTACTTTAGGATAGAAAATAACTCACCATTAACCATTCCTAGGGTCACTGCTGATTAGACCTTAACTTGCCAGATTTCTTGAGCTTCACTTAGAAATACACTGGCACTCCAGACACAAGTAACTTGACAAGAACAATTTCTTAAGGAACACAGCCAGTCTGTTGTAGGGAGGCAGCACTAACTCACATTCAACTTTCATTAGAATATTTATGACCAGTGCAGCACTATCTTGTCTTTTAACTCAGTCACCAGGCAGCGGTGAACTGGCTTGTTTTCACACCTTCTGCAAAGTACTTTTCTTTAGAGTAGATTGCCTAATAGCAAATTATTACATGATTTGGGTAGAAAATAACCACTTGTGGCAATGTGGCTCAAAAAATAAAGATATGCTGCTTAAAGCATTATTAACATATTATGAACTAAGGCTAATGCTGAAGAAGATTAGAATATTCTTAGCTGGTATCACAGAAAATTAGTCAAAACCAAAGAATCTGTGCAGTATACTCTGCTAGAGTCTCTTACATTTACAGGGGGGTATAACTAAGGTAAACATACATTCCACTTTGCCAAGAACTATTCTGTATATGTCTGTTGTCTGATATAATTATTAATAGTTTCTCCATTTATTCTCAAAAGTGTCCTGATTTGGACAATAAATCATATGCTCATCCTATGTGTAATTATATTTTCCAGCTTAGTATGCATCTAAAGACAGAGGACACAAAAATTTTAAGGCCAAACAGCCACATAAGAATTCAGTAATAATGAAAGGAACATCAAAGATATGATCAATATTGAATAAAGGATTCCGTCAAATGCTATAAAATACTTAGAGAGAGAGAATCAGGAGGAATCTCATTAAAGACATGGTATTTGTGCAGGGTTTTGAAAGGGTGCTATGTTCTGGCTAAGCAGAGAGGAAGGGGAGATACCTTTTCAGATGGAATGGGGATATATTATGATTTTAAAAACATATCAAGAAAGGTCAAGATGAATCAACTTATTTAACTATGTGTTAATATCTATGGGCAAATATTGAAAATGGCTTTACTATAGATGGAAGATATGGTAGGCTTTGAAGGACAAACCACAGAAGCTAACTATCATTCTACAAGCAGCGAGAATCAGTGATGTAATAAAGAAGTAGGTGTTTGGGCCTGGCATGATGGCTCACACCTGTGATCCCAACACTTTGGGAGGCAGAGGCAGGTGGATCACTTGAGGTCAGGAGTTCGAGACCAGCCTGGCCAACATGGTGAAATCCCGTTTCTATTAAAAATACAATAATTAGCCAGGCATGGTTGTGCGTGCTTGTAGTCCCAGCTTCTTGGGAGGCTGAGGCAGGAGAATCTCTTGAACCCAGGAGGTGGAGGTTGCAGTGAGCTGAGATCACACCACTGCACTACATCCTAGGCAACAGAGACAGGCTCCATCAAAAAATAAAATAAAATAAAATAAAATAAAATAAAATAAAAAAGAAGTGGGAGTTTAAAATGGTTGTGGGGAAGGAGTAGAGAGTGAGCCAGAAGAAGAGTGAAATGATGGTCCCAAGGGAGTTAGAAGACTATTGGTAGTCTATACGTGAAGTGGTTGCTGAGAGCTGAATTGGGGTATTTATAGAGGGACAAGAATGAGGCTAATACAGGAGCCATGTGAAGGAAGAGGGTAGAATTTAGCAATCTTTGTTTGCGTAAAGGTTTATATGTGAAAGGGTTTTCAATCAGTTATATTCGATTCCCAGTACTCCCCAGTGAGCTCAGTAAATATAGAATTGTTAGATCCCTGTTTTACGGTTAGGATGACTGAGATTCCAAGAAAGTAAGCAATTTCTGAACGTTTCCTATATCAAATTAGTGGTAAAGGTGAGGAGGATGCCCTGATTCATTACATTGAATATGTAGGATGAAGAAGGATCAAAGATAACTTCAAAGTCCAGAATCTGAGCAACTGAGAAATTGAATTTTCTTTTCTTTTTTTTTTGAGACAGAGTTTTGCTCTTGTTGCTCAGGCTGGAGTGCAATGGCATGGTCTTGGCTCACTGCAATCTCCGCCTGCCAGGTTCAGGTGATTCTCCTGCCTCAAACTCCCAATTAGCTGGGATTACAGGCACCTGCCACCACACCCTGCTAATTTTTGTATTTTTAGTAGAGACGGGGTTTCACCATGTTGGCCTCAGGTAATCTGCCTGCCTCAGCCTCCCAAAGTGCTGGAATTACAGGTGTGAGCCATCGTGCCCTGCCGAAATTGAATTTTCTAATGACAGAATTAAAAACATCAGAAGGCTTAGTTTAGGAAGGAAAGTGACAGGATGGATTTTAGGCAGGTTTGGTTTGAGCTGATGGTCAAGAAATTGGGTATCTTAAAAAAAAAAAACTGGAAAAAAAAAAGGAATGGATATGGGTAAACAATCAGGTGAGAAAATATGGAACTAGTAGTAGAAGTTGAAACCCAAGAGAATAAAGAGTTGGGTCTTGTCAACACGAAACCTTAGGACGTGTTGACAGTTAATGTTGATGAATCAGAAAAGGGGACCGTTTAAGACAAAAAACAGACACACACACACACACACACACACACACACACAAACAGAGCAAGATGCAAGAAAATATACCATCCTAGAAAGCCACAAAACGGAAAGCGTCAAGATTGAAGAGACAGGCAGCAGTGTAAAGTGCTCTAGAGGAGTCACAGAAGATGTTGACAGCTAAGTCATTGATAACCTTAGAGAATGCAGTTTTAAAGCGGGGAGCAGGCACTGAGGGTGAAAAATGGTTTTGTACCATGAAGGCAATTGATGGGGCCAGACATTTCAGAGAGATATAGTATTGAGAGTTCAAAGAAACATCAAGTAAACGCTTTTTCCTGATGTTTGGTGAAAAGAATTCAACAAGAGAAGAGTAAATGAATCACTGACTTTCCAATGGAAATTAGAGTGTGATTCTTTGACACTGGGTGAACCTGAACATGTGACTTTTTTCTCCACTAGTTGGTTCTGTTTAGGATCTGGAATAGAAAAATATAGAAGATAAGGATCTGTGCTGAGGACTGGGGAAACTTACCCAGAATTGATGGTCAGATAAAGGAGAGAACAGACAGTAAGCTGACTGAAGAGGCCCTCTATGGAATGCAGGCTGGCAGGAAGTTAAGTGAAGCCTGGGTGAACTACAGAGGCTAATTAGATGTGATCTTCCACCATAGTGCAGTGCCATGTAATAGCCAGGCTCTGGAGGTAGCAGCTTCGAGGTGAGGTAGGAGAAATGTAGAAGGGATGGAAGTGGATATTACGCTGACTCTCAAATCTCATTGGTTAGCTCCCGTTCAAGTTTTTATGTACAAATATATTATTTTCCCTATAAATAAGATAAATGCCTTATCTTTAGTACTGTTTTACATAAAGTTGTGCAAATACTAATTTTATCGGATGACTGAATGCATTATCACACAGTCATGCTCGGTTTGAACAACAAAGTGGCCAATAGTGGGAAGGGTGCAGGGCTGCTGGTGTCAGAGCAAGAGGGCTACAGGGGAAGGGCCCTTTTTCAGGGGATGTAGCTTTTTAAAAAGATTTGGGAACACTTGGAGGATTTGCTAAAATGAGCCTCAGAAGGAAAATTGGTTTTCTAACCTGTGGCTTTTTGAAATGAATTATTCCTTTCAGTCTTTATTTTTCAAAGAAACAATGTGTATTGAAGTACCTAGATTTGTTTGATAATCAACAAATATTTCCTTTTTAAATGAACATATTCTGAATGTGGTTTCTGTCTTAGACCAGGAGGACAGAGTTTACTTTCATATTTTCCCTGTGAGTAAGAGGGCTTATTTATTTTAAATAAAAAGTAATTATTTAAAAAAATGAAGTCAAAAAAGGAAAAAAAAAATTCAAGAAAGAGAGCTTGTCACCCATGAGTCTGAGTGCCATGCCTCTCATGGCAGCATAAACTATAAATAAGATCTGTGCAAGTGAACACACTTATTGTGAATCTCCCTGTATATAACACTTTGCCAGCCATGGTGGATCAAAGCTATGTGTTCCCAAGTACAGGTAAAAAGGGGTTGCATCATCTTGAGAGAATGGTAAAATTATAATAAAACTGACTCAAATAAAATTGGCTTGTTATTATCACCATGTACTAAAAATTCTAAACTCTGTTAGTGATAAAATATTCCTCCCTGAAAGAAACTTTTGCTGATCTAAGCATTAAAGAGTGGGCTCGCTTACTGTTGAGTTTTACTGACATAATAAATAAGCTTCAAGTTAGTCCAATGTTATCACTTATCCTTTAGTAAACATTGCCTTCCACATGGAAGTTAATTCAGAGAACTCCCAGTAACACACTTGGCTCCCAACAGTGAACTCAGCTACATGCATTCATTTAGAGAATAAAAGTTAATCCGGGTTTGGAATCCATTGCATTTGTTTTGGGCACACTGGTGTCTTCAACCTATATGGTACTTTATATATCTGTGTTAAAATAGTAGATTCTAAACAAAGAATGATAGCATTGTGGTTGTAAAGACGGAAAAACAGAACTTAAGGCACTTCAATTCTGCCATTGCAAGTACAAATCATTCTCTGAACCTTGTGGAATTCTTCATTTGGCAATATGCCCCTTTTCTTTCTTACCAAAAAGTGCATTCATTCACTCTGTTTCCCGTTTTTTATGGCAATATTTTATTTTTTATTTTTAATGATTTTTACTGGCATGATTGTATATCGACAAAGTTCAAAACAAGAAAATCTTCTCGTCTGTGTTCCTTTATAGCCATTATTATTAATTTCCTTTCATGATTATTACTGAAAATAATGCTGTCTTCTAGAGGAGGAGATGTTATGAAAAGGATTCACTCCTGGTGTCAGATAGCTTCAATACTCCACTGCTGTGCATATTTCAGAGTTCACAGAATATGACATCCGACTTCTAGGACATATACATAGAGCACGATATAGATAGATATACATACATAGACACACATATATACATATCATATGTATATATGTATGTTGACTGCATCCCTTCAATCACATGTACAACCACAATATGTGAAAACAATGTGACAAGAGATACTGATAAAATACCAAGAAACATCTGAAACAGCACAGGAAAAATAGAAGTGACTTGTAATCTGTAGGTGGGTATTCAGAAAGTTTGCATGGCCAGGTGCAATGGCTCACGCGTGTAATCCCCACACTTTGGGAGGCCAAGGCAGGAGGATTGCTTGAGGCTAGAAGTTCGAGACCAGTCTGGGCAATGTGGTGAAACCTGTCTCTACTAAATAAATAAATAAACAAATAAAAGTTTAAAAAATATTAGCTAGGAGTGGTGGTGCACTCCTGTCGTCCCAGCTACTTAGGAGGCTGAGGGGGGAAGATCACTTGAGCCCAGGAGGTTGAGGCTGCATTGAGAGTTGATCATGCCACCATACTCCAGCCCAGGTTACAGAGTAAGATACTGTCTCGAAAGAAAGACGGGAAAGGAAGGGAAGGGAAGGGGAGGGGAGGGGAGGGGAGAGGAGGAAAGGAAGGAAAGAAAGAAGGAAGGAAAGAAAACAGAAAGAAAGAAAGTGTTCTTGGAAATATGTGAAATGGATAAATGGATAGTCTTTGCACCTCCCCAGGTGATTTTTATTTTTAGTCAGCTAGACTAAACAGTGAAAGAAAATAATGCACATTAAGTGTTTGCAATGTGTGATTGAAAGATATTTATTCGGCCATTGGAGAATCATTGACTTTGTACTTTAAAGATACTAGCTTTTGGAAAATCACACAAATTGTATGTTTTTATGTTAACCCTAGAAGAGAGCTGATCTGTATATGCTTGGGAACAGTTTTCATCTTGCACATGAACCGACTATGGTTATAACTAATCCTTGAAGATCATCCATAAGACAGTTCTAGAATGAAGGCAACATATCAACGACAGGTAGTAACGGGAGACTAGAGATGAGCTGACGCAGGAAAATAAGGCAACTTCCACACCAGGAAGAATCAAAAGAGGGCGAGCAGAAAATGTGCAAAGATCACCCAGGCTTTGCTTCCCACACGAGCAATTACAATGCTCCTGCTTGGAATTCTCAACCACACCAGAAGACCAACAGATCAATTTGAGTTACTCTTTTTAAGGAAAAAGTGACCTACATTTCATGAAGCAAAGAGATACAGCCACACACAGGAGCCGTTTGTTTTAATTAGATTGCTGGTTTCCCTGGCCAGGACCCAAAACCACTGTGTTTCCCCATAGATACAATTGACAAATAAAATACATGACACTCATGTGAATCAGAATTTCAAAAAAAAAAAAAAGCCATTAATTAGTATATGTCCAATTAAATATATATGTTTAATGACTTGTTTGTTTGAAATCCAAATTTTATGGGTGTGTCATTTATTTGCTAAATCTGGCAATCCAACCTTTAACTTGTTAAGAAATATTCAACACAAAATAAGGAAAATAGAGAAAAAATTGTATTTCAAAGAATGAAATAGAGAGAAAAAAATTCCTTCCCTTGGACAGTCAAACTGTCGAAGCTAAATATTGAAAGGTTGACCTGGGTGCAAAAACAAACCTTCAATTCCCATGAAGGTGTGCCAGAGACACAAGGAAGCCTGAGGTTCAATATTTTTTTTTCTACTGGCTCCTGGAGGAGTTTCTGTTAGAAGAGACCTTAGAAAATCATCACCCTTGCTCTTCGAAATGTGTTGTGTGGATCCACAGCCTCAACATCACCTGGGAGCCTGTGAGAAACACAGACCCCCTAGGCCTCTCTGAGATCTATTGAATCAGGAGCTGCAGTTTAACAAGATCCCTTGTGATTCGTGTGGCCAGGCAAGTTTGAGAAACACAGATTTAGTTCTGTAGTTTCCAAAACACATGTTTTAGAAAGTATAGGATTCATAAACTCCATGAGGGCTCGGGGAGCGCACGCAAGCAAGGAACTGTACACCACAATTAAAGGAGACCGACCCTGTGTGCTTCACTCTGGGCTTCAAGGTAAGATTTTTATTAGAAAACAAAAAGAGTCCACGGCTTAAAAATTAAAAAGGAAGGAAGGGTCGGGCGCTTTGGCTCACGCCTGTAATCACAGCACTTTGGGAGGCTGAGGCGGGTGGATCATTTGAGGTCAGGAGTTCAAGACCAGCCTGGCCAACATGGCAAAACCCTGTTTCCACTAAAAATACAAAAATTAGCTGGGCGTGGTGGCAGGCGCCTGTAATCCCAGCTACTCAGGAGGCTGAGATGTGAGAATCGCTTTAATCCAGAAGGCAGAGGTTGCAGTGAGCTGAGATCGCGCCACTGCTCTCCAGCCTGGCCAACAGAGTAAGACTCCATCTCAAAAAATAATAATAATAAAATTAAATTAAAAAACGGAAGGAAGGGTAGGTTTTTTTGAAAAACAATACTCTCGTTCATTTAGATTCGGAAACTGAGTAACAAGACGTGACTTTCCCCAAGTCCTACACTGGGAAGTGATCCCAGCCTCTTTCTATTCCCTCACTGTTCATGGAGGAAGACAGCCCCAAAATGGCAGAAATTTCTAATCGACTGCTTGACAAGTGCCATTATGTACCACAGGTGTTTTCTATCTGGGCCTTTAATTTCAAAATCAGTCCCTTTTCTTTCATACTCATGCCTGTAACTTCCTTTCAAGGGCTCATCTAACCCAACACAAAACCCTCTCTGTGTTGCTCTCTGAACTGGAAGAAAGGTCTCCAGCTGCGGTTTTGTGTACACTGCTAACTGAGGGTGCCCTCCGGGTTTGTTTGTGGATATTTTAGCTAATTGTCTTGTCGCAGACCTTTGAGTCAGACCTGGATGACTGTTCAATTAGTAGTACTGAAGCAAGAATTAGGGAGAATTCCTGACTGCACAGCCAACCCCAGTGCCAACATTATTGCTGCGAGCATTTTCTTCTGAATATGATTAATCACATAAATAATTCTCAGAAATGAAATTAGAAATCACCCACACACTGCACCCAGTAATGTTTTAAGACATTACATCCTGAAACTCTGTAATGAATTAACATTACAGTCTGGTTTGAGTTCTTCAATTTTCAGCATATATCCTGCCCTGTTAGCGAGTGACCCTGTGGCCTTGATGAGTTTCTGTAACAATTTGAATTAGCCATTCTAAAAAGAACACAGATTTGGAACTGTCTAGGCCTTGAGAAAGAACAACATATCCCTTCTCTGAAATCCCTGGCTGTGCTCAATCATGCTTGCAAGTTTGTGACAGGGCTGGACATGAGGATCAGGTTTTCAGATCCTTCCATCCAAGCCCTTCCCCGTACTCTGGGTAGGTGGCTCCTATTATGGCATAGATGTTAAGGACTTTTCTATGCTAACTAAATATTCAGTTATTCTGTTAAAGAATGTAATTTCAGCACTTTGGGAGGCTGAGGTGGGTGGATCACGAGGTCAGGGGTTCAAGACCAGCCTGGCCAAGATGGTGAAACCCGTCTCTACTAAAAATACAAAAACTAGCCGTGTGCTGTGGTGGGCGGCTGTAATCCCAGCTACTCAGGAGGCTGAGGCAAGAGAATCGCTTGAACCCAGGAGGTGGAGGTTGCAGTGAGCTGAGATCTTGCCATTGCACTCCAGCCTGGGTGACAGAGCGAGATTCCATCTCAAAAAAAAAAAAAAAAAAAAAAAAAAGAGTCCCATTCTTTTCATTTATAAAGAATAATCTGACCACATGCAGACTGACATGGAAAATTAATTTCAGTTAGGGCCGATTTATATAGATTTCCCTTAAATATAGGAATTCTAAAAGTTAGCAGAAGGAGGCAGAAGGGACAAGGATCAGAAAAACCTCAACACAGAAGGTTCTCTTTAAAAATTATGATCTTCTCTCCACTTTAAAGGCAATTATCTCAGGCAAGCAAATATAAAGATCCTAGGGTTTTAGAGGACAAATTAGCTATTATTTCACAGATGAAGAAACAAAGGCCCAGAGAAATCAAGTCATTTATTCACAATCAAGTAATTGCTTTGCAATGTGAGATAACATCTCCTATCTCATTATGAAAGTATTCTAAAAAGAAAGGAGAATTTTGGTGAAGTTGTTACTCTTTGCTTGGCGTTGTTATGACTAAGACTGAGATGTGAAGGGATTATAAAAGAATACAAAATAAGATCAAATGTTTAAAACCCTAGCTACATGACATTTGTTAGATTTGTTTTGCTATCAAATACTAAGTCTTACTCATTTTTCTATTTTTGGGGGGACCCATTAACTATCCCCACCTCCTCCCAACCCTGTCACTACCCTTCCTAGCCTCTGGTAACTATCCTTCTACTCTATCTCCATGAGTTTAATTGTTTTGATTCTTAGATCCCAGAAGTAAGTGAGAACGTGTGATGTTTGTGCCTTTCTGTGACTAGCTTATTTCACTTAAGATAATGATCTCCAGTCCATCCACGTTGTTGTGAATGACAGGATCTCATTATTTTTAAGGCTGAAGAGTACTCCTTTGTGTTTATGTACCACGTTTTTTTCATCCATTCATCTGTTGATGGACACTTCAGTTACTTCCAAATCTTGGCTACTGTGAACAGTATAGCACAATGTCTTTATGTAACTGTAAATTCATGCTAGGTGGCAGGGTTGTTCTTGCTACCAACTAGCCTTGGAAAGGTGGCATTTCAGAACAAAATCTCATTGGTGCTGCTTGCCCAGGGAAGCTGTAGCTTTGGAGAAGCTCAGCTGTGAAGTCACTAAAACCAGAGTTGGGGCTATAAGTAGTGAGCACTGCAACATGTCATCTTTACCCTACAAACAGGCATAACCATGAGTTGTGGTACCCACCTCCCTAGAGGTGCTTAGTATGTTTCCATTGTTGATGATTTCAGCCCCACCACAGACACGTTGTTTTGCTGTGTGGCCCTCTCTTTAGTTTTAAATTCTTCTTTTGGAAAATAGGGATAATTCAGTTCCACTTAATGGAACTTAATCAGCAAATAAATTTACGGCATTCTGACCACATAATGTTATAGAGATAGCACTTAATATTATTAGTAGGCAGAATGTAATTACCTTCATTTTTTTTTACACAATATAGAGCTAATAGTCATCCCTACCTGATGTGAAAAACTTTCACAGCCATTAACCATCGACATTGGCATGTAATTGGAAAATCTAGAAAGATACCAAATGCCAGTATATGTACACTGACATATAACCTGTTTTACATTAGAATTCTTTAGATAGAAATGAACTTCCTTCAATATTTATCATCTTATTTAGCCCAAAATTGCAGGCACTTTGAAAAATGGAGTAATAGTTTCTAGTGTCACTATGGCTGTGAAATGCATTTTAGTGTCTTTTGCTTTGATAACCCAGTAATTCATTTCAGTACATCTATTTGTAAATCACAGGTTTGTTTGATGGATGGAGTGCTGAGAAGAAATGCTCTCTTTTTGTCAATACAAATAACCTGTATTTTAGGACTAGTGTCTATTGTACAATATTTGTTTCATAAGCTCACGATTGGCCACACCCTCTGATAATAGATTCCATTTTTAGGATATAACAGCTTTAATTTTCAAGCACAAAGAAATCATAGATGGGTATGCTTAACTAAATAAATAATTTCTTAAGATATTAAGTGATATTTCTTTTAGCTTATTTGCTAGGAAGTCTGGTGCCTAATTGAAAATACCCTTCTAGGAACAGCAGAATTTTTTGACCTTAGTTTTTGAGTGAATTAATGAACAAAATGAAGTGATATCAGTATTGACTTGTAGAGAAGAGAGAGTGTCTGTGCCCATATATTAAAAAATATTTTCTATTACAGTTCCTTTTTGCCTAGTTATATTTGAGCATTTCAGACATATGCATAAGGCATTAAACCTTGCTTGGGAGAAGCTCTGAATCCTTTGAGGGCAGGTGTGACAAATGGTCTTTCCTGTGACAGGGGTAGATAGCGCCATCTTGGAAATGCAAGCACAGGGCTTGGAGGGTTGATAAGGGGAATTCTTAATTCTGACTGTAGCTATAATAAGAGATAATTTAATGTGTTAATTAATTCAACATTTAATCTAAAATAGCTAGCAAATAGATTTTTCTGGTGCTAGAATCTTACCCTGACGCACATTTTTTATTTTTGTGTTTTCTGTTTCAGAGACGCCCAAGCAGATGGCCTGCGATGAAGTTTAGAAGAGGCTCTGGACATCCTGCCTATGCTGAAGTTGAACCAGTTGGAGAGAAAGAAGGCTTTATTGTATCAGAGCAGTGCTAAAATTTCTAGGACAGAACAACACCAGTACTGGTTTACAGGTGTTAAGACTAAAATTTTGCCTATACCTTTAAGACAAACAAACAAACACACACACAAACAAGCTCTAAGCTGCTGTAGCCTGAAGAAGACAAGATTTCTGGACAAGCTCAGCCCAGGAAACAAAGGGTAAACAAAAAACTAAAACTTATACAAGATACCATTTACACTGAACATAGAATTCCCTAGTGGAATGTCATCTATAGTTCACTCGGAACATCTCCCGTGGACTTATCTGAAGTATGACAAGATTATAATGCTTTTGGCTTAGGTGCAGGGTTGCAAAGGGATCAGAAAAAAAAAATCATAATAAAGCTTTAGTTCATGAGGGATCGACACCTTTGGTTCAAATGTTCTCTGATGTCTCAAAGATAACTGTTTTCCAAAGCCTGAACCCTTTCACTCAAAAGAGCAATGATGAATGTCTCAAGATTGCTAAGAAAAACAGCCCATGCAAGAGTGAGAACAAACACAAAATAAGAGATTTTCTACATTTTCAAAACAGATGTGTGGCAAAAGGATGTTGTTTTTCTGGTCTAGATCCATCTGTACCAACAAGTTCATCACTTTACAGAACGAATCTTTTTATCCGTACAGGAGGTTCAAACCATGTCTGCCTCTTCCTTTGTAATGAATGACCTTTCTATGAGCTGTGACAAAATTTCCGAACAATTAACTAAGGATTTGGGAAGAGGGGGTGGCAAACGGGGCTTTCTGTTTTCCTGCCTCAGCATGAAAACATCTGATTTATGCTTTATGGAAGCCTTACCTCCAATCCCCAACTGTTAAGTCCCATGAAACCACAGTTGCTCTGGGCTGATGGAAACAAAAGGAAACAGTATGAAGAGTTCCTTAATCATTTTTGAAACAAAAATGTTAAGGGATTTTAAACATATGATTATTTTTAATTTTATGCCTTTTCAGTACTAAACACCCATTTCATTGCTGATTCCTGTCTAAGAAGCCATTCACGTCAGCATGGCGATAGAAAGAATGAAAAAACCCTGCTGAATCATACAGTAATTTTCTTTAAAGCACATAGTAGTTACATAAATATATATATATAAATATATTTTTGTTTATAACTAACACAAGGCAGGATCTTGTGACTCTAAGAGTGCGTTTTGTCATCAAGGCAAAACAGATGCAAGATGCATCACTGCATTACTTCCATAGAGTTGTAAAATAATCCTTAATATTAGAATATTTTTCTGTCACTTAGCAAAAGTGGTTCAGTTCATTGCCGCGCCCATCATGTTCTTGACTATTTGATCCACTTTTTCGTTTATGTCAACCCCTTCCCTCTCTGGCTAAATAAAGTGGATGCAGAAAGCTCCTTAAATGGAGATATCGATTGCCTTGGAATCACAATCCTGATTTTGAAAATTCCTCATGAATGAAGAAAGGAATGGCATCCCTTGAGAAGGAAAGTGGTTAATATACATACTGAGCTCCTAAAGTTTAAATTCAGGTACTGAGTGTACAATTTCACCAACATTCTAACCCATGAAACTTTTACACTCTGTGCCAAGAAACTGTTGGCTTTTGTAAGGTACAGTGCTCAACATTTGCAGATTCAGGTCTCAAGAAGCAGAGATGTCTCATAAGCAGCATTTTCCCAACAGTTTAGCATCTGTACACATCTGCCTTGGTCATCAGTCCACTCACAGAGTACCATACTTTATCATCACAAGTGTCTGACGTGAACGAATGCCATTTTCTATTCCATATATTTTGCTTTACAATTTTAAGTATTTGATGAAGATGGTAACTTTTTCCTAACTTAGTTAACTATTAAAAAAAATTTTGAAAAGCAAGGTGATTGAAGGATTGTGATGACAATCTCTTTGCAGCAGCTATGTATGGTTTATGTGAAGTATCCCCACTTATTCTTGTGGAGCAGGTTTGGTGAGACAGCAATAACCAAATGACATGCCAATATTACTGGTGCAACTGGTATTCTACAAATGCATAAGGAACACATAGACGACTTCCTTTTAGGATAAAATGATGCTTCTTTCACTACCTTTTGTGGTAGCTGTGGCTTCCAATAGCAACTGTTTGACAGTTATATAAATCTTGCATGTGTATTCTTAGTTTGTGTCCCTTAAGTACTACTTAATTCTCAAGTAGTAATGTTATTCTTATACCCTTCAGCGTTCTATTTTGATTCAAAACAATTGATTCAAAACAATTTTGAATCAATTTTCTATTTTGATTCAAAACAATTGATAATTCTGTAAAAAAACATAAACACTGAATTCTTCAGTGAACCAAAGCAACAAATAATAGAGAAAACTTCTTGAAACTGGAGTGTGGGAAAACTTCTTAACAGAACTAAGAGTTAAAGGTAGTGAGAAGTGTGTGGTGTGTGAATTCTTTAGTGGTAAGGGGAAATGTGGGCTAAATCCTTTTCTTTCATGAAACTCTCATTCTATTTTATATTTCTGGTTTGTTCTTGTTCCCATGTGAGAAAACATACAGTTTCTGAAAATTCAAAATGGTCATCAATGCTTTGGACTTTACATAATTATGTATTAGAGAAGGTGCAACTGTACATTACTTAATATACTATGAACATAATAGAATAACAAAAAAAGATAACAAAGAGATGCAAACTTCTGGATAAATCAGATAAATGGTGCTACAGAGGAATTTAGTTATTTCAGCTTAATTATTTGTAAAAATAATAATCAGTGACTAGGTAAAGATACTGAAACTCAAGAAAAATATCTTGACCCATTTATGTCTAGTGTTCCATTATTGGAACGCTAAGCTTATGGGAGTTATTTAGAGCCTACTGCTCAAGGTCATCACCAAGGTCTGGTTGCAAAAATTCAAAAAATTGCAACCTCAGGCATAAATGGCTTAAGCCCAAGAGATGGCACTGACCATAAATGGTGGCTTGTGTGTGAAGGGTTTGGACTTCAAGATATACTAACACCTAGAAAACTAAAAGTGCAATTGACCCCCAATTACTATTTTAGTTTGAGGTATCAAGGGCATTTGCCAATCTCTTATATGTAGCTTCTAGAGTTGTGCTGTCCAATATTATATCCACTAGCCAACGTGGCTTTTGAAATTAAAATTAATTAAAATTAAATTAAAAATGTAATTCTTCAGTCACACCAGCCACATTTCAAAGGCTCAATAGCCACGCCTGGCTTGTGGCTACCATATTGGATAACAAGAAACACTTCCGTGGTTGAAGAAAATTTTAATGGACAATGCTGTGTTTCATTTGAATTCGTTGTCCTTGAAGAAAAGGGAAGAAGAGGAAAGAAACAAGATTTGGTAGCTCTTGGGCATATCCAAGCATTTTTGATTTTAGAGAGGCCCTATGGAGTAATGAAAAAAATACAAGCTGACACAGCTTTAAATCCCCACTGTGTTATCTTGGGAAAATCACTTCAACCTCCTTGAGTCTCAATTTGCAATTTTGGAAAAGAAAAACAATTTTTGTCCTGTCTTTCTTGCAAGATTATTATGCAACCTGATTAAATGTACAGATGTGCAGACTCTTAAAAACCTTATGTTAATGTAACCCATATAAAGTACGACTTTTGGTCGAGTACCAGCACAAATTTGCATTCAAAGGAAGAATAGTTCATCAGTGCAAAAAGCGTTCAAAGGTAATCAGTTCATCACGTATCTTGAGAAAAAGAGAATGCATTCAAAACACAAAGCAAAATTGCTTCAGTTTCTTTTCTGCCCATCTGAATATTTCCTTTAGTATTTGTCCCACATGACATCCATCCCATGTATTTATCCACTCTTTCACAACATTGCCTATGAACATCCTTCAACTGGCTCAGTTCTTTATTGCATAGAGCCACTTAGCTTCTCTAGTTTCTTATGATTTCCTATTTTACACTTAACAGCAAAAGGAGGCTTCCATTTAGAAGGCACTATCTCAAACATAAATAATTTCATATTTATTTTATCACTGTAACACTAAGGAGCTATGGCATTAAAATATAAAACTATTTGGAACTTAATGTAAACCTTTGCACATGCAGACTATATAAAGGGAATAAAATTATTTTAAATTATGCTAATATCCAGATACATATTCTAAGGTTAGTATCATTTATCAGTTTTTCGCAACAGATTCTTATGTTACATCTTCATGAGGGAGTATAAATTTGATCACGTCCCTAGTGTCTATTGCCCACTTGAGAAAGGTTTTGCCAGGATCCACAGATCGCTTCAAGATGCTTTCGTTTATGATAGGAAATTAATATTTAAATAAGACTAATTGAAAACTAGATTATCTGGTTCTAATTTCTTCCTCCTGTGAAATGTTCTTTTGGTTTGTATTTCTTTAGGTATTTTCCAAGTTACTGCTGCTTTTACTTCACGACCTCCAACCCCACTTTTGTTATCAGCGTCATATGCCAGAGTCATGGCAGATCCAGCCTGGACAACATAGTGAGACCCATCTCTATCAAATATACATATATATATATATATATACACACACACACACACACACACAAATATACATATATATCAAATATATATGTATATTTGATAGAGATGATAGCAATTATGTGTGTGTGTGTGTGTGTGTGTGTGTGTGTGTTAGCCAAGTGTGGTTTCTCATGCCTGTAGTCCCAGCTACTTTGGAGGCTGAAGTGTAAGAGTTGCTTGAGCCCATGAGTTAGAGGCTGCTGTGAGCTATGATCATGCCACTGCACTCCAGCCTGGGCAACAGAGCAAAACCCCATCTCTAAATAAAAAAAAAGAATCGTGAGACATCATGTAATCCAACCTCTTAATGTTACAGATAAGTAAACTGAGGCCCAAAGAGATATAGTAATAGTCCCAGTGTCAGTAAACTGGGTCTTGAACTTAAATGTTTGTTTCAGTTCTCATTGCCTTCATCTCTTAATTGTCGGCACTTAAGGCCAACCAAGCAGCTTAGACAGCGCAGTCCACTCAACGGTAACTTTATTTGCTATATTGACAATCTGCTCTGTTCTGTAATATAGAACATTGGATCAATCTTTATCTTTTTGCTGACTTAAGGAGGCTGCTATTGTTGCAATATCCAGAGATTTCAAGTTCTAGCCATTGCGGGGTCTTTGTGGTGTTTTCAATTTCTCCTCTCTCCACCCCTGCCCCCATCTGTGGCCATCTAAGTTAGCAATACAATTTATTTTGGCCATTTAAAATTTTTCTGCCTTTGTTTTATTTCTTCCCAAATATATTTGAAAATGAATGATCTATATAGCTGATTTTCTGACCACATATATAATTGCAATTTTTATTTGCTCTTCAAACTATTACAACATTTTTGTCCTTATAAGGTTTTTTGGGCAGATAATGCGAGGTCTGTGGTGTTACCTTTTATATACTCCTATTACCTTATGTTTGTGAAGCATTTTACATTTTACAGAGCACTTTGATTCATCTCCCTATTTGTTCATTTATTTAACTGTTCAGTTCACTGAAATATTTATTGAACACCTACTGGAACCAAGTGACTGTGCTAGTAACTTGTGATATACAGTAGTGAGAGTCCAGGCATGTAACCGATCATTATAATACAATAACATCCCTAAACCAGACTTTACAAGTAGATAGGATCAACAATACTCTATCAATTTTCAACTCCAATTTTCTATTCTACTTAAAATGGGAACTAGAAACTGTTTGCCTGAAGAATGTGTCTGAAACATAATATATCACTGCATGTCTGTGCTGTAGACCTGTTAATTTTATCTGTGAGAAAAAAAGTTACTCAAAATTCTCCCTGACCTAAGAATACTTTCTAGTTCACTGCAGTCTTACTGACCAGATGCAACAGTTGAAGTTTGATTTCTCGACCCAATATTTCTATTGGGTTTTGAATTATTAATATCACTGTTTTGAGGTATTCAGAAACACCAGTGTATCAAAAAAGCATTTGCACTTTAGGTGTGTGTGGTGGTTATGTCATTTATTAGACCATCCCAGACATAAGACAATCAGGGAAATCAGAAAACTCCAGCCTCAAATGTGTCTATAATTTCCTGTTCTACCATTGTCATATCATAACATGGTATTACTTCTTAAGGTTTTGATTAAGTTGATCTAGCCTCAACTTAAATTGTAATACATCTGCCTAATTATTGTCTGGAATAACTTTTCAACCATCCAATGCCCACTGCTCTCACAATGATTATTGTAGAGAAGTAAAATGGTAATTATTCAAGTAAAGTCACATAATTTCTGGAGTCAGTTTTTCATAACAAGTTTATGGAATACATCATCATTGGCTTCTTCATAATATATTTATTATGAGTGACCAAATTTTGCCTGGAGGAGCAAAATGCTCAAAACTTGTTATTATAGGTTAATTTCCAGCTCACTGTTGACACTGAAAGATTCTGTGTTACTTTAAACCCAGGATAAAAGGCTGGAAAAAAAATTAAATGTAAGTCATAAACTAGTACTCAGCTTTTCCTAGTTTCTAAGGCTTATTAACATTTGCAAATTACTCAATAAATGTCTTTCATAATGGAATAACATAAAAGCTTTTGATTTGGCAGATAGTGATATTTTATTTATTTTCATTCTGGTTGAAAAAAATCTCAGTGGCTTCTCTTCATTCCACGAGAATTTTGATTTTTAACAGCAGTCTCTCTTTTTCTCAGCATTGCAAATATATATGTATATATACATTCATGACCAAAGTATCGCTTACTGACCATGCAGCTGTAAACCTTCTGTGCCTATCAAACAAATACATAGCATGAAACTAATTTTAGAAGTTTCATGGGGGAATTTTAGGGGAAAGTATAAACCTAAGAGTGAGTGAATGGAGATGATTCATGGAAAAAAAAATAAAAATCTAAATGTGCTATTAGGCAGAGTTATTAACTTCTTTTAGTTGTTGTTTGAGATGGGGTTTTGCTCTTGTTACCCAGGCTGGAGTGCAATGGCGTGATCTCGTCTCACTGCAACCTCCGCCTCCCAGGTTCAAGCGATTCTCCTGCCTCAGCCGCCCAAGTAGCTGGGATTACAGGCATATGCCACTACAGCCGGCTAATTTTGTATTTTTAGTAGAGACGGGGTTTCTCCATGCTGGTCAGGCTGGTCCCCAGCTCCCGACCTCAGGTGATCCGCCCACCTCCGCCTCCCAAAGTGCTGGAATTACAGGCCTGAGCCACCGTGCCTGGCCGAGTTATTAACTTCTTAAGAGCAATGTGCTAATAAATACTCATTGATGACCAGCTCAAATTTAGGTCATTCAGACATCCAGACACTGGGGCACATATTCTGCAAGCAATGCTGAGACCCCTGACATAGAGAAAGCAAAGGATATGCCTATGATTAGTCTAAAATGCAGCCATCACCCCCCATACCTCTTCTATGGCATTCATCCTAACATCATGGAGGCCTTTGTCCTAGAGAATTATGTGACTTGCCCTAGAGAATTAGTGAATGACCAAAAAGAGACTTTCCATTTATCTTCCTTTGACTTAAAAGGCATGAAAATAAGGCAAAAAAATCAATAAAATAATTTTCCTGAGGAAAGGTTAAGAGATGGCACTTTCCTTTCCGGGCCCAGAGCTGGATTTCTCTGAGATTTGACCATCTCAGGACTCAGACAGACTCCAGTGCTATTTTCTGGACATTTGTGGTGAAGCCTCAGCCACCATGTTCAAGGTGGTTTGAATGAAAACATACTCAGATTGTCACATTTATAGCAGGGAAATAAAAACTCAAATTAGGCATCCTGCAGCAGGCTACTCTGAAAATAACATTAGGCAACATCAGAGCTTCACTTGCAAAGAAATGTTAAAATCATTTTAGGGAAATCAGTGAAGTCTCTTTAGAAACAGACATCTTGTGTATGGCGTAACCCAGTCTTGGGGCCCTCACGGAGAAGAGGGGGAAGTCTTTTCATTGATTGGTCAAAACAAATCTCTCATTTGCCTGATTTGAAGCATTTCAACAGTGCCTGGAGAGTACATTATTTTCAGGGGAAAAAAAGGAGAGAGTCTTTTTTATATGCCAGCTGGGATCATGGGAACTTCGAATGCCAGGAATTTACTACTGTTTCTGGTAATTCTGTGTGTAGTCATTTGAAATGTTGAAGTGTGAAAAGAGAAGAAATTGGGCACTTCTTGCGGCGGGGGAGGGGGGGGGGGCGGTGGCTTTCCAGATTTTATGCCAGTTGCACCAGCATGCAGAATATTTGTAATGCATTTCAAAGTGGATATAATGGCACCCTTTGTCAGAATCACAAAGCTCACTGCGGCACTGCTACAAGAGGACACTGAGGAAAATCTGGCCCTATGAACCTAGTCAACCCCAAGCAAAAAGAATGACTATGTGTGTGAGTGCAGCACATGGCCAGTTCGTTTCTCACTGTTTTGGAAAGCCCTGTGTGCCAAACCAAGGACGTGTCTTTCAGGGAAAGGTTAATTTTCCGAAGTTTATTAAAATAGAACTTGGAAAACCAAGCATTTTGAATTTATTCCAGTCCTCTGGGCATCATTCCTATTTCTTCTGCCATGTCAAGGAGAAATTCCAAGCCTGCATTCTGTCATGCTAAAATAACCAGCCCATACTTCTCGGTGACCTTCTGTTGAACGTACCTGAGCCTGCAAATGTAAAAATGATTGTATCTGAATCTGCACTAATGGTGTCTGAGAGCAAAAAGAGTGTGACCTCTATTGGAAACCTTTGTTCAAATTCAATAATTCAGAGATGCTACATACTTCTGCAAGCTTCCTGATTATGTTCACTGTAATATTAATGACCTAAGTTTGAATGTATTTCCTTACAGTCCATTAATTTGACATCCATCTTTTACCTGGGGATTATTACAATTGCAATAAGTCATTAATGTTTTCTTCACACAGCTTCTTAAACCAAGTTTCTCTGCAGCTCTTTCGGTTCTGCTTACAGTGTGTGGGAAATCTGATTTTTTTCCCCTAGTAATAGTTTGATAAGAAATTTAGTGTATTGACTGCCTCAGTGACACAATTTATCTTTAAAGGTGTGGAAGCTGGTGGGGACCAAATGTTACCTGTGTTTTTGCTGTTGATTGCTATTTTCAGAAGCAAACCATGTTTTTCACTTACAGTAGGAGTCAACAAATTTGGGATTTTAGAAGGGGGAGGAGGGAGCTATTTGTGTAAGACTGCTGTCATATTTGACTACATATTAAAAACAGTAAATGAGCATTTTGTTTTAATTTCTTAAATACCTTGTCTTTCAACATACGTTTTGTTTCCTTTCTTCCATTAGTGTTCAAAAGGTTCTACCCATTGTGGAAGAAATTCTGTGTGCAGAATTCAGAGGCACAAGGCTGATGGCAAGATAGAAAGTTATTTTGCTTCTAAACCCACCCCGATGTGGAAACTGATACTAGCTAGAGGGAGCTGTAGAAAACAAAGATTTCAGGATTGCACAGTGTGTGGGCAATGGGATGGAGACTTTTTCCCCTATTCCCAGCCACAGTGCCCAAGCGTTCAAGTCTCCTGGATCAGACAGATGGGATTTTAGCTGCTGCTTTAAATCCTAGTGCTGGAATAAGTCAAGGTACTTCAGTTCAGCTCTTGCCTCTGTCACTAATCTTGCTTTATGAACTCCTTTGATTTTCTGAATAAGTTCCAGAAGGTTCTCTATTATTCTGTCCTTCTTCCAAACTGGAAATGGCTGTATCTAATTCTCAGGATATTTTGGATGTGTGCCTCAGGTAATTTATGTGGAATGTGTAAAGCAAGATGTCTCCAATTCTGAATATTCCTTCCCCTTTTCCCAATCCTCCACTCTTGGACTACCTTTATAACAACACCGAGTACGCACAGACCTGAACCCATGCCCAAGAAGCACACACAATGACTGGAGCTGTCGGGAATTCCTGTCAGTGGCATTCCCTGAGCACTGGCTCTGTACAACTCAATTATAATTTTTTAAGAATCATACCTCTGTATAGATCTTTTGGACTGTACTGATTAAACTTTGATATTGTGGAGTAAATTCAGAAGTGCAATTTTAAATGGTGTGAATTGTCTTTATGATGCCAAAAAAAGGAAAATTATTAATGTGAATCATGCAATCTTCCCTAACAATAGAAAAACATTAGGCCAATGCTCTTAAAAATGACTTAGTGTGTACCATTTCTTTAAATAATTCAATAGACATTTGTTCAGATATATGTTAAAGGAAAATATGCTAATGACAATCACACAGCTTTTAAATCAGCTATAGATCAATCTCTTATAAATAAAGAGAGCAGATCTTCTCCTCACAGGTTCTCTCTTCCAAAGCACTATTTTTAGAATCAGAGTCTTCTGATATGCAGTTTGCAGTTTTTCCCCTTCAGTTTATTTTATTAAACATTTATTAAATAACTACTCTGTGCTATGTGCCCAAGTGTCCGTGTTCTTGACACCAGGGTTACAAAAAAACAAAACCAAACAAAAAACAAAAAATTTTTTGTTGATTTTCTTTTCCTTCCTTCCTTCCTTTCTTTCCTTTTATTTTATATCTTTTTTTTTTTTTTTTTGAGACAGGGTCTTGCACTGCTGCCCAGGCTAGGGTGCAGTGGTGGGATCCTGGCTCACTGCAGCCTCAACTTCCCAAGCTCAGGTGTTCCTCAGGCTCCTGAGTAGCTGAAACTACAGGCATGTACCTGGCTAGCTAAAAGAAATTTTTTTTTTGGAGAGACAGTGTTCTACCATGTTGCTCAGGCTATATCAGACTCCTGAGCTCAAGAGATCCTCCCGTCCCAGCCTCCCAGAGTACTGGGATTACAGGTATGAACCACCGTGCTCAGCCAGAATCTTTGCTTCTGATTAGCCTTCAGTGCATTCGGGGAGACAAACATTTAAATAAATATGGCAAACCAAGGACTGTAGGTCCCAGGCTATAAATTTTACGTAATGCAATGTAATGGCAGAGGAGGGAAGAGTTAATTCTGTGTGGAAAAGGCCAGGAGCTTTCATGAAGCAAGTGGTATTTGAACTTGGTCTTGAAGGGTGAGTAGGCCTTCCCCAGCCAACAGCCCATGCTTACCAGGGAGCAGGTGGACTAGGAGCTAACGGACTGGCTGTGTCAGAGGGATCCAAAAGGCAGGCAAGGAGAGGAAGGCTGGAGAGTCACTGAGGCCAGAGCGTTAGACCCTTGATGACCTCCATGACTTTAGAGTTTACCTTCTAAGCACAGATGCACTTGGTAGCTTTGAAGAACCCCAAATATTTCAGAAAGATCACCTCATAAGCACAGGAATAGATGAATTGCATAGGAGAAAGCTGGGAGGCCGTTCTGGACATAACTGCTCAAATCTGACTACTGCTTCCTGAGGACTATCCCTTCTTAGTTCTCTGATCGTCCTCTTCATGTCTTCAGTCCTCTATTAATAAAAACCCAAGCCCATCAGCACATATGCACTGCCTTTCTCCCCTCGCAGTCACCCCTTCCAGCAAAATATATATTCCCTTTACCCCAAAGTCATGGCACAACACAATTGGACAGATTTTCATGTGAAATCAGCCAGACCTCCCCAGGTTTACATATCTCTTTATGCAAGAACTCCCTTTTTCATTTTATTATTAGTATTATTATTATACTTTAAGTTTTAGGGTACATGTGCAAAATATGCAGGTTTGTTACATATGTATACATGTGCCATGTTGGTGTGCTGCACCATTTAACTCGTCATTTAGCATTAGGAGATATACCTAATGCTATCCCTCCCCACTCCCCTCACCCCACAACAGTCCCTGGAGTGTGATGTTCCCCTTTCTGTGTCCATGTGTTCTCATTGTTCAATTCCCACCTATGAGTGAGAAAATGCAGTGTTTGGTTTTTTGTCATTGCGATAGTTTGCTGAGAATGATGGTTTCCAGTTTCATCCATGTCCCTACAAAGGACATGAACTCATCATTTTTTATGGCTGTATAGTATTCCATGGTGTATATGTGCCACATTTTCTTAATCCAGTCTATCGTTGTTGGACATTTAGGTTGGTTCCAAGTCTTTGCTATTGTGAATAGTGCCGCAATAAACATACTTGTGCATGTGTCTTTATAACAGCATGATTTATAGTCCTTTGGGTATATACCCAGTAATGGGATGGCTGGGTCAAATGGTATTTCTAGTTCTAGATCCCTGAGAAATCGCCACATTGACTTTCACAATGGTTGGACTAGTTTACAGTCCCACCAACAGTGTAAAACTGTTCCTATTTCTCCACATCCTCTCCAGCACCTGTTGTGTCCTGACTTTTTAACGATCGCCATTCTAACTGGTGTGAGATGGTATCTCATTGTGGTTTTGATTTGCATTTCTCTGATGACCAGTGATGGTGAGCATTTTTTCATGTGTTTTTTGGCTGCATAAATGTCTTCTTTTGAGAAGTGTCTGTTCATATCCTTCACCCACTTTGTGATGGGGTTGTTTGTTTTTTCCTTGTAAATTTGTTTGAGTTCATTGTAGATTCTGGATATTAGCCCTTTGTCAGATGAGTAGGTTGCAAAAATTGTCTCCCATTCTGTAGGTTGGCTGTTCACTCTGATGGTAGTTTCTTTTGCTGTGCAGAAGCTCTTTAGTTTAATTAGATCCCATTTGTCAATTTTGGCTTTTGTTGCCATTGTTTTTGGTGTTTTAGACATGAAGTCCTTGCCCATGCCTATGTCCTGAATGGTATTGCCTAGGTTTTCTTCTAGGGTTTTTATGGTTTTAGGTCTAACATGTAAGTCTTTAATCCATCTTGAATTAATTTTTGTATACGGTGTAAGGAAGGGATTGATTTTCAGCTTTCTACATATTGCTAGCCAGTTTTCCCAGCACCATTTATTAAATAGGGAATCGTTTCCCCATTGCTTGTTTTTGTTGGGTTTGTCAAAGATCAGATGGTTGTAGATATGTGGCATTATTTCTGAGGGCTCTGTTCTGTTCCATTGATCTATATCTCTGTTTTGGTACCAGTACCATGCTGTTTTGGTTACTGTAGCCTTGTAGTATAGCTTGAAGTCAGGTAGCATGATGCCTCCAGCTTTGTTCTGTTGGCTTAAGATTGACTTGGCGATGCGGACTCTTTTTTGGCTCCATATGAACTTTAAAGTAGTTTGTTCCAATTCTGGGAAGAAAGTCATTGGTAGCTTGATGGGGATGGCGTTGAATCCATAAATTACCTTGGGCAGTATGGCCATTTCCTCGATGTTGATTCTTCCTACCCATGAGCATGGAATGTTCTTCCATTTGTTTGTATCCTCTTTTATTTCATTGAGCAGTGGTTTGTAGTTCTCCTTGAAGAGGTCCTTCACATCCCTTGTAAGTTGGATTCCTAGGTATTTTATTCCCTTTGAAGCAATTGTGAATGGGATTTCACTCATGATTTGGCTCTCTGTTTGTCTGTTATTGGTGTATAAGAATGCTTGTGATTTTTGTACATTGATTTTGTATCCTGAGACTTTGCTGAAGTTGCTTATCAGCTTAAGGAGATTTTGGGCTGAGACAATGGGGTTTTCTAGATATACAATCATGTCATCTGCAAACAGGGATAATTTGACTTCCTCTTTTCCTAATTGAATACCCTTTATTTCCTTCTCCTGCCTAATTTCCTTGGCTGGAACTTCCAACATTATGTTGAATAGGAGTGGTGAGAGAGGGCATCCCTGTCTTGTGCCCATTTTCAAAGGGAATGCTTCCAGTTTTTGCCCATTCAGTATGATATTGGCTGTGGGTTTGTCATAGATAGCTCTTATTATTTTGAGATACACCCCATCAGTACCTAATTTATTGAGGGTTTTTAGCGTGAAGGGTTGTTGAATTTTGTCAGAGGCCTTTTCTGCATCAGTTGAGATAATCATGTGTTTTTTGTCTTTGGTTCTGTTTATATGCTGGATTACATTTATCGATTTGCGTATGTTGAACCAGCCTTGCATCCCAGGGATGAAGCCCACTTGATCATGGTGGATAAGCTTTTTGATGTGCTGCTGGATTCGGTTTGCCAGTATTTTATTGAGGATTTTTGCGTCAATGTTCATCAAGAATATTGGTCTAAAATTCTCTTTTTTGGTTGTTTCTCTGCCAGGCTTTGGTATCAGGATGATGCTGGCCTCATAAAATAAGTTAGGGAGGATTCCCTCTTTTTCTATTGATTGGAATAGTTTCAGAAGGAATGGTACCAGCTCCTTGTTGAACCTCTGGTAGAATTCGGCTATGAATCCATCTGATCCTAGACTTGTTTTGGTTGGTAAGCTATTGATTATTGGCACAATTTCAGACCCTGTTATTGGTCTATTCAGAGATTCAACTTCTTCCTGGTTTAGTCTTGGGAGGGTGTATGTGTCGAAGAATTTATCCTTTTCTTCTAGATTTTCTAGTTTATTTGCGTAGAGGTGTTTGTAGTATTCTCTGATGGTAGTTTGTATTTCTGTGGGATCGGTGGTGATATCCCCTTTATCATTTTTTATTGCGCCTATTAGATACTTCTCTCTTTTCTTCATTAGTCTTGCTAGCAGTCTATCGATTTTGTTGATCTTTTCAAAAAACCAGTTCCTGGATTCATTAATTTTTTGAAGGGTTTTTTGTGTCTCTATTTCCTTCAGTTCTGGTCTGATTTTAATTATTTCTTGCCTTCTGCTAGCTTTTGAATGTGTTTGCTCTTGCTTTTCTAGTTCTTTTAATTGTGATGTTACGGTGTCGATTTTAGATCTTTCCTGCTTTCTCTTGTGGGCATTTAGTGCTATAAATTTCCCTCTACACACTGCTTTGAATGTGTCCCAGAGATTCTGGTATGTTGTGTCTTTGTTCTCATTGGTTTCAAAGAACATCTTTATTTCTACCTTCATTTTGTTATGTATCCAGTAGTCATTCAGGAGCAGGTTGTTCAGTTTCCATGTAGTTGAGCGCTTTTGAGTGAGTTTCTTAGTCCTGAGTTCTAGTTTGATTGCACTGTGGTCTGAGAGACAGTTTGTAATAATTTCTGTTCTTTTACGTTTGCTGAGGAGTGCTTTACTTCCAACTATGTGGTCAATTTTGAAATAGGTGTGGTGTGGTACTGAAAATAATGTATATTCTGTTGATTTGGGGTGGAGAGTTGTGTAGATGTCTATTAGGTCCGCTTGGTGCAGAGCTGAGTTCAATTTCTGGGTATCCTTGTTGAGTTTCTGTCTCATTGATCTGTCTAATGTTGACAGTGGTGTGTTAAAGTCTCCCATTATTATTGTGTGGGAGTCTAAGTCTCTTTGTAGGTCACTCAGGACTTGCTTTATGAATCTGGGTTCTCCTGTATTGGGTCCATATATATTTAGGATAGTTAGCTGTTCTTGGTGAATTGATCCCTTTAGCATTATGTAGTGGCCTTCTTTGTCTCTTTTGATCTTTGTTGGTTTAAAGTCTGTTTTATCAGAGACTAAGATTGCAACCCTTGCCTTTTTTTGTTTTCCATTTGCTTGGTAGGTCTTCCTCCATCCCTTTATTTTGAGCCTATGTGTGCCTCTGCACGTGAGATGATTTTCCTGAATATAGGACACTAATGGGTCTTGACTCTTTATCCAATTTGCCAGTCTGTGTCTTTTAATTGGAGCATTTAGCCCATTTACATTTAAAGTTAATATTGTTATGTGTGTTTTGTGTCCTGTCATTATGATGTTAGCTGGTTATCTTGCTCATTAGTTGATGCAGTCTTCTTCTTAGCCTCGATGGTCTTTACATTTTGGCATGTTTTTGCAGTGGCTGGTAGCAGTTGTTCCTTTCCATGTTTAGTGCTTCCTTCAGGAGCTCTTTTAGGGCAGGCCTGGTGGTGACAAAATCTGTCAGCATTTGCTTGTCTGTAAAGTATTTTATTTCTCCTTCACTTATGAAGCTTAGTTTGGCTGGATATGAGATTCTGGGTTGAAAATTCTTTTTTTTAAGAATGTTGAATATTGGTCCCCACTCTCTTCTGGTTTGTAGAGTTTCTGCTGAGAGATCCGCTGTTAGTCTGATGGGCTTCCCTTTGTGGGTAACCCGACCTTTCTCTCTGGCTGCCCTTAACATTTTTTCCTTCATTTTAACTTTGGTGAATCTGACAATTATGTTTCTTGGTGTTACTCTTCTCGAGGAGTATCTTTGTGGTGTTCTCTGTGTTTCCTGAATCTGAATGTTTGCCTGCCTTGCTAGATTGAGGAAGTTCTCCTGGGTAATATCCTGCAGAGTGTTTTCCAACTTGGTTCCATTCTCCCCGTCACTTTCAGATACACCAATCAGACATAGATTTGGTCTTTTCACATAGTCCCATATTTCTTGGAGGCTTTGTTCATTTCTTTTTATTCTTTTTTCTCTAATCTTCCCTTCTCGCTTCATTTCATTCATTTCCTCTTCCATCACTGATACCCTTTCTTCCAGTTGATTACATCAGCTCCTGAGGCTTCTGCATTCTTCACGTAGTTCTTGAGCCTTGGCTTTCAGCTCCATCAGCTCCTTTAAGGACTTCTCTGCATTGGTTATTCTAGTTATCCATTCGTCTATTTTTTTTTCAAAGTTTTTAACTTCTTTGCCATTGGTTTGAATTTCCTCCTGTAGCTCAGAGTAGTTTGATCATGTGAAGCCTTTTCTCAGCTCGTCAAAGACATTCTCCATCCAGCTTTGTTCCGTTGCTGGTGAGGAGCTGCATTCCTTTGGAGGAGGTGAGGTGCTCTGCTTTTTAGAGTTTCCAGTTTTTCTGCTCTGTTTTTTCCCCATCTTTGTGGCTTTATCTACTTTTGGTCTTTGATGATGGTGACGTACAGAAGGGTTTTTGGTGTGGATGTCCTTTCTGTTTGTTAGTTTTCCTTCTAAGAGACAGGATCCTCAGCTGCAGGTCTGTTGGAGTTTGCTAGAGGTCCACTCCAGACCATGTTTACCTGGGTATCAGCAGCGGTGGCTGTAGAACAGTGGTGGGTGTAGAACAGCGGATCTTGGTGAACTGCAAATGCTGCTGCCTGATGGTTCCTCTGGAAGTTTTGTCTCAGAGGAGTACCCAGCCATGTGAGGTGTCAATCTGCCCCTACTGGGGGGTGCCTCCCAGTTAGGCTGCTCAGGGGTCAAGGACCCACTTGAGGAGGCAGTCTGCCCATTCTTAGATCTCCAGCTGCGTGCTGGGAGAACCACTACTCTCTTCAAAGCTGTCAGACAGGGACATTTAAGTCTGCAGTGGTTACTGCTGTCTTTTTGTTTGTCTGTGCCCTGCTCCCAGAGGTGGAGCCTACAGAGGCAGGCAGGCCTCCTTGAGCTGTGGTGGGCTCCACCCAGTTCAAGCTTCCCGGCTGCTTTGTTTACCTAATGAAGTCAGGGCGATGGCAGGCGCCCCTCCCCCAGCCTCGCTGCCACCTTGCAGTTTGATCTCATAGTGCTGTGCTAGCAATCAGTGAGACTCCATGGGCGTAGGACCCCTCTGAGCCAGGTGCGGGATATAATCTCCTGGTGTGCCATTTTTTAAGCCCGTTGGAAAAGCACAGTATTAAGGTGGGAGTGACCCGATTTTCCAGGTGCTGTCTGTCACCCCTTTCTTTTACTAGGAAGGGGAACTCCCTGACCCCTTGCACTTCACGAGTGAGGCAATGCCTCGCCCTGCTGTGGCTCGTGCATGGTGCGCTGCACCCACTGTCCTGCACCCACTGGCACTCCCTAGTGAGATGAACCCGATACCTCAGATGGAAATGCAGAAATCACTCGTCTTCTGCGTCGCTCACGCTGGGAGCTGTAGACCGGAGCTGTTGCTATTTTGCCATCTTGGGTCCACCCTCCTAAACCCTTTTTTTTTTTTTCTGAGATGGAGTTTTGCTCTTGTTTTCCAGGCTGGAGTGCAATGGCACAATCTTGACTCACTGCAACCTCTACCTCCCAGGTTCAAGTGATTCTCCTGCCCCCCTTTTTCATTTTAAACACCCAAGGCAACCCAGACAACCAACACAGCCTCAGGTGGAGATTAACTTTCCTCCAGATGATGATAATACAAGAAAATGACATATCTCATCAATTTCCTTCTGGTCATTCTAGACATCTTATTAATTAAATCACTTGGAATTTGGGTGGAGGGGTTTGAATTTAAGGTGTGGTTCCTGAAATAGCCTAAAAATTTATTTCCTTTTTTTATATTAGCACTTAACCCATTAATTAGTACTCAGAATTAATGACTTAAAAAATGCTTGTTCAGGAGTGTCTAGGGTTATTACAAAGCTCAGAAAACCTGCAGTCAAGAAAGGAGTTGAAAAGATCAAATAGCTTCCCATTGAGTTGAGAACCGGATGCATGGTGAAGCCTCCACCACGGAGACACTCAAATGTCTGTTAAGGGGAGAACTAGACTTTAGAGGGAATCGGAATGTCAGGATTGACAGGAACGAAAGACAAAATCTCCAAGATTTTAGGCAGTCCACAGTCTACAGCTAGAAGATTTCAAAGGGTGAATGCAAAACTGCCTTTGGATAACTTGAGAGTATATTGAAGTGTTTCAGAGCTCTCTGAGGAGGCAGGTAAACACCTGATTTAGTCATCAGGGAAACTATGAAGATGTCAGTCATAAAGGAAACTGATTGGCTCCCATGACCCTGTCTCTGTGTTTAAAGATCATAGCCCTGCAGGGTCCAAGTCCATTCACCCTGCAATGGAGCTTGGTTTGTGCCTTGGAGATGTAAGGAGCTGGTGGAAGAACAGGAACCAACTAGTTTGTTATATGTTAGGCCTCCCATTTATGGGGAACCAGATTTCATATGTGCACTTCACTACCATAGAGCGTAGAGTAAACACAGGAAGGAGGAGGAGAATGCAGAAATTGAGAAAAGCTAGAGGTGCGGACAGGAAGCTACTGCTTCAGCTGGTGCCTATTTTCCTGCTCCAGGCAGTGGGTATGTTAATAACTGTCATCTACACATCTATTTCTCCAAGTCTAAAGATAGGGCAATTGTAGATTTTGGAAATTTTTAAAATGTGTCAAAGAGAGAAAATCCAATGAGAATCCTATAAGAGTTTGCAACTTCAGGACAGGTAGAAACACTAGCCTCCACCCGGTAATGCACCTGTTATTTTCTGTGAATTGCTATCACTTTCAAGACACACAGAAGTACTTGGTCTCCCAAAGTAAATAAACTTTAGAAATGCCAGCATCTCTTGATAAATGTTAATTGACCCCTTTTTAACGTGTATTATTCTAATGTCTGCAGCAAACTTTACTTAAAGCCTTTGATCGTCTACCAAATATTCCCCTGTCATTTTTTTTTGGTAAACTTTACAAACATTTGGGGGTTGCAGAATCGTGTTCAGCTTTCTTCCCAGAATTTCTTTGTACAATTGCAATTTAGCTTTCTTTCCAAATGGATTCATTGTGGCGTGAGTCTTGATAGAATGTGAAGCAAATTCTCCTCCTGGAATTTGGCTGTAAGCCTAGAGGATGGGCTGCATAAATTATTCTAAATGCCATAGAATCTTGCATGTTGTTTCTTTCTAGACTGTTTTAAATCTGCGTCAGGATGCCTGGAAGTGAGACACTGAACAAGCAAGAGCTCATTGCACAAAAGAGAAATAGTGACTTGCAAAAAAAAAATAAATGAAACATCCTTTTTGTAAAATGTTGTCACTTGGAATTTAATTAAATGTCATCTTCTTGAGGAAATGTATGTTATTTGAGCTAGGCCAGATCCCAGCAGGTTAAACAGCAATAGGGTAAATAAGAAAGGAACAGCCTTGTTAGAGAGAAAAGTTAAAATGAGGTTGTTGAGATCACAGGAGACTTCTCAGTCACATATGAGGCAATAAACTCCAGCAGAAGGGGTGTGTTCCTGGAAAGGGGAAGGAATCCATGTGGATTTTAATTATAATTTTAATTTTATTTTAAGTTCAGGGTGTGCAGGTCTGTTACATAGGTAAACGTGTGCCATGGTGGTTTGCTGAACCTATCAACCCATCACCTTGGTATTAAGCCCAGCACGCATTAGCTATTTTTCCTGATGCTCTCCCTCCCCCATCCTCCTTCAACAGGCCCCAGTGTGTGTCGTTCCCCTCTCTGTGTCTATGTGTTCTCATTGTTCATCTCCCACTTATAAGTGAGAACATGGTGTTTGGTTTCCTGTTCCTGCATTAGTTTGCTGAGGATAATGGCTTCCAGCTCCATCCATGTCCCTGCAAAGGACATGATCTCCTTTCTTTTTATGGCTGCATAGTATTCCATGATGTATATGTACCATGCGGATTTTCTATTGTTTTGCTTTATGACCTGATGTGAAGCTTTATTAAGGCACTGAGATGAGAGTTCATTTACTTCAGATAGACTGCTGTAATCAGATTGATTTCCTTGTCATAAAACCACAACAAATACCTAACCTGGCAGTTGCCATCCAGAGACAGGAAAACACTTAGCGCCCTCTAAAACTGGAAGAAAGGTCCACTGCAAACTACTCTCTGCCTCTCTCATAAGGATCAAAGCAAGACCCCTGGATTATAAGAAGCCAGCCAAAGTGCATCTGCATTCATGGATACATATATCAGTTTCTTCAGAAAAATTCTCTCTCTGCCAATAATACATCAGATCATGTGATATCTGCCCATGTAACAATTATGGAAACAAGGCCAGGCGTCTTGGCTCACACCTATAATCCCAGTACTTTGGGAGGCCGAGGCAGGCGGATCACTTGAGGTCAAGTGTTTGAGACCAGCCTAGCCAACATGATGAAACCCCATCTCTACTAAAATTACAAAAATTAGCCAGGCTTGGTGGTACACACCTGTAATCCCAGCTACTCAGGAGGCTGAAGTAGGAGAATTGCTTGAACCCAGGAGATGGAGTTTGCAGTGAGCCAAGATCACACCACCGCACTCCAGCCTGGGTAGCAGGACGAGACTCTGTCTTAAAAAAAAAAAAAAAAATACAGAAACAAGCTTTGTGACATTGTGCGTGTGACTTCTCACAGCCCAGGCTACTTCATCTATAAAGTAAAGACAAAAATAGTACCTGATTCCTAGAATTATTATGACAAGTAAATGGTCCAAAATATTTAGCTTAGTGTTCTGCCATTAAATTCAAGAACCGTTAGCTATGCAACGATTATTGTTGCCAATGAAAGATGCATTGATTTTTGGCAGCAAGAATGCTGTCTTACTCCTTGAGGAGATAAACTGAAGGCAAAAAAGCTGAGATGAACAATTAACTGGATGAACAGATTGCAAAATAAGCAATTCAAACTAGAAATTGCATAGGAGGAAGACCATTTCCCCTACAGTCTTCTTACTCATTCTCCCTCAAGTCTCATTTCTTTCTAGCATTTATGTCAGTATTATTCATCCCCCATTCTAAAATATAAAAAAGCAAAAAGAAGGGAATTTCAAACATCAAGTGATTAAAAAATTAAAAATTAAATACCAAAACCCAAGTCTGTATTAAGAACAGATAGTGGGTTATGGAATTTAAGGAGGTAACTGCCTTGTATGTTCTTAATTCATTTGTTAATTTATTTATGGTTTTACAGAAAAATCAAATAAGGCTGCTGAGTGTTATTTTGAAAACTACTTTTATGTTTCTGTATCTAATTTCTCTGTTAGCAAAATGAGGAAAATTTTTCTGACATCTCAAAGTAGTTTAAGAGAGAATTCATAAGTATAAAATGTTTTAAGCATATGCGGACTTTATATGGATAGCCTAAGTCACAGATTCTAGCCTCTGAACTTGTTTATCCACAGACTATTTCTGACACCAAATGTGTGGTGGATTTTTCCACCCCCAGCCAATTCTCCAGTTTTCCAAACCACTGGGTTTCCTACCATCCACTCAACTCCACTAACTACCCAGGGTGAGCACAGACCCAGGGGTGAAGAATTAAGTTTCAAAGGACCACCCCCCATTTCAGATACCAAAAGCAAGTCTTGGGCCAACCACATTTCTGGCTAACCAGGTAAAATTTGCAGAACCCCACGACACACTTTTCAGGCTCATTAATTTGCTAGAACAGCTCACAGATCTCAGCGAAACCATTGACTCACTGTCACCAGTTTATTGCAAAGGATGTAACTCAGGAAGAACCAAATGGAAGAGAGGCATAGGGCAAGATATGGGGGAGGGCACAGGGCTTCCATGCCCTCTCTGGGTGCTCCACCCTCCCAGCACCTCCATGTGTTCCCCACCTGGAAGCAGGGATTCTTATGGAGTTCTCATTACAGAGGCATGATTGATTAATCATTGGTCATTGGTGATTGACTCCTTAGCTAGCCCCTCTCCCCTCCTGGAGGTTATGAGGTGGAGCTCAAAGTGCAATCCTCTAATCAGCCCCCATCCTGAAGCTACCTAGGGGCCCAACAAGAATCACTTCTTTAGAACAAAAGATGTTCCTATCGCTTGGGAAATTCCAAGGGATTTAGGAGTTCTGTGTCAGGAACCTGGACAAAGACCAAATATTTATTACTTACTGTGTCACACAACCCTGTGAGTCAGGGATCTTTACCATCCCCCTCTCCTTCTGTGATATGTGCTCTTGCTTATGACAATAGGAATGCACCTGCACCAGGTGTGGTGGGTCACACCTGCAACCCCAGCACTTTGGGATACTGAGGCGGGAGGATTAATTGAGGCCAGGAGTTTGAGGCCAGCCTGTGCAACACAGTGAGGCCCTATCTCTACAGAAAATTATGAATTTAGCTGACTGTGGTGGTGCTCGCCTTTAGCCCCAGCTACTCAGGAGGCTGATGCAGGAGGATCACTTGAGCCCAGACATACCAGACTAACAGACTAAAGTGAACAGTTATTGCACCACTGCACTACAGCCTGGGTGACAAGCAAGACACTGTCTCCAAAAAAAAAAAAAGGTATATGCCCAGATACTCCCATCATTCCTGAAGCAACTCCAAGTAGATGTCTCTTTGTAATGTGATAGTAAACTCACCTGGGAAGAGAAAACAAAACAAATTCATTTATTCAATGCATGTTTGTTGATCACCTTTCAAGATCCAAGTACCATTTCACATGTTGGAAGTAGAGTGATATATTTATGTCACAAATAGTGTTGTTTTGTGCCAGGCACTGGTCTAAGCACTTTACAGATATTAGTTATTGAATTCTCTTATTATCCTTGTGAGGCAGGTGCTCTTACTGTCACCATGTTACAGAAGAGAAAAACATTTACTTAGTGGTTGAGCTACTGATCCATGGCCACACAGCAAGGAAGAAGCAGAGACCAAATAAAAACCTGGAGACTTCACTCTTGGCCACTACTCCAGGCTGTCTTTGGAAAAAAACAGTAAACAAACAAACAAACAAAACCAGCATAAATCCCTGCCCTCAAGAGTTTATATTCTAGTGAGGAGCTACAGACAATCAGTTATCTAAGTAATATCTATGTATACATATAGTAAGTTAGAAAATGAATGCTGTGTAGAAAAACAAAAGAGGGGAAAGATCAGGAATGAGAAGTGGATTTCTCTTTTTAAGTGGGTAATCAGGAAAGGGAACATTTGAGCACTGACCTAAGAGTATTTCAGAAAAAGGGAGCAGCAAGTAGAAAGACCATGCAGAGGAAACCTTCCAGCACTTTCAGGAAGCAGCTAGGATGTCACTGTGGCCGGCGAGGAATGAGTTAAGGAGAGTTCTATACAGATCAGAGAGAAAACGTCTGTGTGATCCTGAGAAAGATGGAAAACCAGTGGGGAGTTCAGAGAAGTCCAGGGAGAAGATCTGACTTCCTAACAAAAAGGATTACTCTGGCTTCTGAGCAGGACAAAGGAAGAAATAGGAGACTAAGTAGGAGGAGGCTGCTAATGTCATCCAATGTCCTATAACAGGGACCTACCATACCAGTCCATGGCTTAGGAACTGAGCCACACAGCAAGAGGTGAGTGGCAGGTGAGCAAACAAAGCTTTATCAGTATTTACAGCCACTCCCCATCGCTCGCATTACCATCTGAGCTCTACCTCCTGTCAGATCTGCAGTGGCATTAGATTCTCATAGGAGAGGAAACCCTATTATGAAATGGGCATGTGAGGGATCTAGGTTGCATGCTCTTTATGAGAATCTAATGCCTGATGATCTGCCACTGTCTCCCATCACTCCCAGATGGGACAATCTAGTTGCAGGAAAACACACTCAGGGCTCCCACTAATTCTACATCATGATGGGTTGTATAATTATATCATTATATATTATGATGCAATAATAATAGAAAGAAAGTACATAATAATGAGCTTGAATAATCCTAAAACCATCCCTCCACCCTGGTCTGTGGAAAAATTATCTTCCACAAGACTGGTCCCTGGTGCAAAAAAGGTTGGGGACTGCCATCTTATAAGATGTAAAGGTTCTTGATGGTAGGAGACACAACACAATGACAACATGACAGAAGGCAGAACTCTCTGCCACTTACAGCTCACAAGCAGAGGAGGCTGCCAGGCAGGGCCACATGGGGCTGCACCTCAGAGAAAGCAACAGCAAGCTGACAATGGAGGGGATAGTTTACCTGTGCCAAGTCAGGTAAGAATAGCTAGGGTTCTGGGCTCACTGTGGATGGGCCAGTTTGAATATGGTTGAGGGCTCTGCAACATAGAGGCTGCTCCTAGTTGTCAGGCAAGTGGCCCAGGGGCAATTAGGGTGAATGTATACTGGTTTGAGTGTGAGCCCAGGCAGGAAAGTGGTTTCAGCATAGACTTAATTGGCTACTCAAGAAGGGAACAGACCAGCCTCCAGCGAGGACCTCAAAACTTGGTTAAGATGTAAAACAAAAACATAAATAAACTACGTGTATTACAATGAAGTAATGAAGATGGTGAGAATTGGTCCGGTGGTGGTTCTATTTGAAGGAAGAGCCAACACTGTTTTCTGATAGGTTAGATATGGGGTGTGTGAGAAAGAGGAGTCCACAGGATCTCCGAGTTGAAGGCCTGAGTCTGGATGGCAGTTGCCACTAATGAAGATGAACAAGACCACAAAATGAACAAGTTTGTAAGGAAAAGTTAGAAGTTTAGTTTAGAACATTCGGTGTTTGAAATGTCTTTTTTAAAAATACAAGATATTTAAGTAAACTTGTTGAGCAGAAAATAAATTTATGGCTCTGAAGTTCAAAAGAGATGTCTGGACTGGAGATATAAATTTGGGAGTGTTTGACATAAATATGGTATCTAAAGCCATGGGACCCATTGAGATCATCCAAGAAGTGAAGGTAGATAAAGAAAAGTATGTGGCCTATTGAGTGCATTTTGGGGCAGTCCAACATGAAGAAGTTGAGCCAAGGAGGAAGAAACAGTAGAAGGAAAGGAAAAGTGGTGGAGTAGAGGGTTTAGGATCTGAGTGAGCAAAGTGTTTCAAGGATATAGAAATGTTCAGACTCACTGACAACCAAATAGGTATATTGAAAATGGCAATAAGGTACTCTTGACCACCAAATTAGGAAGTCATTTACAAAACAGACACTTCATGTTGTCAAGGGTGCCATGCAGCAGTTGTACCAATTTACACCACAATTAGGAAAAAAACTGGGTTGAACTTTCTGGAAAGCAAGTTAACTTTATATAAAAGGAATCTCTATACAAAGTCTGCACACTGACATTCAGCGGTTCCTCTTCTAGGAGTCTACCCTGAAGAAATAAGCAGAAACTGGACAAAGTCTTATACAAACATTTGTTACATAAACGTTTAACAAAGATTTGTTACATAAAAAATCATTCCAAAGCTATTCGTACTAACAAACAACTAAGAAAAAAATTCAATTTTGAACAAGGAAAATTATTCAATAAATTATGAGCCTAATACTAAGAGGATTGTGTAGCGCAGAAAAATCATGGTTCAAAAGTATATTTAATGACCTGTAAAAGTCCTCATGATGCTACATTAATTGAGGAAAACAAGGTAATGCTTTTTCTTTCTCACAGTTACAACAAAACTAATAATTACCACTTATTAGACAGGTACTATGTGCAAAGGCACTGTGCTAATCATTTATATGTGTTATTTTTAATTCTGTATTATAGGTATGATGAGAAGGCAAAGGCTCAGAAGGTTGTTTTGATCATATTGTATTTGATATTAACACATATGGGATCTGAAGGAAACACACAACACACACACAGGGAAATCTGATGGCCTCTCCTAAAAACTCGTATGTTCCTAAAGAAGTGTTCACGACCTACTGTGGAAATATAATACAAATTGTGAGTTCATGATTTTTTTTTCTAAAGGGGGATTCTAAGAATGACAACAAAACATAGAAGTAAGCACTGATTTCTTCCTGTAGAATTCATTTTCTCTTAATTTCATAATTCTAACCCCTCACCTATAAAACTAAGGATCACTATAGAAACCCCTAGCACTGCCAGATAAAGTTGATGCCTGAACAACTTGGGGATCAAGGGCACTGACGTCCTCAAAGTTGATAATCTGCTAATAACTTTTGATTTCCCACAACTTAACTACTAATAACCTACTGTTGTTCAGAAGCCTTGCCAATAACATTAACAGCTCGTTAACACATAAACTAGTATCTACATATATTTTAATCCACTCTGACATACCTACATTTTTCCTAAATTTTTCTATATTTCTAGACTGTGTGTCTTGTCTGCCAGCTTCTTTCAAATGTAACAAATCTCTAAAGAAATGTTCCAATATATTTATTGAAAAAAATCCACGTACAAGTGGACCCACACAGTTCAAGCCCTTGTTGTTCAAGGGCCAACTGTATTTTTTTATTTCTTCAGCAGTGGAGTTAGTTTGCTGTGAGGCAAAATGCTTTTGGAAAATGTATTTTGAAGATGAACAGTGCTTGCCTTTTCAACACAATATTCTCCCCCTTCATTCTGTAACACATATTTTTCAAACAGGTTCTTAAGGAATGAAAATTAATGTGCTCAGCATTCTTATGTATTCATTAATGCATTTCATGATGACGTACTGTGTGAAGACACTCTGCTAGTTCTTTGGGATGTGGTTGGAGGACACTTGTGGAGATTGCACTGTAACCTAAGTCATACGTAGTTTCTGTTGCAGACAAGCTCACTGTCTGGAGGAGAAGACAAACACATCACACGTACATGCAATACAGTTAACAAAACGGCATTCACTGTTTCCTGATGGTTATCAGCAAAGTAAAAGAGAAAATATTCTAAGCAGAAAGCAGCAGGATCAAAAAATGGAATCGTGGCAGCCCTAGAGTGGGCTGGATATAGCAAGTAGTTCAGCATGACAGGAATGGAGCTATGCATAGGGCTAACATAACAGTTAAGGTAAAGATTATTAAACTCGGCTGGGTGAGCTGGCTCACTCCTGTAATCCCAGCACTTTGGGAGGCTAAGGCGGGCGGATCTCAAGGTCAGGAGTTCAAGACCAGCCTGGCCAACATGGTAAAATTCCATCTCGACTAAAGATACAAAAAAATTAGCCAGGCGTGGTGGCACACACCTGTAATCCCAGGTACTTGGGAGGCTGAGGCAGCAGAATTGCTTGAACCGGGAGGCGGAGGTTGCCATGAGCTGAGATCGTGCCACGGGACTCCAGTCTGGGTGACAGAGTGAGTCTGTCTCAAAAAATAAATAAAAAAATAAGATTATTAAACTCTTTTTATGCCTGGAAACTAGGAAAGCACTAAAAGCTTTTATAAGGAAAAAATCATCAAAGTTCCATTTTAGTTGCATGCCTATGACAGTCATGTTCAGCAGGCAGCATAGAACACAGGAAACTTAGTTCAGTGTTCAGGAGCACAGATTGCTTGGATTCAAGTACTAAAGCTGTATGACTTCAGAAGTTGCTTACTTCTTTGTGCCTCAGTTTCCTCATTTAGAAGATGAGAGCTGATGTTAATAACGCATACCTCATAATATCAGTATGAGGATTAAATCTGAAATAGACATAGTGCTTAGAACAGAGACAGCCGTATAGAATGCACTCAATAAAAGTTAGCTATCATTACAAGTATTTAGAAATCTGTAGCAGTTAGCTATTGTTACATAACAAATCATTCCAAAACTTGATGGCTTAAAGCAATCATTTATTTGTTCATGATTCTTCAGGTCAGCAATTAAGTCTGGGCTCAGCTGGGCAGTTTTTCTGCTCTAGCCAGGCTAGGTTTGTTTGCATGCCTGAAGTCAGCTGTGTACTCAGCTGTTCTACACATTCTTCCAACTTCCAGCAGGCTGGCCAAGTCTTGTTTTCATGGCAGTGGCAGAGTTTTTTTTTTTTTTTTTTTTTTGAGACGGAGTCTCCCTCTGTCGCCCAGGCTGGAGTGCAGTGGCGCGATCTCGGCTCACTGCAAGCTCCGCCTCCCGGGTTCACGCCATTCTCCTGCCTCAGCCTCCCGAGTAGCTGGGACTACAGGCGCCCGCTACCACGCCCGGCTAATTTTTTGTATTTTTAGTAGAGACGGGGTTTCACCGTGTTAGCCAGGATGGTCTCGATCTCCTGACCTCGTGATCCGCCCGCCTCGGCCTCCCAAAGTGCTGGGATTACAGGCGTGAGCCACCGCGCCTGGCCCAGAGTTTTAACAGGAAGAATTTAAGACCAAGAAGGTTTAAAGATTTAGCTTGGAAATTACACACCATCATTTCTGCCACATCCTGTGGGCCAAAGCAAGTTACAAAACCAGGCAGATTCAAAGAGAGGAAAAGCAGACTTTACCATTTGATGGAAGGAGCAGCCAAGCCATGCTACAAAAAACAAGGAGACAGGGAAAAGTAAAGGATTGTAGCCATTTTAGCAATCTACCACAAGGTCTGAAGCTCAGGATTAAGACTGAGATTGGTGATACTGATTCAGCAGTCATCAGCTATAAATAAACGATAGTAAAATCTTGAAGCGGATAAGCTCATTAAGAGAGCTCTTCTCATCATGAGAAAGAAGAAAAGAGGATTCAAGGCAAAACTCTTATAACATCAATTGTTAAGAATGGGCAGAGGAACAGAGAGCACAATGGGCCCTGAGCGAGGTTGAACAAAAAAAAAATGGAGAAGGTAAGCAGCCACTGCGATGAGAATAATGAGAATTTAAGAAGTAATCTTTGGATTTAGCAGCAGCATTAGTGGGTTTGCCCATGGTGGAAGTCAGCATTTCGTGAATTGAAGAATGCATAGGAAATGAGCAGACCTGACTGGAAACAGTTTGGTGATATCAAGGAGGTGAAAGATACCATTGTATCTGAAGGAAGATGTGGAGTCCAGGAAGGGATTTTTGTTTATGTGTTTCTTTTCGTTATTTTTTTTAGGATGAGGGTCATTTTAGCTTTTAAATTGTAATTAATATGGAGTGAGGAGAGAGTAAATGTTTAAAACTTCAGGAAAGTAGAAATAAGCGAGCCAGTGAAGGCAGAAGGAAATGTGATAGAATTAAGGAAAATATGAACAAGTATAGAAATAAGTTTGTTGGTTTTGTGGCAGTGGCAGGAGGCTTGTGGAGTCCTCATTGGATGGACCCTACTTCCTCTGAGAAGCTGAGGGTGACAGCATGTTCTAAACCTTAGAGGGAATGTGGCTCAGTGGGAGGTTTCCAGGACAAGGTTGATGAAGCTGTGGTGAAAACAGGAGAGGATTTAGGGAATAATCAATATCTGTCAGATATCATGGCAGGGTCAGGCGACACTGGGTCCCAGGATGTGGAGAGGTCCCAGTATGCATGACTGAGGAATTTTTTCCCCCAGAAGTAATAAACCAAACCAAAGTATTGATACTGACAAGATAGAGAATTGGACTGCCCCAGAGTTGGGATTATTTTCCCCCCTGGTAGATGGAACAGAAAACAAAATGGGCAAGCATAATTGAAGTGACAGGTAAACTGAGCTAGAATGGAAAAAAAAGTAAAGACAGCAGGGTATTGATGAGAAGAAAGCAGAAGAACATCAAGGAGCTGAATAGTCTGTAAGATCAAGAATAAATGCAGTGACAGTGACTAAATGATGGAACTAGAAGAGTGTGTCACAGTCAGGAAGAAGAATGTATGAAGTTAACTTTTCAAGGTGAAGGCATCTCAGGTTATAACAAGACCCAGGGTGGGGCTGTGACAAAGTTGAAATAGGTGGACATTTACTAAAGGTGGGAAGGTCAAGACAAAGAGACTCACACACTGAAAGGGTCACCATGCCCTGAAGTCACAAGACAATAGTGGTGTTGAGGAGAAAAGAGGCACATGAATGAATCTTGTGCCAAAGTCTTCAGTGTGTTGGCGATGGCAGTGGGTTTGCACTGGGAGCTTAACAGCTAATCAGTAGATAACAGTGGGAAAGTTATCAGAATCAAAATGGAGTCACCAGTGTTAAGAAAATTCTGTCAAATAGAGCTAGGGAAGGCCAGAAAGAAAGGGTTCCCAGGCTTGTGTACTTGATAACAAAAACAATCACAAAAGACTGCAAAAACCACAATCTCGTGCCAAGGCCATCACAGCCTTTCACAAAACTCACTTCTGCAAGGACATCTGCCCAGCAATTGCCTGTCCAACCTTGGGACTGGCGTCATCCTTGTTATTAATCTTAGTAGCCAAGGATCATTATTTCAAAACACACAGCTTATGCACATAGATTGCTACGGTATGTGTATTCCCATTGCAATGCTCTATTCCCAGATAAACATCATTTTCTTTTAGAGAGCCTCTCTTTGTTTATTATTTAGATTGACAATAGCAGCGAGCATGGATAGAGGGTGGTAGAACTGGCTATGTGATGCTATCAAGAAACAGGGTTGAGCTAGGTGTGGTGGTGCATGCCTGTAGTCCCAGCTACTTGGAAGTCTCAGGTGGGAGGATCACTTGAGCCTAGGAATTTGAGGCCAGCCTGTGCAAAATAGAGAGACCCTGTCTTTAAAAAAAGAAAGAAACAGTATTTATGAGAGAATTAATCCCCTCTCTCATTAAAAAATTTATAAATGAACAGACTTAAACGTGGCAGGGGACATGCCTATCAATTTGGTAAATAATAAAAGACTAATGTTCATTTTGGGTGCAGGTGTGAGAAAATGGGCACACTGACTATGCTGGTGGGCATAGATCTTGTTATAATTTTTCATTCATCACATAATTATTTATTTACGAAGCACCATTAGAAACCTAGATATTTACTTACTCTGAATTAGTACAGAGAAAATTCACTTTGATGTAAAACTTCTAAATCTGGCTTTAAAAGGTTCAAACCCTAGAATTGGTCCAGTTTTGTACAGTTGCTGTATTTGTCCATTATCACACTGCTATTACAAAATGCCTGAGACTGGGTAATTTATAAAGGGAAGAGGTTTAATTGACTCACAGTTCTGCAGGCTTTACAGGAAGCATGGCTAGGAGGCCTCAGGAAACTTATACTCATGGCAGAAGTTGAAGGGGAAGCAAAGCACATCTTTCATGGTGGCAGATGAGAGAGAGGAGAGAGTGAACAAGGAAGTGCCACACTTTAAAGTAATCAGCTCTCTTGAGAACTTATTTACTATCATGAGAACAGCATGGAGGAAATCATCCCCCATGGCCCAATCACCTCCAACCAGGTCCCTCCCTCAACACCTGGGGATTATAATTCAAGATGAGATTTGGGTGGTGACACAGAGCCAAACCATTCCACCCCAGCCTCTCCCAAATCTCATCCTTTTCACATTTTAAAACCAATCATGCCTTCCCAACAGTCCCCCAAAATCTTAACTCATTAATCCAAAAGTCCAAGTCCAAAGTCTCATCTGAGACAAGGCAAGTCCCTTCTTCCTATAAGCCTATAAAATCAAAAACAAGTTACTTATTTCCAGGATACAATTGGGGTACAGACATTGGATAAGTGCTCCCATTAGAAATGAGAGAAATTGGCCAAAACAAAGCGGCTACAGCCCCAATGCAAGTACAAAATCCAGTGGGGCAGTCATAAAATCTTAAAGCTCCAAAATAATCTCCTTTGATTCCATGTCTCACATCCAGGCCATGCTGATGCCAGGGGTGGTTTCCCAAGGCCTTGGGTAGCTCAGCCCCTGTGGCTTTGCAGGGTTCAGCCCCCATGGCTGATCTCATGGTCTGGCATTGAGTGCCTGTGGCTTTTCCAGGCACACAGTGCAAGCTGTTAGTGAATCTCTTCTGAGGTCTGGAGGACAGTGGCCTTCTTCTCACAACTCCATTAGGCAGTGCCCTAGTGGGGACAATGTGTGGGGGGGTCCAACCTCACATTTCCTTTCTGCACTTCCCTAGCAGAAGTTCTCTGTGAGGGCTCTGCCCCTATAGCAGACTTCTGCCTGGACATCCAGGCATTTTCATACATCCTCTGAAATCTAGGCAGAGGTTCCCAAAGCTCAACTCTTGTCTTCTGCACACCTGCAGGCCCAATACCACGCGGAAGCCACCAAGGCTTGAGGCTTGCATCCTCTGAAGCAATGGCCCAAGCTGTACATTGGCCCCTTTTAGCCACAGCTAGAGCTGGAATGGCTGGGACACAGTGCCACTCAGCCTAGGCTTCATTGTTCACATCTCTACCGGCATTTTGGTCAAGGCCATTCAACAAGTTTCTAGGAAGTCCCAAACTTTATCACATCTTCCTGTCTTCTTCTGAGCCCTCCAAACTGTTCCAACCTCTGCCTGTTACTCAGTTCCAAAGTTGCTTCTACATTTTAAGGTTATCTTTATAACAGTGCTCCACTACCTTGGTATTAATTTTCTGTATTAATTCATTTTTACACTTTTATAAAGAAATGCCTATGACTGGGTAATTTATAAAGGAAAAAGTTTTAATTGACTCACAGTTCCATAGGCTTAACAGGAAGCGTGGCTCGGAGGCCTCAGGAAACTTACACTCATGGCAGAAGGTGAAGGGGAAGCAAAGGACATCTTACATGACATATGACATAAGGAGAGAGAGAGGAGAGAGAGAACAAGAAAGCGCCACACTTTAAAGTCATCACCTCTCAAGAGAACTCACTCACTAACATGAGAACAGCATGGGGGAAAGTGTCCCTATGATCTAATCACCTCCCACTAGGTTCCTCTCTCAACACCTAGGGATTACAATTCTAGAGGAGATTTGGGTGGGGACACAGAGCCAAATCATATTGGTTGCCATCAGTGCCATTAATTGGAGATGATTTCTAGAGTGTTTGTTGTCAGGATTCCTGGATACACTGACCAGGACTCTCTCCATGGCTGAACTCAACTAAACATTTTCTAGCTGTAATCTCACAGTGCCATTTCACTTCCCCTGAAAACACTATTGCTAATTTATTGAAAGTTCTGCCTGATAAAATGGCAGCACTCTTAAGGAGATGGAGGTAGACCCCTCATTAGTCCCATGATCTGCTCTATAACCAATGTCAGAAGTGCTGTAAGAGGTTCTCCTGTGTCAGCAGCAGCATCACCATACACATAAGGGTAACGTGGGATTCCTTGTCGGCCCTTTCCCTTTACTTTTAAATGCTGGTCACCTCCCTAACACATGTGTACATCCAATTGTGAAACCTGAATCCCATCACTTTCCTGCATGTATATGATGTGCTTATTACTAAAGTATATGCTGGGGAAAAAGTGACAACCAAACCTGAACCAGCCTCTGCCCCAATGGAGTCCACAGTCTAATATAAGGAGCAGCTTTTAAACACATGATTAAACACATCACCCTATACATAAACATATGAACAAAACTCTGGTAAGAGCTATGGAGGAAAAGTACAAGTTTCTAAGGCAGCATTTAACAGAAGACTCCATCCTAGTCTGGAAGTCAGAAAGGTTTCAACAACAACAAAATGACATTTGAGGTAAGATTCAAAAGATGAGTGTGGGGAAGAATTTTCCAGACAGAAAACCCAAATGTGGGAAGACTCTGAGGCAGGTTGAAGTATTGCATATTCCAGCATCAAGAATAAGGTCATCCTTGCTGAAGTCCAGAGAGAAACAAGGCTAGAGGTGGGGAATCTGAATGGATTAATAATAGATTCCAGGCTGTGTGGAGCCTTCCAATCCTAAAATCTTTTACATCTGCTATTCACACCCACCCCCAGCTTTAACTTCCTATTTGGATTGGATAAATCCTAGTCACCTTCAGATCTCAACTCTAGCTGGGAAGACTTCCCTGATGCACACATTAAACATACTCCTCCAGCTGTTCCTATTGTTTTTCATTTCCTCCCTCAAAACAATCACCTTATGTAATTTCAATTATTCATTCACATCTGCCTTCCACCAGATTCTGAGCTCCATCAGGGCCGGGTGTGAATCTGTTTTGTTCACTGCTTTCTACAGAACTTAGCACAGTGCCAGGAACAAAAACGAATATGTTGAAAGAATAAGTGTCTTGCCACGTGCAAACTGTCCCTGATATTGCATTTCTTGTTTCAAGCTAAACTGAAAGAACAGTCAAAATGGGATGTTTGTCACAAGAAATACATTGACAACTCTGTAAGAAAAAAAGGAAAGGTGTTTCTGCCTTAATCCCACATTATCAAACTAGGTATCATGTTACTTATTCAAATAACAGCTTCTCTGGATAGAATTCTGAAGCCCATGTCAAAAGAGAAGCAACAGAACCAAGCATCTGTTCTCTCTTCTGGCTCACCAGCTTCATTGCCCATGGAGGACTGACCTCCTCCATCAACACCTCAGGTCCTATGGTTAAAAAGCTCTGGAAAGTTTTTGACCTTGTTGCCTATTGATCAAGAGGTATCTCTGGCTGTGACATGGGATATAACATGGTCCTAGTTTGGGTTCCCTGAAAGACAAATTTGACATGGGTTTAAGAGCAAGAAGTTTATTTGGGCGATAATCCTAGGAAATACCATGAGAAAATAGGGAGATAAGGCAGGGAAAGAAAGCAAGCCAAGAAAATATGTGATAAAATGCAGTTACTGCCATGAGCTCAACTCCACTGAGGATCCACTGAGAAACTGTGTGGGACTCGTCTTGGAGCTGCCCCAGTGTTGGGCAAAGAAGCTGAGGTAGTTACCACCAACTCCCAGTCTCATTTGTGGGTGGTCATTCTTTGCATTTCTACACTGCCTCTGTGATGAAAAAAACAAATTGTTTTTCCTCTGCTCTCTAACCACAACAATCAACCCAGAAGACTGCTGTGTCTCAGTGCGTGGGGATTTCTTCCTACCAACAGCAAGCAATCAATTCTGTAGCAGACACCAGCTGGGCATCCTCCAATTCAGTTCTGACTCTGCCTACCTGGAGATGGCAGTGGATCCCATAGTTGAGGGCTCAATCCCACAAGGCTGCCTCTACCCATACACACAAGTTCCAGGTGGTTTTACCTGTGCTTCTGATCAACCCAGTATAAATCAGAGACCCCATGACCTCCTCAGGTTCAATTAATTTGCTAGAGCAACTAACAGCACTCAGGGAAACACACACCGGCGTTCAGTTTATTATAAAGAATATTACAAGAATACAGATGAAGGGTGCGTAGAATGAGGTATGGGAGAAGGAGTGCAGGGCTTCCATGCCCTCCCATGGTGGGACACCCTTTGGGAACCTCCACATGCTCAGCTCTCTGGAAACTCCCTGAACCCAGTCCTTTTGGGTTTTTATTGAAGCTTCATTGCATAGGCATGATTGATGAAATCATTGGCCATTGGTAATCAACGGATCCTTCAGCTCCTCTCCCCTCCATGCAGGTTGCTGGGGAGGCTGAATGTCTCAACCCTCTGATCCTGCCTTGGTCTCTCCTGTGAGCAGACCCATATTGAAGCCACCTAGGGGGCTGCTAGCCATCAATCAACTCATTGGCATACTAAAAGACACTTATCACTACAGAGAGTCCAAGTATTTTAGAATATGCATACCAGGAGACTGGGATGAAGACCAAATATACATTTCACAATATCACACTTCCCTTCTACACTCCAAGTACCTCCGGGTGCTAAAAGTGCCCTCAGCCAACAAGTCTTGAGCTGAGGCACCAAGATAGTGATGCCCATAAAACACTTTAGAATTCTCCCTTTTAAGATAGAATTCTGAAACTCAGTTGGTATGTTCTCTTCAAGGTGATTTTCCCAATACTCTGGTTATCATTACTTAATGTTAGACTACGTTTATATTTCTCACAAATGGGTGACAATGGGGATGAAAATTAGTTCGCTGTGTACAGATCACCAGCTTGCCTGGGTCCAGTGAGATAGAACACCCATACTAAGTTACATGAACCAGACTTATTACTTACAGATAGGCAGCAAGGGGCAACAGAAGATGAGGTTTCATGACAAGCTGGTCTGTAAGGCTCAGGAAAGCTACCTGCAGTGGATGGAGTCTCATCTGTGCATGTCCCACTTGCACTGCAGTGGAGGGACCCCAGAAATCAGCGTGCCCTGGATTTTTATGCTTCAGGGGTTACATGATATGCTGGGTTAAGGCACTGAAGGTCATCCTGTTTCTAGAAGAGATTGGGTGAGGGCCTGGACTTTTCTAGCCAGCTCCTCCCTATCTCAGGATATTGCATTCCCAGCATATTGGAAAGGTATTCTTGAGAATTACAAGTAAAAAGAGGGGAGAATTGGGCTGATCCAAAGCTATCCAAAAAACTGTCCTACAGGACGTCATGGAGATTTTTCTTTCCTTCTTTTTTTTTTTTCTTTTAAGACAGGGTCTCACTCTGTCACCCAGGCTGGAATGCAGTGGCACCATCACAGTTCACTCCCACTTCCACCTGCCAGGTTCAAGCAGTCCTCCCATCACAGTCTCCCAAGTAGCTGGGACTACAGGCACACACCACCACGCATGTCTAATTTTTGTATCTTTAGTAGAGACGGGATTTTGCCAGGTTGTCCAGGCTGGTTTCAAACTTCTGGACGTAAGAAATCCACTAGGCTTGGCCTCCAAAAATGCTGGGATTACAGGCTTGAGCCACCGCCCTCGGCAGGGATTTTCTGATAATCTGTCAATGAAGTCGTTCCAAACTCTCCCAACCCCCCAAAATATGTTTCAGTAACTTTCCAATTTTTATACATTTGCCCCATTTAGTTATAGCTTCATTTCCACATATACTACCTGGAGCTATTATGTATCATAATTCTTAACTAATCAAAATGCTTTTAGTCCTTTGGGATTATTAACCAGATCTGTTGAAAATTTCTAGTAATTAATGTTATACTCTCCATTATACTTGGTACAGACTCTTCTGTACATTTTCATCCAGAGAGCCTTCTTTATTGTGGGTTAAGGAAGGAAACTAGCCCCTGAGCTCCAGTAATCCTATCAATGCTTCTCCAGTGTCAGATAAGTCACATTGCTATCATTTTCTGTGTCAGAAATTAACCACCATTCAATGGCCTTGAAAAAGAATGAGATTATTGACTTCACCATTGATTTAAGCAACAGGGGAAGTAAATGAAGAATGAAGTAATTATGTCTTTAATCTCTTCCATAGGCCTGGAAGATTTATTCCAGTGTGAAAAATCATACTGGAAGTCCTTACTTCCAAATTTTGAGATTACCCAAGTCTAGAGACTTTAAAATGATCAGTAACAGAATTTTTCTAAACACTTTACCTTATAGTCTTCGCCATAATTTGTAACATATAGTTGAAAAACATCTCACTTTGTAAAAAACAGGTACAGAGCATGCACCAAAGTGCCTTCAGGAAGCATGTCCAGGCCAGGCGCTGTGGCTCACACCTGTAATCCCAGCACTTTGAGAGGCTGAGCCGGGAGGAGCAGTTGACCTCAGGAGTTCGAGACCAGCCTGACCAACATGGCGAAACCCCCATCTCTACAAAAAATACAAAAATTATCAGAGCATGGTGGTTGCATGCCTGTAATCCCAGCTACTCAGGAAGCTGAGGCAGGAAAATCGCTTGAACCTGGGAGATGGAGGCTGCAGTGAGCCAAGATCGTGCCACTGCACTCCAGCCTGGGCAACAGAGCAAAACTCTGTCTTTAAACAAAACACAACAACAAAAACAAGCAGGCCCAGCTCAGCATTCCTCAATCTGAGCACTGTGGGGCCCAAGATGTCCTTCCACCTCTTTCCTGATCTCTGCCTACAGCAGTCTTGACCTGGAGACTCACAGTCCACTGTGGTCTGTTAAATGTCATCTCTATCCTCTCCATTCTCCAATGGCTTCCTAAAGCACATTGAATGAAATACAAATCCCTTATTGTAACCCCTATGGATGGACCCCTTCTCCCCAGGCATACAGACCTCCCTGCTGTTCCACTTACAGGCCCACCCATGCTCAGGCTTCAGGTTTTTACCCGGCACTTGCTGCCCCTCTGTCAGGACCACTCTTCCTCTTCTCCAGGCTCCTCTCCTCTACCAATCCTTCCCTGCAATTAAGTCACAAGTCATTTCCTCACAGCTGCCTTCCCTGAACAGCCGGTATTTAGAAGCATCCCCTTTTCCTTTCCAGTCTCCAATCCTTATTTTTCTTCATTTCACTTATGGCTTCCTGGCATGCTTCATATTATTTATGTGTTTATTGGTGGTTTCCCCAAAAGAGTAGAAGAGCTGTAAGGAGAGGTTCTATGCCCAGTGCCTACAAAAGTGCCCGACATTAGTAGGTATTCGGTAATTATTTGTTGAATTAATTAAAATGAATGAATGAAGAAACTGCTTGGCTTTCACTGGGCAAGGTGCTGTCCACTGTTAATGACATAGGAGTTAAAAATATATATTTAGGCAGATAGTGAGGGTAAGGAAGTCCTCAATAAGGTTTCCTTGTAATAAAAAGCATCCTGAAAATCATTTCTTTTCTAACAAAAAGCAGTCTGAAAAATCAAGCTGCAAGCATAGGTAAGCAAACTAGAAGCTTTCATAGGTAAATGCCGCAGCTGTGCCAACAGGAAAAGGCTACCTGGGGGCCAGGCATGTTCAACCTGGTGGCTCCATCTTTCCTTTTCTTTGTCTGTCAACCATGTGTACAGTGAGGAACAGACAACATGGCACTGGACAGGTAGGGAACCCATCTGCATAATAAAAGATTCGGGTGGGATGGCCAGCTTCTACGCGCGCTATGCAAACGTCACACCTGGTCCGGCCAATTTCTCAGGCCCTGTGTAAATCAGATACGACCTCCTCAGTCTCCTCTGTAAAACCCCATGCATTTCATTATGAAATCAGAAGCCCCACTTGGGAGCCCCTCTCTCTCTTCAAGAGAGAGAGCTATTCACTTTTCTCTTTCTTTTGCCTATTAAACCTCCACTCTTAAACCCACTTTTTGTATGTCCACATCCTTCATTTCCCTGGCATGAGACGACAGACCTCAGGTATTTACCCCAGACGACGACACTGCTTCACTTAAATATTTTCACTACCTTTGACAGGAAGGATATTTAGTATGTTCTCCAGAGAGAGGTCATAGTCAAGGCTGCTTACGTGATGGCTAAGAGCAGAGGAAGGGGTCATCCTGTAAACTATGACTCAGCTACCTCATAACCCTGGGCACCCAGTGATGTTCCTCCCAAGGTCTTTTCCCTTGACATACTTGGGTCTAGTTAGGTGTTGCCAGATGGCCTGTAGTCCCCAGACTGGCATGCTTGGGGAGGCCAGCTTTTTCCTGGGTGTAGCATATGGCCATTGACTCTGATCTTCCTGACTCTGGCAAGCTCTGAATCTTCCATTCTCCTACCCACCACCCAGCCAAAGGAATCTCTTTATAGATTGGAGAAAACTCTCCTAGTGTTTCCGGCCATGATTCTTTGGCTATCTAGAATCAGGAGTTCTGTCCTTTTTATCTCACTGTGAAAACCATCGAAATGCTCTTAAGTGCTTAGGCTTCTGGAAGATAATAGTTGGAAAGGTAAGTATTTTACTTCCAAACTTCAGTTTTCTTCTCTGTCACATGCATGAAATGAGCTGATGAGCACAGAGCAAACTCTTTGATGAACTGGGGGGAAGGAAAGGAGAGAAGCAAAGAGGCAGTACAGTGAGAAGAAAAGAAAGATAGATTCACAACTTGGTGAAATGGTCACCTGTCTCCCAATAAGCTATAGACAGAAAAAAAATTACTTGGTGCATGGCTTGAGTTTCCAAAGAAAAGGAGGAATGAACTCACTTTTGACTAAGTGTTTGAACACTAAGCTTAGTGTCAAATAATGAACCTTTGTGGTTCTATATAACCATTTTCTTATAAAAACATTTTCCTATAGTTATATAGCTTTCTAGAAAATTGCCTCTTATTTTTGACATATGAGTTTGGAAACTAGTACTTAAAAGAAAAGTTTTGAAAAAAGTAAACACTCTAGAATACTAAATCTTTTTGTTTTGTTTTATTGTTTTAAATCTTCAGGGTGTGCTGTTTCTGTTGTTGGTTTGTTCATTTGTGTGTTGCTATTCTCTTAGGGATACCTTAAAAGCTGATATGGTAGCGCCAGCTGTTGTTGATAAAAATTCTACTTTAATCCAACCAGTTTAAAATATGCTAACTTAAAAAAATAAACATAGAACAGAAATCTCTTGGAATTTTTAGTTTTAAAGAGATAAATAAAGGATACATAGCAAAGTATGTGCAGTATTTACCCTATGTCTTTATGAATGTTTAGGAGATTTATTTGTTCATTATCGTTGGTAACCACATTTAAATGAAGAATAAGACTCAAAATACAAATTAGTTAAAAATATAATTTATTTGCTTCAAGAAGGATGATGACTTTGTAGCCACTTATGTTTGGGGATTCACTAAGATGAGAGGCATTGATCATTTTCCCATTTCTGTGTCTCTGTGTTCAGCCTAGGTTATCTTAAATCTACCAAACACTGTACTTCAGATGCCTTCATATTTTATAGCTGCCAAGACAGCTATAAAAGAACATTCTGTTAAATTTAAACTGTAGTTGCCTTTTTCTTTAATTTTCTGAAGAATTTAGTAACTGTAATGTGCTTATTTCTGTGATTCGATTTTATTCTGTCATGCTTTGGATTAAAATTCCCCAAGTAACAGACACAAAGATCTCTCCAAAAAGATAAAGGTGGTTTCTAGAAAAATCAGCCTTGCTTTGTCAAATAGTGGGAAGGCTGAGTAGAAAGGAGACCTGTGGTGATCTGGTGGGGTCTGAGCTGGAGAGATGGATTTCACAAAAAGAATCTGCAGACCTGTATATCAGTGCAAACACCTTCAGCTCAAGGGTTGGTTTTGCTGTTTCAGAAAATGAATTGTGATCTCATTTGACATTGTTGTTTATGATCCCAAAACTTAGTCCAATTCATTTTGGCGGATAACATAAATGACTGTGTCCTGTAGACAGGAAAATCCAGCAGCTGGAATTAGATGCATAGCTATAACATGTCGTTGGCTTTATTAATCAAATCCACAGACAGTCATTTTCAGGTTAAAGCTTTGCTTGTATACGTACTACCTATCACAGATGGAAGAAAAACCTAGAAAAACACCACACCTCCATGGTGCAGTTGTTCAACAAATGTAAATTTTATTCCCCCTTCAAAGTTAAGAAATTAGTGAATTATGGACAAAATGAGTCTAGTTAAAAGAAAACCAGTTAAACAAACAAAATAAAACTATAGACAAGTTAAAGTTTTCAGAGTTTAACTGACCAAAGAACAATTTGAGAATCGGCCAGCCCCCTGAACTAGAATAGGTTCAGAGTGACTCTTGGGTTGTCACATGGTCAGATAATATTTATGGACAGAAAAAGGAAAGTGACGTACAGAAAACAAAAGTGAGGTACAGAAATAGCTGGATAGGTTACAGCTCAGCATTTGCCTTAATGGAACACATTTTGACCAGTTGGCCATCTGTGATTGGCCGAAACTTTGTGACTAGTACAGGAGAACGTTACTGGCTGCTTATAAATCCTATGCAGTTATATAATCAGAACCTAACTGGTTGTACTTCACTATGTATGGAAAAAGCTTTAGGCTGCACTTAAAATATGAAAGGAGGCAGTTTTAAGCTGAACTTAAGTTAAATTAACAATTCCGCTCAGCTTCAGAGGTTAACCAAAACTTAAGGTATTGATGCTGCCCTGTCATCACCATAAATGGACTTGTTTTGTCTGAAGTCCCCCTGGGAAAGAGCAGAACAGTGGGTTTCGTAAGGTGAGAAAAAGGAAACGGAATAATTTTTTTAAAAACTGGTTACTTAAGATTACTTTTTTGTAAGGGTTAGAGCAGAGGGAACTTTCTTATTATGCTGGAATCTTCCGTTTTCAGGGAAAAACTACTGGTCTGTGTTGAGATCAATCTACTTCTTTATGCTCTCAGTTTGACTATGCAGCATTTAGCATGAATTACTCCATTTGGTTTGGTCTGGTCTGTTGGGGCTAAGTGCTGGAGCTCAGTCCAGAACAATGGATTCTCGTAATTTTGTCTAACAATTCCTACCTCTTGGTCAGGTTCTCACCTGGATTAGAATGTGGCCAAAACATAGTGCTTTAACATTACGTCCAGTTACCATCATTTTGCATTTTCAGTCTTAGCACATCCTACGTCAGTTACAGTGTTCTCGTGGTTCATTCATTTCTGAGTTTTTGTTGTTCCAGTCAAACAGAGGCCATTTGATATTCTATGAATGGCTGCATAGAAACATTTAAAACTTCTGAGAAAAAACACTGCACTAGGGAGACTATTATGATTATCAGGGGGATAATACCAAGAGTTTGGAGCATGTTCCTTAGCCAGGGTACCTATGTACCAAACCAAATAAAACCAAATAGATCAAAAGATAAGTCACATGAAGAGTCTACTCATTTTAATCAAACAGCCTATTTGTTAATCCCCTGCAACTCATTGTCTATAATATCCACTGCTTTCATTCATGTGCAACGAAATGTTTTAGCAGCTGCAGGTTCTTCCTTGTTCAGCCAGTAGATAATCAAGAGCAATTCTATTATCTAGCACAACTTTAGCTAAATAACTTAATGAAGTTGTACAATAATAGCTTTTTCAGTAGAATATTTTAAAGAAGTTGAAGAACTTAAAGAAGTTGTACAATAATAGCTTTTGCAGTACAATATTTTATAGAGCCTTTTATGAGGGATTCCTAATCATTGCTTCATTGATATTTACTCTAAGTCATGGAAAAAGAGCCCTAGCAAATGATAATCATCCAGAACTGTGAAAGCCCCCGGTGATGTTATCTTTAACCTATAATGTAGGTTAAGACTGGACCAACTTTCTGTTTTTGTCTATGGAGCAAGAAAAATTCCATTAAAGTTCCAAGCCCACCATGGGATCTTCATCTTCCATCTATCAAAGCATAAGTTGCTCATATATAAGATTGGCTGCAAAGTCCTCCACAAATAAAATTATACCCAATAGGTGTATACAATATTGGCTGCAAAGTCCTCCACAAATAAAATTATACCCCACAGGTGTACACAATATTGGCTGCAAAGTCCTCCACAAATAAAATTATACTCCATAGGTGTACACAATACTTTTTCCAGTTTCATTGTTCACAGAGGTATAGGAAGGGAAAAAATTAAGAGAGGTAGAAGGCTTATGATGGCAGAGAAATCTTGATCCATGATTCTGGGAAAGCTGTTCATGTCTAGGATGCCATCTGCTTCTGGAAAGAAACTTCCCTGGTTAGCTTTACCTTAAGGTCTTAAATGGCTGTACAGTTCTAAGAGTCTGGAGGGCCCCTTTTGAGTTGCAAGGTTATGGACCCTTGCAATGTGTGTGGCAAGGACAGTCTTTTTTTGATGTCATTTCCGGAAGGCTCAGTTTATGGGTTCTAGAACATGAAAAGTTTGATTGTCCTCAGTCACTGGATCATGGAAACCTTGTTTTACTTGGTGAAAATATATTCCGACATAATGCATTAAAGCATTGCAGCATTTAGTCATATCAGAGTTTAGGAGTGGAAGATACATGAGGTTCTATTATTAGTGTCATAAGCCTTCAAGTGACTATTTCATAAGGGACCAACTTAGTTTTCCAGTGGAAGTGGATCTGATTGTATTCAGTTAGCTTTATCAAATGCTATTGTAACTATAACATCTTATTTAGATGCTTTACAACTTGTCCAGTGAAACAAGTGCTTCTGTTGCTGGAGGTCTCTCCAGGAACACCACACGAGGGAAAAACACATTTTCTAAATGCCTTTTGGCTTTTAGAGGAATGTTATAGCATTCACCTTCTTGCATAGATGGGAAAGCTTCTACACAACTAGAAAAGATACATTGAAAATGTCAATTGAATGAAATCCCTTTATAAATGTTCAAATGGGCCATCAGGTAGCAGAGATATATCTGAAATTTTGATTGTCTTCCCAAGATTATGGATTTGACAAACCAAACATTGGTCATAAGCCACTTTCGAAATTTAGAACAGTCATTATATATAATATACTTATATATTATATATAATAGTTAACCCTGGATGTCTATCCTCTTAAATATTCATTTTATTCCTCCAACTCAGGTGTATAGCACTGTGTATTAAATGGGTTAACTTAGGTAAACCCATTTAACGGGTTAACCCATTACTTAATGGGTTACTTAGGTAACCCATTAGGTAATTTGACTTGGACCATGGAGTTTATTCAAATTACATATCTCAATTTCAGTACTGGCTGATTTAGCATGAAAATCTGGCAAAGTATTTCCTTGATATTCAATTAATTCTTGTCTTGATTGGGTTAGCAGTTTTATAAACAAGTAAATCTCTTTATTAGTGTTATGGAAATACCCATTTGGAAATATTTACTCAAATAATACGATTCTAAAGTTATCTGAAACCTGTATTCAAGAGCGCTTGTCTGGTTTCTTTCCATCCTTTCCATGAAAATCCATGAAGACATAACACTCTAGGATTTTATTTGCTTATAAAAATCTAGTAAATACATCAGAAGTTAGAAAATGCATCAGATTTAAGCAATTAACTGTGAATGAGACTTAAAATCGTCAGGTTTAAAGACCCAATTGAAAAAAAATTTGGTTATTTTGTGGCCTACAATAATTTAATGTAAGAACCGTAATTATCACTAATCACATATACCAAGATATAGCAGAATTTTTGAAATCTCATACAATTTTGGAATACTTATTAATAACATATCCAAAAAGATACAACTCAATGTTAAAAATAATTTCTTATTTGACAATGCTTCCCATATAATTTATCGTATCAAATAAGCCTAATTAGTGTCTCCCTTTTGGACACTTCAGGGATCCTTTGTAATATCTCAAAGTTAGTTTGAGGTCAAAAAGACATAATTTTACAATTTGAAGTTTGATTTTTGGAAGCTTGTCAAATATGTCAAAGGTTTAAAGTAATCATAACAGGAACACAGATTACTGTAAAAATAACAAGCATTTATTTAGCCAAAGTGATAATTAAAAGGGTTTAAAAAAAAAACAAAACTTTACTCTTCTAGAGGAGATTCAATTTTTCAAACAATCAAGACAGCATGAAACATAATTTGTCTCTCCTTCTCTCCACTCATTTTCTCTCTCTCTGCAGTCTACATAAAGGGTGAAGAATAATATTTTACTGTCTCTATTAATACTATGTAAAATTCTTCTTCAAAAGAGAAAAACAAATTTTACTTTTGTACCTTTTTATTGTCAATACTAAATCCAATAAAACCTTATGAATAAATCCATCCAATCTCATCCAGCTTTTGACCATACAAGTTAAGATTTCCATAAACCTTTTATAACCTCTTACAACATTTTTTTCTATTTGTCCTTTTTTGAACTATTTTTATCTATTTAGTTTTATTTATATCATCTCTTCATTTGGAAACATCTTTAAATAACCTCTCAACTAAACCAAATAACTTTTTGTATAACAAAAACTACATCTTTTATATTTTTAGATGAAAATCGTTACATAATTTTTAAGAAAGAAATATTTCCTCAATTTCTAAAGTAACAGATTTAGTAAATATTTGTTTATTAATAAATATTTAACATATAAATATATTTACAATAAATAGTATGTATTATAAATAATACATAATTCATGCATTTAGCAAAGTTTTTTTATACCATATAAAAATAATATGCTGAAGTATATAAACTTAAAATTACATCTATGTTTAATAATTAATATTTTGATATTTTAACTTAGAGTATTTTATGATTATGTACTACTTAATTTAAAATAGCATGACCTTAATATTTTGAGTTATTAAAAAAAATTTGAAACTCCGATATAGGTATCCTCCCTAATGTCTTCCCCAGTTGTGGGTACCAAGTACCCACGTGGCACCCAGGATGACTATGAAAAGCAGAGGTCATCTGGGTCCTGAATTTACATATAGCTCGGGATAGAAGATAGAACTGTGAAGACAGTGCCTGAAGGATCTAAACTCTCCCAGAATGGCCAAAAGGCAAAGCTGGGCCAGGAAGGATAGGGCCATATTGGGCTTATCTCTGACTTGCAGCTGATGTCACAGGTGCTGTGGCCACACATGTCCCTAGGCCTCACCATAGTCATCTGCCTAGACTTCAGAATCTAAAGTCTCGAAACCAAAGACATAAGGTCATAAACAGGACAAGCATAAAAAATACTACAGAAGGAGCAGTTTTATACCCTTAAAACATCTATTAGAGACAATATAAACCTGTTGAATCACTAAATCCAGGCAAAAATGTCTGCATTATATTTACTATTAAAAATTTTGAAGACATATGCTATTTTATTTTACCAACAATTTTAAAGCTAGTTTTATTTACCAAATATCATCTTAGATCAGAGAAATATCACATACATATAACACATATAAACATACAGACATACAGACAGAAGAAAATCTTACAGCTTTCATGATAATTTTTCAGTTGTCAGCTTTCAAATAGTTTTTCTTTTCCCCATTTACACTATCACTCTTGAATTTCCTGTTTCATTGCCCTAAGCAATTGTTAGCTGGGCAACCCTAAATTTGCACCTCTAATCAAATAAGTCTTAGGTGAAACAAGGTAGAAAATTTATATCTCAAAGTCACAGAGCTGAAACTTCAGGCCTAAATATTGTATCATTCTTTGCTCAAATTAAGAAAGGAGGGTGTAGATAAAAGCCCAGTTAAGAAAAGATGGTCAGAAAACACATGTTAAACAAAGGTAAGACTCGTTATGTAAATTTAAAACAATACTAAGAGTTTCTAGTGACTCAGTTCTCCTTCTTTTCAGGATGCACAAAGGCAAACACCCTTATGAAAGGAGATTTTCTTTATATATAAATTTATTTTATGAAAGAATTTCAAAATAGCCAACTAAATGCCAGAAAGTGGTATTGTGGAGACTGTTGGGTTCAACAGGCAGTGTTCTTAACTCCTGTTTCTTGGTAAAACTTACTGAGTTTAAGGCAAAGCCCATTAAGCAACAGGGTAAAGAAAGCATCCTCTATGCATGGACTCAGCATGGATAGCTCTGAAAAAATAAGCAAGCCTACCTTGCCTGAGGGTCTATATTTTATAAACATTTATTTTGCATTCTTCTAGCCCCTAGAGTGGTATAGTAACTAACACAAAAACTAACAGAATTAATTTTTATTATCAATTAGTTGTTTCAGCTTTTTATTTTTCTTTCATAAAAAGCTTTTTAAGAGTGGCAACAAAAATATTGTAATTTTTTTTAGAAACTTCTGCATATCAATAGATGTATCTGAGTTAAACTAATTTGGGAGCCCTTATCCATAAAAGTACTTTTTAAAGTGCACTGTTGTTCATTTGGAATGTTTTGCTGTACTTTTAAATTATCTTTAGAAGGATTTTACCAGTTCTGTAAGCATTTGGTGTTTGTGGAGCCCAGTACAGGTAGGTGTAGCCAAAAGGTACAGTGCTCCATTTTTCACAAATTAAGGATCCCATTCTTACATCGAATCTTGGCTTTGGCTGTCAAATCTCCTTGATCAACTTAGCCAATAATTTTTCCCTTCCTAAGCACACAAGAGAAAGAAACAAAGGGGATATAACACAAACATTTCTGCAAATTTTTGAAATCTAGAGTTTGTACCTTTTGCAGTATTGCCATTTACTGTCAGTTTCCATCTGACCCTGTCAGACATCTCAGTGTGCAACTGGATACAGTATAGCTAATTATCAGATCCAATCTGATCCTGGGCCCTGGCTAGTTTCTGTCACAACTTCTGAACCCAGTTTAAATCAAAAGTTTTCTCAAACAAATTCAGATAGCTCAAAATACAAATTCATGGAGCTTTGGAATCCAAGAAGGAACTTAGTTGCTGTAAGAAAGCAATGGGCACAATGGGCCTGGCAGTTATCTCACTTGGTCACGAGGTGCATCAGGGGCCACTGGAAACTCTACTTCATATTCCATTTCTGAAGCCATCTGTTAAAAGAAAAATTAAAGACAAATTAAGTTTAACAGAGTTTAACTGAGCTAAGAATAATTCATGAATCAGGCAGCCCCCTCAACCAGAAAAGGTTCGGGGTGATTCTGGGATTTCCACATAGTCAGATCATATTTATGAACAGAAAATGGAAAATGATATACAGAAAATGAAAGTGAAGTACGGAAGTGAGGTACAGAAACAGTTGGATTGGTTACAGCTCAGTGTTTGCCTTCTTTGAACACAGTTTGAATAGCTGGTCCCCTGTGATTGGCTGAGACTCAGCTACTTGTTAAAAGAGTGGGTTAGAGCCTGTTTATACATCCAGTTAGGTTACAGTTCACTATGTATGCGGAAATCTTTAGGCTAAACTTAGACTATGGAAGCAAACTTTTTTAGGTTAAACTTAATTTTAAAAGTCCCATGGATGTTCTGCAAAAAAAAATGGATTCTGTGGTCAGGTAAATAGATGAAATTGCTGAGTCAAAGGTCAGGCTTTAAGCTGTCTATTAGCATATGAGGGTTAAAAGTAGAGACCAGGGGCCAGATTATCAGGGCTCTTCTTTCTTAGCTGTAAGACCTTGGGCTATGAATTTAACCTCTCCATTTTCTTACCAGTAAGATAAGGATAATAATATATTCTATTTCATAGAATTAGTATATTAACATACAGTGCCTGGAACATAATGACTAAATAAGTACTTGTTAAACAAATAAGGTCTCTGAGAAATTCTTGAGAAAAAATTTGACGTAGAGTTTTCCTAACCTACTGCTCTCCTTTCTTCCTCCCTTGCCCCCAACAATAACTTTCACTGCGATACCTATGCTTTAAAACACTCATTAGAAAATTCACTGAAGAAAGTTTCTTGAAATTACTTTTCTTTATTTTTTTACTTTATTTTATTTTCTTTTAGAGACAGGGTCTCACTATGTTGGCCAGGCTGGTTTCACACTCTTGGCCTCAAGCATTCTCCCATTGTAGCCTCCTGAATGGCTGGGATTACAGGCATGAGCCACAATGCCCAGCTTGAATTCACTCTTAATAAAGGATTTTTAAAAAAAAGTTTAAAAGGGATCTCCAGTGTACATTTCAATCATAATTCTAAAAGGCTCAGAAATTAAAAGAGAAAATTCCAAAATCTATCAAAGAAAATAGTTTCCAGTTAATGAAGTGCATGTAATGCCACTGATTTTTATCAGTGTCTCACTGAGGGGAATTATAATAATCACATTCAGCATGTGCTGAGTGTGTCTGTACACCAGACACTCACCCAGCCTATTGGAAAGCCATTTCTGAATCCTTACAGCAATTTCAAGAAGTAAATACTGTGGTTTACCCCTATTTTTTAGAGACTGAGGTTTAAAGTGTCTGTGTTTCTTGCCCAAGGTCACCTAGCTAGAAATTAGTTGCTATGGTTTGAATGTCCCCTCCAAAATTCATGCTGAAATTTAGTTACCATTGTAATAGTGTTGAGAGGTGGGATCTTTAAGAGATGACTGGACCACGAGGGCTCTGCCCCCATGAGTGGGATTACTACCATAGAAAAAGAGCAAGTTTGGTCCCTTTTTTCTCTTGCCCTTCTGCTTTCTGCCATAGGATGACACAGCAAGAAGGTCCTTGACATATGCTGATTTTTTGATCTTGAACTTCACAGTCTCCAGAACTATAAGCCAATACATTTCTGTGCATTATAAATTACCTAGTCTGTGATATTTTGCTGTAACCACAAAAAACAAACAAAAACAAAAAATTGGGACCAGAGAAGTGGGGCATCGCTATAAAAATATCTAAAACTGTGGAGGCAGCTTTGGAAGTGGGTAATAGGTACAGGTTGCAACAGTATTGAACTGAAGGCTGGAAAAAGCATCAGTTGCCCTGAATGGAACATTAAGATGATTCTGGTGCAGGTTCAGAAGAGAATATCTGCAGGGAAAGTCTGAAACTTCCTAGAGATTACTTAAGTGGACATGAATAAAATTTGGTGGAAATAGGGATAGAAAAGGCAATTCTAATGAGGTCTCAGATAGAAGGAAGAGACAGGTATTGGGAACTGTAATAAAGGTCAACCTTGTTATAAAGTGACAAATAAATTGGCTGAACTGTGTCCTAGGACTTTATGTAAGGCAGAACGTAAGAACAATGAGCTAAGATATCAAGTGGAAGAAATATCAAAGCAGCAAAGCATCCAGGATGCTGTGTGGCTTCTTTTAACCACATATCTTAAAATGTGAGCAGAGAGAAATAATTTAAAGATGAAATTTATAATTAAAAGGGATGCATAACATAAAGATTTGGCCATGTAAGGAATAAAAAATATTTTTTTAAATTCTCAGCCTGGCTATGTAAAGAATAAAAAAGTCTGTTTAGGAGAGAATATCCAGGGTACAACCAAGTAGACCTTTGATAAGATCAGTATGGATAGAAGGAAGCCAACTGCTATGCATTAAGACAATGAAAGAATGTCCCTAACAGCATTTCAGAGATCTTTGAGGCTGCCTCTCTCATTACAGACCCAGAGAAGAGCCTGAGGGCAAGCTTTCCAGAGAGGAGCCTCATACCACTTCAAGTGTCTGTTTCTTGCATTCTGGTGCAGTGCTCCTTGGCTGCTCCAGTCATTGCTCAAGTGGGCCCAGGTGCTGCTCAGGTCACCACTTCAGAAGGCACAAGTAGTGAATCTTGGTGGCATCCATGTGGTGCTAACTCTGCAGAAGTACAGAGTGCACAAGCTGCGGGGCCATGACGGTCTTCAGCTAGATTTCAAAGGATGTATTTGCCTAGAGGCCCAGGCAGAAACCTGCCACAGGGTCAGAACTGCCACAGAGAGTCCCCACTAGAGCTGTGTCCGGTGGAGCCACAGGAGTGGAGCCACCCCCAAGATCTCAGAACTGTAACACTGCCAGTGTGCAATGCCAGCCTGGGAAAGCTTCAGGCATGTGACTCTAATCTGCAAAATCAGATGTGTGGGCTGAGCCCCACAAAGCCATAGGGGTGGGGCTGCCTGAGGCCTTGGGAGACCCAGCCCTACTCCAGTATGCCCAAAGGTGAGACATTGAGTCCAGGAAGATTTTTCTGGAGCCTTAAGATTTAATGTTGTTCGCCTTGTCAGGTTTTGCACTTATTTGGGCCAAGTTACTTCGTTTTTTAATTTTCTTTACTCCTTTTTTGGTAATGGGAATGTCTATCCTATGCCTGTCCCACAGTTGTATTTTGGAAGTACATTGCTTGTTTGATTTCACAGGCTTGAGGCTGGAGAGCACTGTGCCTCAGAATGGATTGTGCCATGATGTTTAGGTGAGACTTTTGACTTTTCAATTGATGCTGGAACTAGTTAAGGCTTTGGGGGCCATTGGGATGAAATTCATCTATTTTGTATGTGAGAAGGACATGAGATTTAGAGAGCTAGAGGCCCTTTGGAATGATTTGAATATTTTTATCTCCTTCAAAATTGATGTTTAAATTTAGTTGCCATTGCAACAGCATTGAGAGGTGGGACTTTAAAAGGTGATTGCTGGGAAGACGAGTTAGGCCCTTCTTTCTGCTATGGGATGACTTAGCACAAAACTCCCTCACCAGATGCTGGTCCCCCGTTCCTGGACTTTTCAGCCTCCAGAACTGTGAGCCAACACGTTTCTGTTCATTATAAATTACGCAGTCTGTAGTATTTTGTTATAGCAGCCCAAAATGAACTAAGACATTAGTGGAACCAGAAATGCAAACACAGGTTTGCAGGCTCCAAGTCCCGTACCAAGGAGACTGTCAACTTCAACATGCAAATTACTTCTCCCACCCCTACTCTCTTCCACCTGGGGCATTCATAGATCCCAAACCCAAAGTTTTTCCTAGGATCAATTGCTTTTGTAAATGGTTTGTCATGGGTTTTAACTTGTAAGAAATAAAAATAAAACATTAGGTCACTAAACTGATTGAATGGACTTCCTCTTGGTCAAGGGGACCCCAAAGAAACCTTAAAAATGGAGTTCCTGGCCATGATGGGATGGGAGGTCAGACACATCTTAAAATGCCCATTTCTTATTAACCTTTAACCGGAATTCTTTCCTAAGGAGTAAGCAGAAACCAGCTCTGGAAAACAAGAAACAGATGACTTATTCTTTTGTTGTCTTTAGCCAATCAACTGATGCCATCACCAGATGCCCCCACCCTCTTCACAGTTTTGACATGACAGCTTGCCAGTTTCACAATGCATCCCTTCCTCATAAGAGTCTGTCCAGTCTATAGAGGATACACAGCACGAGTTTTTGTATCCTCTGCTTCACCTTTTGAGGTCAGAGGGCTGAAAAGCCCACCTTTGGATTATGCCAGCACTGCCATTTTTTTTCGTACATGGGACCCACAAAGAGGCATGAAACTCAATTGCACATGTACATGTTTCTCCTTTCATAAATATTTATGCTCCTCCTACAGCATATTGAATATGTATATAGCTAGCTAACAAATTCAACTTAAATTCCTGTCTTATTCTTTCCTCCCTTGAAGTGCTTGCTCTCAACTTTTGCTGGAGGTCACGCTTCTCAGTCTTTAGGATGGCTAGCTTACAGGCTGCAACCCTCTATGAGAACTAAAGGTCTCCTTTTCAAACTGATGAACCTTATCATTCTTCAGTTGACCCTTGCATCATAGGGATAACAATATACAGTAGCTATTGTCATCCCCAATAATAGACAAAGTTCTGAAACATTAGGTAATTAACATGAATATATAATCCTACTCACCATCTTTTCCCCTCTAAGATTTGACATTTTTACAAAAGTAATAAATAGAGGAGATAAGAACCAAACCTAAATGTTCTCCCTGCTAGTAAAGAGCTCTTTCTACTGCATCTTACTGCTATATCCAGAACTTTGCAAATCCCACTGAAATCTGTCTTTGTTGTTCTTTCTTATTGCTGACATTTAACAAATACCACTGGTGGCTTTGCTCTGTTTGTCTCCTAATGCTGAAATATGTTGTAGAGTTCTCAGACACTGATGGTGAGTGTCTGCTTTGTTTCTATTTGGTCGGCCATGCTGACAGCACATGTACCAGCATGTGGAGAGACAGAATAAGATCCAGCCCTTCGATATGCATCTTGCCTCACTTTTGCACCATCCATGCACCACCACATTCAAGAATCAGACCAAAGGGACCTTTTTGTAAGAAACAAAGTAGCCGTTTTTAGATCTGTTATTTTTCAAAACCACTCAGTACAATGATTTTAACTAGTAAAATTCTACCCAATCAAGAACATTTTCTCTTCTGTGTGGCAAATACAGCAGATGGGTCGATTAAAAAAAAAAAAAAAAAAAAAAACAGAGTGCTCTCAGAAGCACAAAGAAAAATGTACTTTTTAAAAGACAATCTATAATGTGTACATATCTAGGTACACAATCCAGTTTTTAAATTTCTCATCTATTGATATGAAACAGATCCATATTGTCCATGTTATCTTGATGTAAATATCAGTATTATTCCTATTTTTGATTCCCTTCAACCACCATTATACATGTGCTTGCATGTAGATACCACACACACAAATTATACATACACAACATATTTCTACTGTTAAATTTAGCAAGTTCCACACCAGCCTGGGAAAAGAACCATTGTCCATCAATGGTCACGAGCATGGGTAGTATCAGACAAGATATCAGGACCTCAAATCATCTTGATTTGAACTTCAGTAAGAAATGTCACTGAATGTGCCTCCTATTAGACATACAGCTGACAGTTAGAAACACCTGGTAGTAAATAAATTAACATATATACTACACATTAGTTACATAATATCAGTATCCTATTTGTCTTCCCAAATGACTTGTGATGGTTCATTTTATATGTCAACTTGACTGTGCTAAAGGGTGCCCAGATAGCTGGTAAAACATTATCTCTGGGGGTGTATGGGAGAGTATTTTCAGAAGAGACGACCATTAGAATCAGGAGACCGAGTAAAGAAAATTGCCCTCACCAATGAGGGTGAGCATCATCCAGTCCACGGTAGGCCTGAATAGAACAAAAAGGTGGAGGAAGGGAGAAGGTGTTCGCAGCATTAGCTGGGACATCCATCTTCTCCTGCCTTCCAATGCCGGTACTCCTGGTTCTCAGGCTTTTGCACTTGGATTGTGATTTTTACCATTGGCTCCCCTGTTCTCAGGTGTTCAGACTAAGACTGAAACGACACCACTATTTTTTCTGAGCCTACAGTTTGCGTACAGCAGATCGTGGGAGTTCTCAGCCTCTATAACCATGTGAGCCGACCCCTCACAATAATTCTCTTTCAATCTATATATATTGTATTGGCTTTATTTTGCTGCAGAATCCTGACTAATACATTTGCTTTAGTTTGGGGGCATTGCCACTTTCACCTCTATTTTAGACTTTCTTTTCCCTAAAACAGGAATCCCGATAAGACATTCATCATTTATTTCTTTGCTCATTTATTTATGTGACAGATGTTTATGGATCAACCACCATAGCCAGAACCTGCTGATGTTCCAGCACTGGTAAACAGGTTATATTTCATGCCCTTGCAGAAATAGAGGAGATAAACATTGGAAAAATAAACACATCGGTAAATATTTAAAAGTAAGCATTGTGATACGTGCTATGCAGAAAAGGCATGTGGTCAAAATGAAAATAGGGATATGAATGACTGGGCCGGCTGCAGGGGAGCAGGGAAATGGGTATAAGAGCAGTGTGCAACATCCCCCTAATCTAGTATGAGACACAAGTTTTTTAACCATGTATTTCTGTTGAAAGAAGAAACAATGACAGGAAGTTGCATATTTTTCTGACAAATGCTGAGGAAGAGCCCAAACCCACAGGCCGCTTTGAATGAAGAGAACAGAAGGTCTTTCTTATATTAGTCAGCATGCCACACTGTGCAGTAGTGATCTGCCTGGGGGTTGACCCCTGACACAAAGGGAGCCTTGCATACAGGTGGAGCATGAATGGAGCCAATGGCCTATGACAGGAGGTGGCCGAATTATCCAGGCAGTTAGAGAGGAAGCTAATGCATTAATAATTATTCATACATAATACATTAATGCATTAATAATGTAGACTTTACATCCATATTTGAATACTACTCTTTTGCTTTTAGTTGTATGACCTCAGGTGAATTATTTAAATTTTATAATTGGCTTATCTATAAAATGAAGACTGTAATAGTTCTTACCTGGTGGTAACTATTTTGGTGAGAATTAAATGTGTTCATATGAATTAACATGTACAAAAACAATGCACCCAGCACATAGTAGATGCTCAGTAAACAATTTTAAAAGCATATGTCTTATATATAATATAAAATATTATTTTTATATTATATTATGTCCATTGTAGTATAGTTTGAAGTCAGGTAGCGTGATGCCTCCAGCTTTGTTCTTTTGGCTTAGGATTGACTTGGCGATGCGGGCTCTTTTTTTGGTTCCATATGAACTTTAAAGTAGTTTTTTCCAATTTTGTGAAGAAAGTCATTGGTAGTTTGATGGGGATGGCATTGAATCTATAAATTACCTTGGGCAGTATGGCCATTTTCACGATATTGATTCTTCCTACCCATGAGCATGGAATGTTCTTTCATTTCTTTGTATCCCCTTTTATTTCATTGAGCAGTGGTTTGTAGTTCTCCTTGAAGAGGTCCTTCCCATCCCTTGTAAGTTGGATTCCTAGGTATTTTTTTCTCTTTGAAGCAATTGTGAATGGGACTTCACTCATGATTTGGCTCTGTGTTTGTCTGTTGTTGGTGTATAAGAATGCTTGTGATTTTTGTACATTGATTTTGTATCCTGAGACTTTGCTGAAGTTGCTTATCAGCTTGAGGAGATTTTGGGCTGAGACGATGGGGTTTTCTAGATATACAATCATGTCATCTGCAAACAGGGGCAATTTGACTTCCTCTTTTCCTAATTGAATACCCTTTATTTCCTTGTCCTGCCTGATTGCCCTGGCCAGAACTTTTAACACTATGTTGAATAGGAGTGGTGAGAGAGGGCATCCCTGTCTTGTGCCAATTTTCAAAAGGAAAGCTTCCAGTTTTCGCCCCTTCAGTATGATATTGGCTGTGGCTTTGTCATAGATAGCTCTTATTATTTTGAGATACACCCCATCAATACCTAATTTATTGAGAGTTTTTAGCATGAAGGGTTGTTGAATTTTGTCAAAGGCCTTTTCTGCATCTATTGAGATAATCATGTGGTTTTTATCTTTGGTTCTGTTTATATGCTGGATTACATTTATTGATTTGTGTATGTTGAACCAGCCTTGCATCCCAGGGATGAAGCCCACTTGATCATGGTGGATGAGGTTTTTGATGTGCAGCTGGATTCGGTTTGACAGTATTTTATTGAGGATTTTTGCATCGATGGTAATAAAGAATATTGGTCTAAAATTCTCTTTTTTTGTTGTGTCTCTGCCAGGCTTTGGTATCAGGATGATGCTGGCCTTATAAAATGAGTTAGGGAGGATTCCCTCTTTTTCTATTGATTGGAATAGTTTCAGAAGGAATGGTACCAGCTCCTCTTTGTACCTCTGGTAGAATTCGGCTGTGAATCCATCTGGTCCTGGACTTTTTTTGCTTGGTGAGCTATTGATTATTGCCTCAATTTCAGAGCCTGTTATTGGTGTATTCAGAGATTCAACTTCTTCCTGGTTTAGTCTTGGGAGGGTGTATGTGTCGAGGAATTTATCCATTTCTTCTAGATTTTCTAGTTTATTTCTGTAGAGGTGTTTGTAGTATTCTCTGATGGTAGTTTGTATTTCTGTGGGATCGGTGGTGATATCCCCTTTATCATTTTTTATTGCATCTATTTGATTCTTCTCTCTTTTCTTCTTTATTAGTCTTGCTATCAGTCTATCAATTTTGTTGATCTTTTCAAAAAACCAGCTCCTGGATTCATTGATTTTTTGAAGGGTTTTTTGTGTCTCTATTTCCTTCAGTTCTACTCTGATCTTAGTTATTTCTTGCTTTCTGCTAGATTTTGAATGAATGTGTTTGCTCTGGCTTTTCTAGTTCTTTTAATTGTGATGTTAGTGTGTCAATTTTAGATCTTTCCTGCTTTCTCTTGTGGGCATTTAGTGCTATAAATTTTCCTCTACACACTGCTTTGAATGTGTCCCAGAGATTCTGGTACATTGTGTCTTCGTTCTCATTGGTTTCAAAGAACATCTTTTTTTCTGCCTTCATTTCATTATTTACCCAGTAGTCATTCAAGAGCAGGTTGTTCAGTTTCCATGTAGTTGAGCGCTTTTGAGTGAGTTTCTTAATCCTGAGTTCTAGTTCGATGGCACTGTGGTCTGAGAGACAGTTTGTTATAATTTCTGTTCTTTTACGTTTGCTGAGGAGTGCTTTACTTCCAATGATGTGGTCAATTTTGGAGTAGGTGTGGTGTGGTACTGAAAAGAATGTATATTCTGTTGATTTGGGGTGGAGAGTTCTGTAGATGTCTATTAGGTCCACTTGGTGCAGAGCTGAATTCAATTCCTGGGTATCCTTGTTAACTTTCTGTCTCCTTGTTCTGTCTAATGTTGACAGTGGTGTGTTAAACTCTCCCATTATTATTGTGTGGGAGTCTAAGTCTCCTTGTAGGTCACTAAGGACTTGCTTTATGAATCTGGGTGCTCCTGTATTGGGTGCATATATATTTAGGTTAGTTAGCTCTTCTTGTTGAATTGATCCCTTTACCATTATGTAATGGCCTTCTTTGTCTCTTTTGATCTTTGTTGGTTGAAAGTCTGTTTTATCAGAGACTAAGATTGCAACCTCTGCCTTTTTTTGTTTTCCATTTGCTTGGTACATCTTCCTCCATCCCTTTATTTTGAGCCTATGTGTGTCTCTGCACGTGAGATGGGTTTCCTGAATACAGCACACTGATGGGTCTTGACTCTTTGTCCAATTTTGCCAGTCTGTGTCTTTTAATTGGAGAATTTAGCCTATTTACATTTAAAGTTAATATTGTTATGTGTGAATTTGATCCTGTCATTATGATGTTAGCTGGTTATTTTGCTCATTAGTTGATGCAGTTTCTTTGTAGCCTCGATGGTCTTTACATTTTGGCATGTTTTTGCAGTGGCTGGTACCGGTTGTTCCTTTCCATGTTTAGTACTTCCTTCAGGAGCTCTTTTAAGGCAGGCCTGGTGGTGACAAAATCTCTCAGCATTTGCTTGTCTGTAAAGTATTTTATTTCTCCTTCACTTATGAAGCTTAGTTTGGCTGGATATGAGATTCTGGGTTGAAAATTCTTTTCTTTAAGAATGTTGAATATTGGTCCCCACTCTCTTCTGTCTTGTAGAGTTTCTGCCGAGAGATCCGCTGTTAGTCTGATGGGCTTCCTTTTGTGGGTAACCCGACCTTTCTCTCTGGCTGCCCTTAACATTTTTTCCTTCATTTCAACTTTGGTGAATCTGACAATTATGTGTCTTGGAGTTGCTCTTCTCGAGGAGTATCTTTGTGGCATTCTCTGTATTTCCTGAATTTGAATGTTGGCCTGCCTTGCTAGATTGGGCAATTTCTCCTGGATAATATCCTGCAGAGTGTTTTCCAACTTGGTTCCATTCTCCCCATCACTTTCAGGTACACAAATCAGACGTAGATTTGGTCTCTCCCCATAGTCCCATATTTCTTGGAGGCTTTGTTCATTTCTTTTTATTCTTTTTTCTCTAAACTTCTCTTCTTGCTTCATTTCATTCTTTTCGTCTTCCATCACTGATACCCTTTCTTCCAGTTGATCACATCAGCTACTGAGATTTCTGCATTCGTCACGTAGCTCTTGTGCCTTGGTTTTCAGCTCCATCAGGTCCTTTAAGTACTTCTCTGCATTGGTTATTCTAGTTATCCATTCGTCTAATTTTTTTCAAAGCTTTTAACTTCTTTGCCATTTGTTTGAATTTCCTTCTGTAGCTCGGAGTAGTTTGATCTTCTGAAGCCTTCTTCTCTCAACTCGTCAAAGTCATTCTCCATCCAGTTTTGTTCCATTGCTGGTGAGGAGCTGCGTTCCTTAGAAGGAGGAGAGGTGCTCTGATTTTTAGAGTTTCCCATTTTTCTGCTCTGTTTTTTCCCCATCTTTGTGGTTTTATCTACCTTTGGTCTTTGATGATGGTGACGTACAGATGGGTTTTTGGTGTGGATGTCCTTTCTGTTTGTTAGTTTTCCTTCTAACAGACAGGACCCTCAGCGCAGGTCTGTTGGAGTTTGCTAGAGGTCCACTCCAGACCCTGTTTGCCTGGGTATCAGCAGCGGTGGCTGCAGAACAGCGGATATTGGTGAACCGCAAATGCTGCTGTCTGATCGTTCCTCTGGAAGTTTTGTCTCAAAGGAGTACCTGGTCATGTGAGGTGTCAGTCCGCCCCTACTAGGGGGTGCCTCCCAGTTAGGCTACTCGGGGGTCAGGGAGCCACTTGAGGAGGCAGTCTGTCCGTTCTCAGATCTCAAGCTGCGTGCTGGGAGATCCAGTACTCTGTTGAAAGCTGTCAGAGAGGGACATTTAAGTCTGCAGAGGTTACTACTGTCTTTTTGTTTGTCTGTGCCCTGCCCACAGAGGTGGAGCCTACAGAGGCAGGCAGGCCTCCTTGAGCTGTGGTGGGCTCCATCCAGTTCGAGCTTCCCGGCTTCTTTGTTTACCTAATCAAACAACAAACTCAGCGATGGCAGGCGCCCCTCCCCCAGCCTCACTGCCCCTTGCAATTTGATCTCGGACTGCTGTGCTAGCAATGAGCGAGACTCCGTTGGCGTAGGACCCTCTGAGCCACGTGCGGGATATAATCTCCTGGTGTGCGGTTTGTTAAGGCTGTTGGAAAAGCACAGTATTAGGGTGGGAGTGACCTGATTTTCCAGGTGCCATCTGTCACCCCTTTCTTTGACTAGGAAAGGGAATTCCCTGACCCATTGCTCTTCCCAGGTGAGGCGATGCCTCTCGCTGCTTTGGCTCGTGCACGGTGCGCTGCAGCCACTGTCCTGCACCTACTGTCTGGCACTCCCTAGTGAAATGAACCTGGCACCTCAGTTGGAAATGCAGAAATCACCCGTCTTCTGCGTCGCTCACACTGGGAGCTGTAGACCGGAGCTGTTCCTATTTGGCCATCTTGACTCCTCCTATAATTCTCAAATTGAATGAACTGAGATTGGTGATAGCATCGTTCTCCAAAGAAAAAGTCAGGGTAGAAGTGGATACTAGCAACAAACCATAATCTCTACCATGGTTGATATCAAGAATATTGGGCAAATTTGCTTTTCTTGATATAAACAGAGGGGATATAACATGTCATCATAATAGGTACATGGCAAAACTGGATTCCCTCTTCATAACCTCTCAGACTGTGTAATTCACATTGGAAGCTGAACACGCTGACTCTGCAGGTCACCTCTACACATTCCTGCCACCACCACCAGGAAATCTACTCTTTATCAACAATGCTGCCTTAGTTGTAAGGGTTCGCTTTAGAAGTGTCTGCCAATGTGCTTTGGCTAAAGTATTATAAAGAAAGTGACATTACACCTGGATTTTATGAAGGACAGATCTGGTGCAATATTGATTTCCATCAAATGTAGAGTTATTGTGAATATATTTAATCGGAGCACTTATATCATCATTTCAATGAATCTTTCTTAAAGTTGAATAGTTATGTTATAAAATTGCTAGCTGCAATGGGCATGACTTTTACTGTTCAAAGGGAGAAGACATCTGAGTGTTCCAGGCTCTGAGAAGAAATATAATATAAAGGCCAGGGGTGGTGTCTTATGCCTATAATCCCATGACTTTGGGAGGCCCAGGCTGGTGGATTGCTTGAGTTCAGGAATCCAAGGCCAGCCTGGGCAACATGATGAAATCCCATCTCTACAAAAAAAAAAAAAAAAAAAAAAATAGCCGGGCATGGTGGCACACACCTGTAGTCCCAGCTACTCGGGAGGCTGAGAAGTGGGAGGATCACTTGATTCTGGGAAGCTGGGGCTGCAGTGAGCCAAGATCACACCACTGCACTCCAGCTTGGGTGACAGAGTGAGAACTTGTCTCAAAAAAAAAAAAGTAAATAAGTAAATAAATACATAAATAAAATAAGCAGAAATACAAATACAATATAAGATACCCTGGAAAATATTTCCTGTTACTGTTTAGGAGGGAATGCCTGGAAAGTTGAAATATTCAGAGTCAGAAAATTAGAGTACATAATGCCAGGTGGAAACACTTTTTAAGAAGTAAAGAAGTTAAATAAAAGCATGTTAGAAAATACTCTTTCACAGAACTCCAATGTACTCTCTTATTCTCCATTAGTTCCAACATTGCTTGAGAGCAAGGATCCAAATTCTATAGAGAAGCCATGACTTCAAGCTTTTGCACCATTTCTATGTTTTTGAAGGATAGAAAGCAGTGACCATCATTTATTTACCTACAACCAAATATCAAAATACTGAACTTCAAAAATTGCATCTCTGGGCTCAAAAATGTAATCGGATGTCTACTAACATTTAGTAATCTACTCTATTAACAGTACAAGTTGTCCTCTTCATTTTATCTCTATCTCCAAAGCAGGCACTATCGTAATAGAATTCCTGTGCTTGTGTCCTTTGGAGTGCACAAGCCGAGGTGCAATATAGATTGTTATCACCACAGCAAGAATACAAAGAATTCTGAGCCCTCCAAGGAATAATCGATCTTCAAATGCAATGATGGGAAAAAGATGAAAAATCCACACACCTCTAGATCTTTTCTTACATTTTCCCTCTGGGTCTATTCTTCCTATATACCTTTTGCAAGCAAGGTGCCAACTCTTTAATTTCAGCAGCTGCTATTATCTCCAAGCTTCCTTTTTTTTTTTTTTTCCATTTTAGAATCACATTTTATTTCCTTAGGCTAACTGAAATAACACACTTCACACTTTCCACTGTTGCAGCTGGGTCTGTCACATGTGTCTACTCACAGGGTTTATTTTATCTGTATCTCATCAACTTGCTCTTCACTTTCTGTTTTCTGATGAGGCACCACACTAGGATCTGCATTCACCTTTTCAAGGTTTTCCTGCAAGGAATTAAGAGTTGATTATCCAGTCCTATAAAGTCATCTTGGCAGCTTCTGTGTAATAAAAATCCAGTGTTGCTAATTTGATTGAAAGCTTTCTTAGGAAGAAATGAGCTTTTTCCTTTCTCTTTTTTGAATCAGGGAACTAGGACTATTTCTTTTCCCTTTAATCATAGATATTCCGTGGATGTTTTCTATTTTGTAATATGAAAAACCAAATTTCAAAACCTTAAACTTGAATGGACTATCAAATTCCAAGACTTGCTTTAGGAGTTTCATTAAAAAAAAAAAAAAGGAAGTACAGAAGACTGGAAATGGGGCATAAGGGGCATAAGAAAGGGGAATAAGAATGTCTGAATGGAGTAAACAGTTCACTCCATTAAAGAAATCAAAAGAGAACACACTGAAGTCTTGGGAGGATCATCTGCAGAATGGCTGAGGTAATGCTATAAAGCAAAGTTTAAATGTGCTGTACATGGTTATGAAAATAAAAAGATAAATACAAATCTGTGTCGTGGAATGCTGGAATGTGTAATGCTGCCAATGACCACCTCTCAACCAAAGGACAGCAGAGGTAAATTGCAAATGCAAAAGCAGAAATGAGATTGAAAATGGCATTCCCAGCCAGGTGCAGTGGCTTATGCCTATAATCCTAGCACTTAGGGGAAACCAAGGTGGGAGAATTGCTTGAGCCCGGGAGTTCAAGACCAGCCTGGCCAACGTAGGTCAGCTTGATGTGGTGGCACGTGCCTGTGGTCCCAGCTACTTGGGAGGCTGAGGTGGGAGGATCAATTGATCCCAGGAGGTTAAGGCTGCAGTGAGCTGTGGATGTACCACTGCATTACAGCCTGGAAGACAGAGCAAGACCCTGTCTCAAAAAAAAAAGAAAAGAAAAAGAAAATAAATGAAATGAAAATGTCACTCCCTGTATTCTTTGGGAAAAAATTTCAAAGAAATCTTAGGTAGACTTCCCTACCCATTTCAAAAGGCTGCTTCCTCCTCACATCATCATCCCCTCAAAATTTCTAAATTTACATGTCCTTTCTCTGCCATGTCCTTCCCTATTCCTTCCTCACCCTCTTAGTCTGGTTTCTGCCTCAAAAATACCCAATAGGTTCATCATTCTTAACCCTGCTGACCTTTTCTTTCCCCTTACCTCATACTTTTGTCCCTAACCCTGTCTTTCTTGAAATCCCTCCTTCCAAATCTCAGTAGCATAGAGAGATGGGGCGCTGTCTCCTCTAGTCTCTCTTTTCTTCACTGCTTCTGCTTCACAGGCTCCATGCCCAGATCCCTTGCTCTCACGCAGCTCACAACAGAGTATTTCTCTCTGAAATCTTAGCCAGTCTATTGGCCTCAATCCCACAAAGCAAAAGCATGCCCATATTTGTATCCAAGCTCACTGGTTTCCCCAAAGCTGCCGTCCACTCTTCCACCTGCATCCAAAAGATACCTTTAACTTCTTTTTCCTCCTAAGCCATTTCCCTCTCTGCACAGTCTAACTTCTGGCACTGGCACCGGCACCCAAAACTACAAAATTATTCATATTAACCTTTTATATTCTTTTTCTTCTCCCTTTTGACTTATAGTCACCAAGATCTTATTTTCTGTGTTCAACAACTCTAGTAATCTCCCGGTTCTCTTCAATGCTTACAGTCTCTCTCTATTTAAGCCAGGTATATTCAACATGGAGGTTCCCTCTTCCCTTTTCTTTGTCGCCACATGTGCAGTAAAAAAAGCAGGCAACGTGGTGCCGGCCAGGTAGAGACACATCTGCATAATAAAAGATTAAGGTAGAATGTCCAGCTTCTTTGCATGCTATGCAAATGGCACACCTGGTCCTAACAATCTCACGTGCCATATGTAAATCAGACATTGCCTCCTCAAGCTTATCTATGAAACCCCATGGATTTCACCATGGAACCAGAAGATCCACTTGGGACCCCCTCTCTCTCTGCAAGAGAGAGACCTTTTCTCTTTTCTCTCACCTATTAAACCTCCACTCTTAAACTCTCTTCTTGTGTGTCCACATCCTCAGTTTCCTTGGTGTGAGATGAGGAACCTCAAGTATTTACCCCAGACAAATGACACCACTTCATTACCAATCAGAACCTGGAGAAGAAGGAAGCCTGTGGCTCAGGCCTGTAATCCCAGCACTTTGGGAGGCCAAGGCAGGCGGATCACCTGATGTGAGGAGTTCAAGACCAGCCTGACCGACATGGAGAAACCCCGTCTCTACTGAAAATACAAAAAAAATAGCCGAGCGTGGTGGTGGATGCCCGTAATCTCAGCTACTTGGGAGGCTGACGCAGGAGAATCGCTTGAACCCGGGAGGCAGAGGTTGCAGTGAGCCGAGATTGCGCCATTGCACTCCAGCCTGGGCAAGAAAAGTGAAACTTCATCTCAAAAAAAAAAAAAAAAAAGGAAGCCTGAAGTTCAACTAGGTCAGCACCCCTGAACACGGAGTGCAGGTTGAGAAAAGGATGAGAAGAGGAGAGACGGGATATGACTTGTGGGTGAAGGAACGAGCATGGGTACTTCTGGGTAGGTAATTCTACAGCTTGTATTTCTAGCTTGTTTGGCATTATGCTTTATAATTTTCTTGTGTATTAAGGTATTTCTTTTGTTGGATCATTTTTTTCATGTTTTGCCAACCTTATCCTATTTAAGATTAATTGGTAAAACAAATCATGGACACTGCCATGAGTTTCAATTTAACATAATGCTAAGATTTCAGAATCTGTTTTAATTTATGAAGTAACTTAAAACAAATATGTATGTCCTTTAGGTCATATCAATATGTCAGCAATAGGTTCTAACTTTTCATTTAATCACTTGGCTTAAAGAAATTCTATATGTGGGTATATTACAACAGAAATCTATGGTGAGCACTCTCTTTTCCCGGCATTCATCCCAAACCATCGACTTTTCTCTTCAGCCTGAAGTAAATGAAAGTGGGGAGGAAAATCACACAGAAGGAAGAGCTGTCTCATTTGATAAATGGAGTAAATGTGAACAGAATTCCGTCTATTTGACAAATGGGTCTAATTTAACTCATGTCCTGTTTCTGGTGGATTTCTCCACTTGGTGAACACATTAGTGTTTGTGGATTTTCTTGCCTCAATATATAGAAAGGAATCCACGAGGTGACTCCTAGCTTTTCAGTTCAAATATTCTTAAGGTCTCATTGAGTGATGAGATATCACACATTGCCTAACAAACTGACAGACACTAAAATTATCATTCTGACATTTCAGGAATTTGTAGGGATAAGAAGAGGAGTAGAGGGACAGGTTTAGGCCACATACGAAAGGGATCAGAATGGCATCAACTTACTCTATAACTACCCTAAAAGAAGAAGAGAATAGAAAATTACCTATAAAATGTATAGGAAATGGCTTATCATCTCGAATTCTATTTCCAGTCAAATAATAAAAAGTGTAAGTATAGGATAGACATTCTCAGACATGTAAGTTCTCAGGAGCACTGTATTCCCTATGGACCATTTTTTCAGGTTTTGGGAAGACATGTTCCACCAAAATGACAGTAAAAAAAAAGAGAGAGAGAGAAAGAGAGAGAGAGAATGAGAGAGAGAGAGTAGATCTTACAAACAAAGTACACAATGCAGAAAAAAGTGAAAAGAATTCCCAAGATGCTGTTGAACAAAAGCTGTGCAGAAAGCCAAGCGTGCACCCAATCCCAATCCAGACTGGAGAAAAACAATGAGCATTCCCAGAGATCATTCTGCAGGGCTAAAAAATAATAATAATAAAGGGAGATGACTTGTGATCTGATGTGTTTGATTATGTGAGAGGCAGCTACTCTTATAAAATCTATTTCAGAAAATTAAGATAAGGAGAAATTAACCAGTTTGCATAATCTGACTAGAATAACATTGATATCAAGAATGCACAAAGACTGGCAGAAAAAAGATAATTATAGATTATTGATGAGTATTGTAAAATTTGAGAAAACATATTAGTGAATAAATGCAACAAAGTATTAAACTGTCACTATCAATTGACATTTATTCCAGGAATTTAAGGTAGTTCAAAATTTAGAAAATTTTTATATGATCAGCCACAACAACAGATTAAAGAAAAAACACATAATTTAAAAGGATTAAAAAGGCACTTAATAAAACTTGGCATTTATTAATTATTGTAAAAAACAAAAATATTTGCAATGTATATCTCATAAAGATATTGTATCCAGACTATATCAAGTACTTTATAATTTGATAATAACCAAACAAGCTAAATAAAAAATACATAAAATATTTGAAGAGATAATTAAGTGAAAAAATATGCAAATGACAAATAAGCTCATGAAAAGATGCTTGCAAATTAAAACTACGATGATATATCAATTTTTTCTTTTTTGAGACAGGGTCTCTCTCTGTTGCCTAGATTGGAGTGCAGTGGCATGATCTTGGCTCATCAACCTCCACCTCTCAGGCTCAAGAGATCCTCCCACCTCAGCCTCCTGAGCAGCTGGGACCACAGTCAATACAGTTCTTGAATGACTGAAAGAAAAAAAAAAGGCAATACCAAGTGTTAGCATGAATGAGGAAAAACTGTTATGGCTGGTGATAACACAAAATGGTATAGCTACCTTGTCTTATTTTAAATTTTTATTTTATTTTATTTTATTTTATTTTTGAGACAGAATCTCTCTCTGTTGCCAGGCTGTAGCTCAGTGACGTGATCTCGGCTCACTGCAACCTCCGCCTCCTGGGTTCAAGTGATTATCCCACCTCAGCCTCCCAAGTAGCTGGGACTACAGGCGTGCGCTACCACATCCAGCTAATTTTTTTTGTATTATTTGTATTTTTAGTAGAGACAAGATTTCACCATGTTGGCCAGGATAGTCTCGATCTCCTGACCTCGTGATCCACCTGCCTCAGCCTCCCAAAGTGCTAGGATTGCAGGCATGAGCCACCACACTCGACCTTTCTTAAAATTTTTTACTTTTATAGATTTAGGGAGTACAAGTATGTTTTTGTGACATGGACATATTGCATAGTGGTGAAATCTGGGCTTTTAGTGTAACCATCACCCAAATAACGAACATTGTACTGAAGAGGCAATTTTTCAACCTTCCCCCTCTTCCCACCTTTCAGAGTCTCCGATGTCTACTTTTCCACTCTCTATGTCCATGTGTATGGTACAGCCACTTTGAAAAAGGGTGTGGCAGCTCCTTATAAGTTAAACACACACCATACGACTCCTCAGTTGCATGATATTTACTCAAGAGAAATAAAAGCATGCACCCACAAAAGAGCTATATGCAATGTTTATAGCAACTTTATTAATAATATTTACAGTAATCATGTTTTTATAATTTTCTGTATTCTATGATGCTTTGCTATCTTGGGAATTTATGGACTCAGGGAGAGACCTTCCCTTCCTGGGTTAGCTAATCCCTAGAGACGGCAAACAATTCATCCTGGGATACTACTCCACTGCCCTAAATCAACCTGAAGCCACATACCAAGAGAAGGAGAGACCACCCCTGCAGCACAGAGCCTGCTAAAATTCTTCACTCAATCCTAAACCTGCTCAGGTTCTTGGCCTGTCTTTCCCATTCCTTTCTGTGAAAAACCACAATTAAGACTGTGCCTCTGCCCTCTCCTCTCTGCTTCTGCCTCCCGACTGACCCAGGTGCTTCCCTGTGTGGTCCTGCCTACCATGGTATGACCCCTTCTCTTGGAAACTGTGAATAACAAAGTACCTTCCCAATGGCAGTTGTCTCCTGATCTGTTGGCTTCACCAAACCTGAAAAACACAATATCATTGGTACCTTTTCAGGCAGTATTCAATGCTGGAAACACTCAAATGTCTTTTTTTGAATAGATAAGATACTGCGGTGCATTACTACAATGGAATCCTGCCCAGCCATGAAAAGGCAGGAGCTACTGACAACATGCAACAAAACGATGATGCCAGGTGAAAAAAGAGCCACTGAAGGTTGGGATGGTGGCTCACATTGAAGGTTGGGATGGTGGCTCACATCTATAATCCCAGCACTCTGGGAGGCTCAGGTTAGGAGATTGCTTAAGTCCAGGAGTTCAAGACCTGGCTGGGCAACACAGTAAGACCCTGTCCCCCTGCCCCCTCCCCCACCACACACACACACACACACACACACACACACACACACACACACACACACATATTAGCCAGGCACGGTGGGTAACACCTGTGGTTCCAGTTACTTAAAAGGCTGAGGCAGGAGGATTGCTTGAGCCCAGGAGTTCATGGCTGCAGTGAGCTATGATCACCTGGGCATCGGAGCAAGACTCTATCTAATTTTTTTAAAAAAGCCATTCACAAGGGGCTACATGCTCTTTGATTTCATTTATATGACATTCTGGAAAATGCAAAACTAGTAACAGAAAGTAAGTCAAGGATTGCCAGGAGCTAGTGGGGACAAGTTTAACTGCAAAGTGCCATAAAGGGATAGTTTAGAGTGATGGAAATCTTCTGTATCTTGAATGTGGTAGTGATTATGTAGCTGCATGCATTTGTCAAACTCTCTAAAAACAGGCGAAAAGGCTGAATTTTACTAGATATAAATTGTATTGGTTTTCTGTTTCTGCTGTGACAAATTGCTGCCAAGTAAGTGGCTTAAAACAACACAAATTTATTATCTTACAGTTTTATAGAAGTCTGACATCCACGTCCTGGACTAAAATCTGAGTATTAGCAGGACTGTGACTCTTTCTAGAGGCTTTAGTGGAGAATCTGCTTCCTTGTCTAACCATGACCTCATGCATCTTTCCTTATATTTCTCTATATTCATATCCTTTAATCACAGCCTGGAAAGCTTCTCTGATTTAAAAACCTTATGTGATTAGATTGAGCCTAAAAAGATAAAGCAGGGCCGGCTGTGGTGGCTCATGCCTGTAATCCCAGCACTTTGGGAGGCTGAGGTGGGTGGATCAAAAGGTCAGGAGTTTGAGACCAGCCTGACCAATATGGTGAAACACTGTCTCTACCAAAAACGCAAAAATTAGCCAGGCATGGTGGCAGGCACCTGTAGTCCCAGCTACTTGGGAGGCTGAGGCAGGAGAATCACTTGAACCCGGGAGGTGGCGGTTGCAGTGAGCAGAGATTGCTCCACTGCACTCCAGCCTGGGCGACAGAGTGAGACTCCATCTCAAAAAAAAATGAGAGAGAGAGAAGCCAGAGAAGCCGGGATAATCTGCACATCTCATGTTTCTTAATGTAACCACATCTGCAGTTTCTGTTTCCGTGGTCCAGGTTGAGCCTGTAATTTGCATTTCTAACAGTTTCTCGGATGATCCTGATGCCACTAATCAAGGGACCATATTTTGAGGAAGAAAATAGATTCTCTTGGATGTCCTATGAGCCACTAGAAATAAGAATGTTTAGCAAGGTTGCTGAATACAGAATCTATATAGAAAGTAAATCACACACTGTCCAACAGTAATGTACAATTAGAAACTACAGGCTTACACAGCATGGCTGGTGACATTAGGTAGCACTCACTCTACTCTCTCTAATGAGGATACAATGGACTATAAGAGACTGAACTATACCTGCTTCTATTTCCAACAGACTCACATTCAACTTTCATTCACACAAACGCACAGCTGGGATAATTTTGTTAGTCTTTATCTATTTTATTTGTGTGCATATATTTATATTTAGAGATGGGGTCTTGCTCAGTTGCCCAGGCTGGAGGTATGGTAGCTTGATCAGAACTCATTGCAGCCTCCAGCTATTGGGCTCAAGCGATCCTCCTGTCTCAGCCTCCTGAGAGGCTAGGACTACAGGCATGTGCCACCATGTCTGACTAATTTTTATTTAAAAAAATGTTTTATAGAGACAGGGTCTTGCCATGTTGCCCAAGCTAGTCTTAAACTCCTGGCCTCAAGTGATCCTCCCTACTTTGCCTCCCAAAGTGTTTGGATTACAATCATGAGTCACTATAACCTGCCAGTTTTTTTTTAAAGCAGTTAATATAAAATTATAGCATTAAAAGAAAAGCAACCTGTATTTAGTAACACAGCGGGAACAATCTGCAGGAGTGGTGGCAGTGGCGAGAGAAAAGGTCTAATTTAAACAATTTTCTGTAGTTGTTGGTTGTTCACTTTTCTCATGGTGATGACAGTAGACATTTTTTCAAAGGGGACGAGAAGCTGCTGGAGGTTTGCTGCTCCCAAGGATCTGGGAATCTTTGCACTACTTCAGGATCTGAGTAAGTCGTATTAAAAGTAATGTAAGTTGTATTAAAAGTACGAAAAGTAATGACAAAAACTGTAATTACTTTTGCATCAACTGAACACATTTGATAAATGTGCAATGTTCAATCCTAAGCCTGACAAAAACTGACAAATAGGAAGCTTATGTACGCAGTGAGAGTAGCATGTTTGTCTTCAAGAGATGTCTCGTTTTGCAGACATGTGGAACTACCCTCTTTCTGCAAGCACTGGTTCCCATATTGAAGCTTGCTAGACATGACAATGGGTTTGACTCAATTAAAGCTTCTTTTATTCGCATAAGAATTTCATGAAGCTTCTTCACCAAGGATACTCACGCCAGAATTTCCAGGAAGAAATAGAGATTCTTAATGCAATTTTCCCAAATGGAGCAGCATATTGTATGAGATGTATGAGTTGTGATGTTGGTACTTATATGTACTGGGTTTCCCAGGGAGTGGGGTAATCAGTCAGACAGATTAAACCCTGGAAATTCTGATGAGTGTGCTTGACCCAGCAGTTATGGACCAGTTCTGCATGAAAGATGGTGTTACTGTAGATGACGTCACTCTCTAGAATGAAATTCATGACTTGATACCAGATCCTGTCATTGAGGCCACACTGTTCAATCCTTGGGGGATCTGATGAATGGAATGAAATAAGATAGAACTTATTGGACTATTCATATCACTCCAGAACCAGAATTTTCTTACTTTAGTTTTAAAAGAAACTTAGGTCATACCTCCTATGATGACCTAATCGGGACAGTTGTGAAAGTCTTCAAGACAGGAAAATTTGTGACCACCTTGTTAGCTAATCAGAGCTCTAAATGTCACACCATGTTTTCTTCACCCCAGCAGACTGAAGGTTTTAAATGTCTTGATTGCCAGAATGCTGTGTTCAATGATTACAATTTTGTTTTTACCGGTTTTGCAAAGCAGCAATGACAACAGAGACTTGATTAAGAAAAATGAAGGAAGAAATGCAAAAAGAGAACACATGTAGAAGGGAGTGGCTGCTTTCTAGATGTTCATGCCAGGGACCATGCTTTCTATAACCATCACCTTGTTGTTGCAGAAAGCCTTAGATATAATCATAGTGCAATCATTTTGAACTGTATGCATTATTATATGAAGGAGTTAGATATCTTGCATGAATGCTCTCTTCTGTGTTTAGACGTTCTCTATCACTCTTGCTGTGAAATTGAAGTATGTGTAGAAAAAAACACGTTTTATGATATAAAACTTTGCAACACTTGTGAAAACAATTCAATTTAGTTTATGTGCAGTATGATATTTCTCCAAGTATCATCCAAAATTTCCCGCACACAATTTTGTCCCAATTAGGTGTTGGTCTCCGCCTAACCATCTGAGACTGTTCTGTAAAATTGCTGCCAGAATTTTACATCCAATTGCCTCTACTTTCTAGCACACATTCTTTACTGTTACTGAAACCAATTTCTACTTTATACAGAATTTTTTGCCACTGTAATTAAAATTTTTCTTCCATGAGTCAAGTCCTCTTATGAAAATGATTTCAGCTACTCATTTTGTGTATGCCTCTTTTAACGTTATTGGTCCCTGTATCGGTAGTACTTTAATTCATTTATTCTTTCACCATGATGTATTCCCCAAACCTACCAAATAAAGCAATACACTTAAAAAAAATTGCACTAACAAAAGGATCACATTCACAATTAAAAAAAAAAAAAGGTACCTAGAAATAGACTTAACAAGAAACATGCAAGATCTCTGTTGAGGAATGTATAAAATATTTGTGAAGGACATAAAGAATCCAAATAAGTGAAAATGTATAACTTGCTCATGGTTTGGAGGAAATATGAGAAAAGTGTTCATTTTCCTCAAATTACACTGTAAGTTTCATGCAGTCTCAATCAAGATCTGAACAAGGTTTCTGTCAAACTTAAAATGTGCTTCTAAAATTTATACAGAAAACTTACTTACCAAGAATAGTTACTGCAGTTTTGAAGAATGAACAAAATTGGGGAATTTTAGCCAAAAAAAAATTAGTTTTCTGATTACCTAAAGAATTTGTATGACCCAATCAGAATAAAACATCCCAATAGGAAAACAAAAATAAGCAACTGATGCAAAGGAAACTAGCATAGCCAAAGCAGTTATGAAAGATTACATCAGGAAAACTCCAGTTAAAACAATAGACTATTATGTCCTATTCATCTTTTGGGAAAAATTTAAATATCTGACAAAACTATGTTGGTGAGAATTTGGAAAAACAGGAGCACCAATTCCTGGTGGTGGATGCATAAATGTATACAAATGCTTTGGAAACTGTATTAGTCCATTTTCATGCTGCTGATAAAGACATACCTGAGACTGGGTAATTAATAAAGAAAAAGAGGTTTAATAGGCTCACAGTTCCTCGTGGCTGGGGAGGCTTCACAATCATGGTAAAAGGTGAAAGGCATGTCTTACATGGCGGCAGGCAAAGAGGGAATGAGAACCAAGCAAAAGGGGTTTCCTCTTATAAAACCATCAGATCTTGTGAGATTTATTCACTACCATGGGAACAGTATGGGGGTAACCACCCCATGATTCAATTATCTCCCACGAGGTCCCTCCCATGACACATGGGAATTATGGGAGCTACAATTCAAGATGAGATTTGGGTAAGGGCACAGCCAAATCATATCAGAAATCATCTTGAACAATCTAATTGTTGCAAATGCTCTTGCTCAATGATCCAGGAATCCCACTTATAGGTGCAAATCCTGAAGAAACTGGCATTCAATGAGATTCATCCGCATTGTTTATATTAGTGAATAAATAGAAACAACCTAAATGTCCACCCACAGGAGAACAGATAAATAAATTGTGGCATAGTTATCTAATGCAACATTACATAACAGAAAAAAATGAATACATTGAATCTGTAAGTATGGCATGAGTAAATCTAAAAAATATAATGTTGGGAAGAGGATTAAAAAGCAAGTTGCAGAATATATAAATTTATCAAATTTACATAAAATTTAAAATGTTCCACCTAATTTCTATGCACTGCTTACATATATAAAAATATGTTTATCAATATAAAACCATGGATAAGAATGATAAACATGAGGTCCTCTTACTGGTTAACTGAGGAATAAGTGAATAACATGGATTCAAAAAGGATGGTGTGGCCGGGTGTGGTGGATCACATCTGTAATCACAGCACTTTGGGAGGCCAAGGCAGGTAGATCACCTGAGGTCAGGAGTTCAAGACCAGCCAGACCAACATGGTGAAACTCCATCTCTACTAAATACAAAAATTAGCCAGGCATGGTGGTGCATGCCTGTAATCCCAGCTGCTTGTGAGGCTGAGGCAGGAGAATTGCTTGATCCTGGGAGGCAGAGGTTGCAGGGAGCCGAGGTTGCAGTGAGCCGAGATTGCACACTGCACCCTAGCCTGGGAAACAAGAGTGAAACTCGGTCTCAAAAAAAAAAAAAAAAAAATCGAAAACAAAAAAAGGACAGTGATGAAGGCCTCAACCATGTTTGAAACCTTGTTTCTGTGTTTAAAGTGTCTTACAAAAATGGAGCACTGAGTTTAGATTTGAAAGAATTTTTCAATATACTTTATAGGTTATTTTCTGGATGTTTGATATACTTCACAATAAAAATTGAAATAATTTTGTTTCCCACTTTTCCACTTAATCGTACATTGTAATTTTTTTGTATAACACAGTAATCTTAATACAACTCTTAAATTTTCGCTAGTGTTTCATTGGCTGAATACTAAACCTTTCTCCCTTAGTTGGACAACTTTCAACTTTCCAGTTGGTTTCAATTTTTCAATATGATAAAACTTCAATCAAATCTTTTCAAAAAGGGCATTTTTCAGTTTTTAAACAACTGAATATGAAATGGAGCACTTGAAAAGAGATGAACATGGCAATTGAGAAGAAAAGTTAAGATAAAAACTTTTCTTCTTAGTTGAAAGTTTAAAATCACAAATCAACTACTGGAAATAATTTGCAGACATATCCAAAGAAAAGGTAAATAAAGAACATTTAATTATCCTACAAGGAAGCATCTAATTTTACAAAGACATATTAGAGACAAACCACAGCTACATGCAAGTCACTGAATCACAACACAAGATTTCATGTTGTTCATATTCAAAGGCTATTTTTTCAATTGTTTGTCAACCACAGTACTCAGCTTTTCCATTGTGCATATGCCAACAGTCTCTTCCTAAGTAAAACTGGGCATATGGAACATTTCAGCTCTAAAGTTTGGCCTTTCAAGTTATTCAAATATAAAAATAGCCAAAGAATGAAGTTAAAATGGGGGAAAAAAAGTATTTTCCGTTCATGCATTGCTTTCAATTATATGTTCCAGAAAAAAAATTACCTTCAGGCTGAGAAAAAGCATGAAAAATTTCAACCTCAAATCTAAATATCAATACTTGTGAAAGTAAAATGCAGAGAAATGTGGTTAGGGCTAACAATTACCCATGATCTCGTCTATTTATTTCCTAGTCGTCTTATCTGCCTTTACTCTCAGAGACACACACAGATGCTATATATTTTCCCTCTACAAAATTAATTTTAATTCTGCAAAAATCTGGGAAGGAGAATGGATTGCAGAGTCAGACTTTAGTTTGAGTTCAATTTTTGCCATTTTATGTTCTATAAACTCAAAAAATACCTAAATATTTCAGAATTTCACTTTCTCCCATCTCTAAAGTTAGAATATGACTACTTTTGTCTTGCTTTAAGTATTATTTGAAATAAAGTATGGTATAAAAATTTAAGTATTAATTAACAATCATGTCACTGTTTATCTAAGGATTTAGCAAGCTGTGTGAAAGCTGTCTAGCCTGCAAAAGGCAGTCAAAAGGTGTTTGTCCTTTTCCCCTTTCTCTTGGAAAACAAAAAGACATAAAATTATCATCTGCAAAAGTTGTAGTAGTTATGCTACTATGGTATATGCCATTGCTTTATGGAGTAACTGATTGTTTTCTTTTAAAAATTGCAATGATAGACTGAATAAAGAAAATTTGGTACGTATACACCATGGAATATTATGCAGCCATGAAAAAGGAATGAGAATATATTCTTTTCATGGACATAGATGGAGCTAGAGGCCATTATCCTTAGCAAAATAACACAGGAACAAAAAACCAAATACCGCATGTTCTCACTTATAAGTGGGAGCTAAATGATGAGAACACATGGACCATAGAGGGGAACAACACATACTGGGGCCTACTGGAGGGTGGAGCGTAGGAGGAGGGAGAGGATCAGGAAAAATAACTAATTGCTACTAGGCTTAATACCTGGGTGATGAAATAACTCTGTATAACAAACCCCCATGGCATAAGTTTACCTGTGTAACAAACCTGCACTCGTACCCCTGAACTTAAAATAAAAGTTAAAAAAAATTACAGTTGATACCAGTGCTTCACATAGCTCTTTAAATTTATTTGCTCTGAGAGGAATACTGAATAGCACCTTCATCAGAATAACCTGTGGTGGTTTTTAAAAAATGCTAATTAATGGCTCACCATAAGCTCCCTGGGAATGTGGCCTAGTGGTATGTATTTGAAAACAATTGCCCATTTTTGTTTTTTTTTCTGGCAAGCAGTGGCATTTGAAAAAATGCTCCTTCAATGTTTAGGTGAATATGGTCAACAACAACAGGGTTATTACAGATGTCTCCCTGTGCTGCTCTGGGAATACTACTACTATTCTATCGTAGACATTAAAGATTAAAGGTTCCTGGGGTAAGTCTTTTATAAAATATTGCCATGTATTCTCTCGGGAAAAAAATGTGCCTGGCATAGGAGAACACTCAGCCGCATGAATACTTAATAAATTACCAAGAAATGCCTAAACCTTCCATATACCAGAATAAAGCTTATGCTCAGAAAGTCTTGTGTTTAGCATGTTTCTTTGTGCAGATTCATGGTTGATTACACCTCGTAGGGGTGGTTTCCATTTTCAGAGCAGGCCTAGCCAATTATCTCATCAAGAGTCCAAGTCACATGTCACAACACTGAAGGGAAATACCTTCAGAAGGATTTATTCCAACCAGCAGAATCCATACTCACTGAACACTGCTGGGCTTCACTTCTCATAGGTGAAGGGCAGGTTTGGGAACTCTTCGTTAAGCTTTTTTTATTTTTCTTACAGACAAGGTTGCTCTGTCACCCAGGCTATATAGTCCAGTGGTATGGTTGTAGCTCACTGCAGCCTCTGTCTCTTAGGCTCAAGCCATCCTCCCACCTCAGCTCCCCAAGTAGCTGGAACCATAGGTGTGCACCACCAGGCCTGGCTGATTTATTTTATTTTTTGTAGAGACTGGGTCTCACTCTGTTGCCAGGCTGGTCTCAAACTCCTGGCCTCAAGAGGTCCTCCCCTCTCGGCCTCCCAAAGTGCTGAGATTACAGCCATGAGCCACTATGCCAGTCTTTTGTTAAGATTTCTATATGCTTTGTACTAAAGCAATATGTGTAACCACTTTTAAGGGCAAAGAAGGAAGTAACTGACTCCAGTAAGATTTTAACAGTGTCAGGCTGGGTGCAGTGGCTCACGCCTATAATCTCATATTTTGGGAGGCTCAGGTGGGCGGATCACTTGAGGCCAGGATTTTGAGATCAGCCTGGCCAACATGATGAAAACCTGTATCTACTAAAAATAAAATAAAATAAATAAAATAAAATAAGCCATGTGCTTGTAATCCTAGCTACTCAGGAGGCTGAGGCATGAGAATTGCTTGAAGCTGGAAGGTGGAGGTTACAATGAACCAAGATGGCACCAGTGCACTCCAGCCTAGGCAACAGAGCAAGACTCTGTCTCAAAAGACAAAGAAAACACAAAGTAAAAAATGAAAACAAAAAAGGATTTTCATAGTGTTATCTGATTGTTTGGAATAGCTGAGCTGGAGCCCACGCATTTTTAGTGCACACTTATTACCCTGCCTCCCTACCTCCCCACACTAGGACCTTTTATGTGCTTCCACCTCTTTGTATGCTTAGGTGTTTTTGTTTAGAAACTGGAGGAGAAATAAAAAGTTTGTATGAGTGGAGAAAGATGGAAGAACTGCTGTGGCATGTTTTTTGCTTCTTCCAGCATCAAGATATTAGACTGTGCTTCTGTCTAGAGTACAGAGATCCTGAGAGGGAGAAAAAAGGCACCTGGTCCTAAGGGAACTTCTTTGCTGTGAGGCGCAGTATTGAATTAGGCCTCACTCTAGCCCAGGAGAAATAACCATCGGTGCCTTACACCTGCCTGCACCAACGACATGATTTCCAATTCAGCTTTCTCAGTTTCATGGTCTTGGAAAACAATTGCTTTCGAGAATGGATCCACACATTTCTGTAACTGTAAAGAGATGTTGCCTTTTGACTATAAATAAACCATAGTTTGATATTTTTAAGTTCCATGGGGTTAAAAGAAGGGGCTTCAAAGGAGGTACCCTATGGCATAAAATATTGAAGATGCATTGGAGAATGTGGACAGGCACAGATGGAATGGCTCTCCAGAAAAGAGGATACCGTACAGGAAAAGGTGCTGAGCAAGATAAGCTTTTTTTTTTTTTTTTTTTGAGATGGAGTCTTGCTCTGTCACCCAGGCTGGAGTGCAGTGGCACTATCTTGGATCACTGTAACCCCCTACTCATGGGTTCAAGCGATTCTCATGCCTCAGCCTCCCGAGTAGCTGGGATGACAGGCGCCTGCCACCTTGCCTGGCTAATTTTTGCATTTTTAGTAGAGATGTGGGTTTCACCATGTTGGCCAGACTGGTCTCAAAATCCTGACCTCAGATGATCCACCCACCTTGGCCTCCCAAAGTGCTGGGATTACAGGAGTGAGCCACCGCACCCAGCCAAGATGAGCAATTTGAAACAAGGCTGTTCTTTAAGCAGGGAGTCTAGTCGAGCTTAACTGGGGTCCACATGAAGGAAAAGACCCAGCTGGTGAGGACTGGGGGTTACCATCCAAGCATGCACAAATTGTCAGGTTGACAAAGAAGAGTCATTCAAAACTTCATGAGTAGGGAAATCGTACAGAAAAGTGCAGTGAAAACGTACTAGTCCAGGCTATTTCAATAATCCAAGCAGAAAGAAATGAAGAGACACCAGTGAGACTGGTAAATGCAGGAAGAGAAAGGCAAATGCTGTTGCCACTTTCAGGACTACACAAATCAGGAGATGGGTTGAATTGGAGATGCCAGTGAGTCGTAAGTGGGAGCAAGTCTAGAAGACATGTGAGACACAAACCTAGGAGTGAGATGAAAAGAAGGGGGAGGTAGACAAGGTTAGGGATAGCAATTTGGGAGTTATTGATCATTACATGGGAGTTTTTACTGCTTGGTGCCAGGTATTTTTCTCAGCTCGAGACTGATACTTAGCTTTGCTTTCCTCTATGAGCAGTCTCCCGAGGACTCAGCCTCTTTTTCTCCTGTTCTTTCACATACAGTGCTTTTCCTTCCCCTCTCTTACCTGCTGATATGATTTGGCTGTGTCCCCACCCAAATCTCATATTTAATTATACTCCCATAATTCCCACATGTTGTGGGAGGGACTCGGTGAGAGATAATTTGAATCATGGAGGTGGTTTCCCCCATACTGTTCTTGTGGTAGTGAATAAGTCTCACAAGATCGGACGGTTTTACCAGGGATTTCCGTTTTTACTTTTTCCTCATTTTCTCTTGCTGCCACCATGTAAGAAGTGTCTTCACTTCCCACCATGATTCTGAGGCCTCCCCACCTGTATGGAACTGTAAGTCCAATTAAACCTCTTTTTCTTCCAGGTCTCGGGTCTGTCTTTATCAGCAACATGAAAATGGATTAATACACCTGCCTTCCCTACTCTGTAGCCTACTGAGGAGTAGAATCTAGTCTCTACACATTCACACATTCTCACATCCTTCTTCTTGCCTCTGTGTTTTAAGATTTTCTTAACAAATTTTTATAGGAAAGAAGACACAGCCCAAAGAGGCTCAAAGTCTTCTGAGATCTTGCTGTGGAGATTCCTGGTGTATAATTTCTGATGGCCTCCAAGAAGGTAAACGAGAAGCTTCTAGGAGCCTTCATCCTTCCTCACTTTTTTACTGAGCTTTGGTTCACAATATCATCTCTTCCTCCCAGACTTATTAAAGACTATCGTCCCCTCTCCTTAGCCTCCAGGTGCAATCCAAGCTGGAGATTTTGGCAACTGGAATTCCTCCAGACCATCAGGATCTATGTCCTTTTCCAGAAAGATATTTCTGTGGCCCCTCCTCCAAAAAAACAGCTGTCTCACCATCATGGTCTTACCTGCAGAATCAAGTGACCTCTTCCCATAAGAGACTGCAGATTTAACTCCTGAATTCTCCAAAATGTCCAAAGCAAACACAGAACTGCTAGATTTAAACTATCTTTCTTGTCTTTTGCCAAGTTAAATTATTTGGCCCTGTGGCCAAACTCAGAGAGCAGACCTGTATTTCAGTTTTTCCCCCTATAAAATTATTGTTTGACTAATATTCCTCCTGTTAAGTTAAATAAATTATGACAGTTTTGTAAAGAATTTAGATGTCATTATTTTCCATCTTTGTGGAATGAAAGCTCCGTGTGTACTGAATCTTTTTACAAATCTCTTAACTTCCTTAAACGTTGTGCTTGTTTGCGGTTCTCCCAATGATGATCACATCATTTCCTGAACATTCCCAGGGTGAACTCAATGCAGATTCTTCAGATTTTAGGGAAAACGTGGATTGGTAGAAAAAAAAACAAAAAAGACCATGGTTTTCAAAATTTTTTTTCTATATTCTTCCCCATTGACATACTGTACTGTTTAAAAGTGTCCTATTATACTATATACTGAGATGTTAAGCATAAAATCTTTCCTTAGATATGTTCCTATGACATTTCATCCATTTCCAATAAAACATGTGGGTAAGTAAGATGTAGTGGATGTCAAAACTAATAGGTTTATTTTATGCAAAAGTATATAATCTAATAGCCTTCCTTATTAAAGGTGACTTATAAAACAGACATTTAGGCAGTGATGTGCAGTTTCTGTATTTAACATTTAAAATTATTACATGGGCTTGGCTTATGCTTTGTATGGAAGCTTAAAAGGTTGTCAAAAGTTAGAGATGAAGGGAATTTGGGGTTTTATTGCCACACTGGTGTTTTGGACACAAGGCTAAAACACACAAAGATCAATTTAAACAGAGGACTGGCCGTGGAGTAAGTCTGACGAACTTCTGTGTGAGTGACTTGGACATGTAAGTCTTTGAGTATCAATACCCTGTCCTGTAAAACTAAAGCACCTCAGTGGTTGTTTTGAGTCTCAAATGAAATAATGAAACTGGATGTGTTTTTGTAAACTGTGCCACACTAGGTGAAAAGCTAAGGTCATTCTACTCTGTGGTTAGTAGTTCAGTTCTCTTAATGTGTAACACTTGGTTCTCCAGCTGCTTGGTTGATAATAATGCCAACTATTCAACTATTTTCATCCAAGGACTTAAATAAGAAACACCATCTCTATTTGTCTGTTCTCATGCTGCTAATAAAGATGTACCCAAGACTGGGTAATTTATAAAGGAAAGACTTTTAATGGACTCACAGTTCCACATGGCTGGAGAGGCCTCACAATCATGGCAGAAGGCAAAGGAGAAGCAAATGCATGTCTTACGTGGTCACAGGCAGGAGAGCTTGTGCAGGGGAACTCCCATTTATAAAACCATCAGAGCTCATGAGACTTATTCACTATCACAAGAAAAACACTGGAAAGACCTGCCCCTCATGATTTAACTACCTCCCACCAGGTCCCTTCCAAGACACATAGGAATTATGGGATCTACAATTCAAGATGAGATTTGGGTGGGGACACAGCCAAGCCATATCACTATCCCAGCTTTTTGGGAAGCTAAGATGGGAGGATCACTTGAGCCAAGGAGTTTGGGGTTACAGTGAACTATGATCGGGACGCTGTACTTCAGCCTGGGAAACAAAGCAAGATCCCAACTCAAAAAAAAGAAATGCTAATGTTTTGGAGTGCCGTGCAGGTCAAGCCTTCAGGCTCCAGGTGCCCATTCCCCCAGCTGCTGTGAGTGTTGGCTACTGAGAGCTCATAGCTGAGTTCCTTTCCAGCAAATGCCCACATCAGAAGGAAACAGCCTTCCCTGGAGCAGTCTGCTTCTGAAGATCAGCCGATGTAAGAATACACGGGCCCAGCTCTCTGCCTCCACTGAAGATAATTTTGAAGAGTCTTCCGAGATTTCATTTTCTGCTGGGACAGTAGAGGCCCCGTTTGCAAAGGCCTCACAGTTCTCAGTCACCCTCTGTCCCATCCTGCTTCCCCCACCTCCTCACAGGGTTATTCCCAGGTGTACTGCCTAAAAAAATTCTCCTTCAGGTAAATCTCCATTTCAGGAATTGGTGCCATTTAAAAGCTCTCCAGATAACTGCTGTCTGTCACACAAGGAAGATCACTAGTTTAATCTCTGCATCGGACAATATTGTTTCTAACATTGAACAGTAGTGTGCCAAAAATTAAAGTGTAACATTTCCAATCTCAGTTTTTTCATCTGTCAGATTGGAATAACTCCCTTACGGAGTATTTGTTATAAGACATACATAATGTGATAATATAGCGTCTACAACATTGTGAATACTCAATAACTATTGGTTTTACTATTTTTATGGGAAATCAGAAAGTGAAGTTTAGAGTTCCATGTGATTGGGACTATATTAGATGTTCTGTAATGAAATCTTTAGACAAGTGATAGTACTAATAATGTAATTATTAGTAACATATAATTCTAGAGAGATTTAAGAGTAATTTATTTGGGTGTTGATATGCTTGGCTATTTGTTCCTTGAAATCTCATGTTGAAATGTGATTCCTAATGTTAGAGGTGAGGTCCAATGGGAGCTGTTTGGGTCACAGGGATGGATTCCTCATGAATAGCTTGATGCCCTTCTCACAGAAGTGAGTGAATTCTCACTATTAGTTTCCAAGAGTACTGGCTGTTGGAAAGAGCCTGGCACTTCCTCTACTCCCTCTCTATTGTTGCTTCTCCCTCCATGTGATCTGCCCATGGTCACTTCCCTTTGCCTTCTGCCATGCGTAAAATCTTCCTGAGGTCCTCATCAGAAGCAGATGCCAGCACCGTGCTTCTTGTACTTGCCTGCAGAACTGTGAGCCAAATAAACCTCTTTTCCTGATAAGTTATCCAGCCTCAGGCATTCCTTTATAACAACGCAAACAGACAAAAACAGATAGCAACCAAGAAAAGGGGAAAAGTATTATATAAACTGTAGGAGGCATTTTATATTTACAGTGGAGATATTTATGTAGGAAACACACCCACACCCACATCAAATTTATTGTTAAATAACGTTTGAAAAAATTCTGGCTGAAGTGTGTGACTAACACGATAGCATAAAATATTTGTTGTCAATTGGTGCAAGTCACAGGATAATTAAAAGGTCAAAAAGAGTAACTGGAAGGGTGAAGCAAAGCTTTGGGGGAGGATTGTTATCTATTATTTATGTAGAATTTTAAAAATTGCTACTGTTTTACAGAAAATGGTGACCAGCCTGTCTCATTTCAATAAGAAGAAAAGAATCTAAAGTCCTGGATTTCCATTAGAAGGTGGGAGTTATATAGGGAGGCTATTAACATTTTTCATTTTCCTGCTCAAACACCTTTTAACAAGGGTCATGGTACTCTTACTCTACATGAAACAAATAGTCACCACAAGAAGCTGTTGAATTATCTAAAGAAAAATAATAAGAAAGACATTATCCAAAGAAAAATCATTTCTTCAACTTAAGTAGGATTGATGGGGCAAGACACTGTTAGGACTAATAAAGCATCATTATCCACTGTATCAACCCATAATCCAAATCAGTTTAAAGTCTTTAAAGTGCCTAATTCAGAATTTTTCCCCCTGTAATGGTTTGAAAAATGACCATCCAACACTATAATCAGAGAAGAGCTGAAATAACAGAACTGGTTTTATTTGCACTAATGTTTGTCTTTAGTTTAAAAAAGAAATCAAGTAAACTAACTAATTTTCATACTGTTGCCAAATTTTCTTTACTGGTATAACTCAGTATTTCAGACCTTTGTGATACAAAATAAGATTGCAGTTAATACTTTTGTAACTTTAAAAAAATTTTTAAATATTTCAGATTGACAAGTAATGAAGGCTCTTACTCATAACACCTTATTGTATAAATCCTTGATAATTGTCACATTTATCTCTGATTATATTAAGGCAGAAAATATGACTGGGTGTTTTGAAGCCCTCTGTGTTCCTCACTATAATTTCATTTTTCAGTCTCTCTCCCCAGAGGTAATGCCTACCCTAGATTTGTATTTATTATTCAGTAAATACGTTTACAATTTTAATAACATATTGGTAACCATTAATAAAACATAGTTTTTAATAGAAATGATATTATTTTCCAACATGCTTTGTTCTGGCTAAATATTAAACTTTTAAGATATATCTGAATTGCTATTTGTAAATTTAATTCATTCCATTAATTATGTTAATAATTACAGTATTAGCATAATTATGTTACAGTATTCCATTTTATGATAGAAAACAATGTATTCATCCATACTCTTGTCTTTGTGATCCAGCTTTTTTCTAATTGTTCTCTTTCACAAACATCCATTGTGCCTTGTATGAGGGCTTTTCTGTGGTATGTATCCAAAGTGGCATGGCTAGGTCCCAGGGTCACAAGCATTTTCAGTTTAACTCAATCTTTATAATTGCTCTTGACAATAGTTTAATCATGTTGACAGTCTCTCCAGCACTGTGTAAGAATTCCCAGTTGCCTGCAATCTGATCCTCACTTAGTAATACAGATTTTTAATCTTTCTCTATCTGATGGTTACAAAATTGTACCTTCTTGTGTAAATTCTCAATTTTCTAATTACAGTGTGTAGAAGTATATGTATTGGCTTTTAAAATCTTCTGCTACTTGTCAGCTCATAGTTTATGCAAATTTGCTATTGGGTTATTTTTATTTGTAAAGTTAATATTAGGTCTGCACATTTTTTGGATAATAAAATTGTCCAAGTATTTGTTAAAATAACATTTAAATCTATTTAAATTTAATAAAAATCCGGATCAGTCTAGTTCTGATAGTTCAGCTCTTTTCTGATTTGTGTTGGGGGGTCATTTCTAAATTCTTTAGGGAGAAAAAATCTGAGTTAAGCTTTTTAAAAAAGAAAAAGCTCAAATATCTCAGTAAGGAAGTCAGGCTGGGAGGCAGGGTAAGTACTTCATTTAGTATGTACTTTAATTTTCTACTGTGAGGTAGGAATGTGTTTTTTTTTTTTTAATTTTCCCATAGGTTATTGGGATACAGGTGGTGTTTAGTTACATGAGTAAGTTCTTCAGTGGTGATTTGTGAGTTTTTGGTGCACCCATCACCCGAGCAGTATAAACTGCACCCGATTTGGATAGTCTTTTATCCCTCTCCTGCCTCCCAACCTTCCCCACAAGTCCCCAAAGTCCATTGTATCATTCTTTTGCCTTTGCATCCTCATGTCTTAGCTCCCACATATCAGTGAGAACATATGATGTTTGATTTTCTATTCCTGAGTTACTTCACTTATAATAATAGTCTCCAATCTCATCCAGATCACTGCAAGTGCCATTAATTCATTCATTTTCATGGCTGAGTAGTATTCCATTTTCTTTAACCACTCATTGATTGATGGGGATTTGGGTTGGTTCCACGATTTTGCAATTAACGGATTGTGTTGCTGTAAACATGTGCAAGTATCTTTTTCATATAATGACTTATTTTCCTCTGGGTAGATACTCAGTAGTGGGATTACTGGATCAAATGGTAGTTCTACTTTCGGTTCTTTAAGGAACCTCCACACTGTTTTGCATAGTGGCTGTACTATTTTACATTGCTACCAGCAGTGTAGAAGTGTTCCCTGATCACTGCATCCACATCAACATCTACTGTTTCTTGATTTTTTTATTATGGCCATCCTTGCAGGAATAAGGTGGTATCACACTGTGATTTTGATTTGCATTTCCCTGATCATTAGTGATGATAAGCGTTTTTTCACATTTCTGTTGGCTATTATTTGTACATCTTCTTTTGATAATTGTCTATTTGTGTCCTTAGTTCACTTTTTGATGGGCTAAGGATTTAGCCCACTAAACCAAACTAAACAACCAAAAAGCCCACTTTTTGATTGTTTGTCTTTTTCTTGCTAATTTCTTTGAGTTTGTTGTGGATTCTGGATATTAGTCCTTTGTCAGATGTATAGATTGTAAAGATGTTCCCCCACTCTTTGGGTTGTCTGTTTACTCTGCTGACTTCTCTTTTTGCTGTGCAAAAGCTCTTTCATTTAGTTAAATCTTGGTTATTTATCTTTGTTTTTATTGCATTTGCTTTTGGGTTCTTGGTCATAAAATCCTTGCACAAGCCAACATCTATAAGGATTTTTCCAGTATTATCTTGTAGAATTTTTATAGTTTCAGCTCTTAGATTTTAGTCCTTAATCCATCTTGAGTTGATTTTTGTATAGTATGAGAGATGAGGATCCAGTTGCATTCTCCTTTATGTGGCTAACCAATTATCCCAGAACCATTTGTTGAAAAGGGTATCCCTTCCACACTTTATGTTTTTGTTTGCTTTATTGAAGAACACTTGGCTGTATTTGGGTTTATTTCTGGATTCTCTATTCTTTTCCACTGGTCTATGTGCCTATATTTATACCAGTACCATGGTGTTTTGGTGACTATGGCCTTATGGTATAGTTTGAAATCAGGTAGTGTGATGCTTCTAGATTTGGTCTTTTGCTCAGTCTTGCTTTGGCTATGCAAGCTCTTTCTTGGTTCCATTTGAATTTAGAATACTTTTTTCTAATTCTGTGAAGAATGATGGTAGTATTTTGATGGGGATTGCATTAAATTTGTAGATTGCTTTATGCAGTATGGTCATTTTCACAATATTGATTCTACCTATCCATGAGCATGGGATATGTTTCCATTTGTTTGTGTCATCTTTCATTTCTTTCAGAAGTGTTTTGTAGTTTTCCTTCCAGAGGTCTTTCACCTCATTGGTTAGACACATTACTAAGTTTTTCCAATTTTGTTTTTTGCAGCTATTGTAAAAGGGGTTGAGTAATTGATTTGATTCTCTGCTTGGTCACCATTGGTGTATAGGAGAGCTACTGATTTGTGTACATTAATCTTGTATTTGGAAACTTTGCTGAATTCTTTTATCAGTTCTAGGAGCTTTCTGGAGGAGTCTTTAGGGTTTTCAAGGTAAATGATCATATCATGAGCAAAGAGTGATGGTTTGAATTCCTCTTTACTGATTTGGATGCCTTTTATTTCTTACTCTTGTCTGATTGCTCTGGCTGGGACTTCCAGTACTATGTTGAAGAGGAGTGGTGAAAATGGGCGTCCTTATCTTGTTCCAGTTCTCAGAGGGAATGCTTTCAACTTTTCCCCATTCAGTATTACATTGGCTGTGGGTTTGTTATAGATGGCTTTTATTACATTGAGGTCTGTCCCTTGTATGCCAATTTTGCTGAGAGTTTTAATCATAAAGGGATGCGGGATTTTGTCAAATGATTTTTCTGCACCTATTAAGATGATTATGTGATTTTTGTTTTTAATTCTGTTTATGTGGTGTATCACATTTATTGACTTGCATATGTTAAACCATCCCTCCATCCCTGGTATGAAACCCACCTGATCATGGTGGATTAACTTTTTGATATGTTGTTGGATTCAGTTAGCTAGTATTTTGTTAAGATTTCAGTATCTATGTTCATCAGGGATATCGATCTGTAGTTTTCTTTTTTGGTTATGTCCTTTCCTGGTTTGGGTATTAGGGTGATGCTGTCTTCATAGAATGAATTAGGGAGGGCTCCCCCTTTCTCTATCTTGTGGAATAGTGTCCATAGGATTGGTAACAATTCTTCTTGGAATGTCTGGTAGAATTCTGCTGTGAATCCATCTGGTCCTGGATTTTTTTTGGTTGGTAATTTTTACATTACCATTTCAATCTCACTGCTTGTTATTGGCCTGTTTAGGGTATCTAATTCTTCCTGATTTAAGCTAGGAGGGTTACATTTTTCTAGGAATTTATCTATCTTTTCTAGGTTTTTTAGTTTCTGTGTGTAAAGGTGTTCATAGTAGCCTTGAATGATCTTTTGTATTTCTGTGCTGTCAGTTGTAATATCTCCCATTTCATTTCTTATTGAGGTCATTTGGATTTTCTCTCTTCTTTTCTTGGTTAATCTTGCTAATGATCTATCAATTTCATTTATCTTTTCAAAGAACCAGCTTTTTTATTCATTTACATTTTGTATTTTGTTGTTGTTGTTGTTGTTTCAATTTCATTGAGTTCTGCTCTGAACTTGGTTATTTCCTTTCTTCTGCTGGGTTTAGGTTTGCTTTGTTCTTGTTTCTCTAGTTCCTTGAGGTGTGACCTCAGAATGTCAGTTTGTGCTCTTTCAGTTTTTTTGATGTAGGCATTTAGGGCTATGAACTTTCCTCTTAGCACCAACTTTGATGTATCCCAGAGGTTTTGATAGGTTGTGACACTACTATTGTTCAGTTCAGAGAATTTTTAAATTTCCATCTTGATTTCATTTTTGACCCAGTGATCATTCAGCAGCAGGATATTTAATTTCCATGTATTTGCATGGTGTTGAAGGTTCCTTTTGGAGTTGATTTCCAGTTTTATTTCATTGTGGTCTGAGAGAGTGCTTGATAAAATTTTAATTTTCTTAAATTTATTGAAGCTCATTTTGTAACCTATGGTCATATGGTCTATCTTGGAGAAAGTTTCATGTGCTGTTGAATAGAACGTGTATTCTGTGGTTGTTGGATGGAATGTTTTATATATATATCTTATGTCCATTTGTTCCAAGGTATAGTTTTAATCCATTGTTTCTTTGTTGACTTTGTCTTGATGACCTGTTTAGTGCTGTCAGTGGAGTATTGAAGTCACCCACTATTATTGTGTTGCTCCCTATCTCATTTCTTAGGTCTATTAGTAATTGTTTTATAAATTTGGGAGCTCCAGTGTTGGATACATATATGTATAGGATTGTGATATTTTCCTGTTGGACAAGGCCTTTAACCATTTTGTAATGTCCCTTTGTCCTCTTTAACTGCTGTTGCTTTAAAATTTGTTTTTTCTGATGTAAGAATAGCCACTCCTGCTCACTTTTGGTGCCCATTTGCATAAAATGCCTTTTTCCACCCCTTTAAGTTTATGTGAGTCCTTATGTATTAGGTGAGTCTCTTGAAGGCAGCAGGTAGTTTGTTGGTGAATTCTTATCCATTCTGCAGTTCTGTATCTTTTAAGTGGAGCATTTAGGTCATTTATATTCAATATTAGTATTGAGATGTGAGGTACCATTCCATTCATCATGTTATTTGTTGCCTGTATACCTTGTTTTTCATTTTTGTTTTTGCTTTTTAAATTGTATTTTTGTTTTATAGGTCCTGTGAGATTTATGTTTTTAAAGGGCTCTGTTTTGATGTGTTTCCAGGATTTGTTTCAAGATTTAGAGCTCCTTTTAGCAGTTCCTGTAGCAGTGGTTTGGTAGTGGTGAATTCTCTCAGCATTTGTTTGTCTGAAAGAGACTGTATCTTTCCTTCATACATGATGCTTAGTTTCACTGGACATAAAATTCTTGGCTGATGATTGTTTTGTTTGAGGAGGCTGAAGATAGGGCCCCATCCCTTCTAGCTTGTACGGTTTCTGCTAAGAAATCTGCTGTTAATCTGATAGGTTTTCCTTTATGAGTTACCTGGTGCTTCTGTCTCATAGCTCTCAAGATTCTTTCCTTTGTCTTAACTTTAGATAACCTGATGACACACAATAATCTTTTTTTGATGAATTTCCCAGATGTTCTTTGTGTTTCTTGTATTTGAATGTCTAAGTCTCTAGCAAGGCTGGGGAAGTTTTCCCTGATTATTCCCTCAAATATGTTTTCCAAACTTTTAGATTTCTCTTCTTCCTCAGGAACACCAATTATTCTTAGGTTTGGTCATTTAACATAATCTCAGACTTCTTGGAGGCTTTGTTCATATTTCTTATTCTTTTTTCCTTGTCTTTGTTGGATTGGGTTAATTCAAAGACATTGCCTTAGAGATCTGAATTTCTTTCTTCTACTTGTTCAATTCTATTGCTGAGACTTTTCAGGGCATTTTTCATTTCTACAAATGTGTCTAATGTTTCCTAAAGTTTTGACTGTTTTTCTTTATGCCATCAATTTTCTTGAATATTTCTCCCTACACTTCTTGTATCATATTTTGGATTTCCTTGCATTGGGCTTCACCTTTCTCTGGTGCCTCCCTGATTAGCTTAATAACTAGCCTCCTGAATTCTTTTTTCAGGTAAATTGGGGGTTTCTTCTTGGTTTAGATCCATTGGTGGTGAGCTAGTGTGATTTTTTTGGGGGGGATGTTAAAGAGCCTTGTTTTGTCATATTACCAGAGTTGGTTTTTTGGTTTCTTCTCATTTGGGTAGGCTCTGTCAGAAGGAAGGTCTAGAGCTGAAGGTTGTTGTTCAGATTCTTTTGTACCACAGGGTGTTCCCTTGATGTAGTACTGTTCCCCTTTTCCCATGGATGTGACTTTCTGAGAGCCAAGCTGTAGAGATTGTTATCTCTCTTCTGGGTCTAGCCACCCAGCAAGTCTACCAGGCTCTGGGCTGTTACTGGGGGTTGTCTGCACAGAGTCCTGTGAGGTGAACCATTTATGCATCTCTCAGCTGTGGATACCAACATCTTTTCCAATGGAGGGGGCAGGGGGCTGAAATGAACTCTGTGAGGATTCTTAGCTTTGGTGGTTTAATGCTCTATTTTTGTGCTTGTTGGCCTCCTGCCAGGTGGCGGCGCTTTCCGGAGAGCATCAGCTGTGGTAACATGGAGAGAAACCAGAGAGTGGGTGGGGCTTTAGAACTTCCAAGACAGAGGCTCTGGAAGCCTCTGTCTTCAGCTACCAGAGTGGGTAGGGAAGGACCATCAAGTGGGGGCAGGGCTAGGTGTGTCTGAGCTCAGACTCTCCTTGGGTGAGTCTTGCTGTGGCTGCTGTGGGGGAGGGGGGGGTGAGGTTCCCAGGTGAATAGAGTTGTGTACCTAGGAGGATAATGGCTGCCTCTGCTGAGTCATGCAGGTTGTTAGGGAAGTGAGGGAAAGCTGGCAGTCACAGGCCTCACCCAGCTCCCATGCAATCCAAATGGCCAGTCTCACTCTCACCATGCCCCCTCTAAAGCATTGAGTCTGTTTCCAAGCAGTGGGTAAGCAGGGGTGAGAACTTGCCGCAGGCTACCCACCTCCCAGCTGTGAAAGAAAAGGGCTTTCGTTCTTCCCCCACCTGTGGAGTCTACACGCTGGATTTGTGCCCTCCCTTGAGTTCTGGCCAGGAGGCTTCTCCACCTGTTCAAATTGTTATAAAGTTCAGCTGGAGACTTCCTTCTCTCCGTGGCATTTTCCTCATGCCTCTGGCCACCCTCCCAAAGGATCCCTGTGAGGCCAGGCAGGAATGGCCTGCTTGGGGACCCAGCAAGCTTCTAGGGCCTTTGCTGCTGCTTCCTCTACCCCTGTATTTCGCTCGGCTCTCTAAATGGACTCAGCTCCAGGTAAGGTCAGGAACTTCTCCTGCAAACTAGATCTTCTGTGTCCGTAGTGGGGGTGTTTGTTCAGGGGCAAATGATCTCCCTTTCCCACTTTCATGCGCGTCCGTGTGAAGAGACCACCAAACAGACTTTGTGTGAGCAACATAGCTGTTTATTTCACCTGGATGCAGGCGGGCTGAGTCCGAAAAGAGTCAGCGAAGGGAGATAAGGGTGGGACGATTTTATATGATTTGGGTAGATAAAGGAAAATTACAGTCAAAGGGGGTTTGTTCTCTGGCAGGCAGGAGTGGGGGTTGCAAGGTGCTCAGTGGGGGTGCTTTCTGAGCCAGGATGAGCCAGGAAAAGGACTTTCACAAGGTAATGTCATCACTTAAGGCAAGGACCGGCCATTTACGCTTCTTTTGTGGTGGAATGTCATCAGTTAAGGTGGGGCAGGGCATATTCATGTCTTTTGTGATTCTTCAGTTACTTCAGGCCATCTGGGCGTATACATGCAAGTCACAGGGGATGCCATGGCTTGGCTTGGGCTCAGAGGCCTGACACCCACTTCCTCAGTTTGGGCACTCACAGTATTTGGGGTGTCTCCTGGGTCCTGCAGGAGCAGTCTGCTTCCTTCAGAGGGTTGGTGGGTCCTCTCAGGATTCCTGATTTATTCCTGTAGTCGTTTGGGAGCTCAAATTCGTGATGTGAGCCTCCGCACACTGTTCTGTCTGTCCGAGTCAGAGCTGCAATCCAGTTCTGCCTCCTGTCAGCCATGATGATCACCTTTAATTTTTTTCTAATATGAATAACCAGTTCTGCTAGAACTATTTTCTAAAAAGTCCATCATATCTTGCTGATATGTAATACTAAATCTGTTATATATCAATCTCCCATAGATTTGAGGGTCTATTTTTGAACGAATTCTGTATCTTTTATTTATCGTTAATGTCAATATCTTTTAATTATCTTGGATTACAGTAAGTCTTAACTTATTGTAGGGCATATGTTTCCACCCTATTCTTAAATATCTTGGATATTTTCCATTCTTTAGTCTTCTGTATTAATTTTATAAGTTGTTTATATTCTTGGGAGAAATTTAAAAGAAAAATCAATTTGCCAGTGATTGAAATGACATGATTTTTATTTTAAGTTAGAAGGAATAGGTATTTTTATACCATTGAGTATTTTATCATAAATATTTTTATCTCTTTTATCTACTTATTTAATGGTTTGTTCATTTATTTCTATATACTGAAAACTTTGTTGCTTTCTTTTATCTACTTAGTTTTTTGTTCATTTATTCCTATATACTGAGAACTTTTGTTGTTTTTTGGTTTTTTCTGTGGTATTCATTAGAGCAATATTGGAGCTTTTAATATTTCCATATTAACTGTGTGTTCTGAATTCTATTTTTAGTAAAATAAAAATTGTCTTCTGTTCTACATTCTTTGTTTTTAGGTCTACTGTACTAGCTAAAACCTAGAAAAATAAATTGAATAGAAATGGTGACGACAAGTATCCTTGTCTTATTTTTGGTTTAGCTTTAAAGAACTTCCAGTGTTTTACTATTAAATATTATGTGTACTACAGATTTTTGGCAAATACCCTCTAGCAGACTAAGAAAGTTTCCTTTTATTCCCAGTTAGCTAGATGGATTTTATATTTTGCTTTGTTTTAATTATATATTGCTATTGAATTTTCAAATGCTTTTTTTTTGGAATCTATATAATCACATAAATTTTTATCTTTAAAATGTTAATGTGGTATGTTAATGTGGTATGCTACTTTAATACACTTGTACTGGGAAATATATAGAGGTATAAAAAAATAGAGAAGTGCTTGGTCATATGTCTGACACATGCATATCGACAAATCTGTTCCCCCCAAAGATGGGCTTTTTCTGGGTTTGGTGTCACTGAAGCCTATATACAAAGCTGAAAGGGAGCATCAACTAGTGAGGACTTGATTCCATGGCTACATAATTGAAAGGCAGGAACCTGGCTCAGAAATCAACTTTAGGACAAGTGAGGAGTGAGAGGGCAAAAATATAGGCTCTCTCTAATGAAGGGGTTGGCCATTAAAAATGAGGTGAGGAATATTCATGTCTTTTCCAGAAATGAGTGGTGAACTTGAGTGCCACCTTCCTTTTGTCCTTTAATGGCTTCTTCTGGTCATTGTCATGGTGATTGTAAACTGTCATGGTGATGGTCAACTGTCATGGCACTAGTGGGAGTGTCATTTAGCATGAGAATGAGATTATAATGAAACCTGAGCTCTTTTTGAAGTTGTTAAGTCCTTTGATTAGCTACCATGATTCTAACCAGTCTCAGGTGGTCTGGTTATAAGTAGAACTTTGTCACAGGCATCCTGTTTCTTTTCTTTTTTTTTCTTTTTGAGATGAACTTTCACTCTTGTTGCCCAGGCTGGAGTGCAATGGTGCAATCTCGGCTCACCGTAACCTCCACCTCCAGGGTTCAAGCGATTCTCCTGTCTCAGTCTCCCTAGTAGTTGGGATTACAGGCATATGCCACCATGCCCGGCTAACTTTTTTTTGTATTTTTTGTATTTTTAGTAGAGACAGGGTTTCTCCATGTTGGTCAGGCTGGTCCCGAACTCCCGACCTCAGGTGATCTGCCCACCTTGGCCTCCCAAAGTGCTGGGGTTACAGGTGTAAGCCACCGTGCCTAGTCCCTGTTTCTTAAAGAAGTTAGGATGGGGTAGAATTCAGCTAGGTCATATAGGCTGGTTAACATGAGGGGTGTCTTTGGGAAGTAGACATAGAAATAAAATTCCTGGACAAAAGGTATGAGTATCTATGAAGTTACTATTTAATGCAAAATTGTTCTTTCAATTAATTGTTTCATCGTCCCCTAACCCCTGCCCACTCCAGTCCCCAATCAGTATATTAGAATTGCCATGTTTCCATATTTTCTCTAATACTTCATCTTCTGAGACATTTTGATTATTGCCCATTATACTAGTGTGAACTAATATCTACTTGCTGGATACATTTACATTCTGCTGATTTTCACTTATTCATTTTCATATGCTTATTGGAATTAAAATACTTCTATTAACAAAGAATTCTTAAATTTCTAAAATAAAATCTACGTATTTTATGATAGATTTTATTTAGACTATTTGGATGCAATTGGCCAGTATTTAAGATTTTTATATCTCTATTTATGTAATATTAAACTATAAATTTTCTTTCTTATACCCTCTTTTGTCAAATTTCGGGATTAAAGGTTGCCATAGCATTAATAAACAGTTGTGAAAAATTCCTACTTTTTCTATTTTATGAAATAATTTCTTTAATATATGGATTATTTGTAAGCAAATTTTGGTAAGCTCTTCTGTAATACTATTTGGGCATGGTAACATTTTGTGGGTGTATTTTGGCTACTGATTCAAGTTTCATAAATGAATATAGACTTATTTGTGCTTTCAATTTCTTCTTAGGTAACTTCTATGAATTAATATTTTCCTAGAAACAATAATTTTATCCAAGTTTTCACATCTGTTGGCGTAAAATTAGTCATGGTAATCTCTCGTATGTTTACATATTTTCTATTAGCTATACTGCTTGTCCCTTGCTCATTATCTTGATTGTTTTTATCAATCTGCCCATAGATTATTCATCACATCAGATTTTTCAGAACCAAGACATTGGTTGTGTTATTTCTATATTCCTTGGTTTTATATCTCATTAAAATTTGCTTTTATTTATTACTTTCTTCCTTTTACTCTCTTTGGACTTACTCTGCGTGTTAGTCTGTTTTCACACTGTTGATAAAGACATATGCGAGACTGGGTAATTTTTACAGGGAAAAGGTTCCATGTGGCTAGGGAGGCCTCACAATCATGTTGGAAGGCAGACAGGAGCATGTCACATCTTACATGGATGGCAGCAGGCAAAAAGAGCGAGCTTGTGCAGGGAAACTCCCCCTTATAAAACTATCAAATCTTGTGAGACTTATTCACTATCATGAGAACAGCATAGGAAGGACATGCCCCTATGATTTGATTGCCTCCCTCTGGGTTCCTGCCACAACATATGGGAATTGAAGATGAGTTTTTGGTTAGGGACACAGCCAAACCATATCACACTGTGATTTTTTTTTGAGTAAAAGTTTGTTCATTAATTTAAATTATTTTATTCTCTAACATATGCATTGGAGGATATAAGCGTAGTTCTATCTAACTTAAACTGCATTTCATAATTTTTAATAGCTTTATTAAGGTATAATTAACATACAATAAATTGTAATATTAATGTGTAAATATTACACGTTAAATATTATGAAATGATCATTTCTGTCCCCAATTTCCAGCAATCAATCATCTACTTTCTGTCACTATACATAAGTTTATATTACCTGGAACTCTACAGTATATCTCCCTTTTTTGTCTGGCTTTGTTCACTCAGCATAATTTTTTAGAGTTAGTCATGTTGTTGTGTAGATCAATGGTTCATTTCTTTTTGTTCCAGAGTAACATTCCATTAGAGAGATATACAACATTTTTTAAAATCATAAACCTGTTGATGAACATTTGGACTATTTATAATTTTTGGCTATTACTAATAGTGCTGCTGTCAATATTTGTGTACAAGTTTTTCTATGGACATACAGTGTCATTTCTCTTGAGTAAATACCTAGGAGTGAAATGGATAAATCATGTCAGATTTATAATTTACAATTGTACAATTGCTTTCCAAAGTAGCTTGGTTATTACCAATTTACATTTTGACCACCAGCATATGAGAACTCCAGTTCTTCTGCATTCTTGCCAACACTTTATTTAAACTTTTTAAATGTAGCTGTTTTCATGGATGTCTTATAATATCTCATAAGGATAAAATTTGCATTTCACTAATGAATAATGAATAATGTCGAACATCTTTTTAACCATCTGTCTAGCTTCTTTGGTGAAGTGTGTGTGTTCAAATGTTTTGTCTATTTTTTAGTTGTTTTTTTTCTTACTCTTGAGCTTTGGGAGTTTTCATGTATTGTAGATATAAGTCTTTTATCAGATATATACTTTGTAAATCTTTTCTCCCAATATGTGATTCATCCTGTCTTCTTTACATTGTATTTAGAAAACCAAGTTTTAAATTTTGATATCTAATTTATTGATATTTTTATTTTATGGATTATGCTCTTGGTGTTATAGCTAAGAAGTCTTTGCCTAATACAAAACCACAAAGCTTTTCTCCTGCACTTCCAGAATTTTATAGATTCAGGTTTTATATTTAGTAATATATCAAAAACATATCATATATTATAAAGATATACTACATATCATAATGCATCATACATTATGAAATGTATGGCACAATAAAAAGAAAATGTGTAATATATTTAAACAGCGTAAAGAATGAACAAAAACACCTATATGCCCATAAACCAGTGTCTAAAGGAGAACATTACAACGCGTATTCCTCTCTAATCTCAGCTCTTCTGCACATATCACTAGATGACACTTTCTTTTGTTGTTTAATGCTTAGGTCCCTAGCAACATATTGCCTTTATTGTTGCCCCTCCTTATCATTTGTAAAAATATAATCAAACTGCATTCCTGAGTTGCTTTTCTTGTTTAATATTGTGTTTTGGAAATTCATCCAAGGTGGTTGGAGAATATTAATTTTTATGTCTATTATTATATATGTTTACTGTGTATTTATGCAACCTACCATTGCTGACTTTTGATATTTTAAGGCTTTTATTTTATACAATGTTGAAATAAATATTTTTATGTTATGTCCTCTTGGACATTATATGGTAATACCTTTTCAATATTTATGTCATTTTATATACATATACATATATAATGTATACCACAATATATATTCACCTTTATTAGATAATGCTAAATAGTTTCCAAAGTAGTTATAACAAATTACACTCACACCAGCAATGTATGAGACTTTCATTCTTAAACATACTACCATCAGTTAGTATTACAGGGCCTTTTCATTTTTAGCAACCTGGCTGGTATGTAGTCATATCTTATTGTTATATTAATTTCACTTGCCTGATGATTAATAAAATTATGTCTTCTAATATGTTTATTAGACACTTGTGTTTCCTTCTTTTTTTCAATACAAGCACCTAAGAGATATTGCAGCATTAATTCCAGACCACTACAATAAAGCAAGTATCACCATAAACCAAGTCAAACAAATTTTCGGGTTTCCCAGCAAATACAGAAGTTATATTTACACTATACTGTACTTTATTAAGTGTGCTATAGCACTGTGTCTTTTAAAAAATAAACACTTTAATTTAAAAATACTTCATCGCTAAAAAATGCTAACAATCATCTGAGCCTTCGGCGAGACTCATCTTTTTCTGGTGGAGGGCCTTGCCTTGATGTTAATGACTGCACACTGGTGAGGGTGGTGGTTGTGGAAGGTTGGGGAGGCTGTGGCAATTTCTTAAAATAAGACAACAGTGGAGTTTGCAGCACTGATTCATTCTTCTTTTCATGAAAGATTTCTCTATAGCATGCGACGCTCTTTGGTAGCATTTGACCCACAACAGAACTTCTTTTCAAAATTGGAGTTATTCAGCTGGGCGCAGTGGCTCATGCCTGTAATCCCAGCACTTTGGGAGGCCCAGGCGGGTGGATCACGAGGTCAGGAGATCGAGACCATCCTGGCTAACACGGTGAAACCCCGTCTCTACTAAGAACACAAAAAATTAGCCGGGCATGGTGGCGGGCACCTGTAGTTCCCAGCTGCTTGGGAGGCTGAGGCAGGAGAATGGCATGAACCCGGGAAGCAGAGCTTGCAGTGAGTGGAGATGGCGCCACTGCACTCTAGCCTGGGTGACAGAGCGAGACTCTTTCTCAAAAAAGAAAAAAAAAAATTGGAGTTATTTTTCTCGAACCCTGCTGCTACTCTATCAACTAAATGTATGTAGTATTCCAAATCCTTGGTTGTCATTTCAATAATGTTTACAACATCTTCACCAGGAGTAGATTCCATCTCCAGAAACCACTTTCTTTGCTCATCTGTAAGAAGCAACTCTTCATCCATTCAAGTTTTAGTGGTTTTTGTTTGTTTGTTTTGCCCAAAGGCACTATGTGTAAATCATTTATTTGAGGGAAAAAGAAAGGAATTGCAGTCATTCCTTCAATGAAGACTGTTTGCTTTATTAAATATTTTCACCCTGCCACTGTTTCCACGTTTTATAGATATACAATTTTTTGTTTCAATATGAAATCATAGTGTAATCTTTTAAAAGACATTTTAAGTGGCAACCATATATGCATCTATGACCAACTTTACCCAAGTACAGGAAATGGCATATGGTGACGCTATCTGGCCAGCAGCTTTTGTGAAGCACTCTAGATTGTGTAAAGTACTACAACCTTTGAGAAGTTAACATGCAAAAAATACGTGCATCTCGTGCATCTCAGTAGTGTGGCCAAGTGTCGTCGTTTACCCAGGATTGATGAGGTTCTCAGAACACGGGACTTTTAGCACAACTAGGAAGCCCCAGATAAACCCACTTGAGTTGGTCTCTGTAATCAGAATCAATTCAGTATGATTGGTCAAAGGTACAAACTTTTAGTTAAAAGATTAGTAAGGGCCGGGCGTGGTGGCTCACGCCTGTAATCCCAGCACTTTGGGAGGCCGAGGCGGGCGGATCACGAGGTCAGGAGATCGAGACCATCCCGGCTAAAACGGTGAAACCCCGTCTCTACTAAAAATACAAAAAAATTAGCCGGGCGTAGTGGCGGGCGCCTGTAGTCCCAGCTACTTGGGAGGCTGAGGCAGGAGAATGGCATGAACCCGGGAGGCGGAGCTTGCAGTGAGCCGAGATCCCGCCACTGCACTCCAGCCTGGGCGACAGAGCGAGACTCCGTCTCAAAAAAAAAAAAAAAAAAAAAAAAAAAAGATTAGTAAGTTCTGGGGATGTAATGTATATCATGACAACTCCAGTTAGTAACATTGCATTGTGTATTTGAAATTTGTAACAAGAGTGTATATATATATATTTTTTTGTTTGTTTGTTTGTTTGAGACGGAGTCTCACCCTGTCTCCCAGGCTGAAGTGCAATGGCGCCATATCGACTCACTGCAACCTCCACCTCCTGGGTTGAAGTGATTCTCCTGCCTCGGCCTCCCGAGTAGCTGGGATTACAGGCGCCCACCATCATGCCCGGCTAATTTCTGTATTTTTAGTAGAGACAGGGTTTCGCCATGTTGGCCAGGCTGGTCTTGAACTCCTGACCTCAAGTCATCCGCCTGCCTTGGCCTCCCAAAGTGTTGGGATTACAAGTGTGAGCTACCACACCCGGCCATGAACCGAGTAGATCTTAAGTGTTCTCACCACAAAAACATGATAAATTAATATGTGAGGTGGTGGATATATTAATTTGATTGTAGTAATCATTTAATACAAAATTTATATTGTATATTATATGCATATATATGTATATATGTATATATAATATATAATATTTTATATTATACATATTTTCTATATATATATAATACCTCATTGAGGTATAATTGACAAAAATGTTATATTTGAGGTGGATAATGTGATTTATACATCGCCACCTTAAATATATACATTTTTGTCACTTATACTTCAATGAAGTTGAAACTGTGTTGTGGTAATTTCAATGACGATTGTTTTTCATTTCTGTAAGTTTTATTTGTTTTTTCTTTTTTTTATTTTTTCCCCAAATCAGCCTCCTCTTTTTTCATGGTGTTACTATGGGTTACTTTCTTTCTTTTTTATATTAATTTCTTGGCTTAGGGCCTCTGCACAATGTGAGTTTGTAAATCTACACCTTCACCTGCATGTGGCAAAGACCTGGAGTTTTGATTTCTCATGGGAAATTATGCTTCTCCCTCAAACATGCCCCTCCAGAGCTCAGGCAGAAGACAAACAGGGTTACAGGCAGGCAGAGTTCTCTAGTCTGTTTTCACTAACCCGGGGTCCTTTTGGCAGACTAGGCTTAACTTAGGGGTCTCTGTTTCCACTCACTGCCCTATATGGATCCATGGCTACCTGGATATTTTCTCATAGCCATTAACTTCAGCATTTGCTCTAGGCCCCATATCCAGGCTGATACACCCCTACAACCACCCACCATCTGTAACAATTTAATTTCACATAGATATGCCCACCACCAACATCCTCAGTCTGTCTCTGTCTTATATCAGTTCCATTTCACACTTCTGCCTCTGAGTTTCTTCTTTGTTTCTAGCACCTAGAGATTTCCCTTTCTTTCTGTTTGGCTTAAGTTTTAAATGTTGCTGTTACTGTATTTTATCTAGCAGTTTGGTATGCCTATTAGAGGTCATGGTCTGCATCAACTCAGGCAATCGTCAGAAACCGGTGGAAATTATCTTTGTCCTCTTTAGCTTCATAAACACAGACACACACACATGCACACACAACATGGACAGAATAATAAGCTCTCCTTCTTCTGAGAATCAGTTTTACAGCTTCTTCCTTATGTACATGAATTGCAGAGTTTTGATATTTTCACAATTATGTTGTGCAACATGGAAAGAGAAATAAAAGCCAAGCCCCTTTCTTTCTGATTCTATCATGAACTCCATAATTAATGTAAATGGATGAGCTACTTGGATTCCAGTTTTACAAAGAGAGGCACTCAAGTCTGATGCACGAGCCTGAAAGGTCTTCTCTCCTCACAAATGCATGGATGTATTGAAGGGGCTTGGAGGAAGGAAAATAGTCCCTGCTCCACCTAACCTAAGTACATCTTCAGAATTCCAAAATCAGTGACAGATATCACATCCTAGGTGCACAGGATCTGCAGGAGGTGCTTGGAGTCCTGTGTAGATGAGTAATGGTTACAATATCAGGAGTCTTTCATGCAGACACATGAGCACTTTATGAGTGAGAAGCAGTAAAGCATTGTGGTTATAGTGCTATACTTAATATTAGAAAGACTGAAGTTCACATTCCAGTTTTGCAACATAGTTGTTATGTTACCAAAGCCCTTTGAGATTTAGTTTCCTTATCTGTATAATAATATATTTACTATTCAAATAATGCTTTATTTAAAATATACATTAATTATGGAGTTCATGATTGTGTCAGAATTCTATCATAAATAAATAAAACATTATTTGCTTTATTATTTAGTAACAATATTTACTTCATATGTCTCTCGAAAATTTTAAATAAGAGTGCTAACCCTTAGCGTAGACTCAAACATTTCAGAATATTTATTATTACCTCCATTTATAGTATATTTCATTGTAATTATTACTGGCACATTTCTCTTACGCACTACACAGGGAGCTCCTTAAATACAGAGAGTTTGTATTGTTCATTATTGTATCTTCAATGTCAAGATCAAGAAGAACTTTGAAACCTTTTGAATTAATAATCAAGGTAATACATTAGAAATATTCATCTAGTGAAGTCACACATCATGGATCAGAACTTACAAGACTAAAGCTTGGAAGGTTAGTTAAGAAATCATGACAATATGAGAAAATTTGATGGGAACAAGCCTTAGAAATGGTGGTTAAGGATAAACAGAGGTCAAAGACTTCTAACTTTGGTACCTGAGGGAGTCATTTTCTATAGAAAGAAATCCTAAGTTTAATTTTTGATATCATCTGCCATTTTTAAACTAAGTAGCCTTCATTAAATCCCCATCATCTGAAGTAACCTAATGTATCTCTGATCCTTGAAGCCCAAGGGCTGCTATGTAATACAGGTGGTCTGGAGTGCATCTGTGTGTGTGTGTGTGTGTATGTGTGTGTGTGTACCTGAGGCAAGTAGTTAACTTGCACATAATTTTGGCAGAAACCACTCAAGCCCATTGCTTCTTCTGAAGATAATATGTTTTCACACCTTTTCCTTTGGGTATATTCAACTAATTATTCATCAAGAACTTACTCTTGTCAACATAATAGCATGGAAAGGGACAATTACTTAATTTGTCAACTGAATAGCACTGTCTTTGTTTATTTTGCTGGCCATGTTCTATCAATTTCCTTTGCTGCTTTAAAATCTGCTGATTGAATTAATGCCATTCTGGGATGTTTTAGTTATCAGGATTATCTCTTCTAATTTATGTTTTTATATTTTGGCAACAACTCAAAACACTGTTGAAACCGTGTGCATCCTAAAAAGCTCCAGTGATAGCAGTGCTACAGCATCACTGTCTTGCTCAACAAGCCCCTTGGGAGTGCAGACTTCCAAGGGCTTGTGGAGAAATGGGGCCTCATGCAGCAACATCTGATGGTTGTCATTTACAATGCCTTTGGATTTTGCTCCTGAGTCTTGTTGCAGATGACAGACTGTATTAGCTTTTTTCCATGCTGCTGATAAAGACATACCTGAGACTGGGAAGAAAAAGAGGTTTAATTGGACTTACAGTTCCACATGGCTGGGGACGCCTCAGCATCATGGCGGGAGGTAAAAGACACTTCTTACATGGCGGCGGCAAGAGAAAATGAGGAAGAAGTAAACGTGGAAACCCGTGATAAAACCATCAGCTCTCATGAAACTTATTCACAATCACAAGACTAGCACGGGAAAGACCAGCCCCCATGATTCAGTTACCTCCCCTTGGGTCCCTCCCACAACAGGTGGGAATTCTGGGAGATATAATTCAAATTGAGATTTGGGTGGGGACACAGCCAAACTGTATCACAGGGCTTTTGACTAGAGCGCAGTTGGTGGCCCAGGAGATAACCTATGTAGAGCCACATGCCTGCATAACGGCTTTCCTGGGAAGCACTGGATACAGCTTGAGCTGTTGTGCTCCTGAGAGCTTCTCTGAGCCCTCAGGAGTATAAAGGCTGAATTAATTTTCACTGCTTGTGAAGTGCAATATGAATTGCCCACACCCTGCCTTATATTAAGTTGGTGCAAAGGTAATTACTTTTATGGCTAAAACCACAAATACCTTTGCACCAACATAATATCTTATTGCTGCTGTCAGTCCCATCCTTTATTCTTGAAAATATTTTCTATTGGTACTACCAACCATTCAAAATTAACCATGAATTCTGTTTCCCAGTCCTGCTTACTACTGACATTTCAAGTTCTGAAGTAGAATCAATAAAATTTAAAGAAATGCTTTCTTTTCCAATTTATTCCTTGATATTGCCAGATATAAAGGTGTGTTGAGCTTGTCCCCTTGCCTCAGTCATACTTAACTAAGCAAGTTATTCAAAGGAAAGATAAAAATCTCTCTCTTCTGGAGCCAAGGCAGCCTTTTTCTCTTGATGTTAGAACTCAAGTTTCTCCTATCTTTGGTCTCTGAGACTTGTCCCACCAGTGGCTTCCAGGGCTCTTGGGCCTTCAGCCTTGGACTAGGAGTTACTCCATCGAATGTCTTGGCTCTAAGGCCTCGACTTGGACTGAACCACGCTACTGGCTTTCCTGTTTCTCCAGCTTGTAGATGGCCTATTGAAGGACTTCTCAGCCTCCATAATGAAGTGAGCCAATTTCCCCTAATAAATCCCTTTTCATACATATCTCTCTGTGTATATCATATTGGTTCTGTCTCTCTGGAGTACCCAAACTAAAACAGAAATTGGTACTGGAGAGTGGATTGGTTGCTATAATAAATACCTAAGAATGTGAAAGTGGCTTTGGAACAGGTTAATGGGTAGAAGCTGGAACAGTTTTGAACTAAGTGCTCGAAAAAGTCTGTATTGCAAAGAATGGAACATTAAGGGCAATGCTAGTGAGGGCTCAGAAGAGAGCTGTAGCAAGAGCTTCATTCTTGGAGATTACTTAAGTGGTTATGAACAGAAGGTCCGCAGAAATATGGACTGGAAGGGCCATTCTGATGAGGTCTTAGAAATGAGATACAAGGTATTGGAAACTGGAGGAAAGGCGGTCCTTGTTATAAAGTGGCAAAGAACTTGGCTGAATTATGTCCATATCCCAGGACTTAGTGAGAGTGTTCAGAATGCGGCAAGGCTTCTCTTAAATGTTTATAGTAACGCATAAGGAAAGAGAATGGTTTAAATATAGAATTCAGAATTAAAAGGGAAGCAGAATATAAAGGTTTGGAAAATTCTTATCCTGGCCTTGTAAAAAATAAAGAGTACGTTCAGGAGAGAAAACCAAGAACGTTGCCAAGTGACTATTTGATAAGATTAGCATGGATACAAGGAAGCCAGGGGCTAGTCATCAAGACAATGGGAAAATTACCCTAAAGGCATTTCAGAGGTCTTCAAAGGCTGCCTAGCCCATTACAGGTCCAGAAAACCATTCCAGGACACCAGAGGGACCAAGGGCACCCGTGTGGTCATGCGGCTTGCTGCCAAGGACCTCCTCAGTTCTCTGCTTCCTGCATTCTGGTGACGCTCTGACTAGCTGTGACTCAAGCAGGCCCAGGTGTAGTTCATGCTACCTGTCAGGCGCGCACAAGCGGCGATCCTTGGCTGCATCCAGTTGGTCCTAATTCTGCAGGTGTGGAGAATGCAAGAGCTGTGGAAGTGCGCTTGGCTTAGCGTGCTAAGTGAAATCTCTTAGATTTGAAAAATAATATTTTCAGAAAGAATGTTTTCAAGCAGTGTTTTATTCAGAAAGCCTCAGGGACCAAGGAGTGACCAGCCATGGGAGTGGAGCTTTTGCAGAGAGCCCCCGCTAGGGCAATGCGCAGAAGAACTGTGGAGTGGGGGACACCACAGAGAGTTCCTACTAGGGCAATGCCAGGTGGAGCCATGGGGACAGGGCTGCTCCTGAGACCCTAGAACTGTAGAGCCACCAGCATGCAGCACCAATCCCTGACAGCCACAGACATATGACTTCAGTACATCACAGGTAAGGCATGGGCTGTGCCCAGCAAAGTCATGGGAATGGGGCTGCCCGAGGCCTTGGGGCCACAACCTCCACTCAAGTGTATCCAGGAGGTGGGATATGGAGTCAAAGAAGATTATTATTTAGCCTTAATGTTGGATATTCCCTTTACAGTTGGGTTTAAGACTTACTTGGGACTTGTTACTCTTTTCTTTTTTCCTACGTCTCCCTTTTGGAATGGAAAAATCTATCCTATGCCTGACCTACCAGTGTGTCTTGGAAGTAAATAACTTTGATTGCACAGGCTCACAGCTGGAGGGAAATTTGCTTCAGGTTGAATCATGCCTTGAGTCTCATCAGTATCTGATTTAGAAGAAACTTCAGGGTTTTAGGCTTTTGAGTTGATGTTGGACGAAGTTAGGACTTTGGGGACTATTGGGATGGTAAAGATATATTTTGCATGTAAGAAGGGCATGACCTTGTGGGGTCCAGGGGTAGAATGCTATGCTATGGTTTGAGTATCTTTGTTTCCTCCAAAATTCCTGTTGAAATGTAGTCCCCAAGGCAACAGTATTGTGAGATGGTGGCCTTTGGGAGGTGATTGAGTCATGAGGGCTCCACCCCCATGAAAGGGATTAGGTGTCCTTGGAAGAGAGCTTGATGGAGTGAGTGAGTTTGCCCCTTACTGCCCTTCTGACTTCTGCCACGTGAGGACACAACATTCCTCTGCTCCAGGCAAGTCATCTGCACCATCTGGGAAGCAGGGAGCAGCCCTCACCAGATGCCAGTGCCTTGATCTGGGACTCTCCAGCCTCCAGAAATGTGAGAAATAAATTTCTCTTCTGTAAAAAGTACCCATCCTGTAGTATTCTGCTATAGTGGCACAAAACAGACTAAGACAATTGCTATCATCAAACCAGGTTTTCATTATTAAATTTGGAATTCCTTGAGATCAGAGGCCAAAATATGCTTGACTTGTTTGAGGAACAGTGGAGGTCAATGTGACCAGAATGGTGAGAGTTAAGGGGAGAGTAGAAATAAATGAAGTCAGAGGAAGCAAGGGGCCATGATAAGGACTTTGCTTTGACTCAGAGGGACATGGGAAGTCAGTGGAGGTTTTTTATCTGCGAATTGAAATAATTTGACTTTCACATTAAAAAGGATCACTTTGTCTATCATAAGAATAAATAAAGGGAAGACAAGGGCAGAAGAATATAGAGCAGATGGGAGGCTATTGCTTTAAACCAGGCAAGAAAGGTTGATGGCTTACACCATAGTGACAGTACTGGTGGTAAGAGGTGCTCAAATTCCATATTTATATTGAAGATAGATCCTATAAGGTTAGTTGATGGATTGAAGGTGGAATAAGAGAGAAAAAAGACCATCAAGGATTCCTCCAAGATTGTTGACCTGAGCAACTGGAACAATGAAACTGACATTTGCAGAGATGGGGAAGACTAAGGAAACCATATTTGAAAGGTGGATATAGGGAAAACTGAGAGATTGATTTGGGGCATGTTTAAGTTTTTTGATGCCTATTAGACAACCAAGTAGAAGTATCAAGTAAGCAGTAGGATAAACGAGTCTGGAGTGTACAAGAGTTTTATGCTGAGAGATTAAAGTTTGAATGTTATCAGCAGGTGCATGTCGCTAAAGACATGAGAGTGAATGAGATCCCTGGAGAGCGGTTACACATAGAAAAAAGGAGAAAATCAGGGCAAGACACCTAAACTCTGATGCTTAGGATGATAGGAGGAAAAATTAGGAAAGGAGATTACTGGCTTGTGGCCAGCAAAGTCAGAGGAGAGACAAGAGAGAATGGCCATGAGAAAGCCAAGTGAAGCAGGTGTTTCCAAGAAAGGAGGGAGTGAAAGATTAAATGTGATGAAGATTAGCAATCAGCCCTTGTATTTGGCAACAGGGAGGTCATTGGAGAGCTTGACAAGAGCAGTTTATATCAAATTGTTAAAACGTGAACTTGATTGAAGGGCGTTTGAGACAGGGTGAGAAACAAGACAGTGGATAGAGTGTGTATAGATAGCTCTTCTCCAGTTCCACTGAAAAGGGGAGCAGAGAAATGGGAGGTTGGAGGATGAGCCTGTAGTCTCAAGTAAGGTTGTTTATTTCCCCAAAAAATAATTTTGATGAATTTGTATCTATCAGCAGGGTGTATTAATAGGATAACATACAGATGACTTCATTTTGGTAAGAAGCAAGCTCTTTTACTTTATCAAATTGCTTTTTAATCTCCTGGACTCATCTGGCATTAAATTTGTTGGAAGATGTTATGTTAGAATGTTATCACTGAAATATCTCAAATTCCGATGAGCTATTTATTCCAAGTATCCAAGTACTTATCATAAATGGAAGTCTTCCATCTTTTTGGGAACTGCAGCAGGCACCTCCAGTTTTAGAGTCACATGACTTTATTAATGTTACTCCAAGCATTCCTTCAAAGTAATTAATACATCTTCATTTTGATCCAACACTAGACACTTCAGGATCAAGTACAGGGAGTTGGGGTGGTTCTGGAAGGATTGGGATACATTTGCTTGGATTTTCAGTGAGTGCAGCTCAGGAAAGAGAACAAATACCAAGGAGTAAACCAAGCAGTGGGAAGTCAGGAGATCAGAGACTGATGGTGAACCAGGAAAACCAATAGTGTGGTGGAGACAAAGGGACAGCATGAACTAAGCCCATCATGGTACAGAAGAGCACTGGGTGATGGAAGGATGACTCGGGGCTCAGATGGAGTGTGCAAATTTGGAAATATAGCTACTTTTAATAGGCAGATTGGTCTGTTCCTGCTGGGCTTGGCCTTTCTTATTAAGCTACTGCATTTGCAGTGCTTATACTCCAGTGTGTTCAGCATTTGAGGTGCATGAGCTTATTTAGTGGTTACCACATTCTCTGCAAATGCAATATTGTTTATTTCATAAATGAGGAAGCTAAAGTTCAGGGAGTTATTTGCCCAAAGTTATGCACCTGTTATATGGTTGAATCTGATTCTCTCTATTATAAAACACACTTCTAAAGTTTTCTGGTTTACTATCTCCAGTTGGACAGATCACACAGTCAGCCAAGTTTCCTGTTGGCAACTAATAGAAAATAAGGCTGGTGGTTGAGCATGGGCCTGGATGATATTTCATGTTGAGAATTGAAAGAATAGAAATAATTGCAAAGGAAAGATTTCTGAGGCAAGCTGTAAAAGGAGAAAAGAAAGTTTGTCTTAATTTTCAGTCTTCGTTGTTGTTTGTGCAATTAGCTTTCTCTACTTATTTTGCTTCTAAGCAGGGATATCAGTTTCATCTATTTCTTAATTGCTCTGTCTCCAAGGCAGGCATATGGTTCAAGCAAAGACTTGCAAGTATGCCAGATGAAGTGTCCACAGCCCACCTTTCTGTTAGGTGATCATAAGCTTTGAGACTGCAATGGGAAGAGTGGACATAAACAGAAGAAAGGAATGGAAGGACAATTAGTAATGTCATTTGCTGACAGCTATCCACCTTATATGAAATTGTAACAAAAAAAAAAATCCAGGTGAATTGCCAAAATTGAAAACAGACGAGAAGCATTTGGTATTTACATAGATGCATTTCCTTAATTTTGTTTTTCAAACATGCATAACTATAAGTTTTCTGATACTTGGACAATAGCTTTATACTGTAATATTTGTTGACTCCATAGTCTACATTTTTTTGTTTCCAACAGACTTCAGCTAATCTATAACATCATGACGTGTTTGTTAGTTCGTTTCCAACACAATGTCATACATGTACACCTGTGAACTTATTAAGAACCTGTATGCCCCGTGTACTTACTAAGAACACCACTTTCCTGGGCTTAAAGTCACAAAGACAAATGAGAATAATGTGAGCATTGCTTGACATGAAGTTGTGAAAAAGTGCAAATAAAACTTATAGTGAGAAAAACCCTCGTGGGCAAAGCAACTTTTTTATTTAGCTATATTATGTTGCTGGTGTCTGACACCCCCCTTTGGTCTGAAAGTATTTATAGGCAGCAGTTGCATTTATTGAAGACAGAAGCGAAACCAATTCTCAAGCAAAGAAATTAATTTCATTTGGGAGGTACTATATTTTAAGTCACTGGTGGATATAGAAATGAACATGCCTTATCAGCAAGTAGACATGTGAGCCTGTAATTCAAGGGGACAACCTGAAATGAAGGCAGATTTGGGAGTCATCCTCACAGAAAAGATCGTGGAACCACGGAAGTATACATAATACAGGTAGAAGAGAAACAAGGACAGAAAACGTAACATGCAAGGAATAGAAACCAAGAAGTTCAGAGAGGGAATATTTAGAATAACAGAGAATCAAAATGAGAGAGTTGTTTTGTAATAAATCATAGAAAAAACATTTCTTAAAGGTGTGAAGATGTTGATGAGGTTAGGAAAGAGGAAGGAAGAGAAGATAAAGGAGCACAACATGCTAAATTCCTGGCATTGCACTGAGACGAGGTAAAAAATAATTTCATCATATTTTGGACAACCAGACAGTTAAGGAATATTTTCATTTGTTCAAACTTAATAGGACTGAGCTGGAGTCATTGATTAATTTCAGCAGAACTGGAATCTTTGGTATATTGAGTCTTCTCATTTATGAATGTACTACATCTCAACATTTGTGCAGGCGGTTTTTGTGTTTTTCTCAAAGTCTTGTACACATTTTGCTAGGTTATTTCTAGGTATCTAGTCTTGTTTCCCTCGTAAATATTATCTTCCTACAATATTTTGTGATGAGTTGTGATGGTGCCAAGGAGTGTTCATGATTCCTACAGATTGATCTTGGATCCGATGCAAGTCTAATTCAAATACTACTTGGATAAAGGAGCAAATTGATTTTAAAATTCAAGTTACAGAATAAAGAGCCAGGAACAACAGAGCAATAATGATGGATTTTTTTTATTCGACCAAATGTCAAAACTTACAAAGCTGTAGTAATTTTTAAGATGTGGTTTTGGCAAAGGGATACATAGATGTTAGATCAATAAAACATATTAGCTTCCCAGACAGTACAAGCTATATGTGAGAATTAGTTAGAGGTATGAGAATATGATTCAAGTAGTATTAGAAATCAGTGGGGAAAGGGTGGACTCACAAACAAGAGGTGTTTATACCACTGATTTTCCAGATGAAAAACCATAGTAGTTTTTCCTCCTACCATGCAAAAAAAAAAAAAAAAAAAAGTAAATTCTACATGGGTGGTAGATCTCAATATGGAAAACAAAACTTTCAGAAAATTATAAGAAAATAAAGAGACCTTAAAAAGGATTTATTAGACAAGGCTCAAAATATTTGATTCATAAAAGTAAATGATGCATTTGATTATATCATTTGATGGACACATTTGACTACATCAAAATCTAAAATGCTGGTATAATAAAAGACAAACATAAAAGACGCAGGCTAATGAAAAATATTTGCATATGTTAAAAAGAATTAGTGTTTGTAATATAAGAATAATTTTTAGAAATCCATAGTAAATAAATAAGCTGCTTATTCTTGAGAGCAAACCAACAAGGCCTACAACATCCCAGTCTCCTCCCATCCCTACAGGTGTCATGAAAGTGAGGAGCATGTGTGTGTACCTGAAAAATAATTTTAAAATTATTCAAAATCATCAGGGCATCAGGATGCAGTTACGTGGCATGGAAAAGAAATGGAATTCCAGGGAAAGAGAGAAGAGTGTAACGTGGTCAAGGGATAGGTTGTAGAAGAGATTTCAGGTTGTATTCTCTTCTTTGGCTCAAAACTGCCTGCATGCATTGTTACCTACTCTGTCATCCTAGCAAGGCATAAAAAAAAGCAGTGGCAGCTACAACTGTTAAACCCTGCTGCATGGAGCAGCATTTATCAACAGATGCAGCAAACTGGACAGCCATGGAAATTTCTTCTACTCAACTCAAACAGCGTGGAGGGAAAGGGTGTTTCCATGAAGGCAAGGGTTCATAGAGAGGATATTCCTACAGGTGAGGGAGCTCTTCACCCTGGCATAGAATACCCTCCTTTCTGCTCCAGGCGGGGAAAATGTTAAGACCTGGATTATGGTCCCTCTCCCCAAAGAAGCTGCTAGGGCACCTCTAAGGAATGTGACCTCAGAGAAAAACAATGACCTAGCTAAGATCACCTACCTAAGATCTATCTCTAAAATCTATCTGAGACCTACAAATTACATCAGAGAGAGACAACAAAATCATACAACCTATACCAGGTGGAGAAGCATCACTATAGCACGGAAACATTTAAAATAAGCATGATAAATAAGTATCCTCCAAGAAATAAGGGCAGATTCTAATCACATAATGCAAGATCAAACATCTATTTTTTTTAAATCAAGGAAAATTATTGATGTGAAAATACAAGAGTTGAAACAAGAAACCCAGCAAAGGGAATAAATGGCAAAAGAATTAGAGCAGAAGAGAGAATTAGTGAGCAGAAGTCTTCAGGAAGCCATAAACAGGAGAAAAATAGAAAGTTAAGAGAAGTAGCAAAGAGAAATAGAAATGTCCGTATAATAAAGACAAATAATAGAAAAGGAAAATATTTTTAGGAAAAACATTCAGACATTCCCAGAATTAGAGATTAAAATGCTTATGGAGGACCAAATAAAATAGATTAACAAAAAATCCCAAAACTGGACCCTCTGGTAGTTAAGTCAAATTTGGAAAAGAATATCAAAGGAAAGGTACTTGCTCCAGCAAATATGAATAGATAATACAAGGACATAATAAATACTCAATGGTGCTGGGAAAGAAACTTCTAATATACCAGAAGAACAGGATAGAGAATTAAAATGCTTATGAAATATGGATAGATTGCTTTAAAATAAAATGAGGAAAGATTCTACTGTTTAATATGCAGTGCTGGGAGAACTGGCATTTTTTAGAGGAAAAAAAAAAAAAGAAAAATAAAAAGCTGGGTCCTTTTTTTCACTATAACAAAGTTAATGGATACTCCAGAGAGTTTAAACTTCTTAACATGAGAATTGAAGCCATAAGTCTAATATGAGGAAACAGAGAAGTTCTTGTAAACTAAAAGTGGAGAAGATCTTCTTAACGTGAAAAGTCAAAAGGTTTTCATAGCATCAGGTGGCAAAATATTGATGAATTTACCTGTATCATATTAAGGATTTCTATTTACCAAAAGAATGGATATATAAAATTAGAAGACAACTGACCATTATTTTCCATTCACAAAACCAAAGCCAGATGAATACCTAGAATTTACATGGAACTCCTAACAATTAATAAGAAAAATATGGAAATTTTAGGAGAAGAAAATGCTTCTTGAAAACATATGAATCAGCATAAATCAGAGAGGAAATCTGAATAGTTAACAAGAATGCATTATAATAAGAAAAATAAACAGTTAAAACATCCGTATATCATTTTATGTCCATATTGTTGGCAAAATTAGAATGATGAATAGTAACACGTATTGGTAAAGATACTGAGAAAAAGAATGCTTATATATCGCCATTGGGAGCCTTAACTAATGAAACAATTCCAGAAGACAATTTGTTAATATCTACTTTGCTTAAATATCTATATACCTGACAACCCAGTTATTTTACTCTTGGTATATATATTGCAAATAATTCTCATAAGACATAAGTGAATATGAATAAGGACATTTATTTGGGTTACTGGCTAGCTGAATATAAGCTGGGTTCCTCTTACTAAGAGAATACACCATTAAAAGTTGGTGGATGCAGTCTAGGGAAAACTGTGAAGCACTGAAGCAACAAAATAAATTTAGGCAGTAAGGAAGAGGAAGATGTCAAGAACTCCATCCATTGTCTTGAGTAATGGTTTATTATGGTATCAATTACTGTGATGTTGTTTTGGTAGTCTACTGCTCCATAACAAAGCATCTTCACATTTAGTGACTTAAGACAACAATCACTTATTTTGCCTACAAATTTGCAATTTGGGTTTGAAGGCTAAACGGGGGTGGTTCATTTCAACCCCATGTGACATAAATTGGGTCACCTCTATCTTTTTCCAAGAAGATTTCCTTACACGGCTGGCAAGGTGGTTCTGGCTGTCAGATGGAACCCAGGCTTCTTGACCGGTGACCTCAGTTTCTTCACATGTGGGCCTTCCCATGTGGCCTGACCTTCCTTATAAAATGACAGTTTGCAAAACATACTATTCTGAGAAACAGGAAGTGGAAGCTTCCAATCTTAAAACCTGGACCTAAAAATTGCTACAAGATTATTTCTGCCATATTCTAATTATCAAGCCTACTCAGATGCAGTGGGAGAATTGTCAAAGAATTTGTGGATATCATTTATTATTATAAACAGATATAACCATCCATTTCTACATCCATATGTGTCATTTGTTTGTCTGGCTGCAAATGATTTACTCTCCTTCCATGTGAAGAATACTCTTATCCTTTCCTAAGGCTCCCCTAAATCTAATGCCATTATGGCGTCAACTCAGAGTCCAAGATCTCATTATCATTGAAATCACGTTCAGGTGTAGATGAGGCTCGTTAGGTGTAGTTACTGTCTGTCTGAAGACCAGCGTGTTCCCCACAAACTCAACATACAATAGTGGACTAGGCTTAGCCTAACTGTAATAGTCCCATTCAAAAGGGCCGCAACACGGCCACGCAGCAGTCGCTGGTCCTTTGCATGTTTACAGTTCACAACAGCGCACATTGCAGTTTCTTGATGAGGGCAATTCCTACTCTATGGAAATTATCCTGCAGAGCTATTGGCTCTGTCCTCTAGGTTTGTAGTCCTAGCCACCAAGTCATACTTCATCTTCCATAAGAAATCATCTGTCTTACAGCTAAGTACTTTTCTCAGCCTGCTTCCTTCCTACAGACATTTGGGAGTTCTAATTATCTCTTTTTACTTTGTACTATCTTTCCATTTCATTCCTAACTGACACAATTTCTTTAAAACATTTGTGGGTTTCTTATTTACCAATTTATAGTAAATTTCATTAAATAGAAGTCACATCCACATTTCTTTCCAAGACAGACCTTGTGTGCCTTGGGTGGCTGGTGACATTGCTGTGGAATATTGCTCTTAACACCTAAAAGCCCTGTTATTTAAACTAAAGTATCTATGATTCTTAATCACAGGCCTTTTGATTCTCAGAAGTCCTACTAGGTACAACCTTAAATTTTTCTGAAGTCTTAACAAAAAATCTTAAAGCTATACTCTTGAAATCTTTGCCCTGAGTCCATGGTTTACTGATAGAGGCCTGGATTTGGTCTTTGCCCTAGAGCCATTTTTCACTTTGAACATTTTTTTCCTGGGTAAAAATGACAGTGAGAAAGTTTATTTTTGAACACAGCAAGTCCTGTATTCTTTGTATTTCCTCTAAACTTAGGTTGAAAGCTTAACCGGTTTTTATTTAAGTTTATCTCTCTCTTCTTATATTTTATCACATGCAGCTAAAAGAAACCAGATGGCCCTTTTGACATTTTACCTGGAAATCTCCTTAGGCAGATCCGTGAGCTTATTAGACATTTTCTCTACTATATTCTACAGGTGACGGTTTTGCTACACTTTTCACCACTGCCTAATACAGGTCATTTTTTCTGCAGCATTTCCCTTGCTGTCTTTCAACTTCAAATCTTAATCAACAATCACTTTCAGCTTCCACCTGCCACCTGGTCCCAGAGCTGACACTATGTTTAGATATTTGGTTATGGCATCATCTTACATCTAGGTAACAAATTCTGGTTCTAGATATAATATATTTCAAGCACTCCAAGAGATAGCACGTGGGAGGTGCCAGCCTCTTAAAAGCTGGGCCCAGAAGCTGAGCAGCATCACTCTGAACAAGCTTGTCCAGATTTAAGGGCAGGGAATGAAACTAGTGTCAAAAAAATTACTTCTCACAGATGGGGAAGTAAGAAGTGGGAGCAGGTTTGAAGATCAGAGCTCAATTCAGCACATTGAATTAGAGACAGACAAGTTAAAATTTTTAATAGGCATTTAGATGTGATTCCAGATCCCCCGAAAAAGAGATCTCGGCTTGAGGAATAAATCTGGGAGCTATGAAAATGAATACTCTTAACCCCCAAAAAAGTCTAGAGTAAGAAGAAAAGAAGACTTAAGACTAATGCCTGAGAAATTTTAACACAGAAGTGTCAGATAGGGGAGCATCCAGCAGTGTAGACAAAGAAAGAGTATCCAGAAAGGCAGGAAGAAAACCAGACCAGTGTGGTGTCATGGAAGTCGAAGAAGAGAACTAGTTAAGAAACAGTGGTCTGGCTGGGTGCAGTAGCTCACGCCTGTAATCTCAGCACTTTGGGAGCATCATTTGAGGTCAGGAGTTCAAGACCAGCCTGGCGAACATGGCAAAACCCCATCTCTACTAAAAAAACACAAAAATTAGCCGAGTGTGGTGGTTGGGTGCTTGTAATTCCACCTACTCAGGAGGCTGAGGAAGGAGAATTGTTTGAACCCGGAAGGCAGAGATTGCAGTGAGCCAAGATCGCACCACTGCACTCCAGCCTGGGTGACAGAGGGAGACTCTGTCTCAAGAAAAAAAACAAAACAAACAAACAAAAGAAAAACCCAGCCATCTCATAACATGTGTGCACTTCCCCTCAGGCCTCCTGCCAACTTAACGAAATGAAGCACATAGAATAACAAATGAAAACAACATACTTTCCTGCTGGGTTAAGGCTACTGGCAGGGTTTTGGCCAGATTATGAAATATGGTTTTGTAAAAGCAAAGAAATATTTAGATACTGTGACTTTCCATATAAAAAATTATGTATATAAAGAACCAGAAAGCTTGAGAGCTATGATAGTTATTGTCTGAGCAGAATCTACTGAATTTCTAATAAGGATGATACGCAGAAAACAGAAAAAGGAACTCCAAACCATCAGCATACCCGAGAATCATCCCTGCGCACCACGGTCAGCCATTTTGCCATTTCATTTGTTTATTTCAAAGGAGAAAGACTGTCTTTCTGGAGGATGAACAACCAAGATATGATATATGTTTTCACTAGGTATAAATCAAATAAGAGTACTGCAGAGAAGTAGAAATTTCCTTTTGAAACCATGTTCATGAAACTGAGTTTTGGAAATGATGGCTGCCTGGGTGGTATTGCTGGATCAGTTCAAGTTGGCTTGTATTTATTGGAAGGGAACACTGCAATTTGCTTAAAATACTCTTCCATTCTAGAATGTTTTATTCACCTCAAGTCCAGCTTCTGGACACGCTGATGTCAGGATTCCATCTCACTTCCTTCTTGGTCTCCTCTCTCCTTCAAGGGACACAAAGCATTTGACCTAAAGCAAGGACAAAAATCGAGTCTTTTTTCTTTGAGAGGCCCTAAAACCCACTCTATGGATGACTGCCCTACTGTGGAAGGAAATACTGATACATGACATGAAGCATTGTCAGTGTCTCTAAGGATGATTGGTTTCATCTCTTGTGGGGAGATAACTGTAAAACCACTCTTCTACGGATGTTTGCAAAATCTGGAAGTTCTGGAGGAAATGTCAAAATCCTCCATGTTTAGCACTGTATAAAAACTAGCTCAATGCTTTGTGGAAGTAGGGCTCGGGTCACCTACTTCTGGTTGGTTTTCTCTGAAATATCCCAAAGAGGTTAACAGCAAATAAATATAAAAATGCAGAGAGATGAGCAAAAGAGAAAAGATTCTAAGAGAGATGAAAAATAAAAGATTCCAGGAAGGATCTGGAAATTATACACGTTTTTCCAGGAGATTGATTTGAATTTTGGAAAAGTCGTCTAACTGCCTGGAGTTTATGCAAATCCAAGCTCTGAATGTTTTCTGAGGTCTGCCCTATCAGTCATAATATATAATGGAAAGAACTAATTATCTTAGAACTGTGCAGCTGCATGCAACCTTCAGATTAATATCAGAGTTCAAAGAGAGAAGCAGATGTGTAAGGCAGAAGCAATGCCAGCTATATACTTTGGAGCATTAGGAAATATTTGGTTTGATGAAAGAGTCTTATTCAATAATAATTTTCCATCTCTTAACCATGGCGATGGGATTAATATATATTAATCTGTCAACTAGATTGCTGTTTTTCATTGTATTTGTTATTTTTCCATGTGCGGCTTCATAGATAGGAAATTGTAGCATTTTCAGAGCTCATGTGGATCTTGTAAATCCCAATGGAAGACACTAAGAAAAACAAATCTAAATAAGGTGTCTGTACTATTGTCAATTGCAATTTATTATTCTCTTTTTAGCAGAACTGAGAATAACACTATACAAGTCAATTTGCTGAAACTTGTCTCTTAACTTTTTAGCTAAATAGTTGAGGTTTAGAGGCACGTTTTTAAGACAGTGAGTGTTTGTCGGCATTGCGCTTTAAGCAACCCTTCTAGATGCCTTGGAAAATGAGCTCAGTTTTCACAGGCTTGGAAAATTGTAAAACCAAAGATGCTAAGTGCTCAGTTTGACTCTGGAAGCTGTCTAGCTTTGTGACATTCGCATGTCTTTACTATAAGCCAGCCTTCAGCAGAAAAGGACAAAAACACACTTGGAAATGATCTAGTCAAAACTGTGCACAGAAAAACAACTGGAAATTAGTACAACCATTATGGAAAAACAGTGTGGAGCTTCCTCAAAAAGAAAAACAAAAATAAAACTGCCATATGATCTAGCAATCATACTATTGGGTATATATCCAGAGGAAATGAAATCAGTATGTCAAAGAGATATCTAAACTCCCATTATGTTTTTTAAGAGTTGAGATCCCACTCTGTCATCCAGGCTGAAGTGCAGTAGTGCAGTCATAGCTCACTGAAGCCTCCAACTCCTGTGCTCAAGCGATCCTCCCAGCTTAGCCTCTGTAGTAGCTGGGACTACTGATGCAAGCAAACATGCCTAGTTTGTTGTTGTTGTTGTTGTTGTTTGTTTTGTTTTTAGAGATGAAGTCTTGCTGTGTTTCCCAGGCTGATCAATCTTGAATTCCTGGCCTCAAGCAATCCTCCTACCTCAGCCTCCGAAGTCACTAGGATTACAGATGTGAGCCACTGTGTCTGGCTTGCACTCTCATGTTTTTTGCAACTCTATTCAACATAGCCAACATATGGAACCCACTTAAGTGTCCATCAGCAAATGAATGAAGAAAATAAAATTAGATACACAGTGTAATACTATTCAGCCATAAAAAAGGAGGAAGTCCTGCCATTTGCAACGACATGAATTAACGTGGAGGACATTATGTTAAATGAGATAAGCTAGGCACAGAATGACAAATAACCACATGATCTCACTTATATGTAGAATATAAAGTAGTTGAATTCATAGAAGCAGAGAAGAAAGTGGTGGTTACCAGGGCCTGGGGTCAGAGGAGTGGGGAGATCTGGGAAATGTTGGTGAAATGATAGAAAATTTCGGCTGGGCGCGGTGGCACATGCCTGTAATCCCAGCACTTTGGGAGGCCGAGGCGGGCGGATCACGAGGTCAGGAGATCAAGACCATCCTGGCTAACACAGTGAAACCCCGTCTCTACTAAAAGTACAAAAAATTCGCTGGGCGTGGTGGCGGGCGACTGTAGTCCCAGCTACTCGAGAGGCTGAGGCAGGAGAACGGCGTGAACCCGGGAGGCGGAGCTTGCAGTGAGCGGAGATGGCACCACTGCACTCCAGCCTGGGAGACAGAGTGAGACACTGTCTCAAAAAAAAAAAAAAAAGAAAAAAGAAAAAAAAAACAAGGATGCAAAAATTTCAATTAGGAGAAATATGTCAAGAGGTCTGTTGTACAACATGGTGACTACAGTTAAAAACAACATACTGTATATTTGAAAAGTACTAAAAATGGTAGATTTTAAGTGTTCTCACCACAAAAAAATTGTAAACGTGTGAGGTCATGCATATGTTAATTAACTTGATTTAGCCATTCCACAGTTTGTATATATATTACAATATGTCATGCACCATAAATATATACAATTTTTATAAATTAAAACATAACAGAGAAAAATGACTGAAGAAAATACATCAGTGTACATAATCATCATCTGTAGGTGGGAGGACAATGTTTGACTTTAGATTGTTCTTCCAGCATCTCTTTATTGTTCTAAATTTTCTATCATAGGAATGGAATAATAATTAATTGAGGTGAAACTAAATATTTTTAAATGTTTTAATTAAATTTTACTTCCTGTAACATCTAACGGGATGCCCACTCCTGTATAAAATGAGCACATTAGCTCATAAGTGGCTAGAATTTATAAGTGAATTTTTTAATTCTCTAGCTATCCATGACATGTTTTCTACTGATAGAGAAAAGAAAATATTATGGCCCCTGATTTCCCATATTTGTGGAGTATGAGCTTTATTTTCATATACCAATCAATAATGTGTTTTTTGGTCGGGTGTTGGTGGCTCACACCTGTAATCCTAGCACTTTGGAAGGCCAAGCTGGGCGGATCACTTGAGGTCAGGAGTTTGAGACCAGCCTGGTCAACATGGTGAAACCCTGCCTCTACTAAAAATAAAAAATTAGCTGGGCATGGTGACACACACCTGTAATCCCTGCTACCTGGGAAGCTGAGGCAGGAGAATCGTTTGAACCCAGGAGGTAGAGGTTGCAGTGAGCTGAGATTGCACCACTACACTGCAGCCTGGGGGACAGAGTGAGACTCTGTCTCAAAAAAACAAAGAAACAAAATAATAATAATAATATGCTTTTTAATCTTACTTTTGAAAACAGAGCACATCACTAGTGATTTGTTTTCCCTCATATGAACCAGTGATAGCTACATCCTAGCACATCCTAGCTGCCACCTGCGAAGATAAGAAATGATATAGGGTTAGATTTGGGACAGTTATTAGTGAAGAGGCAAGGATGATCTTCCCGGACTCAGTGTAATCCAGATATTGTCATGCAGAATGAGCCACTGGAGATACTAGCCCGTGGAGGAGACACAGAAGAAAGGTAATGGCAAAAACTCTTGTCTGGAGTTTTTACTATTACAAAGCAGCATTGGACATCAACAGCAGAAGGGAAGAAAAGAAGATAATGAGTGTTCGGCAACTCTGTGACCAAGGGCCAAAGATACCAGCCAATTTCTAGACATTCTCCTTGGTACAAAGGACAGTGTGAAGGCAGAGGGTTTCCTTCACCACTGCATTGATCGACGAGTGTTAAAAAGCAACGCAGAAGAACAAAACCACCTACCATATTCTGGAGCCCTTACTCTGTGCCAGACACTGTGCTGAATGCCTTACATTCCTGATCTCATGTAGTACACGTGACTCTAAGATGGGCACTATTACCCAACTTTTCTAGGAATATCTGTAGCTCAGGGTGGGAAAAAAAAATACTTATTCAAGATCACAAATCTAGTAAATGACAGAGTTGGAATTGGAACCCAGGTCTGTGTGACTTCAAAGCCAGGCTCTTCAATGTTATGATGCATTGCTTCCTCCCATCTGTTTCCCAGACTAACAGATGTATAGCTCTTTGCATCTTGATAGCATTATCGCATGGCATTCTCACACCAGCACTGTAGATGGAGGTGGAGCAGATGCCACCCTTGTACTATACATGCCAGCACAAAGAAAACACTGAGTGTCCAGCCCAAAGCAAGAAACCTAGTAAACAATGGCAATAGGTGACAATCCTAGGATTTCTTCCTTTCTTTTTGCTTCCTTTTAATCCGTAATACATTGTAATTTCTCACTGCAACAGTGAAACGCCTCTGTGTAGCAATGAAATCTCTGTTTTCTGTGAATTGAACAGAAAGAATAATGACCCAGGCAGAACACAGTCAGGATGAAAATCCTGCCAGAACATGGGATTGATCACTCCCTCTAAAGGGACACAAAATAGCCAAACTGTGATCACTGTAAAGAGCTAGATTTGCATCTTATCCTAAGTATGGCTTTAGTCAGTTACTTCATCTATTGATTTTCTGTGAAAATCTTGAGCCTGTGTTTTGTGAGAAAAACGCCTGAAGGGCCTGTGATGAATTCCTTTTTAGCTTTAAGTACAACCAGTACAACCATCAGGATGATAGAAGTGCTTCTCGGTGATGTAACTGCAACCATTTCTTTCTGCTTGTTTGAACCAAAGTACTTTTTGATTGAAAACTACCTCGTTCAGACCTGCTTTGAAGGAAGAAATGGAGCAGGATGGGTTAAAGTACTACATTGATCAGTTATTGCCACAATAATGCTGGGTAGTCAACTACCCACAAAGAAAGTGGTATATAGCCCTGCACTTTGATTCCCAGGCTAAGTCTGCAAGTTGACTATGGTTCTGCTGATTTAGGGTAGGGTGTACTCTGCTTCAGACTATGGTGTAACTGGTCGTGGTACCAGGTCAGTTTTCATGGGTTAGGCTCGTGTCTATCCATGTATGTTTATTTTGGAGTGGAGAAATAAAATATGTTTATTTTGGAGTGGAGAAATTAGCTTCCCCTTATTTGGAAGGGGAAGCTAATTTGCTAAACTGAAAAGCTCTCGAGAGAGCAGGTAAGCCAGGTTTCAATGTTTCCAATGTGGTCAGACTGGGTCTCCAAGGATTCCCCAGAGGCTTGGGGTTTTTACAGCAGGACTTTGGGGGTCATAAACCAATTAAGATAAAAGTACCTATAACAGGCTGGGCATGGTGGCTCAGGCCTGTAGTCGCAGAACTTTGGGAAACCAAGGCAGGTGGATCACTTGAGGTCAGGAGTTCAAGACCAACCTGGCCACCGTGGTGAAAACCCATCTCTACTAAAATTACAGAAATTAGCCGGGTGTGGTGGCACACACCTGTAATCTCAGCTACTTGGGAGGCTGAGGCAGGAGGATCACTTGAGCCTGGGAGGTGGAGGTTGCAGTGAGCCCGAGATTGCACCACTGCACTCCAGCCTGGGCAACAGAGCAAGACTCTGTCAAAAAAAAAAAAAAAAAAGACCTATAATAGTGCTTAAACTACACCCACCTTCTGTTGGAGAGAGAAACGGGGTGGAGAGAGGAGAATGCAACATCCCATACACCAAACCCAGTGCTGGACCTGACCTTGTGACAAATACCAAAGCAATGAGAATAAAGGAGTACACTCTCTTTTTTTGCCCTAAAATTCTACTTTACATGGAGAAAGTCATGAGAGTCTGCCATATAGAGTAGATAGAAAAAAATTAGTGAATAAAACATTGTCACTTTGGGTCCTATTTCCAAACGAATTAAAATGACGAGACTAAAATGAACCTTAGTCATTTTTTTTTCCATATTGAAACACTCAGCTGTGATTACGTTTTGTTTTGCTTAATGAAAAGATAGCACCTACTTTAGTGGTCTAAGTTTACACTTGCATGTTTCAAATATCAGCATTCATAACTTGTGATCATCTGATTTATACTACTTTATTCAAGTAGACAGAAAATGCTCTTCATTAAGAATAAATTCCTAACACATGAAAGTTTTCTCTCTTCTTTTTCTATGTTAGATTCCTACTAGTTACTGGCTAAATCTTACTATAATATCTAATTTTGAATTCTGATATATTTTATGTCTTTATATTAAGCTCTGAATACACATCCTTATATCTGGGGATATTATGACAGGTACAAATAAAAAAAAAAACAAAATATAAAATAAAGCTATTTCAGATGCCTAACAAGAAAGCATGGAAATTCAATTATCATGGAAAATCTCAGTATATTATAATTCAATTTGGTCCAGGTTCAAAAACCTACTTTCTGGTAATTGAAGTTATAGCAGGCCCATCTTCCAGTGTTCACTGTCTGCTAAGCTCAATCCTGTTGGCCTCTTCTGATCCGCAGTTCTGATAGGACTACTATTCTAATATTGCCCCTCTGAGATACTGCTTTTTTTTTTTTTTCATGCTAAGTTTATCTACCATAGACTATGGGAATGCAACTCCAGACTTTGCAGTGTGCTCTGGCTTCCAGAAAGATACAGACTGACCTGGGTTTAAGCCCCCGGGAAGTTCTATGTTTGCCAGGAGAGGACTCCGGGAGCAGTGACACCATCATGGAGTCTAGCTGAAGAAAGAGCAGGTTGTTGTCTGTAATCACCAGCTCTAATCAGGGCATGTCTCATCTTACTTGCTTTTATGTGAGTTCCATATATATCTCATTGAAAACAGGGTTCTGGCCGGGCACGGTGGCCTATGCCTGTAATCTCAGCACTTCGGAAGGCCGAGGCAGGCAGATCACAAGTTCAGGAGTTCCAGACCAGCCTGACCAACACGGTGAAACCCTGTCTCTACCAAAAATACAAAAATTAGCCGGGTAGAGTGGCGAGTGCCTGTTATCCCAGCTACTCAGGAGGCTGAGGCAGGATAATTGCTTGAACCCGGGAGGCGAAGGTTGCAGTGAGCTGAGATCACACCACTGCACTCCAGCCTGGGTGACACAGCAAGACTCCATCTCAAAAAATAAAAAAAAAGGAAAAGAAAATAGTGTTCTGCAATTCTTAAATTCCTTTTGATAAATCATTGCCTTATATACCATCTCAGAAAATAGGAGGAAATAACATTCCCTGGTGTGCTTTTCAGGGTATCCTAGAAGCCTCACTTTCCAGATATATCTGTATCCACCTATCTAAAATCACCTATACAGGGAGAGGAGGTCCTCAGTGGCCTGTCTGCAGTCATTCACTTTGAGTTTCCCTCAAGTCAATGTAATCATTTGCAGACATTTAATAAGAGGCAAACTGGTTACTGGGGAGACCGCATCATCTGGTCTTGTATTAGTGTCTGCCCCAAGGCTTTCCCCTCATTCCTTTATACATTTTTGCTAAGCACCAAGAAGCACTTTACTTCCAATGGTCATGGGCTTCTCAGCCATAATGAAAGATTCTGTGAATATCTTTTTTCCCCTTATTTATATCTTTATGAATCTTCATATAATTTTAGTAAATTGTTTATTTGTGCACATTGCTGTTGAGGCCATGCTTAATTATTGCTTTTTCATATACTTTGGAAAGAAAATAGACCCCTGTATCGTGGTGAACAAAGGAAGGTGACAGATAAAAGTTCCTTTTATCTCTGGAGTCCTTACATTCTCAAAGAACTTTAATGTTGATTAATTCACGTCATCTTCACAAACACGTTGGGTGAAAATAAAGGTGATGGCAGCAGCAGAAATGGTTAGACTTGGATAAGAGCTGGTGTTTAAAGCATATGCCCCCAAGAAACATTTATTTCATCTTTTAACCATCATTCAGTTATTTGTTTCACAGACCAGCCTGGTTTCATGTGCCCTGACCGTGAGCTCAGCCATGGGAGTCTCCTATCTCTTTGTCTGTTGACTCTGATTTCTCTAAGCCCTGGTCCTGGCTTAGCCTCCTGCTCTAAGTTCCAGCTTCCATTACTAATTCTTGTTTTTGTTTTTGTTTTTGTTTTTTGGTCTAGTCAGGATTCCAATTCTGTCTCCAAATCTAGCTGCTGAATTGGAGCTGCTTATTTCAGTATAGAGAATTAAAAAAAAACAAAAAAAACCCTACACCATAGAAAGACAAACACACAATTAACTTTTTTCTTGAGGAAGATTTTAAAGAAGCTGTAAATAAAATAAAATACTATTTCTTTTACTAATTGTCCTTCACTTGCATTGAAACTGCCATAACTAAAAATTGGTTGAACCTCTAAAATCCCCCACTGAACTTTTGTCACGCTCTTTAAAGTCAATTCATTCTGTATTTTTTTTAATTAGAGAAATAGTACCAGTTATTAACTTCTTACTGTTCGCCTTTCAGGTCTCGGTTTAAATATCATTTCTTCATAAAGCTTTCCTAGGCTGCCCTGACCAGGTTTGGTCACTGCTGTGGTTTGGATGTGTGTCCCCTCCAAAATTCACATTGAAGCGTAATCCCCATTATGTTGATGTTAAGAGATGGGGCCTTTGGGTAGCAATTAAGTCGGGAGTTTTCCACCTTCACAATGGATCAGTGCCTCATACAAGGACTGGGGGAGCTAGTATAGGAGCTAGCTTTTTGCTCTTGTATCTTGTCGGGTGAGGATACCTAGACAGCACCATTTATGAGGAACAGGCCATTGCCAGACACTGAAGCTGTAGGCACCTTGATTTTGGACTTCTCAGCTTCCAGAACTGTGAGCAATAAATTCCTGTTGTTTATAAATGACCCAGTCTCGACTATTATGTTAGAGCAGCAGGGATAGACTAAGACAGTCACATGGTAACATACACATGTGTAGCACTGCAAACTTCATTACTTACATATCCTGCAGCTTTAACAATCCATACCTTTCTTCCTCGATAAGCTATAACTTCAAGGAGAGCAGAGAATGTCTTATTCACTTGCAGCATCCTCAGGCCTAGCACAATAACCAGTAAGTACATCACAGATCTAATGAAAATGTTGATCGGTATGAATAAACAGAGCGCAGTGTATTAGCCATTGAGGATGCCAGGATCTAGACACCATCTCAGGCAATTCAACATCTAGCTGGGGATGCAGGACATGTAAAAACAAATGCAAACAGTATCAGAATAAAATAAAGAATAATCAAATGTATCATAAATTCCAAAAAGCTATACTTTCAGTGAAATCTACAAGGTCTTAGAGGCATGAAGACAGTGGTTTGGGATGGCCAAGAAAGGTTTGTTTGTTTGTTTGTTTGTTTCAGAAAGGTGATAATCAGAGAAATGGAGCAACTTAGTGGAAAGGGTGCCCTCTTGGTCTTTTTGGCAAGGGAGATCATGGGTAGCAAAGTAACGAGCTGCATGCATAATGGATTTGAAGAACACATCTGTATATTTTCATTTTATTCTATGGGATACCTAGGGCAATAGGGAATTCTCTCTTTCTCTCTTCCTTCCCTTTTTCTCCTTTCCTTTCCTTTCCTTTCCTTTCCTTTCCTTTCCTTTCCTTTCCTTTCCTCTCCTCTCCTCCCTCACCTCCCTGCCCCCCTCCCCTCCTCTCCCCGCCCCCCTCCCCTCCCCTCCCCTCCCCTACCCTTCTTTCCTTTCCTTTCCTTTCCTTTCCTTTCCTTTCCTTTCCTTTCCTTTCCTTTCCTTTCCTTTCCTTTCTTTTCCTTTTAAAATTTTATAGCCGATGTAGTAAAAGCAACTTTTGGGAACACTCAGGATGACAATATGTATAGGTCAAAAATATGATGGGAAGGAATAGAATTTTGTGGTCATCCATGTGATAGAATAAGGAGGGCTGTAACCATGAGAAAGATGGAGCAATGACAGGACCAACCAGACCTGATGCCCAACTAGACGGAGAGGGGGAAGGAGTAGGGAGTGTCTTAGGGACTCCCAGCTTTGGAAGGGGGATGAAGAATGCTAGGCATACGTTAAAAGACAGAGAGAGAGAAAGCCAAGGAAGGGTGACTATGTTGAATTTGAAGGGACAGCAGCACAGCCCAGCTATAAGAAATCACTCACGGATGGGTTTGATCTTGAGGCTTTGTTTGTGGCATGCGGTGCTGAAGAATTTGGTTTGAAGGACAGCTGCATACAGATGTTTTGCTTCCCTGGGGAACTTACAGAAGAGAGTCTTTAGTTAGAGACAAAAAATATTCATGTACTGGCTTTGCTTATAAACCTAAAGGACAATAATAAAGAATATTAAATTCTCTCGTGGAGTCCCAAAAAGTGATACTGACCCTTTTGGTTCAAACTTTGCATACCCTATCAGTGACTTCCAATCTTCATAAAAATAAGAAATATTAGTATAGGTCAATATTTTGACATTTATTATTACTACTAATTTCAGATATTAAAGATGAAACATCAATGAGTAAACATGATTAATGTTTAAACCAAGCAGATCTTCACGGCTAATCTAATAATGCAATAAGTGCACAAGTTTCAGATCACCATTTTCTCTCAAAGAAAAGTATCTTACTAGATGTGAACTTTTGCAGCATGAACAGCCCTGAACAAAAGAAAAACTGGCTTGGCTTTTAGAATTGAAGATCTGAGTGTGCAGGAAGCAGGCCAAATTAGCTGCAAATAAAGTGTCTGCACTATAAAAACAGTTCTGCAGCTTTTTCCAATGGCACTGCCTTTGAGTCATCTAGGATGCACAGTGCTGTAGTTATTGGGTAGGTTTTTAGTTGGATGTCTTATAGATTGTTCAAGAAATTAACAGATAGTCTGCAATGACAGGGCCAGCTATGAAATTGCTCCAACTTTTATTGCTGAAATGTTGACCATTCTGTGAATGTGTCAGTGGCGGTGACAAGACTGCAGTTTGAAACCAGTCTGACGATCCCCACCTCATCAGGGGCCCATCTGACTTTAGCATATTGGCACTGAACACCGACGCCAGCCTCTGTCCAGCACAGGAAGCCCTCTTGACACTTGGCAGTAGGTGTTGGGAGCCATATTGAGAAAGCCAGGAGTCTGACCAGATGGTAGCTCTCCCTTGAACTTCTTTACAGATTTATTTTCTCTATGAAGCAGAGGGAATTGGCCAAGTCTGCCAAGCACATGGCCTTTTTCTGTACTTTCATCAGATGAGGAAGCCCTGGCTAGTCTTTTGGAGGCCGAAGACTTGGCAGGCTAGCAATCTTGGCAAAGCCACGCAGCTCACAGACTACCAGGGGGCCCTTCAGATCACAAAGCAATCCTTGAAGTTTGCAAAGTTCCTAGATGAGGGGTGTGGGGACAGGGCAGCAATGATCCATCACAGACACCTACAGGCATTCTGGAAATATAACCAGCTCTGCCAAGATAGAGGGTGAAATAGAATATATTTAACAAGTCTTTCCAATAGAAAACTCATTTTGCAAGTGTTTAAATGCATAAATGTTGAACGGGCATTATGGTAGTCCATCCAGGTATTGATTCCCACACATTTCCCAGAATGTGCTCAGACTCCGTAGGTTTTCATAGTGAGGTTAGCAACTTTTATTTTCATTTAATATTATTATTATTCCCATCTATTCTTTTAAGGAAAGGATAGCAAGAGCACTAAAGTGTCTTATGCTCCTACTCTTCAACCTCCAATTGACTTTATTTTGAAACAGCTTTATGGAGATGTAACTCATATATTGTGCAATTTGCACATTTAAAATGCACAATGATGGTTTTTGATACATTACATCATTATTCAATAAGACTTGTGGAATGTTATTTTCCATTTTTACTATTTTAAAATATACAATTCAGTGGCATTAATTATATTCACAGTGTTGTGCAACCATCACCACTATTTCCAAAGTTTCATCACTCTAAACAGAAACTCTGTAACCATTAAGCAGTAACTCCCTATTTCCTCTTCCCATAAGCCCCTGGTATCCTTTCATGTACTATTTAGCTCTATGAATTTGCCTATTGTGGGTACTTCATGTAAATGGAATCATACAATATTTGTCATTTCATGTCTGACTTATCTCACTTAGCATAATGTTTTCTGGGTTCATCTGTGCTGTAGCATGTGCCAGAATTTCATTCCTTTCTATGGCTGAATAATATTCCATTTCATGTATATACCCCATTTGTTTATCCACTCATCTGGTGATGGACATTTGGGTTGTTTACATCTTTTGTGGAAACCCTTTGGCTACTGTGCTTAACTGACTTTCGTATGCCTTTCAAAGGAGAGAACGTGTGCCTGGTTGCACTTTGCAGTCAGGTGCACATGCATTCTGAATGCCTTGCAATTTTGTACATGCTTTAAGGAGAGGCATCCCATGATAGGCCTCTCAGTGCCCAGCATCAATAAAGACTGGCTGGTAAAAATTGCATGTATATAAAATAAAGGGCAGAGTCACTGAACGCTTTCACTAACGTAATCTATTTGAGAAAAGGTTATGTGGTTTTCCTAAGCATAAATCATGCCTGACTAATTGAATAGACTTCTTTGAGATGATACATATTTACGTGGGAAAACAGACACTGAGAATATGGCTGGTTTAAGCTTCCAAAATGTCTTGGAGGAAATTTTACACCAAAGCTATTATGTTTTAATTAAATCACCATAGGATTGGAAATAGGAGCAAACTGTTTTACCATTATAGAAAACTGACATTCCATTCAATGAATATTTATGATGTGCTTAGTTAGGAACTATGGAAAATACAAAATAAGACATATTCCCTGCACTCCCCCAAATCCACCTCCCAAGGGAAAAAGGAAGCACAAGTAATAAAATGTGTAGGATATGAAGGGTCACATCTTTGCAAGAAAAAAATATAAACCATGGGTTACCTTAGAGATTGGGCTCTAAGACCACTTCTATTCTAAATATATTTTAAGTAATGTTGTGGAGAGCATCTGGGGAAAACTCCAAGCTTACCTAGGCCAATAAATCCTTCAAGGAAGGAAACCATGGATGAAACCATGCTTTGTGAATGAACAACTATAATAAAAATGATGAAAACATATCATTGAGCGTTGAAAAGGCTAGTGAACTAATGCAAATAGTACAATCCATCCTAAAGAATGGGTTTAAATATAGCTATTATGTTCCATAAAATATGACCAAGTATAAATAACTAAATAAATTTTTCCCACATCACAATTGTTATGGTGGGCTCATATGATTTAAACAAACAAACAAACAAAAACAATGGCATAAGATATGATGACTGTTTGGGAACAGACCACAATAATATCTCCTAACCTAATCATCATTTTAGAACAGTCATACTTAGAACATACACTGAATTAGATGTTAGATGTTTGAAATTATGGGATTATAGAATGAATATAATCTTGCAGTCTCACAAGGTCACAAAGTCCATTGACATATTGGGAAATGTCAACTTATTGAGAAATAATTTTTTAAAGAAAAACAAAGTCTACATTCACATTTTATGTGGACATGAACAATACCATGATATGACTGTGAAAAATTTTTGGTTAAAGTATGCCTAAAAAATTTCACAAGAGAAATCTGAAAAACACATTCATATTAACTGGAAGAACACCAAAAGCAATCATTGAGCTTTTATCAAATGTTATTCTCAACATCAACAACTTACAAGTTATTACCAGGTGGTAAAGCATGAGGTACCTAACTGTGGAAATGCTAGTGTGAAATAATGTGAAAATGTCATTCAACTAAAAGAGAATTTAAAACATACCAGAATACTCAAACAATGCCAAACTTGTAAAGCTTAGTAGATATAATACTGACTGATCCAAATTAACCATGGGCCTATTTACTTCCAAGCTCTCCCTCATTTTTCTCCTTTTCCTTCCTTCCTTCCTTTCTCTTTCTTCCTTTCTTTCTTTCTCTGTCACGCTCTTTCCCTCTCTCTCTTTTCCTTCCTTCCTTCCTTCCTTCCTTCCTTCCTTCCTTCCTTCCTTCCTTCCTTCCCTCCTTCCCTCCCTCCCTTCCTTCCTTCCTCCCTCCTTCCTTCTTTCTTTTTCAGACAGGGTCAGGCTCTCGAGTGCAGTGGTGTGACCACGGCTCACTGCACCCTCAAATTTCTGGGCTCAAGTTATCCGCCTGCCTCAGCTTCCTTGGTAGCTAGGAATACAAGCATATGCCACTTTGCCTGGCTAATTAAAAAAAAAAAAAATTCTGTAGCGATGGAGGTCTTACTATGTTGCCCAGGCTGGTCTTGAACTCCTGGGCTCAAATCATCCTCCTGCCAGCTTTCCCTCCTTTTTCTGTTAACTAACAAAGATCTAATAGATCAGTTTGTAATGGATAAAGCATAATTGACCTGGAAAAAGTCCAGCAAAGGACAAGTAAAATGATCAGAGGTGTGGAGGGGGGTATCCATGAAGACAAATGTAAAAGTTTTGAAATTTAGTTGCAAAGGTAAAGACAGAGTGAGGGTATTTTTGATGTTATTAGAATTGTAAAAGCAGAAACTAGGGAGACGTATGGCCAGCTCATCACATTCTGGAATACTAGAACAAGGAGGAAATCTCTTCAGTCATTAGTGAGGAAAGTTTTAAGATAATTATTTGGGATAGAACTTCATAGTGCAAGGTGGACTAGTTGTTATAGAGTTTAAACATGAAGAGAAAAAGCAATTGAAATAAACTCACAACTTGACAAGTTCATGATGTGAGAAGAAGACAATTAGTAGATTTAGGATTTTCCTTACCTTTAAAGGAGATGCTCATGCAGTCAAACGTATCTTCCAGAATTACATCTCTTGATAGTCAGTTTTAGAATGCTAGACTGAATAAGGACAATAAGTATGACCTACTCTTCTGATTCTTATGCTCTTATGTTTAAGGCCAACTCCAGAGGGGAGACCTGACTGCAACCTAGGTTGTCATTTGTAAGTTAAAGAGAAATTAAGCAGAATACATACTTGGAAAGCTTTCTCCTCCAGAGCCTTGCAGCCCGCCCGGCCATAGATTTCAAATGGCTCTACAGAAAGCTACTAAACAACGTTCTTCTTTACTCCAAAAGAACACTTAAGAAAATCTATCCATTTTAGAGAAAAAAAATGAGAATATTCTGAAATCATACAGATCCTCAAAATATGTACATGATATTATCACACTCTTAAATGCTAGAAAAGAAGTATTTTTTTTCTGGAAAGGAAATCATTGATGAATCTTTTAATCTGTATTTATGATTAAAGCATTACTCTCATAATCATAACATTTATACAATTATTTCATAATTTGGCTTTTCTATAAAATGAGTTGGACTGTAGATTTCACCATTTCTAATTTCTTTTTTTCTCCTGTTTTTCAAAATTAAAGCTAAATCCAAGTTGAAGAAGTGCATTCTCAGTAAAAGTTGGGCTAATTTGTAGTGACCATTGCCTTTGACAAAAACAGATTAAGAAAAAGATAAGTTTATACAGAATTTGGATCAGGATTCACCTGGTTTCATGAAAATTTCAATAATCACATCTAAAACAATTCCCCTGTTTTACAAGCCAGGATTGTATTAGGTTAATAAACAAATGAGATTAGTAAAATGCAGATAATTGTTTATTATCAGGAAGTCACCTTTCATTCTACAATGTTGTACTGGAGCAAGAAGGATACACAGAAGACTCCAGTGACTTAGGGATAAAATAATGATTGATTGAATTTGCTTCAGAAATGATTGCCCTTTATCTTCTTAGGAACAGATGCACTAGGTACCTCCAATTATGTAACTAGGATCAAAATTCATTCTTCCCTCTGGTAAGAAAATCATAAAGTAAAATCCACGTCTCTCTTCTCTAGGTGCAATTTTGAAATATGTCTAGAAAGAATGCATTGGTAAAAAAAAAAAAAAGCATATGGGTAAAAAATATGCTTCCATTGAAGTGTTGTATCAGAAAGCACCACCATGAGATCTATCATTTGATAGTTTAAAACCTGGATCATATGGGCACACTGCCTATTCACAGGCCAAATACTGAAGTGATGGAAAACCTACAGTAACATGGGAAAAGAGTCCCATTTCTTTCCCCGTGCCTGGTACGTATAGAAGTTGATATGTAAATTATGTGCCCTTTGGAGGGTTGTATAAAAGAGTGATGGGCTTAGTTTAAGCTACATCCATTGGAGGCCAAAGGTTGTGATGAAAATGTATTATTTTAAAATAAAATCTTCAAGATGTTCTTGAAGTGCTACAAATAAATTGGGACTTCTGCATGGCTTGCTAGGTTCTTTCCTTTTTCATCTGAATGTCCTGGCATTGGATGGACCAATAAGTGCCTTCTTAAATTGGACTTGCTTCTGAGAATTCTTCCTATGCATAATCACAATTTCCTATTTTCTCTTACACATGAGTTTAAACATTTAAACAGATTGGGTTTTGCTAACAAATTGTAGCTTTTGTTATCTTTTTGAATTACTTGTTTAACCCTACACAAAGTCTGCCCTTGGATTTGCCTGAATTTTTGTCTTTTGAATCAAGAAGTTGATTAAGCCAAAATTTCATGTGCATATAAATAACCCAATGATCTTGGTAATGAGTAAATTCTGATTCAGTAGGTCTGGTGTAGGGCTCGAAATTATGCATTTATAACAAGCTCCCAGGACATGCTGAGGCTGGTGGTCTGAGGACCACACTTTGAGGAGCACAGTTAAGCAACTATCATTGAACCCATCAATCATAACACTTGTGTGTCTTCTGGAGATATTCTGAGAGTGACATTGAAAGTCTACATTTCTATGCACTAAAAAAAAAAATGCCACATTTCCACTCAGAAACTGCTTTTATCTTTGCCTGGCTCATTCAGTATGCAGGCCCTACACTGAATTCATAAAATCAAACTACACATTTGAAGGACCATGTATCAGCCAAATAAGGTCACCCAAATACAGAGACACACCTTCAATGAAAGAAAAAAATTACTCTTTGTTTCAATAAACTTTGCACATAAGGACTGAAAGTTGTTTTCTACTTTCAAGAACTTCTTACCAAAAGGAATGACAATTACTATACTTTGAAAAGGTCAAGGGATTTACCTTGGGTTTCTATAGCTGAAGAGCTCCATCACTTTTCTGTGGACATTTGAGCTGCTTGGACTTTGAAATGAAATAGCTACTAGTGCAGAGATTTATCTCAAGCATTGCAGTCTTTCATAGGTAATTTTCTAGCTGGAAAAAGATGTGAAATGTTGGCTGGCTGTTTAGGAATATTGCTACAGTCTACCGAAGTGTTCCAACAAACTCTTTTTTTTTTTTTTTTTTTTTGAGATGGAGTTTCGCTCATGTTACCCAGGCTGGAGTGCAACGGCATGATCTCAGTTCACTGCAACCACTGCCTCCCGGGTTCAAGCAATTCTCTTGCCTCAGCCTCCCGAGTAGCTGGGATTACAGGCATGTGCTACCACACCCAGCTGATTTTGTTTTTTTAGCAGGGACAGGGTTTCTCCATGTTGATCAGGCTGGTCTCAAACTCCTGACCTTAGCTGATCCACCTACTTCAGCCTCCCAAAGTGCTGAGATTACAGATGTGAGCCACCATGCCCGGCCCAACAAACTCTTAAGAAGCAGAAATTATGATATAGAATATAATACATAAGGAAATATATTAACAAGGTAAATTTAAATATAAATAATTTCTATAATTTAATGAAATAAACAAGTTTCTATACTAAAATTATAGATTCCTCAAAAAAAGATAGATATTCATTAGAATTCTAAGCAAAGAAAGAATTTTAAGTGAGCAACATATAGGAGGAAATAGAAAATATATAGAAAATAGGTAAGGGAGAATTAAAGAAACATTATCAGGCATAACATGAAAGATAACAACTGTATTACATATTGCAACTTCATACGTTCTGATATCCAAATCCCCAAATTCTATGGATATAATTTCTTTTGTATTAGAATTCCAAAAATCTATGCTTAGTGAACAGACTGTGGAAAGATGGAAATTGATAGCTAGGCAAAGCTAAAGTAGGCGAAGCATTTAAGCCCATATTAATACTGATTTCACAGAATCTATTCAAAATTGGAAGTAAATGCATTATCTGCAGATATAAAAATATCTGATTTTAATTAAGATAAAGCGTCTCTCTAAGGAAAACATTAATTCGTATGATTTCATAGTGTAATCTCCTTTTTTATGGTTTAATAACTGGGAAGCATTAAAGGCAAATAACATTATGTATTTGTTCATATCGAACAATACAGTTGAATGGATTCAACAAATGATGGTGACAAATAATCTTCAGTCATACAGAAATTTTAAAATAAATCAGATCTAATTATACTAAAGAGCTTCTGTGCAGTGAAAGAAACTATCATCAGAGAGAATGGACAACCTACAGAATGGGAATTTTTGCAATCTATCCATCTGACAAAGGTCTAATATCCAGAATCTATGAACTTAAACAAATTTACAAGGAAAAAAAAATCCCCTTTAAAAAGTGGACAAAGGACATGAACAGACACTTCTCAAAAGAAGACATTTATGTGGCCAATAAACATACTTTTAAAAAGCTCAATACCACTCATCATTAGAGAAATGCAAATCAAAACCACAGTGAAATACCATCTCACACCAATAAGAAGGGTGATTATTAAAAAGTCAAGAAACCACAGATGCTGGCATGGCTGCAGAGAAATAGAAATGCTTTTACACTGCTGGTAGAGATGTAAGTTAGTTCAACCATTGTGGAAGACAGTGTGGCAATTCCTCAAAGATCTAGAACCAGAAATACCATTTGACCCAGATATCCCATTACTGGGTATATACCCAAAGGAATATGAATCATTCTATTATTAAGACACATGCAAACATATGTTCATTGATATATTCAATAGGGAAGACATGGAATCAACCCAAATGCCCATCAATGATAGACTGGATAAAGAAAATGTGGTCCATATACACCATGGAATACTATGCAGCCATAAAAAGGAAAAAGATCATGTCCTCTGCAGGGACATGATGGAGCTGAAGCCATTATCTTCAGCAAATTAATGCAGGTACAGAAAATCAAACACCACATTTTTCTCAATTATAAGTGGGAGCTGAACAATGAGAACGTATGGACACAGGGAGCGGAACAACACACAATGGGGCCTACTGGTGGGGTAGGGGATGCACGGGAGGAGGGACAGCATCAGGATAAATAGTTAATGCATCCTGGGCTTGATACCTAGGTGATAGGTAGATACATGCAGCAAACCACCATGGCACACATTTACCTATGTAACAAACCTGCATGTCCTGCACATGTATCCTGGAAGTTAAAATAAAATAAAATAAAATAAAAAGAAACATGTGAATATCCAGCCCTAAACCTAAAAAAAAGAAAATATATCAACATTCTCTACACTACTTAACAACTGGACTTTAAAGTTAACTTAAATGATCTCTGTGGATAAAGTACCATTGCAACATAATGATACTGCCAGTAGTATAAGAGGAATGATAAGAGAAAAATTATCATTTGGACAGTAATAGAAAAGAAGGGTTAAATATGGTAATAGAGGCAGTGGAGATAATCCCAAAGAGAGTACTAAGTGGTTACAAAGACACAGTGCCTCAAGGCTCAGTCATATCCCTGGGATATACTTATTTCTAATAAGATTTGGCAATTACTGTGCAAAGGAAAAGCCCTAAACACAATGAATCCTTAAAAAGTTCCCTTAGTCGGCCGGGCGCGGTGGCTCATGCCTGTAATCCTAGCACTATGGGAGGCCAAGGCGGGCAGATCACCTGTGGTCAGGAGGTTCAAGACCAGCCTGGCCAATATGGTGAAACCCCATCTCTACTAAAAAATACAAAAATTAGCTTGGTGTGGTGGCGTTCACCTGTAATCCCAGCTACTTGGGAGGCTGAGGCACGAGAATCACTGGAAACCGGGAGAGGTTGCAGTGAGCCAAGATCGTGCCACTGCACTCCAGCATGGGTGACTGAGTGAGGCTCCATCTAAAAAAAAAAAAAAAAAAAAAAAAAAATTCCCTTAGTCATCTTAGATAACAGCTTATTGGCAACATTGTGCTTTATACCTTCAAATACATCTCTCCAAATGTTCTCAGAACTCACTTTTGTTTGTTTTAGCCTTGGTCTAACAGCAACAGCCTGGCTGATGTTATGCCAAGATTCCAGTTGGTGGAAATGTAGAGTTACTCATAGCTATGGCTATTAGAAGGAAGATGTTTTGTCATTTGACTAATAAGGTTTTACTAAAGTTAAAAGGGGTCTTCAAACCTCCGAGATGAAATTCAGCAAAAAGTTAGGGATATTTGCAGAAAGCTGACCATTACATAATCACCTTATGGAATGTTTAAAATCTTTTCACCAGGTTGTATTACCAGATACTGCCACTCACATTACTATGTCCACGGACCATGGTAAGACTGTAAAGCCTTATTTGGTTTATTTCGGTTCACTGGCGTATAATTCCTCTCAGCTCCCTATTCTTTGGCCCTTTCCCCAGGATTAGATCTGCTTCAAAGAAAACATCCTAAAATTAGCTTGACTGTGGTACAATTTCAATATTCATACCGTAATTTAATAAAGGTATCCTCTTGTTGACTTCATTTCTCTTTTCTATCTCACATCCACTGAACCCCAAATATCTTTCTGCTTCTGCTTCTCTTATTTCAGTAGCATAAACTATACCATTTAAAAGAGGCCTTTTCCAATGTTTCATTTACACTGAGGGCCAGTGAAAGCAAGATAAATGCACCCATATACATGCATAAGACATTTTAGGAATGTATCTTTCTTCCTGTGCTCCTTTAGGTTTTCACTTTTTTAGCTGCTTATTAGGGTTTTTTTGTTTTGTTGTTGCTGTCGTTGAGATGGAGTATTGCCCTGTTGCCCAGGCTGGAGTACAGTGGTGGGATCTCGGCTAACTGCAACCTCCACCTCCCGGGTTCAAGCAATTCTTGTGTCTCAGCCTCCCGAGTTGCTGGGATTACAGGTGCCTCCCACCAAGCCTGGCTAATTTTTTATGTTTTTAGTAGAGACAGGCTTTCACCATGTTGGTGAGGCTGGTCTTAAATTCCTGACCTCAAGTGATCCCCCACCCAGGCCTCCCAAAGTGTTGGGATTACAGGCATGGGCCACCATGCCCAGCCTGCTTATTAGTTTTTCAGCAGTGAGAGATAAATCAGTTTCCCTTTGAGGCCACCCCCGCCTCATGCAATAAACTAAATGTTTATGCCCCACCCCCCCATTCATATGTTGAAATTTAATCACCAATGTAATGGTACTAGGAAATGGGGCTCTTGGGAGGCAATTAGATCATGAGGGTGGAGATCTCACAAATGGGATTAGTGCCCTTTTAAATGAGACTCCAGAGTTCTCTCACCCCTTCTGCCACATGAGGACACAGTGAAAAGACAGCTCTCTAGGAACCAGGAAGTGGGCCTTCACCAGACACTAAATCTTCCAGCAACCCCTTCATCTTGGACTTCCCAGCATCCTGAACTGTGAAGAAGAAATTTCTGTTGCTTATAAGCCACTCAGTCTATGGCATTATGTTATAGTAGCCCAAACTGACCAAGATACCTCAGTTTATTTATTTATTAATGTTGAAAAGGTTTATTGGGTGCTATGCTTTGGGCACTGTGCTAGGAGCTGGAGGTATATAGAGTGGGACAGCACAGTCCTTGCTTTGAAAAGACTCACAGAATAATAGAGAAAGCCAGTATTTCTCCAATATTGGCTTCAGAATTAAAATAGAAAAGTGTATAGATCTCTTCCTTCAGGTAATCATTCATTCATACATGAGCCACTCATTCATTCATTTGTATATGATGAACAGGAACTATAAGGTCTCTGCCCTTGGCAGTTGGGAGTTTTTAGAGTGTCCACGTATGGCTGGGTGTGGTGGCTCATGTCTGTAATCTCAGCACTTTGGGAGGTCCAGGTGGGAGGATTGCTTGAGCCCAGGAGACTAGCCTGGGCAACATGATGAGACCCATTTCTACAAAACAAAAATTTTAAAATATTAGCTATTAAAATATTACAGTGGCTCACACCTGTAATCCCAGCTACTCAGAAGGCTGAGACAGTAGGATCACTGCAGCTCAGGAGGTCCAGGCTGCAGTGAGCTATTGTCATAGCACTATACTCCAGCCTAGGCAACAGAGCGAGACCCTGTCTCAAAAAAAAAAAAAAAAAAAAAGGAGTACCTACATGTGCTTATGCAAGCATGCACACACACACACACACACACACACGCACACACACACAGGGGATATGCAGATACTGACTTAACGAGAGTTTTATTTTTAAAGGATATGTTTTATTTTGCCATCACACACAGTCTGCAAGATTTGTGAGTGCCACTTCATGCTATGCTCTGAATACATCTCTGATATAAGGCTTCATACAAGGCTTGTAGTTTTAATTTAAAATACTTTTTTAGTGAATATTTTACTGACTACAGCTCCACCTGAATCTCTTTATGCAAGCAAGCAGGGCACTCTGAAAAAGGCATCCTGCGGTGTCAACAATGCCTGTGGGGGCTTAAAACGTCCACATTTATCTATGTGTAAGAGACCTATGGTCGTGCTCCATAGAGGGTTACAGGGACAATATAGGCAGAGAGAAATCTTGGACTGAGAAATTTTTCAACATAAATGGCTTAGCGAGATAACATCATAGAGGAAATTCATTGGTATAATCTCACATTGATAAGCAGCTATTTCTGACCCTTGTCAAGTTTACACATTCCTCAGCTCTTTGAAACAAATGAATCATGCCTGCAAAGCTTTCATGATCAGCTTGAAAAAGGTAAGAAGGAGCTTTCAAAATTCATTAGTAGAACTATGAAAAGCTCAAGCCCCTTCAAAATGAGTTGCAAATATTTTAGAAAAGGATGTATGTAGGTATGTTTATTTTTTATTTCAGTGGAGCAACTAAAGAAAAAATCTAAAAGTCTGTAACTTACTATGCCTGTATAAATAAAAAGAAGACAATTGAATCACAAGGATCAGAAAATAAAACATTTTTAAAAGAGAGTTAACCAATTAAAATCACGGCATGTTAATTTGCAGATATCAATAAACGGATTGTAAGTTGATAGGGAAGACAAAAGATTTAAAATAGCCAACATAGTGTTTCAACACAGTATTTAAGAAGATCAACAAAGCCAGAGGGCTGACACTACCCAACTTCGATAGTTGGTATAAAACTAATCAAGACACTGCAGTATCAGCAAAAGAATAGAGAAATAAATCAGTGGAATAGAATAGAAAGCCCAGAAATGGACCCAGATGAATATAGTCAAGTAAGCTTTGACAGAGGAGCAAAGGCAATTCAATGAAGAAAGGATCATCTTTACAGGATATAGTGTTGACACAACTTGGCACCTACATGCAAAAAAAGATGAATATAGACATGACCTTTTACCTTCCAAAATATTCAACCAAAACAGATCATAGATCTAAGTGTAAAGTTTAAAACTATAAAACTACTGAAAGAAAACACAAAATCTAGCTTACCTGGCTTTAGTTATGATTTTTTAGCTACAACACCAAAAGCAATATCCATGAAAGAATAAAGTGATATGTAAGACTTCATTAGAATTGAGCATTTCTGCTTTATGAAAGACATAGTTAAGAGAATGAAGACATGTCGCAGACTTGGAAAAAATATTTGTAAAACACATACCACATAAAGGAATTGTATTCACAATATACAAAGAACTCTTAAAACTCAACAATAGACATGAATTCCTTGACCATGCCTATGGCCTGAATGGTATTGCCTAGGTTTTCTTCTAGGGTTTTATGGTTTTAGGTCTAACATGTAAGTCTTTAATCCATCTTGAATTAATTTTTGTATAAGGTGTAAGGAAGGGATCCAGTTTCAGCTTTCTACATATGACATATGGCTAGCCAGTTTTCCCAGCACCACTTATTAAATAGAGAATCCTTTCCCCATTTCTTGTTTTTGCCAGATTTGTCAAAGATGAGACGGTTGTAGATGTGTGGTATTATTTCTGAGGGCTCTGTTCTGTTCCATTGGTCTATATCTCTGTTTTGGTACCAGTACCATGCTGTTTTGGTTACTATAGCCTTGTAGTATAGTTTGAAGTCAGGTAGTGTGATGCCTCCAATTTTGTTCTTTTGGCTTAGGATTGTCTTGGCAATGTGGGTTCTTTTTTGGTTCCATATGAACTTTAAAGTAGTTTTTTCCAATTCTGTGAAGAAAGTCATTGGTAGCTTGATGGGGATGGCGTTGAATCTATAAATTACCTTGGGCACTATGGCCATTTTCACGATATTGATTCTTCCTATCCATGAGCATGGAATGTTCTTCCATTTGTTTGTATCCTCTTTTATGTCGTTGAGCAGTGGTTTGTAGTTCTCCTTGAAGAGGTCCTTCACATCCCTTGTAAGTTGGATTCCTGGGTGTTTTATTCTCTTTGAAGCAATTGTGAATGGGAGTTCACTGATGATTTGGCTCTCTGTTTGTCTGTTATTGGTATATAAGAATGCTTGTGATTTTTGCACATTGATTTTGTATCCTGAGACTTTGCTGAAGTTGCTTATCAGCTTAAGGAGATTTTGGGCTGAGACAATAGGGTTTTAAAAGCAATGGCAACAAAAGCCAAAATTGACAAATGGGATCTAATTAAACTAAAGGGCTTCTGCACAGCAAAAGAAACTACCATCAGAGTGAACAGCCAACCTATAGAATGGGAGAAAATTTTTGCAATATACTCATCTGACAAAGGGCTAATATCCGGAATCTACAAAGAACTCAAACAAACTTACAAGAAAAAAAAAACAACTCCATCAAAAAGTGGGTGAAGGATATGAACAGACAATTCTGAAAAGAAGACATTTATGCAGCCAACAGACACATGAAAAAATGCTCATCATCACTGGCCATCAGAGAAATGCAAATCAAAACCACAATGAGATACCATCTCACACCTGTTAGAATGGCAATCATTGAAAAGTCAGGAAACAACAGGTGCTGGAGAGTATGTAGAGAAAAAGGAACACTTTTACACTGTTGGTGGGACTGTAAACTAGTTCAACCCTTGTGGAAGACAGTGTGGCGATTCCTCAAGGATCTAGAACTAGAAATACCATTTGACCCAGCCATCCCATTACTGGGTATATACCCAAAGGATTATAAATCATGCTGCTATAAGGACACATGCACACGTATGTTTATTGCGGCACTATTCACAATAGCAAAGACTTGGAACCAACCCAAATGTCCATCAATGATAGACTGGATTAAGAAAATGTGGCACATATACACCATGGAATACTATGCAGCCATAAAAAAGGATGAGTTCATGTCCTTTGTAGGGACAGGGATGAAACTGGAAACCATCATTCTCAGCAAACTATTGCAAGGACAGAAAACCAAACACTGCATGTTCTCACTCATAGGTGGGAATTGAACAATGAGAACACTTGGACACAGGAAGGGGAACATCACATACCAGGGCCTGTCATGGGGTGGGGGGAGTGAGGAGGGATAGCATTAGGAGATATACCTGATGTAAATGATGAATTAATGGGTGCAGCACACTAACATGGCACATGTATACATATGTAATAAACCTGCATGTTGTGCACATGTACCCTAGAACTTAAAGTATAATAAAAAAAAAAACAAGAAGATAACCAGTAATTAAGTTAATTATTTGTTTTTCCTTCCAACTTTTATTTTAAGTTCAGGTGATACACACACAGGTTTATTATATGGTTAAGGTGCACGTTGCTATGGTTTGGCATACAAATTACTTCATTACACAGGTAATAAGCATAGTAACCGAGAGGTAGTTTTTTGATCCTCACCCTCCTCCCACCCTCTACCGTTAAGTAGGGCCTGGTGTCTGTTGTTCCCCTCTTTGTGTTATGAGAATATGCAGTACTTGGTTTTCTCTTCCTGTGTTAATTACCTTAGGATAATGGCCTCCAGATGCATCCTTGTTGCTGCAAAGGGCATGATCTCATTCTTTTTATGGCTACATAGTATTCCATGATGCATACATACCACATTTCCTTTATCCAGTCCGCTGATGAGGGCCTTTAGGTTGATTCCATGTCTCTTCTATTGTGAATAATGCTGCAATAAATACATGATGCATATGTCTTTATGGTAGAATGATTTATATTCCTTTGGGTATATACCCAGTAATGGGATTGCTGAGTAAAATGGTAGTTCTGTTTTAAATTCTTAGAGAAACCTCAAAATTAATAACAAATTACTTTAGCCAGAGTGGCTAAACTGATTTATAGCCACAGTGGCTAAACTAACTTACACTCCCACTAGCAGTGTATAAGCACTTCTTTTCTCCACAATGTCACCAGCATCTGTTATTTTTTTTTTCACTTTTTAATAACAGCCATTCTAACCAGTGTGAGATGCTATCTCACTGTGGTTTTGATTTGCCTTCCACTAATGATTAGTGGTCTTGAACGTTTTTTCATACGCTTTTTGGCTTCTTTTGAGAGGTGTCTGTTCGTATCCTTTGCCCATTTTTTAATGAGATTTTTTGTTATTTGTTTGTTGATTTGTTGAAGTTTCTTATAGATTCGGATATTAGACTTTTGTCAGATGCATAGTTTGCAAATATTTTCTCCCATTCTGTAAGTTGTCTGTTTACTCTGTTGACAGTTTCTTTTTGTGCAGAAGCTCTTTAATTTAATTATGTCCTACTTGTCAATTTTTGGTTTTGCTGCAGTGGCTTTTGGAATCTTCATCATGAAATCTTTGCCAGGACCTATGTCCAGAATGGTGTTTCCTAGCGGTTTTATCCCTACAGTTTTTATAGTTTTAGGTTCTCACGTAAGGTTTTAAATCATCTTGAGTTGATTTTTGTATATGGTGAAAGGAAGAGGTCTAATTTCAATCTACTGTATATGGCTACCCAGTTATTCCAGCACCATTTATTGAATAGGGAGTCATTTCCAAATTGCTTTTTATTGTGGACTTTGTTGAATATCAGATGATTGTAGGTACACCGCATTACTTTTGGGTTCTCTGTGCTGTTTCATTGCACCATGTATCTGTTTTTGTACAAATACCATGGTGTTCTGGTAACTATAACCTTATAGAATGATTTGAAATTGAGTAGTACAATACTTCTGGCTTCGTTCTTTTTGCTTAAGATTGCTTAGCTATTTGGGCTGTTTTTTGGTTCCATGTGAATTTTAGAATAGTTTTTTGGTTTTTTTTTTTTTTTTTAGTTCTGTGAAAAATTTTATTGGTAGTGGGATAGGACTAGCATAGAGTATATAAGTTGCTTTGTGGAGTAGGGCTATTTTAACAATATTGATTTTTCGAAACTATGAGCATGGAATGTTTTCCCATTTGCTTGTGTCATCTCTAATTTCTTTCAGTAGTGTTTTGTAATTCTCATTTTAGACACTGTTCACCTTCCTGATTAGCTGTATTCCTAGGTATTTTATTTTTTTGTGTCCATTGTAAATGGTATTGCATTCTTGTTTTGGCTCTCAGCTTTGATGTATTGGTGTACAGAAATGCTTTTTGGTACCTTGATTTTGTACCTGAAACTTTGCTAAAGTTATTTATCAATTCTACAAAACTTTGGATAGAGTTTTTTTTTGTTTTTTTTTAAGATGGAGTCTCGCTCTGTCACCCAGGCTGGAGTGCAGGGGCGCCATCTCTGCTCACTGCCAGCTCCCCGTCTCGGGTTCATGCCATTCTCCTGCCTCAGCCTCCCGAGTAGCTGGGACCACAGGCGCCCGGCACCACGCCCGGCTTTTTGTATTTTTAGTAGAGACAGGGTTTCACCATGTTAGCCAAGATGGTCTCGATCTCCTGACCTAGTGATCCGCCCGCCTCGGCCTCCCAAAGTGCTGGGATTACAGGCATGAGCCACTGTGCCCAGCCTCAGGGGTTTTCTGTGTATAGAATCATATCATCTGCAAGTGAGCTAGTTTGACTCTCTCTCTTCCTATTTGGAGGCCTTTTATTTCTTTCTCTTGCCTTACTATCCTGGCTAGAACTTCCAGAATTATGTTGAATAGGACTGGTGAAAGTAGGCATCATTGTCTTTTCCTGGTTCTCAAGATGAATGCCTCTAGCTTTTGCCTAGTCAGTATGATGTTGGTTGTGGGTTTGTCATAGATGGCTGTTATTATTTTGAGGTATATTCCTTCGATGTTTAGTTTGTTGAGTGTTTTTAACATGAAGGCATGTTGAATTTTATTGAATGTCTTTTCTATGTTTGATATGATCACACCATTTTTGCTTTGTTTCTGTTCTTTATGAATCACTTTTATTGATCTGTGTATGTTGAACTAACCTTGCATTGCACGGATAAAGCCTACTTGATTGTGGTGGATTAATTTTTGCTGTGCTGCTAGATTAAGTTTTGCAAGCATTTTGTTGAGGATTTTTGCATTACGTTCACCAGGGATATTTTCCTGAAATTTTCTTTTTTTTGTTGTGTCTCTGCCAGGTTGGTATCAGAATGATGCTGGCCTTATGAATTAGGGAGGAGTTCCCTGTTCTCTATTTTTTGACATAGTTGCAGTAGGATTGGAACCAGCTCTTCTTTATATGTCTGTAGAATTTGGCTGTAAATTCATCCGATCCAGGCCTTTTCTGGTTGGTAGGTTTTTAATTACTGTTTCAATTTCAGAACTCATTTCTGTTCTGTTCAGGGTGTCAGTTTCTTCCTGGATTAATCTTGGGAGCTTGTATGTTTCCAGGAATTTCTCCATTTCTTCTAGATTTTCTAGTTTATGTGCATATAGGTATTTGTAGTAGTCTCTAGGGTTTTTTGTATTTTTGTGGGACCAGTGCTAATATCCCTTTTTCATTTCTGCTTGTGTTCATTTGGATTTTTCTTTCTGTTTTTGTTTATTAGTCTAGCTAGTGGTCCATCAATTGTATGTATTCTTTAAAAGAACCAACTTTTAGTTTAATTGATTTTTTGGTATTGTTTTGCATCTCCATTTCATTCAGTTCAAATCAATTTTGGTTATTTCTTTTCTTACTAGCTTGGGGGTTTGTTTGCTCTTGTTTTTCTAGGTCCTCTAGGTGTGATGTTAGATTGTTAATTTTGAGAGCTTTCTATCTTTTTCATGTGGATGTTTAGCCCTGTAAGCTTTCATCTTAACACTGCTTTAGCTATGTCCCAGAGATTCTGGTATGTTGTATCTTTGTTTTCATTAATTTCTACGAATGTCTTGATTTCTGCCTTAATTTCATTGTTTACCCAAATGTCATTCAGGAGCAGTTTGCTGGTTGATTTCCATGAAATTATATGTTTTTAAGAGTTCTTCTTGGTAGCAATTTCTGTTTTTACTGTGCTGTTGACCAAGTGTGTGGTTGATATAATTTCATTTTTTTTTTTTTTGCTGTGAATTGCTTTATGGCCAAACGTGTGGCTGATTTTAGAGTATGTGCCATGTGTATATTAGAAGAATGGATATTCTGTTGTTGTTATGTGGATTGTTCCATGGATGTCTGTTAGGTCCATTTGGTCCAGTGTCAATTTTGGATCCCAAATATCTTTGTTAGTTTCCTGCCTTGATGATATGTATAGTACTGTCAGTGGGGTGTTAAATCTCCCACTATTATTGTGTGGTTATCTGAGTCTCTTTGTAGGTCTCTAAGAACTTGTTTTATAAATCTGGGTGCTCCAGTGTTAGGTGCATTTATACTTAGGATAATTAAGCCTTTGAGTTGAATTGAACTCTTTACCATTATGTAATGCTCTTCTTTGTCCTTTTTGATCTTTGTTGGTTTAAAGTCTGTTTGGTCTGAAATAAGAATACCAACCCCTGCTCTCTTTTGTTTTCCATTTGCTTATCAGATCTTTCTCCATTCTTTCACTTTGAGCCTATGGGTGTCATAGTATATGAGATGTGTTTCTTGAAGACAGCATACAGTTGGGTCTTGGTTCTTTATGTGGCTTGCCACTCTGTGCCTTTTAAGCGGGGTGTTTAGCACATTTACATTCAAGATTAATATTGATTTGTGCAAATTTGATCCTGCCATGACGTTGTTAGCTGGTTGTTACTTAGACTTAATTGTGTCAGTGTTTTATAGTGTCAATGGTCTGTGTACTCAAGTGTGTTTTTGTAGTGTCCTGTAACAGTCTTTCATTTCCATGTTTAGCACTCCCACAAGGATGTCTCTTAAGGCATGTCAGGCGGTAATGAATTCCCTTAGCATTTGCTTGCCCGAAAAGAATTTTGTTTCTCTTTTTCTTATGAAGCTCAGTTTGGCTGAATTTGAAATTCTTTATTGGAATTTATTTTCTTTAAGGATGCTCCAATCTCTTCTTGCTTGTAGGACTTCTGCTGAAAGTTCTGCTGTAAGCCTAATACAGTTCCTTTTGTAAGTGACCTACCCCTTCTCTCTCGGTGCTAATATTTTTTCTTTCATGTTGACTTTGGAGAATCCGATGACTGTGTGTCTTGGGCATGGTCATCTTGTATAGTACTTTGCAAGTGTTCTCTGAATTTCCTGAATTTGAATATTGACCTCTCTAACAAGGTTGGAGAAGTTTTCATGTACAGTATCCTCAAATATGTTTTCCAAGTTGCCTGCTCTCTCTCCCTCTCTTTGAGGAATGCCATTGACTTGTAGGTTTATTCTCTTTACATAATCCCATATTCCTCCAAGGTTTTTTTTCCCTTTTTTTCTTTATTTTTGTCTAAGTTGATTGAAAGAACTGGTCTTTGATCTCTGATATTATTTCCTCAGCTTGTTCTGTTCTGCTGTTAATACTTCTGATTGTATTATGAAGTTCTTGTAATGATTTTTTCATCTCTATCAGATCAGTTTAGTTATTTCTTAAAATGGCTATTTCATTTTTCAGTTCTTGTATAATTTTACTCGATTGCTTACATTCCTTGGATTAGTTTTAACTTTCTCCTGAATCTCTATGATCTTCATTATTATCTAGATTGTGAATTCTATGTCAGCCATTTTAGTCTGGATAAGAACCATTGCTGGGGAGCTAGTGTAGTCATTTGGAAGTAAGAAGACACTCTGGCTTTCAGAGTTGCCAAAGTTCTTGTGCTGGTCCTTTCTTATCTGTGTGGACTGATGTTCTTTTAATCTTTGAAGCTGCTGTCCTTTGGATGGGGTTTTTTGCTTTTATAATCTTTGATGTCCTTGAGGGATTGACTATGGTATAACATGGGTTTAGTCAACTAGCTTCATTTCTGGATTATTTCAGAGGACCAAGGCTCAGCTCAGCAGTCCTGGGCTGTGTGCCCTAACCCTCTGGTGCTGGGACCAGGTCCATGCCTCTCTTCTATGGCCTCTTGAGGTTAAGCACCTGCTGTGATGGAGGTGCCAAGGTGTTTTTGGTCCAGTGCCAACAACAGTCTAATGGGAGGTGCACCACAAGTACTTCATTGGGGTGACGGCAGTGGGGTCTGTGCTCACAAGTGCATGGCAGTGGTGGCAGGGCTCAGGGTCTGCATGCATGATGCATGCATGACAACATTGGTGTGGCAGTGGCATCCATGTGCTCACGCATGCTGGCAAAGCAGTTGGGGGGAGGCTGTGGGCAAGTGAACATTGGCAAAGCAGTGGGAGGAGGCTGCAGGCAGGTGTGCATTGGTAGGAGCTCATTTGCCAAAGCTCCCTGATGGGTAGGCAAAGTCTACCAGCAAAAGAGCTACGGCAGTGGCCACTGGCACGTGCCCTGGTTGAGCATCTGAGGCTGTGCTGCAAGCAGTTGCAGCCAGGCAGGGACCCTGGGAAAAACCAGCAGATAGCAGGGCACTCAGATTAGACTGGTCCCATCCCAACTGCAAGATAGCCCCTTTCTATACAGGTCTGACACTCAACAAATGCCACAACCACCTACATGAGCATTGCAAGCCTTGGAAGAGTGCTCCACTGCCAGCATTCCTGCGTCAAACCCTCTGGGTTCTATGCAGACCAGAGTCTTGTCCCTGCCACCCCTTCAAGCAGTTCTCCCTTCCAGCTCAAATGTCCATGGTGGCCACTGGGTCTCCTGCAGCTAGGATTCTGGAGGTTTGTGGTGAGAGTGGGCCATTTCACACATATGTAACTCATTCCTTCCCCAAAAGCCACTTGGAGCCAGGAACAAATCCTGGTGCTTGACAACCCTGTGCTGGGACCTCAATTTCCTTCTGTTTCATCCCAGGGTCTGAGTCCTCTCACCATTCAATCTCAAAGTCTGCCTTCCAAAGATCTGCTGAGAGTGTGCTAGTCTTCTTGATGATCTGGTCTCTCAGTGGGAGAAGCTTTTTCCAGATGCATCTTGTCAGTCATATTGGCTCCTTTCCCTATTCTAATTTTAAAATAAGCTAAATATCTGAACAGACATTTTATCAAAGAAGATATACAGATGGCAAATAAGCATATGAAAAGATGTTCAACATCATATATCATTGAAGCATTATGAATTAGAACAACATTGAGATACCGCCATGCACCCATTAGACTGGCTAAAATTCAAAATACTGACATAATCAAATGCTAGTGAAAATACGAAGCAACAGGAATCCGCATTCACTGATGGTAAGAATGCATAATGGCACAGCCACTTTGGAAGATAACCTGGCAGGAGGGAGGAAATAAATGAGAACTCACTGTAGTTTTATTCGATTTTTTTGTAAAATAAAAACTGCTCTAAAAAATAAAATGTATTTTTTTTAAAAAAGAGGCAGTATAAAACTATTCCTGAAACAAAAATCACATAAAGATATACACAAAATAAAAAATAAAAATATAGAAGGAAAGTCTTACCCTTTAGAAGAAATTACAGGGCAAGAAATTAAAAGTGATGTAAAATTGCCAACAGAATTTAAATGTCTGTCAATAAGACAATGACTTTTAAATGGAAAAACAGGCACAGTGAACCCAAGATAAAAAGTTCAGGGACATTCAATTTCATGCTACTTTCTTATCCAATCCCATCAGGACCTCAAAATTACATGATTGTGCTATATATTCTAAAAATTCATTTGTCTCTTTTGAAATAAGCAACATTCATATTCAACTCTAATTGATATTATAGTAATTAGAAGTCTAGGATATTGGCCAACTTAATCTAATTAAAGTTTCTCAGGGAATCATCATCATTATTTTTTAATTGTTGTATGCGACAGAAGTAAAATAACAGATTCATGATTCCACGTTGTAATGATTACTGACATCTTCATTGTATTTGAAGAAATATTACATTTTTGCTACATGGCCAATTGGGAAATGAAAAAGAGAATGATGTAGAATTGCATACAATGATCTAAAGACTCAATGATGAATAGTTATTTATGGATATTGACAATGGCATAGTGTTAAAGCAGCCAAATACACTCCTAACGAATGAGTGTAACACTGCAGAGGAAAATTGGTTTGGTCTTACATGCCAAAGAGTACTATAGTTAGTGTTTTGTTTTTGGAGGGTTCCTTGGATATTAGTAACTATAATTTAGGGGAGTATTAGCCTTGTGGCAACAAAGACTCTTTGTTTGAAGGTCTGATTGCTACTTGGTCATTAAGTATGATGGGATCTTTTCTGTCTAAGATGGATTTTTTTTAGTTGAGTTGTGGATAGTACAAACTGATTCTCAATTAAAACTTGTATGAAATTTGCCATCTTTGAGACCAGCAATACTTCCTGTTTCAAAACACAGCAGAGGCAGCAAACTCAAGTATGTCATGCTAGCCATTTTACTTCCTGGTCTTTCTGTGCTTAGAAGCTTTCATTCTACCACGCAGTAGACAAGATAGAATGTCATCCTGTTGCTGAGCCTACAGGACACAGATACTCTGTCACAGTTTTGCTGAGTAGTCAGTGTCATTTATTGGGCACTTATGTGAGCATCTTCATCTGCTCATCTTGAAATTATTCAAAATCATCTTTACTTGTCCTCCTTTTTCTCACTTTCTGAGAAAATATGTACTGTATATTTCTTTCTCATCTGAATAAGAATCAGGGAAATACAAAAAAAACACCAATGAGATGCTGCATTTTATCCATAGGATTGGCAATAAATTATATTCTGCCAGCATCAAGAGTTGGTGAGGATGTTGATGGGATTAAAAGTTAGTATAAAACTTTGGCAGGGGTGGCCAGTTGTGGATAAAACTCCTTTGGTCTCTTTCAGAGCACACAGTTTTAGGTGGGAAGTGGATGCTGAACTAATGACTGACTGTATTTCCAGCCTTTCTTCCAGCTAAGTGGCCTTGAAACCATAGACGTTTCCTAGGTCATTACGCAACACAGAATGCCCTATTCCCATTAACAGTCACTTCTCATGTTTTTCTTCCTCCTCCCAGGCAAACACTGGTCTATTTTCTGTCTCTATAGACTTACCTATTCTGGGCATTTCTTACAAATGGATTCATATATGTGATCTTTTGTGACTGGCTTCTTTCCATCAGCATAATATCTTCAAAGTTCATTCATGTCATAGTATATGTATCAATACTTTATTCCTTTTTTAGTACTGAATAATATTCTATTGCATATGTATACCATATTGTGTTTATTACAGACATTTGGGTTGTTTCCAATTTTCAGTTATTACGGATAATACTGCTATATGCATTTACAAGTTAGGCCATGTAGCAACTCTATGTTTAACATTTCAAAGAACTGCCAAACTAGTTTTCTAAAGTTCCTGCAACATTTCACATTCCATTGGCAATGCATGAGAGTTTTCAATTTCTCTATATTCTTGTCAACACTTGTTATTGTCCATCTTTTTTATAATAGCCATACTAATCAGTGTAAAGTGGTATCATATTGTGGTTTTAATTTACATTTTTCTAATGAGTAATGATGTTGAGTATCATTCCATGTGTTCATTAGCTATTTCTATATCTTCTGAGATAAATATCTATTCAGATTCTTTGCCCATTTTTATTGTGCTTTTTTTCATTATTGAGTTGTCTGGCTTTCCATATATTCAAGATACAAGTCCTTTATCAGATATGTAGTTTGCAAATATTTTCTCCCAGTCTGAGTTGTCTTTTCACATTCTTGATGGTATTTTTGCAACACAAAATTGTTTAATTTTTATGAAGTCCACACTTATTTTTATTATAAGAATTAATCTTTATCATTAAGATAAATGAATAGCATCATAGTGAACATCAGGCCTGTATGACACAATGACAAAGAAATAGATGAGTTAGCTAAGAATGACAATTTTGACTAACAGTAAAGAAACATTTTCCAGGATAAATTCACTACAGAAAAAAATTTTGGAACAGCTCCTGGGTAACTATCTGGTATAGTCATTTTTTAGTTACTCTTCTGAGAATTCACCAAAGCAATAAAACTTCTCTGGCCATTATAACTTGAAGCACCTACTAGATTTTTCTATTCAGAATTATCTTTACAAAAGGGAACTGTCAGATTACTTATCTGTTAATTAAAGATATTGTAATATTGTGATGTCAATGGTACAGTGGCTTACTATGGTTTGTTCTTCCTTCTAAAAATCTTCAGATTAAAAAGAAAGAAAGCTAAGACTTACTAAGCTCATAATATGGGCCAGGGACTTTATAAAGCATTTTACTAAATGGAAAAATAATTCATAATACAGTCATTCAGGAGAAGTTCTTCAGCCACAAAATATAGGCCTCCTTTGTTTTCTAGTTTCTGTAACAGAAAAGTGAAGTATTCATTCAATTTGTCTTAAAGAAATATTAAATGCCTACTATGTGCCACTTATTTTACCAGGTATTACAATGGAAAATGTGATCTATTTATCATCAAGGGGACTGTAGTTTGCGAAGGATGAGGAGAAAGATGTAAACCAATAAATATAATAAAGTGTTACAGGAACAGAGTATTTATAGGGTACAGGGGATGAACAAAAGACAACAATATTAGTGAATATATAGGTGCTTAATGTACATTGTTTCATTTTAATACACACAATAGTCCTGTAAATCAGATATTTCCATCTCCACTACATAAATGAGGAAATTAAGGCCCAGGAAAGTTAAAGGACTTAAAAAAGATTAGAAAAACTAATAAGTAACACGATAGAAAGCCAAAGCAAGGGCCCCTGATTGCAAAACTGTGTTTATTGCAATCTGTCATGTAGACCCTCAAACGCTCACTACACTTATCCTGTTAGTCAAGCTAATGATACAGTGGCAAGAAAAGTGTGGCTCCGGGAGCATCAGTCATTCTGTGAGCTCATCAGTCTGCATTATCTATTGATTATTAATATATTCTCAATACAACTCTTCTTCTTCAAATTTAGATCTATCCCAATACACTGTAAGATTACAATAGCTATTAGGAATATGCAATTGCTCCCGAGAATCCTTATTAAAGATAGGATTTTAAAGCCCTTATTTTTATCTTACATTGTTAAGCCTTGTGGCAAATTGAATCATTGTTTGCAATTTTTTTGCCTCCCCTTCTTTACACCTTATACATCTGCACCCCTTACCACTTGCCCTTTTAATTCCAGTTACCAAAATGCGCAGAGTTTAGTGCCCAATCCCATCAACACTGGGTTTGACCATTGTCTTGCTTTGAACAATGGAATAAGGGTAAAAGCAACTATGTACAGTTCCAACTGAGGCTAACGGTGCAATGCCTGTTTCTCCTTGTGCATGCTGTCCATGTGCACTTTATGCTTTCATGCATATTAATGATTGCTATTCAAAAAAGTTGCTCTGTAACTGCACATCTTCGGCCTGAGCCCTACAATAAACATAGGTTGGAACACATCAGAGACAAACGCACACCAAGAAGCCTAGCTCAGCTTAGATCAGCTGATCTTCAACTTTCCTGCAAGAGCATGAGAAATAAATACTTATGGTACATGCCACAGAGATTTTTATGGTTGTTGTTTACACCACGATAGCTAACAGAGACAAGCCTTACTCTCTTCCTCCTGGGGAATTTAGAATATAAGCACTCCAGATTGATTTATCCAGCTTGTAACATGAAACTTCAATGGATAATATGGTCAGCCTATTTAATCTCTAAGTAACAAGAAAATCATGATTACAGAGAATTAAGACCTGCAGCCATTACTTCCATTATAAAGTAAAAGTAATGTGTCCTTGAATGTATCAAACTTAATAGGTCAAAATTTGGACACTTTATTTCTGCCTCTGAACTTAATTCCTCTTTCAGTTTCCCAGCACAGTAAATGCCACCTCGGTCCAGCTAGAAACCCAGGAAGTCATCCTGAACTCTTTCCACTTCATTGCTCACTACATCCAATCCATCAGCAGCTTTTCCAAAGATTTTCCAGGATTCATTCACTTTTCTCTTTGGCCCCTCTACAGTTTCCTAACCCTTGCAAGCACATCAGTCTCTTCTGCTCATCAAAACACACCATAAGGAAAGTAGCAAAGACAAACCACAAAAAGCAAAAAAATAAAAGCTAAAAAGATTTGCTGCCTACCAAAAATTGTTATAAGTTTAGAACAGTGCTGTCTGGCCAATAGAAAAAATGCAAACCACCTATGTAATTTTAAATTTTCTAATAATCACATTTAAAAATGTTAACACAATTGTTTAAAATAATTTTAATAATATATTGTTACTTAAGCCAATACATCAGAATTTCATCAACAGTAAATAAATATAAAAATTAATGAGAACTTTATACTTTTTCATACTGTCTTCAAAATTTAGTTTTTGTGCTACTTTTACAAAACATCTCAATTTAGACTAGTTGGATTTCAAGTGAGTATATGAGCACTTATGAATCAATGAGAAAAAGCAAACCATCCAAAAGAACGGTGAGAAAAAGACATGAACAAAAATGCATACATTCTGTCTTCGTTTTTACTCTATGTTTACAGTCATAGTACATTTAAAGTGCTTTTTCTGTGATTAGACTGAGACACTGTGGAGATGGCAGGGAGAGTTTTCTTCCTCTCTAGAAGGAATAAAAATGAATGCAAATCTTAATTATTCATAGTTGTGATTTTATTTGTTACTTAGAGATTAAACAGATTGGCCACATTATTCACTGAAGTTTCATGTTTAATTCTGTTATACTTTAATGGTGATCGACGTTCGTAAAATTTCCATTACCTAAGGTACTTTTGACCCTGATAGCCAATTCATTCCTCTTAGGAAAAAATGCTTCTTCTATATCACAGAATCTTCACTGTCAGCATGGCAGCAACCCCAAAATTGGTGGACAAAAGGGAAAAAAAATCAAATTTAGTTATTTTCCAAACTATACAAATTTACTTATTTTCTAAACTCATAAGAAAGAAACTAAGCAACCAAGTTTAGCTTCTTGAACATTGCAGACAGCATCCTTGATAAAGGATTTCTTATTAATCTCTTAAAAACATTCACCTTGTTAAGTGCATTGTTTTAAATATACCTGAGAGTTTTGTCCTTTCAAAAGAACAATTATGGCAGTAATTTTTCTGTGCTGTTCATGAGCATGCTGAAAAGGTTATTCATTTCATAAGTGATACTATTAGACTTCCTGGCGTTTTTTGTTCAAAGAATTCCCGATAAGCTTCCTCACAGAAATAAGCTTATAAAGGAAATAATTACTGAGCCTCAAGAAATAAATTTTTGATAGTCTGAGGTGGGAAACTGACTCATTCTGAAGAAGGGGAGAGTTAAATATTTGAGCCCCTCCAAGGCTGATGGCTCATTAATAGCAGGGAAAAAGGGCTCTGAGAGATCATGTGAAGTCCTGCCACTCACGTGTCCCATGATCCTGATATAAGAGCTGGCATGGCTTTTCTCAAAATAGGGAGTAAAGTGAAATAAATAAAAGTCATAACATAACCTGAGGATATGGTAAAACAACACAAACGACTGCAATGTTAAAAACAACAGCAACAAAAACAGAACTAAGAGGAGTAAGACCACTGATATGGTTCGGATGTGTGTGCCCGCAAGCCTCATGTTGAAATGTCATCCCCAGTTCTGGAGGTGGGGCCTGGTGAGAGGTGTTTGCGTCACTGGGGGGGATCCCTCATGAGCAGCTTGGTGCCATCCTCTCAGGGTAATGAGTGAGTTCTCACTCTCTGAGTTCACATGAGATCTGGTTGTTTATAAAAGTCTGGGACCTCCTCCCTGCCTCTTGCTGCCTCTCTTGCCATGTGGTACACTGGCTTCCCCCTTCACCTTCCTCCATGATTGTAAGCTTCCTGAGGCTCTCACCAGAAGCCAAGCAGATGTTGTTGCCATGCTTCTACCACCTGTAGAACTGTGAGCAAATTAACCCTGCTTTCTTTACAAATTATTTGGCCTCGAATATTCCTTTAAAGCAAGGCAAATAGACTAATACGCTCAATATATTAAGAAATTCAATAATTACTTTATAACCCTTGGGAGGGTCCAACTCCACCAACATGAACAACCAAGGAAGGAGAAATGGCATGGGGGCCAAGTCATGATGACCACACAGCAAGCCTGTGAGTGATGTTATTATGGGAGTAACCACCAGGTCCAAGTCACTCCCAGCCCCTGGTGTAAGCATCAAGGTGGAGGCTAAAATGAAAACCAATCGAGGCTGCATCCTATCTCAAGGATTAGGTGATATTTGGCACCAGAAGCTGGAGTACTCTGGGTGAACCATCCAGATTTTTCTGCCAAGGGAAGGGAAGTTGTTGAGTGATTTGGGAGCCTAGAGAATGCCCTCTGTGGGAGGAGAGGGAGACAACGATTGTGTTTCTTTCACTGGAGACCTTATCTCCACCCTCCAGCAGCCTGGAGACTAGCAGAAAGTCATCCTGCTTTCACTTGCTCTGAGCATTGCAAAAGTTTTCATAGTTTCCAGAAGCTTACTTTCCCTTCAGCACTTTTTAAAACCTACTTACCAATTTTATGGACTACTTATTTGACGTTGTATGTGATTTACAATGTGAAAAATCCCAACTGGTCTACTTTATGACCAGGAAGACGGTCCTACTGAGCTTTGGAATTGCTGTACCTGTTCTTTGAGCTATAATATATAGCTCAGGTATTTTGGGGATATTGCATCCAAATCTAAAATGTAAGCTGAAAGAAAAAAAAAAAAAAACAAGCACATTACTTGAAGTTCAGTCTCAGAAAAATGTTTCTCAAATTTTATTTCCTATTTCTCAATTTTCCTTTAGGCAATTAAAAAGCAAAACATCACTTCAGAAGATACACATTTAATCTACGTTGTAGGGAGCATGTAATTTGAATCTAAACCCCTTAAATTATCTGTCCATTAGCAAAAAACAGACTTTGCACTCCAAAAACTATTTTGTTTAATTGAAAGTGCTCAAAGGCAACCCTTCATAAGTATTCAAATTCAGTGACTTGAATTAATTTACCTCTATTTAACTATTCTGTCCTGGGATGCAATTGAAAGTAACAAAGCTAATAAGTAAAGGTAATAGACTACTCTCCACATGGATTAATATAGATTAATAAATTAATCCATCTTGATTAATAAAGAAAGTCTATCTTAGAAATTTAAGCAAAATGCCTTATTACTTTTGTTCTTGGCAGCAAGGATATTTTAAATTATATCCTATATAATATCCTATTATGTTGGTGTTTCCCCCTCAATTTTCTAATTTGAGAAATTCTAAATTTATAGGAAAGTTGTAAGAGTAAGGACAATTAATGTCTATATACCAATTATCTATATTCATGAATTAATAGCATTTTACCACGTTTCTCCTTTCTATTTGTGACTTAAGAGTCAGTTTATATCTTGACAACCTCACTTCTGAATATTTCAGCCTTTATTTCAAAAGAACAAGAATATTTTCCTACATAAACATACTTCAGTTATTCAAGTCAATAAAATTAACATTGATACAATTCCATCATTTAATATTTACCCTATATTCAAATTTTCCTTATTTTCCAATAATGCCCTTTACAACTTTAAAAAAAAAATAAACAGTGGGGTAAAGAATCATGTATTGAATGTAGTTGCTATATCCTCACCTACTTTATTCTAGACAAGTTCACTTGCTTTTAATTTTTTTTAAATTAATATCATTTTATTTTACTTTATTTTATTTTATTTTATATATTTATTTTTTTATTATTAATATACTTTAAGTTTTAGGGTACATGTGCACAACGTGCAGGTTTGTTACATATGTATACATTTGCCATGCTGGTGTGCTGCACCCATTAACTCTTCATTTACATTAGGTATATCTCCTAATGCTATCACTCCCCCCTCCCCCCACCCCACAGTAGTCCCCGGTGTGAGATGTTCCCCTTCCTGTGTCCATGTGTTCTCATTCTTCAATTCCCACCTATGAGTGAGAACATGCGGTATTTGGTTTTTTGTCCTTGTAATAGTTTGCTGAGAATGATGATTTCCAGCTTCATCCATGTCCCTACAAAGGACATGAACTCATCCATTTTTATAGCTGCATAGTATTCCCTGGTGTATATGTGCCACATTTTCTTAATCCAGTCTACCGTTCTTGGACATTTAGGTTGGTTCCAAGTCTTTGCTATTGTGAATAGTGCCCCTATAAACATATGTGTGCATGTGTCTTTATAGCAGCATGATTTATAATCCTTTGGGTGGATACCCAGTAATGGGATGGCTGGGTCAAATGGCATTTCTAGTTCTAGATCCCTGAGGAATCGCCACACCAACTCCCAGAATGGTTGAACTAGTTGACAGTCCCACCAACAGTGTAAAACTGTTCCTATTTCTCCACATCCTCTCCAGCACCTGTTGTTTCCTGACTTTTTAATGATTGCCATTCTAACTGGTGTGAGATGGTATCTCATTGTGGTTTTGATTTGCATTTCTCTGATGGCCAGTGATGAGCATTTTTTCATGTGTTTTTTGGCTGCATAAATGTCTTCTTTTGAGAAGTGTCTGTTCATATCCTTTGCCCACTTTTTGATGGGGTTGTTTGTTTTTTTCTTGTAAATTTGTTGGAGTTCATTGTAGATTCTAGATATTAGCCCTTTGTCAGATGAGTAGGTTGCAAAAATTTTCTCCCATTCTGTAGGTTGCCTGTTCACTCTGATGGTAGTTTCTTTTGCTGTGCAGAAGCTCTTAAGTTTAATTAGATCCCATTTGTCAATTTTGGCTTTTGTTGCCATTGCTTTTGGTGTTTTAGACATGAAGTCCTTGCCCATGCCTATGTCCTGAATGGTATTGCCTAGGTTTTCTTGTAGGGATTTTATGGTTTTAGGTCTAACATGTAAGTCTTTAATCCATCTTGAATTAATTTTTGTATAAGGTGTAAGGAAGGGATCCAGTTTCAGCTTTCTACATATGGCTATCCAGTTTTCCCAGCACCATTTATTAACTAGGGAATCCTTTCCCCATTTATTGTTTTTGTTAGGTTTGTCAAAGATCAGATAGTTGTAGATATGCGGCAGTATTTCTGAGGGCTCTGTTCTGTTCCATTGGTCTATATCTCTGTTTTGGTACCAGTACCATGCTGTTTTGGTTACTGTAGCCTTGTAGTATAGTTTGAAGTCAGGTAGCGTGATGCCTCCGGCTTTGTTCTTTTGGCTTAGGATTGACTTGGCGATGCAGGCTGTTTTTTGGTTCCATATCAACTTTAAAGTAGTTCTTTCCAATTCTGTGAAGAAAGTCATTGGAAGGTTGATGGGCATGGCATTGAATCTATAAATTACTTTGGGCGGTATGGCCATTTTCATGATATTGATTCTTCCTACCCATGAGCATGGAATGTTCTTCCATTTCTTTGTATCCTCTTTTATTTCATTGAGTAGTGGTTTGTAGTTCTCCTTGAAGAGGTCCTTCACATCCCTTGTAAGTTGGATTCCTAGGTATTTTATTCTCTTTGAAGCAATTGTGAATGGGAGTTCACTCATGATTTGGTTCTCTGTTTGTCTGTTATTGGTGTATAAGAATGCTTGTGATTTTTGCACAATGATTCGGTTTGCCAGTATTTTATTGAGGATTTTTGCATCAGTGTTCATCGAGGATATTGGTCTAAAATTCTCTTTCTTTGTTGTGTCTCTGCCAGGCTTTGGTATCAGGATGATGCTGGCCTCATAAAATGAGTTAGGGAGGATTCCCTCTTTTTCTATTGATTGGAATAGTTTCAGAAGGAATGGTACCAGCTCCCCTTAGTACTTCTGATAGAATTCGGCTGCGAATCCATCTGGTCCTGGACTTTTTTTGGTTGGTAAGCTATTGATTATTGCCTCAATTTCAGAGCCCGTTATTGGTCTATTCAGAGATTGAACTTCTTCCTGGTTTAGTCTTGGGAGAGTGTATGTGTCAAGGAATTTCTCCATTTCTTCTAGATTTTCTAGTTTATTTATGTAGAGGTGTTTATAATATTCTCTGATGGTAGTTTGTATTTCTGTGGGATTGGTGGTCATATCCCCTTTATGATTTTTTATTGTGTCTATTTGATTCTTCTCTCTTTTATTCTTTTTAGTCTTGCTGGTGGTCTGTCAATTTTGCTGATCTTTTCAAAAAAGCAGCTCCTGGATTCATTGATTTTTTGAAGGGATTTTTGTGTCTCTATTTCCTTCATTTCTGCTCTGATCTTATTTATTTCTTGCCTTCTGCTAGCTTTTGAATGTGTTTGCTCTTGCTTCTCTAATTCTGTTAATTGTGATGTTAGAGTATCAATTTTAGATCTTTCCTACTGTCTTTTGTGGGCATTTAGTGCTGTAAATTTCCCTCTACACACTGCTTTGAATGTGTCCCAGATATTCTGGTATGTTGTGTCTTTGTTCTCTTTGGTTTCAAAGAACATCTTTATTTCTGCCTTCATTTCCTTATGTACCCAATAGTCATTCAGGAGCAGGTTGTTGAGTTTCCATGTAGTTGAGCAGTTTTGAGTGAGTTTCTTAATCCTGAGTTCTAGTTTGATTGCACTGTGGTCTGAGAGACAGTTTGTTATAATTTCTGTTCTTTTACGTTTGCTGAGGAGTGCTTTACTTCCAACTATGTGGTCAGTTTTGGAGTATGTGTGGTGTAGTGCTGAAAAGAATGTATATTCTGTTGATTTGGGGTGGAGAGTTCTGTAGATGTCTATTAGTTCTGCTTGGTGCAGAGCTAAGTTCAATTCCTGGATATCCTTCTTAACTTTTTGTCTCGTTGATCTGTCTAATGTTGACAGTGGGATGTTAAAATCTCCCATTATTATTGTGTGGGAGTCTAAGTCTCTTTGTAGGTCACTAAGGACTTGCTTTATGAATCTGGGTGCTGCTGTATTGGGTGCATATATATTTAGGTTAGTTAGCTCTTCTTGTTGAATTGATCCCTTTACCATTATGTAATGGCCTTCTTTGTCTCTTTTGATCTTTGTTGGTTTAAAGTCTGTTTTATCAGAGATTAGCATTGCAACCCCTGCCATTTTTGTTTTCCATTTGCTTGGTAGATCTTCCTCCATCCCTTTATTTTGAGCCTATGTGTGTCTCTGCATGTGAGATGGGTTTCCTGAGTACAGCACACTGATGGGTCTTGACTCTTTATCCACTTTGCCAATCTGTGCCTTTTAATTGGAGCATTTAGCCCATTTACATTTAAGGTTAGTATTGTTATGTGTGAATTTGATCCTGTCATTATGATGTTATCTGATTATTTTGCTTGTCAGTTGATGCAGTTTCTTCCTAGCCTCAATGGTCTTTACAATTTGGCATGTTTTTCCAGTGGCTGGTACCGGTTTTTCCATTCCATGTTGAGTGCTTCCTTCAGGAGCTCTTTTAGGGCAGGCCTGGTGGTGACAAAATCTCTCAGCATTTGCTTGTCTGTAAAGTATTTTATTTCTCCTTCACTTATGAAGCTTAGTTTGGCTGGATATGAAATTCTGGGTTGAAAATTCTTTTCTTTAAGTATGGTGAATATTGGCCCCCAATCTCATCTGGCTTGTAGAGTTTCTGCCGAGAGATCCGCTGTTAGTCTGATGGGCTTCCCTTTGTGGGTAACCTGACCTTTCTCTCTGGCTGCCCTTAACATTTTTTCCTTCATTTCAACTTTGGTGAATCTGACAATTATGTGTCTTGGAGGTGGTCTTCTCAAGGAGTATCTTCGTGGCATTCTCTGTATTTCCTGACTTTGAATATTTGGCCTGCCTTCTTTAGATTGGGGAAGTTCTCCTGGATAATATCCTGCAGAGTGTTTTCCAGCTTGGTTCCATTCTCCCCGTCACTTTCATGTACACTTTCATGTACACGTAGATTTGGTCTTTTCACATAGTCCCATATTTCTTGGAGGCTTTGTTGATTTCTTTTTATTCTTTTTTTCTCTAAACTTCTCTTCATGCTTCATTTCATTCATTTCATCTTCCATCGCTGATACCCTTTCTTCCCGTTGATCGCATCAGTTACTGAGGCTTGTGCACCTTTCTTTGTCACGTAGTTCTCGTGCCGTGGTTTTCAGCTCCATCAGGTCCTTTAAGGACTTCTCTGCATTTGTTATTCTAGTTATTCATTCATCTAATTTTTTTTCAAAGTTTTTAACTTCTTCGCCATTGGTTCGAACTTCCTCCTTTAGCTTGGAGTAGTTTGATCTTCTGAAGCCTTCTTCTCTCAACTGGTCAAAGTTATTCTCCCTCCAGCTTTGTTCCATTGCTGGTGAGGAGCTGCGTTCCTTTGGAGGAGGAGAGGCACTCTGATTTTTAGAGTTTCCGGTTTTTCTGCTCTGTTTTTTCCCCATCTTTGTGGTTTTATCTACCTTTGGTCTGTGATGATGGTAACGTACAGGTTGGTTTTTGGTGTGGATGTCCTTTCTGTTTGTTAGTTTTCCTTCTAACAGACAGGACCCTCAGCTGCAGGTCTGTTGGAGTTTACTGGAGGTCCAGTCCAGACCCTGTTTGCCTGGATATCAGCAGCGGTGGCTGCAGAACAGCCAATATTGGTGAACCACCTATGCTGCTGCCTGATTGTTCCTCTGGAAGTTTTGTCTCAGAGGAGTACCTGGCCGTGTGAGGTGTCAGTCCGCGCCTACTGGGGGGTGCCTCCCAGTTAGGCTATTCAGGGGTCAGGGACCCACTTGAGGAGGCAGTCTGCCTGTTCTCAGATCTGAAGCTGCGTGCTGGAAGAACCACTGCTCTCTTCAAAGCTGTGAGAGAAGGACATTTAAGTCTGCAGAGGTTACTGCTGTCTTTTGTTTGTCTGTGCCCTGCCACCAGTGGTGGGGCCTACAGAGGCAGGCAGGCCTCCTTGAGCTGTGGGGGGCTTCACCCAGTTTGAGCTTCCTGGCGGCTTTATTTACCTACTGAAGCCTGGGCAATGGCGGGCACCCCTCCCCCAGTCTCGCTGCCGCCTTGCAGTTTTATCTCAGACTGCTGTGCTAGCAATGAATGAGGCTCTGTGGGCGTAGGACCCTCCAAGCCAGGTGCAGGATATAATCTGGTGTGCCATTTGTTAAGGCCATTGGAAAAGCGCAGTATTAGGGTGGGAGTGACCTGATTTTCCAGGTGCCATCTGTCACCCCTTTTTTTGACTAGGAAAGGGAATTCCCTGACACCTTGCATTTCCCGGGTGAGGCGAAGCCTCGCCCTGCTTCGGCTCACGCATTGTGCACTGCACCCACTGTCCTGCACCCACTCTCTGGCACTCCCCAGTGAGATGAACCTGGTACCTCCTCAGTGAGATGAACCTTGGAAATGCAGAAATCACCCGTCTTCTGCGTCGCTCACTCTGGGTGCTGCAGAATGGAGCTGTTCCTATTCAGCTATCTTGGCTCCCTGCTTTTAATTTTTATTCTTTGTTTTCTAAACAATCCTGAGAGGAAATTGCAGAGATTAACCAGAAATATCTCAGCATTTATCTCTAAAGAGCAAAGTTCTCCCCTTACTGAAACGGTGTGCTTTAAAAATTTGTGGGTGGGTTTTTGTTTTACTATATTTATTATAAAAATATATTGCTTCTTTTTACAAAAAGTTGGGTAAAAATAATAGGAGAAGAGAGGGAAGATCATTACCATCACCTAGCGAAAAATTGTGACTGTTTTGTTACATTTCATTTTAGTCTTTTCTTTCTGTTTGCTTATTTTTTGCTTTCATGTCATATACAAGGAATATATCTGAAAAAGTTAAATAACATATTTTAACTTCCACTTAACAGCATCTCTCAAGCCAAAACAACACAAACACAAACACTGCTGGACCAGTAAGACCAAAAGATTCAGGGCAACAAGTCCAAAAATCAACATCAAGATTCCCTGGAACCCAAAAGTTTGCCTAGAATTGTGGCAGCAAATTGACACACAAAATCTTTCCGTTATATTATTCTTCGGAGTTTCAAGGCAACTCTTGGTTGATAAAATTGTAGCTTCAGCCAGACTAATCTGAATACCAGAATTTTCCACTGTGGCATCTAATGGAAGTTATTGAAATGTCAAGGGAGCATGAGATGGGGTGAGCGTCAGATGGGAATTTTCTCAGTTGTATCATGGCAGATTAGCTGAATTCCTCTCTAAGTGCCTAGAGGACATTACCAAGGTAAGAGGAGAGTTTTAAAATGAACTTGAGGGCAATAAAGGGCATCAGATGATAAAAAATGAGTTGATGCAGTTTTGGCACACATTCAAAACCTTCAGTGTTTCACTAGATTTTTTTTTTCATTATCATTGAGAATGCACTTTATATTTCCTGAAGGGAAAGTGTCCTCAAACAGAGCCATTCAGAACACATTTCAAAGGAAATGAGGATATCATGTTACATGTATATTGACCTGAAAAGGCACTGCAGAGACAGGCAGAACTACCTGATTAAATAGAGTCTAGGGTTTTTTTTGATATTTCTCTCAGCCAAAACTCTATGGGAAGCCAGACACAGACATCTGAGATTAGAATAGTGCTCCAATGTGTAAGTTTATTACCAACTGGTATGAGTTTTATAGACATGCTTGATAAAAGTCTGACAATTTTTTTAAATGACAAAACTTTTCTGAAAAAGCAAGAAAGGAAAAGTTTAGGAGTCCTTATGGTCTCTTATAACAGAAAAGACAAAATGTAAAATGAATATAATTTATTAACTTAGAGTCATGTGCCCTTCCAAACTATGGAAACAGGACCGCGCTTTGAAATTCTCTAGAATGGTTTTACATGACTACTCTTTTCATGGGTGTTGGAAGGAACAATTCATTATTATATGCATATACAATTAAAAAGATTAATTAAAGTAACAAATAAGAAATAAGAACTGCTTGTTCTTTGGGAAAGAGAGTTATTATTTCTCCTTTTTTGTAAATATTACGCTCAAGATCAAGTTTATGCTTTTATGATACCATTAAATTTAATTGATAGTCTCCATTTTTCCTGTTTTGTTTATTTAAAAAAGGAAACAACCATTTGTTAAAATTAAGTTTGGGTAGTTCTAACAGCTCATGTGAAAATTATAAGCAATGCTTTTTACATTGTTTTACTTAAAAAATCCATTTGTAGCATAATAATTTAATTGGTTCATTTTAAATGCCAGTGTAGCAGTTGTTACTGTAATCTAGCATAAAAGCCAGAGCACATTTCAAGAAGTAACTTTAAAACTTTAAAAGTGCATAAAACTCTTCCATATGAGTGTAATAACATCATAAATTAAAATTTCATCAAGAGATATATATATATTTATAGTAATTTTTACATATATGTGTATAGATGTAGTGCAAATTCTGAATCTTTTCTGATTATCAATATCAGGAAATAATAAATAAATATATTCTTAGTATGAATTGTTATCCCAGCCCCCCTTCCCCGCTACACTCACAACTGCTAAAATACTACAGATCTGCTGTGTGAACAATGATAGAACATAAGTGTGTATGTTATCTTTTCTAATAAGGTACGTCCTTTACTTTACATAAAGGACTTTCTCAGGCTATTTTCAAATTATTCCCAATTTTTAAAAAAATGAAATGTTTTTCTGAACTCTGGACTTTCCATGTTCAGTGTTCCTCAGACAGTTAGGCCTTTTGAAATGACACAGGAACTTGTATCTTCTAAAAGGACAAATTACTACTTAACAAGAGAATATGCAACAATTAGTGCTCCAAGGTGTTCATTGTTAAATTCATGGCAAAGGCATGAACTTTGAAACCCCTATGTTTTGAGCTGCAAAAGATATCACAGGGGCCCGGCGCTGTGGCTCACGCCTGTAATCCCAGTACTTTGGGAGGCCAAGGAGGGCAGATCATGAGGTCAGAAGGTCGAGACAATCCTGGCCAACATGGTGAAACCCCATCTCTAATAAAGATATGAAAATTAGCTGGGCGTGGTGGCACACACCTATAGTCCCAGCAACTCAGGAGGCTGAGGCAGAAGAATTGTTTGAACCAGGGTGGCAGAGGCTGCATTGAGCTGAGATCGCGCCACTGCACTCAAGTCTGGTTGACAGAGCAAGACTCCGTCTCAAAAGAAAAAAAAAAAAAAAAGAGAGAGATCATAGGAAGTTGATATTAAGAGATTCCAAAAGTAGTCTTCATGCTACACAACACTGATGACATGCAAGAGTTGAAATTTTGAAAATATTAGTATATGCATCTTGTATTTAACCCAACAGTCATGAGTGACATAAAATGTGACAGTAAGTAGTGGTGATGGTGGGACATTAGTTAACGCAAGCCTAGGAATGAAATACCCTAATCCTAACCCTATTAGTAAGTGACTACACCTGTTCTATTAGTGAAAAAAACAAAAAAATTATCTTCAAAAATTGCATCTAAAACCCAGCCATTTGTACCCACCACTCAGTGTCAACAACAGAAATCACCACTATGAGTATAAATGTTCTTTGGATTCAACCATTTCTCAACAAACAGCTCTGTGATTCTCCCAAGCATCTTTAGGGATTGAAACAGTGCTGAACTTGAAGTCAGAAACAATGGGTTCAAGTCCAGATGATGCCACTTCTCAGTACCTTGAGGTTTTTTTTCTGGCAGGGTGGTTGCCTATGTCTGTCTTGAATGGTCAAACGCTCCCAACACCCCACACACTCCACACCAACTCAGGAAGTCCACAGAGTCTGAGAAGGGAGCAAGGATTCCTTGTCTTGGTACTTACTTGCTATGGACTGAATGTTTGTGCCCCTCAGAATTAATATGTTGAGGTTCTAATCTTCAACATCATAGTATGTGGAGGTGGAGTCTTTGGGGGGTAATTAGGTCATGCAAATGGAGCCCTTATGAACAGGATTAGTTCCCTTATTAGAAGAAACACAAAGAAATTCTCTCTCTCTCTGTATACCTTGTGAAGACACAGGGAGAAGGTTGCCATCTTTAAACCAAGACAAGGGCCCTCCACAAGAACTCCATCATGCTGACACCCCTTACCTCAGACTTCCATCTTCCAGAACTGTGAGAAACATACGTTGGTTGCTTAATCCACCCAGTCTATGATATTCTGTGATAGCAGCCTAAACCATTACTCAATTCTCAAATCTTTGTGATTTTGGTAAGAAATTTGTTTCTTCAATGTGAGAAACATTTTGCTTACATCCTATTGTTTCTGTCTCCCTCTACTCTCATCACTTTTACTTCTTCCTTGCCTCAATCCCTACCCAAATCTATCATTAATTCTCTATACACTCATACCCTTGTTTGGTTGTTTGGTAAATGCTTATCTTCTTTTATGAAAATTCAATCTGAGGTCCCACATCTTAATACTCTTTGGAAATTTAGAATAATTGAGTTTTAACATTTTCCCCTTTATTTGTGAGATTCAGTGGTCATTTTTCCTCACACAGTCATTTCATCTTTGCCAGCATGCGGGAAACTAATATTTCTACCTGGTTAGCATTGTGCATCATCAGCATCAACTCTTCCAAACACAGAGTGACTTTGCCTTCTAGTTCCCATTGCCTTTGGGCAAACACCATGCTTCATACTCAGAAGGGAGAAGTACAATCTTGCAAGTATGAAGAATCCAGAGTCCCTGAAATCTGACCAAATTTTCCTTGCATTTTTCAAGCTTTACCAAGAATAACTGGAGCTTGCTGTGAGAATTTTTGATGTCTTTGAATTATTTCTCTTCTTTCAATAAAGACTGATTCAGTTACTCATTTACAGAACTTTTATTTTCATTTCTAAGTATGCTACAGTGGAATTCCAAATGAAGAATTCAGCCAAAGTCCATAAAATGATTGATATCTTCCCTTCCCTAGAGTGGAAAAAACATTGAGGAAAAGAAAATGTAATTCAGCCTCAAATGTATCCTATATCCCACCCCATAAGGAAACTCTAAGTATGACCTTACAATAAAGAGACATTAAAAAGTGGCCTGTAGCAAAGACACTGTTCCAACTGGTGTCATCATGCTGGTTAGTTTATTTGTTCTTGTGATAAGCAAACATATTTTGTTCTCCCTGTATTTTTCCAGGCACCAAGCTAAGCACTTCTGTCTACATTATCTCATGTAATATTTATAATGACTTCATGTGGCATTTCCATTTTTACAGATGAGCCTATCAGGGCTAAGAGAGTAGAACCATTATATAAAGTTCCAAATCTACTAGTTGCTTAACTGAACTTGACTCAGGTTATCTGATTTCTGGTGCTGTCAGCATTCTCTCATTCTCCCATACCCCATCAGTTTATTCTCTTGTGGTACCACAATTTGTATAGTGGCTCCTTCATGTCTGAGTCACCCTTCTGCTGTCCACATAGGAGATGCTTATTAAATATTTGCTAAATAGACAATATATACCAAGGTACATGTGCCAGGCACAGCTCTAGATAATACAGTAGTGAATAAGGAAAAACCCTAATCTCATGGAATTTACATACAGCAAGGGGAGACATGAGGTTTATGAACACATAATTATACAGTAGAAGGTACAAAGGCAGACAAAGTGAGAGAGGGACAGAGAGGAGCTATATTGTGTGTGTGAATAGGGTGTTCAGAGAAAGCTCTCCCCAGTAGTAGCATTTAAGCAGAGGCCTGAGTGAAGTGAAGAAATAAGCCATTCTGATCTCTGGGGAAGAGCATTCCAGGCGGAAGATACAGCAAGTGCCAAGGCCCAGGGGCGGGAATGTGTTTGATGTATTCGAGGGAAATTGAGGCTACCTGAATGGTTGGAGCACCATGAGGAAAGCAAAGAGTTGCTGGAAAAGACATCAGAAACAAGGCTGGTTGGTGGATCAGGAAGGAAGCAGTAGGCAAGGTGAGAATTTTACAGTTTATTCTGAGTGAGATGAGAAGCCACTGAAGGGAGTGACAGTCCACTTCAACCGGATCCCTCTGGTTGCATGGACTCCTCTGAAGGGCAGGAGTGGTGGACTCTTTGGTTGGAGCATAGAGCCTTCAGCAAGAACCCAGAGGAGCAGCAGCTCTGCCTAGGAGCTGGGGCTGGTGGTGGCGGTGGTGACTGTTCCTATTAGAGCCAACAAGAGGGTTTGGTGGGTCATTTTGGCTACTTGTTAATTCAGAAAACAGAGGTTTTTCTCCAGCAGATGAAGAAAGGGTGGTTGATGTTTTAAGTAATGTGTGGACACAATTAGGATGAAAGAAGGAAGAGCCCACTGTGTCAGCACAGCCTCGGGAGGGATCCAGGTTACATAGATATGAAGCCAGGCTTAAGTGGGTGGTCAAGCCAGGCTTATTGAAAACAGACTTAATCCTTTGCACATTTTAATGAATAATTGGAATTCTTAGTTGATAAACTTAATAAACTCATGGATGAAAAATAATACCACTTTTGGAGGCTGGGGAGAAGATATCACCAAATCCTTTGACTTTAAAATGACTGAGGGCAAAATGGGGAAGTTTTATCACTGAAAGAATTCCCCAACCATTGGAAGTGATTTTATTTTTAATGCATAGAATCAGGGCCTTCCTTCCCAAGTAATTACCTAAATAGATATAAATGTGTTTCAAAATTGTCCCATTTTCCAGACACCATTATTCTGAGCATGCTTTTGATGTCCTGAAGCCCAGAGTACAATTATCTTTGATAGTGGGGACAGTTTTTCAGATAGGTTTCCTTTGAACAAGAGAAGGACTTTTCCCTAGGTTTCCATTTCAAGAAAATTAAATTGAATTGGATTTTCAGGTACCATTAATTGATGTAAGAGAGAGAACAGAAACCTAATGATTTGGCTCAAGGCCTTAAAAAAAAAAAAAAAAAAGGAAAGAAAAATAAAAAAAGAAAAGGAAAAAGACTTTAGTGAGAATAGCCTCCAGGCCCAAAATGTCAGATTTCTTGCTGGTTCTGCAGCTATACCTCCAGTTAAAAAAACAAAAGGAAACTATAGGGTTGATCATTTCCTTGGAGACTGCATATTTTTAGCTGCAGTTTCTATATTCCATTTTTCAGAAGTGCCAGAGATAGATTATTTATAGCAAGTGGATTTAAGAGTTAGAAATATTGAACAACCTAGACGAAACTTTTAAGTACGTATCATTTTTTCCAGTCTACATTTCAGTACCTGGTATTTCTAATGATTACATGGAGAAATTTCCATTCGACACTATTTTGAGCCTCTTAGGCTAACCGGATAGCTTAAAGGCTCTTAAAGAGCACAACAAATGTATTTGGTCAACAATGAGATTTTCTATACTGAAAAAATGGGTATGTTGTTCATTTTATTTTTAAAAGTGTGCATTAAGATGCATATGTGTATTTAGAAAAATTTTTATAATCTAGTAAGAACTTTTGTCTGGAGGGATATTGTACACTGGCCTGGAAGTCCAATAATGAAGAGAAGAAGAGATAATGGTAGAACCAACTGGTAAGCGTGGATTCTCAGCAGGAGGTGACACTGCTCCCACGGGGGTAAACATTCATTCTTAGGGGTCAAGAAAATCCTCAGGTATTACAGTGGTTTATTTCCCTTTTCAGTAAGCAGAATAATGCTTTTCCAGGGTCTCACCCTCCCAAAGAAGTCCATTCTCTACTCCCTAGAACCTGTGACCTCATTATGGTAGCTGAGAAAAAGGAATTAAGGTTGTAGGTGCAATTAAGGTTGCTAATGAACTGACCTGGAAAGGAGAGAGGAGATTAGCCTGGATTACCAGGTGATACAGTTTCACCATGTCTTCACCCAAACCTCATCTTGAATTGTAGCTCCCATAATTCCCATGTGTTGTGTGAGGGACCCAGTGGGAGATAATTGAATCATGGCGGCAGTTTCCCCCATACTGTTCCTGTGGTAGTGAATAAGTCTCAGGAGATCTGATGATTTTATAGCGGGGGTTTCTCTTTTGCTTGGCTCTCATTCTCTTGTCTGCTGCCATGTAAGACGTGCCTTTTACCTTTCACCATGATTGTGAGGCCTCTCCAGCCACTTGAACTGTGAGTTCATTATACCTCTTTTTCTTTATAAATTATCCAGTCTCAGGTATGTCTTTATCAACAGCCGAAAATGGACTAATTCACCAGGTGTGCCCAATGTAACCACAAAAGTCCTTAAAAGTGGAAGACAAAGATGGACTAAAAAGGCACAGAGAGATCCCACATTTGCTTTGAGGGTGGAGGAGGGCCATCACAAGCAAAGTTATATGGGTGGCCCCAGAAGCTGGACACACATTTGCCTCTAGACTTCCAGAAAGAAATGCAACCCTGGTGATCCCCCCACTCCAGCACAATGAGACCCGTGTCAGACAGATATCCCTGTACAACTGTAAGATGACACATGTGTGTTGTTGCTGCTAAGTTTGTAGGAATTTATTATAGCAGAAATAGCGGGACAATTAATATACCTTCCCAAAGGTCATAGAATACAAACATAGTGTAGCTGTAGTATTAAAAAGTCGTTGGTGGCCAATTAGGAAAAATGTGTCTAAAAAGGCTCCTTGGGGGGCAATAATGAAAACAAATTGAGTAATATTGCTCTAGAAGATGACAAGCAGGCTATTTGACTGCAGAATTTCATAAAATGGAGGCATTTTATGGCATTAGTGTTTGGATGAGTAAATTTTACAGCACCAAAAGCTGTTGCTTTAATCTGGAGCAGATCAGAAAATTAGCAAAAATAGAGTTATTCTTAAAAGTGAATAACTAAGAAAGTATTCCACGGGCAAAAGACTTAGGAAACTCTAATAGAAACAATATAGTTGGTAAGAAATGAAACCTACAAATCGCAGCTATAGAAGAACACTTCTCTAATTACATGTATATAGTTGCCTGGAAGAAAAAGTTTGAAGGTTGATAGGTCAGATGCTAATAGTGAGTTCTCTGGATGGTCATTCTATTTCTGTTTATTGTTGTTGTTATTATTGTTGCTGTGGTTTGTTTGTTGTGACTTTCCTAAAGGAAATATATATATAATAGGAGGCTTTTACTATATGCCAATAGTTGGTAACTGGATGGGAACCAAAATTTCATAATAAACAGTTTTCTCAAAATCCAGTTTGGGTTGAGTCTTAATCTTAAAAAGAAGAACTGGAATTATAAAATAAGTTTATTTCATTTTATGTATTGTTATTACTAAATTTCTGTTACAGATGTAGCTATGTTGTTAGAGCTATGTCTTTAGAGAGTAGAGAATTGAGAACATTAAAGTAGTGGCAATTTTGGTCTTTTTTTTTCTCAAATTTATATAATTACTTGATTATATACTTCATGTTTGATTTCTGCAGCATAGAGAGGGTCATATTGGAAGGTTGCATTAGATTTCCCAGGGGTTTTGCCTAATCCTTGAATAATCTAATTATTCCCTTTCGAAGTAGCTATTGTGTAGTCGTCATTGTGTATTTTTTCCCCTTAGTTTAATTGGTGAATGGTGCCAACTTCTCATGTGTCCGTGATTTGGCTTGTAATTGAAACAGTGTACCAACCTTCCTTTCCATCAAATTCTTAAGTCCTGTATTTTTTTTCCACAAGATTTTCAGTTTCATTTTGCAGTCTGTGTGCATTGAATAATTGGATGTTTAAGAGGTTAGGCTTGGAGGAATGTTTGAATGAGTGCTAATTTTATCATTGTTTTGCTCATTAGTTAATAATATTGATGACTTGTTTTCCCACACAACTTTAAGTTGGCGAGAACTTAGATAACTTGATCACATTGTACATAAACAATTTTATCATATTTTATCACGCACACATACAAAGACACATAAACTCACTCATGCACTCTGTTTCTTTCAAATATTTGGGTTTAAAATTTGAGAAATCTGGCCAGCTTTGTGGCTCATGCCTGCAATCCCAGCACTTTGGGAGGCCGAGGTGCGAGGATCACTTGAGGTCAGAAGTTCGAGACCAGCCTGGCCAACAAGGTAAGACCCTCTCTCTACTAAAAATACAAAAATTAGCTGGGTGTGGGTGTGCATACCTGTAGTCCCAGCTACTAGGGAGGCTGAAGCAGGAGGATCACTTGAATCTGGGAATAAATTTTATTTATTTTAATATAGTTATGATTTGCCCTGATCTGCTTGCTCCCAAGTCCTTGTATTTTAAAAGAACGAGAAATTCTAATTAACTTCAGAGTGGCATAGTTCAACTATAGTTAAATGATATAGAGATTCAAGGCTCTCTGAGGGAGGGAATACATAGATATTCACATGGTTAGATATTATGCAATGCTTGTATTAATAAAGTCATAATCATAATTCCAGTTTCTATATAGTCCTTGATGTCTGGATTCACTGACTTCATACCACACAGTATTGGCAACAGCCCAAGTTTGCCTAAATGAAAAAGTAATGCCTTTAGGAAGAAGCTTCAGGGAAATACATGAGTGGTAAGAAACCCTTGCATCAGTGCAAAAACAGAACAATTGCTTCTTTCCTTCATTTATTTATTAGGGACCAGCTTTGCCTGCAGAAAATAAGAAGAAAGTCTATTAATATTTTCTAACTTTTTATTTGACTTCTCAGTGGGAGAGAAGAAGTATTTTTCTTAAACTCTGAAGTTTATTACCCCGCAATTGTTTATGGCTTTTGCTACACCGAATTTCAGTAGTTGAAATGTATCTCAATATATTTTAAAAATGACTTTACTTAGGTGACAGCTTATATAACTTTTATTCCTGAATTGGCATCCCTGACAGTGTGGAAAATACTGTTACTTAATTAAGCCTCCTTTTTTTTAATATTATAGCTTTGATGAACTGAATATAACTGAAGGGGGACCTGGCATGAAGAGCTATGAACCTCACTGTTCTCCTGACTTTAAAAGTGTTTTTGGATTATTTTAGAGTCATCGTATATATACAAGAATATTTAAAACATGCTAAAGTCATGAATAGGGAAACACAAAGCCAAAATAAAGTAATATTCTAGAATGGATACAATTTGAAAGGCAGGTAATTTGGCAAGGGTATATAGATTGAAACCTTTAAACCTTGCAGGTGGGACTGTTCATATGCAACCGTTTTTGAAAAATAGTTTGGCAATGTCATAAAATGTGAAACATAGAGTTCCCATATGACCTAGTAATTCCACTCCCAGGTATATATACCCAAGAGAAGGAAAAACATATGTCCACACAAAAACTTGTACATAAATGTTCACAGTAGCGTTACGCATGATAGCCAAAAGGGTAAAAGAAATCTAAATTGTGACCAAATGTTGAATGGATAAATTTAATATTGTGTATCAATGGAATACTATTCATCAACAACAAGAAAATGAATAAATATAATATTGTGTATCTTTACAATGGAACACTATTCATCAACAACAAAAATAATGAAGTACTGACACAACATCAATGAACCTTGAAAACAGTATGATAAATGAAAGAAGCTAGTCACAAAAGACCACATTTTTCTTTTTCTTTTTTTTTCTTTGAGACGGAGTTTCACTCTTGTTGCCCAGGCTGGAGTGCAATGGCATGATCTTGGCTCACTGCAACTTCCATCTCCTGGGTTCAAGTGATTCTTCTAACTCAGCCTCCCAGATAGTTGGGATGACAGGCCTCCATCACCATGCCTGGCTAATTTTTGTATTTTTAGTAGAGACAGGATTTCACCATGTTGATCAGGCTGGTGTCGAACTCCTGACCTCTTATGATCTGCCCACCTCGGGCTTTCAAAGTGCTAGGATTACAGGCGTGAGCCACCACGCCCAGCCAAAAGACCACAGATTGAATGAATTCATTCACATTAAATGTGCACATTACGCAAATGTATATATAGAGAAAATAGATTAGTGGTTTCCTGGAAGTAGGGCTGAGAGGAAGGGAGGAAGAATAGGCAGTGACTGCTAATTTGGTACAAGATTTCTTTTGTTTTAACTTAGATTGTGGAGATGGTTGCACAAGTCTATCAATTTACTAAAAATCATTAAATTGTATACTTAAGATGAATGCATTTTATGATATGCAAATATGATCTCCATCAAGCTGTTAAAAAATAAGACGAGTGTACCAATGTGCAAAGGACACCAGCAGGATGTCAAGAGCACAATCATTAGAGGGGTCTGGACCTACATATGTTAATCAAAGAGGCTTGTGCGTCAACATCTGCATATAAAATGTTTAATTTTAAACAGGACATGAGTACAGAGGAATTGGTAATCTTTAGCTAGAAAATATTTCACTGCTGAGTTTTCTTTGCAATAATTTATTGAAGTGAGAATGAGGTTGGAATGTTCACCTTGGAAGGTTGCTCTCCAGACGTATTTTTCCTTCAGAGCAAGTCAAGTCATTTCTTTCTTTCTTAAACAACCATAAATAAGTGAAAATTTTTGACATAACGTACAACACAGTTTGGTGTTTTTTTTTTTTTTTTAGACACTGCAGGAAATGTTTGAGATTTTTATTCCTTGTAGACTTCACAAACAAATAAGAAACATAATAAAGAAAACCTTTTCAATCTTATTCACTCCTTGTAACTTTCTCTGAAAGCCTGCTAAGACACCAAATCTGATTTTCTTTTATCTACCCAAAGGCAACAGTCCTCATTAGCAGGGAAAAAACCTACAAAGCTAAGACTGAGTGAAGAATGTTGACGGTTATCTCATTAGGGCATGCAGTGCTCACAAGGCACCGGATGGACAGACAGCATTAAGAAGCCAAATGTCAAGGTAGTGAAACAAAATGTATCACAGCCCTCCACTATCACTGGCATAATCCCTTTATTAAAATTTCTGCTAATGAATGATTACAAAACTCCGGAACGTGGGCAAGGGAGGGGAGTGGAATTGAACTTTTGCTTTAATCGCTAGAATGGCTAGAAGACTGCCTTAGAAATCTTTACATCAGACTAATCATTTCAAATTCAAAATAGCATTAATTATTAATCTGAGAAGCAAATGAGTTCTGTGATGTATAAATTATACCTCAATGAAGCTGTTAAAAAATATGGCACGGTTTCTAATGTGCAAAGAGCATACAAAGAACATTTGCACATCGGTAACCTTCCTACATTTTTGTCTTTCTTGAGGTGTAATTTATGTATCATAAAATTTTAAGTATACAATTCAATGATTTTTAAGTAAATTTATAGAGTTGTACAACCATCACCAACAATCCAATTTTCTCTGTAGAGCACATGTTTAGAATGTGAAAAAGTGAACAAAATTCAAAAAAGGAATTTATAGAAGGTGCAATGATCTGTTAAGAGTAAGAATACACTAAGTTCAGGAACTTCTTAAGCTTTAAAAAAATTACTCATGTAAAAAATGTTACAACTTTTATGTGTGGGTTTCATACTTGTTTTATAATTGAAGGATGTTGTTATTGCTGTCTTAGGAATGTTACCAGGCATAATGTAAGCTATGTTATGTTTATTTCTGAAAACTAAAAATCTTTGGTGTATACATTTTTAAAATATTTAAAAACCTGAGGTGTTTGGATTCTGCCTTAAACATAATTTTAAAAAGAACAGCCTCTCAAGGATTAGAGGATGTGGCTGCTTCTAATAATAATGTCTTCCTTTAAGGAAAATGAAAAACAGATTCATACATATAATCAAGCAAAGTTGTTGACCAAAATGGCAATTATTCCCATAATGAGATACTAAAGGAAATTCATACAAAAGAAACCAACGGGCTCTGTGTTTCTTGACCTGTATCAACTGGGTGTGGAATGGAATGTGTGCTTCTCGTGAATTCCCTGGTTAGCTGCTTTATTAAACAAAAAAACCTGTCTACTTTTCCACTCTCACCCGCAGCTGCCTTACAAAGCAAAAATACATTCAGTCCAAATATGGCAACACAAGGTTTATGCCATCAACCTGGAGGTTGGCTGCAAGCAGAATGCCTGTAGCAACAAACTGTGTGTGTAACTGACAATGATGTCAGACGGCAAAGTCCTTGGACCACCGAGGCAGCTCTCAAGATCATTTCAAGGTTGCCTATGGCGACTAAGAGTATCACAAAGTGATGGCAGTTTTCCAGGTAACTAGATAATTATTAAAGAAATGAAAAGGATGTTAACTCTAAATTATTCTAATACAACATCCAACATCTGCCTTTGGGTAGATAAAAGAAAATCAGATTTGGGGTCTCTTAGCAGATTACCACAAATGACTTAGATAATGCCAGCGGTACTATGTTATATTCCATAAAGTCTGAGTAGACACAGTTTTATTCATGCATTCAATTAGTCAGTCAAATGATATTTACTAAGTTTCTATATGGGCCAAGAATTTTACCTCATAGAGTTTACATCTAGTCTTCCTATTTGATCCAATAACATATGAAGATCATGAAAGGATTTCTTATCCCTGTCATAACATATATTTAACAATTGTAAATGTACAATTACCTATAAGTAAAGAAAATGTACTGAGTTTATGTGACAGCCTGTATACAACGAATAGCCAAATAAGTCTATTGATTATTTTTGATCCAAATCAAACACATTTCCTCAATTCTCAATTACTGTTTTTCCACAGAAGACATTTAATTACTTCAGTAAATCTTAAACAGCCCTAACTTTTAGAATAGTCATAAATATTCTTTTCTAATTGCTCACAGACATGAGATCTCTTGCAGGAGGTTGGGAAGAGAAGACCCTTGGTTCCTTCTAACTTTTCTGAACTTCATAAGTAAAATGAGAAAAACAACATCCACTTCAAGAATCATAAAGAGAAATAACTGAAATAAGGTGAAGAAATGAGCCCAGCACTGTATCTTGCTCAAGGCATGTGCCTTTAAAAAAATAATAATGACAAAAGACAGGGTCTTGCTCCGCTTTGTCACTCAGGCTGAAGTGCAGTGGTGCACTCATAGCTCACTATAACCTTGAACTCCTGGGTTCAAGTGATCCTCCCACCTTCCAAGTAGCTGAGACTACAGGTGCACCCCATCATGCCTGGCTAATTTAAAAAAAAAAAAAAATATATATATATATATATATATATATATATATATATATATATATATATATATATATATATTTTTTTTTTAGAGATGGGGTCTCACTATGTTGCCCAGGCTGGTCATGGACTTCTGCCCTCAAGTTATCTTCTCACCTCGGTTTCCCAAAGTTCTGAGTGCCTTTATAGATACCTTCCTTTTGCTTAAGAGGCACCTGACCATTCACCCAGTCAGTATAAGGACAGTATGTAAAACTCATGTGACATTGAAATATGAGACATAGTGACTAGTGACTGACAGGAAGAGAGCCAGTACCGCTCACATAAACCTTAGTGAAACCGGAGGAGAAACAGCTCATGATGAAATTTACCTGCAGTCTGAGAAATGAAAGAAAGTGCAAGCAAATAAACTAACTAAGGTTATGCAGTGAGCTAATGTGCAGGCCAAGTTAACCTATCCTCAATTCGTGATTAAAACCACTAACTTCCACCGACTGCACAGACGCCTTACATTGAGTTTCTGAAGTAGTCTTCTTTTCCAGATGATGCTTTTCAGAGCTTTATAGTGATTTAAAAATTATGATACAGTATCTTTTATTGGTTTTATGATATTTTTATAATTTATCAGACTATGTCTGAAAACACTTGGTAGATTTGGATGTCGTTGCTGACAACATTTATATTCTTAATAATAAACACAATAATGGACATGTCTTATAGTATTGTTCTTAGGTTTTATTACAACACATGTTGACAAAGGACATAAATGTACCAAAAGGTTTACAAATCCATCACTTTTCTGTTCAAAGGTGCATGGAGTTACACACAAAATGCAATTCTTAATCAAACATGCTACATTAATCTTTGCAAGAGGCTAAAAGTCCAACTTTTGCTACTCAAGGCCCATGAAACTGCTAAAAATGACTCAAAATCAGTAAAAGTTGATTTAAAAAAATAAGCTTCTGCTCTGATTCCTAGCAGCCTGTGTTCTTTCTTAAAACCATATGCTCCACATGGAAAGCATAAACCCTGCTGTGACATTTCAGCGTTATCTGGTAAAATGGGTTCCATCTGTATGTCACTTCCAGGTTGGAAACAAAAGATGAGGTTGGAGGCATTTTTCCTTTTTCCAATCTACTCTCCCATCCTCCCACATTCCCATCCCGATACCCACTCAATTCTGGGGGAAAAAAAAACACCTTACAAAGCAAGTGCATATTTCTGGAGGCCACTTAAAATAGCAGCAATTCTGGATTGAAATTTCCCACATATTACCCACTGGGCCCCTCCCTCTCCCCATCAATATATGTGCTTCCAAGATGCCTGCTGTGAAATCCTCAGAACCAAGTACTAGAGGTCAATCAGCTTCATTTATAACCCACCAATGAGAAGTAAGTCTCCACGTTTCTCCCTGCATTCCTATGATTTCACTAAATAATAGAAAAAGAAACCCCCTGCACAAAAGGATCAAAATGCCTATGGAAGCTCATTGTCAAGTTACTGTCAGGAGCATTGATGTTGCCTGTTGCTAAGGTCACAGTAGTGACACTAAGACTTGCAGAGAAAGAAATTCTGAAAAGAGGATATAAGGGATATTTTGCTTAAAATGTGCTGGCCCCACACAGACAGGCTTTCTTTTTTCTCTTTTTACTTTCTTAATTTTTTTTTATAATGCAGCTATATTTGTTGGACACAATCAATTGCTCTAAAAGCATGTTGAATTAAAGTACAATAATAGAATGCGCCAAATACGTTATCTCTGGCAGTATACTACTGTGGATGCTCAAAGTAACTCAAATTTAAACAGGAGCAAGGTGGGGCTTAAAGTAAAATTCCTCTAACCAGAAGCTACTAGTTCCTTTAATAGCAATGACTGTTAAGGTATACCTAAATAACTAAGAACAAGAAATTTAAAAGACATGGACACTTATCCAAGACTGATATGTTTGTGATCTTGGTTTACAAATCATGGCATCTTTATTTTGTGACTAGTAGCCTTTAAAACTTCCTGTCTTTTCCCTGGATTGGAAAATAGCTGTTAAGTGATGCCAGGAATATGTGTTAAGACATTTACATCTTTATTCAATCACATGTACTTGGGTGAGATGCAGTGTCATCCCAATGGATATTAAGTATTTATTTGAAGCCAAGAAGGAATTAAACATCTAGGAATTTCAAAACATCATACAGACTAGTAAAGGAATGGTCCATAAATTGTGATCAACATCAGGAGACAATTGCTCAGGGCCATCAACTGAACATTAAATATTATTAACTCATAGATTTTGATGACAAGATACTGTAAAAGATTCATTTCAGTAATTTTTCATAGGACTTTAATTCTTCAAAATAGAAAATTTTTACTAGAGTGATATAAAGATGTGAGATCAAAGGAGAGAAGAAATAATTTGGAATTTGTAGGAGTCACCACTGCTGTGGAAGCCTGCTAAAATCTGTGTTATTAATATTCTTCATGTCACCACCAAATGAGAGAAGTACAGACATAAAGTGGTAGGTAACATTTTGAAAGACCCCAGATAGAAGTGGGACAACTGGGCCTTGAAATACAGCTGTCAGTATGCTTAGTTACCTTGATGTAGCGCTACACTACAAGAGATTGTGATATTGAGTACTATTTGACATTTTCATTTAGAAAATCATATAGCTGTGATCCAATGTACCCTGCTTTCTACTTAAATCCATATTATAGTGGGCATTTTATCATCTATACCGCAGTAATTATGATCTCAGTGCGTTCATAGCCTCACACTTTTGAAGCCATTAATAATACATCTAGAACTCAGATCATAACTGTGCAAAAGACAGACCATTCAGATGAATGTATATATTACTGTAACTTTATTTATTATTTTCTTAATTTTATTATTATTATACTTTAAGTTTTAGGGTACATGTGCACAACTTGCAGGTTTGTTACATATGTATACATGTGCCATGCTGGTGTGCTGCACCCATTAATTCGTCATTTAGCATTAGGTATATCTCCAAATGCTATCCCTCCCCCATCCCCCCACACCACAACAGTCCCCGGTGTGTAATGTTCCCCTTCCTGTGTCCATGCATTCTCATTGTTCAATACCCACCTATGAGTGAGAACATGAGGTGTTTGGTTTTTTGTCCTTGTGATAGTTTGCTGAGAATGATGGTTTCCACTTTCATCCATGTCCCTACAAAGGACATGAACTCATCCTTTTTTATGGCTGCATAGTATTCCATGGTGTATATGTGCCACATTTGCTTAATCCAGTCTATCATTGTTGGACATTTAGGTTAGTTCCAAGTCTTTGCTATTGTGAATAGTGCCGCAATAAACATACGTGTGCATGTGTCTTTATAGCAGCATGATTTATAATCCTTTGGGTGGATACCCAGTAATGGGATGGCTGGGTCAAATGGTATTTCTAGTTCTACATCCCTGAGGAATCACCACACTGACTTCCACAATGGTTGAACTAGTTGACAGTCCCACCAACAGTGTAAAAGTGTTCCTATTTCTCCACATCCTCTCCAGCACCTGTTGTTTCCTGACTTTTTAATGATCGCCATTCTAACAGGTGTGAGATGGTATCTCATTGTGGTTTTGATTTGCATTTCTCTGATGGCCAGTGATGATGAGCGTTTTTTCTTGTGTCTGTTGGCTGCATAAATGTCTTCTTTCAAGAAGTGTCTGTCATATCCTTTGCCCACTTTTGATGGAGTTGTTTGCTTTCTTCTTGTAGGTTTGTTTGAGTTCTTTGTAGATTCTGGATATTAGCCCTTTGTCAGATGAGTAGGTTGCAAAAATTTTCTCCCATTTTGTGGGTTGCCTGTTCACTCTGATGGTAGTTTATTTTGCTGTGCAGAAGCTCTTTAGTTTAATTAGATCCCATTTGTCAATTTGGCTTTTGTTGCCATTGCTTTTGATGTTTTAGACATGAAGCCCTTGCCTATGCCTATGTCCTGAATGGTATAGCCTAGGTTTTCTTCTAGGGTTTTTATGGTTTTAGGTCTAACATTTACGTCTTTAATCCATCTTGAATTAATTTTTGTATAAGGAGTAAGGAAGGGATCCAGTTTCAGCTTTCTACATATGGCTAGCCAGTTTTCCCAGCACCATTTATTAAATAGGGAATCCTTTCCCCATTTCTTGTTTTTGTCAGGTTTGTCAAAGATCAGATATTTGCAGATATGTGGCATTATTTCTGAGGGCTCTGTTCTGTTCCATTGATCTATATCTCTGTTTTGGTACCAGTACCATACTGTTTTGGTTACTGTAGCCTTGTAGGCTAGTTTGAAGTCAGGTAGCGTGATGCCTCCAACTTTGTTCTTTTGGCTTAGGATTGACTTGGTGATGCAGGCTCTTTTTTGGTTCCATATGAACTTTATAGTTTTTTCCAATTCTGTGAAGAAAGTCATTGGTAGCTTGATGGGGATGGCATTGAATCTATATATTACCTTGGGCAGTTTGACCATTTTCACGATATTGATTCTTCCTACCCATGAGCATGGAATGTTCTTCCATTTGTTTGTATCCTCTTTTATTTCATTGAGTAGTGGTTTGCAGTTCTCCTTGAAGGGGTCCTTCACATCCCTTGTAAGTTGGATTCCTAGGTATTTTATTCTCTTTGAAGCAATTGTGAATGGGATTTCACTCATGATTTGGCTCTCTGTTTGTCTGTTATTGGTGTGTAAGAATGCTTGTGATTTTTGTACATTGATTTTGTATCCTGAGACTTTGCTGAAGTTGCTTATCAGCTTGAGGAGATTTTGGGCTGAGATGATGGGGTTTTCTAGATATACATTCATGTCATCTGTAAACAGGGACAATTTGACTTCCTCTTTTCCTAATTGAATACCCTTTATTTCCTTCTCCTGCCTAATTGCCTTGGCCAGAACTTCCAACACTATCTTGAATAGGAGTGGTGAGAGAGGGCATCCCTGTCTCGTGCCCATTTTCAAAGGGAATGCTTCCAGTTTTTGCTCATTCAGTATGATATTGGCTGTGGGTTTGTCATAGATAGCTCTTATTATTTTGAGATATTTCCCATCAATACCTAACATATTGAGAGTTTTTAGCATGAAGGGTTGTTGAATTTTGTCAAAGGCCTTTTCTGCATCTGTTGAGATAATCATGTGGTTTTTGTCTTTGGTTCTGTATATATGTTGGATTACATTTATTGATTTGCATATGTTGAACCAGGCTTGCATCCCAGGGATGAAGCCCACTTGATCATGGTGGATAAGCTTTTTGATGTGCTGCTGGATTCAGTTTGCCAGTATTTTATTGAGGATTTTTGCATCAATGTTCATCAATGATATTGGTCTAAAATTCTCTTTTTTGGTTGTCTCTCTGCCAGGCTTTGGTATCAGGATGATGCTGGCCTCATAAAATGAGTTAGATAGGATTCCCTCTTTTTCTATTGATTGGAATAGTTTCAGAAGGAATGGTACCAGCTCCTCTTTGTACCTCTGATAGAATTCGGCTGTGAATCCATCTGGTCCTGGACTTTTGTTGCTTGGTAAGCTATTGATTATTGCCTCAATTTCAGAGCTTGTTATTGGTCTATTCAGAGATTCAACTTCTTCCTGGTTTAGTCTTGGGAGTTTGTATGTGTCGAGGAATTTATCCATTTCTTCTAGATTTTCTAGTTTATTTGCGTAGAGGTGTTTATAGTATTCTCTGATGGTAGTTTGTATTTCTGTGGGATCGGTGGTGATATCCCCTTTATCATTTTTTATTGCATCTATTTGATTCTTCTCTCTTTTCTTCTTCATTAGTCTTGCTAGTGGTCTATCAATTTTGTTGATCTTTTCAAAAAACCAACTCCTGTATTCATTAATTTTTGGAAGGGTTTTTTGTGTCTCTATTTCCTTCAGTTCTGCTCTGATCTTAGTTATTTCTTGCCTTCTGCTAGCTTTTGAATGTGTTTGCTCTTGCTTTTCTAGTTCTTTTAATTGTGATGTTAGGGTGTCAATTTTGGATCTTTCCTGCTTTCTCTTGTGGGCATTTAGTGCTATAAATTTCCCTCTACATACTGCTTTGAATGTGTCCCAGAGATTCTGGTATGTTGTGCTTTTGTTCTCTTTGGTTTCAAAGAACATCTTTATTTGTGCCTTCATTTCGTTATGTACCCAGTAGTCATTCAGGAGCAGGTTGTTCAGTTTCCATGTAGTTGAGCGGTTTTGAGTGAGTTTCTTAATCCTGAGTTCTAGTTTGATTGCACTGTGGTCTGAGAGACAGTTTGTTATAATTTCTGTTCTTTTACATTTGCTGAGGAGAGCTTTACTTCCAACTATGTGGTGAATTTCGGAATAGGTGTGGTGTGGTGCTGAAAAACATGTATGTTCTGTTGATTTGGGGTGGAGAGTTCTGTAGATGTCTATTAGGTCAGCTTGGTGCAGAGCTGAGTTCAATTCCTGGGTATCCTTGTTAACTTTGTGTCTCATTGATCTGTCTAATGTTGACAGTGGGGTGTTAAAGTCTCCCATTATTATTGTGTGGGAATCTAAGTCTCTTCGTAGGTCACTAAGGGCTTGCTTTATGAATCTGGGTGCTCCTGTATTGGGTGCATATATATTTAGGATAGTTAGCTCTTCTTGTTGAATTGATCCCTTTACCATTATGTAATGGCCTTCTTTGTCTCTTTTGATCTTTGTTGGTTTAAAGTCTGTTTTATCTGAGAGTAGGATTGCAACCCCTGCCTTTTTTTGTTTTCCATTTGCTTGGTAGATCTTCCTCCATCCCTTTATTTTGAGCCTATGTGTGTCTCTGCATGTGAGATGGGTTTCCTGAATACAGCACACTGATGGGTCTTTACTCCTGATCCAGTTTGCCAGTCTGTGTCTTTTAATTGGAGCATTTAGCCCACTTACATTTAAAGTTACTATTGTTATGTGTGAATTTGATCCTGTCACTATGATGTTAGCTGGTTATTTTGCTCATTTGTTGATGCAGTTTCTTCCTAGCCTCTATGGTCTTTACAATTTGGCATGTTGTTGCAGTGGCTGGTACCGGTTGTTCCTTTCCATGTTTAGTGCTTCTTTCAGGAGTTCTTTTAGGGCAGGCCTGGTGGTGACAAAATCTCTCAGCATTTGCTTGTCTGTAAAATATTTTATTTCTCCTTCACTTATGAAGCTTAGTTTGGCTGGATATGAGATTCTGGGTTGAAATTTCGTTTCTTTAAGAATGTTGAATATTGGTCCCCACTGTCTTCTGGCTTGTAGAGTTTCTGCTGAGAGATCCGCTGTTAGTCTGATGGGCTTCCCTTTGTGGGTAACCCGACCTTTCTCTCTGGCTGCCCTTAACATTTTTTCCTTCATTTTGACTTTGGTGAATCTGACAATTATGTGTCTTGGAGTTACTCTTCTAGAGTAGTATATTTGTGGCAATCTCTGTATTTCCTGAATTTGAATGTTGGCCTGCCTTGCTAGGTTGGGGAAGTTCTCCTGGATAATATCCTGCAGAGTGTTTTCCAACTTGGTTCCATTCTCCCTGCCACTTTCAGGTACACCAGTCAGATGTAGATTTGGTGTTTTCACATAGTCCCATATTTCTTGGAGGCTTTTTTCGTTTATGTTTATTCTTTTTTCTCTGAACTTCTCGCTTCATTTCATTCATTTTGTCTTCCATCACTGATACCCTTTCTTCCAGTTGATCGCGTCGGGTACTGAGGCTTCTGCATTCATCATGTAGCTCTTGTGCCTTGGTTTTCAGCTCCATCAGGTCCTTTAAGGAGTTCTCTGCATTGATTATTCTAGGTATCCATTCGTCTCATTTTGTTTCAAAGTTTTTAACTTCTTTGCCATCGGTTTGAATTTCCTCCTGTAGCTCAGAGTAGTTTGATCATCTGAAGCCTTCTTCTCTCAACTTGTCAAAGTCATTCTCCATCCAGCTTTGTTCCATTGCTGGTGAGGAACTGCATTCCTTTGGAGAAAGAGAGGCACTCTGATTTTTAGAATTTCCAGTTTTTCTGCTCTGTTTTTTTCCCATCTTTGTGGTTTTATCTACCTTTGGTCTTTGATGATGGTGACGTACAGATGGGTTTTTGGTGTGGATGTCCTTTCTGTTTGTTAGTTTTCCTTCTAACAGTCAGGACCCTCAGCTGCAGGTCTGTTGGAATTTGCTAGAGGTCCACTGCAGACCCTGTTTGCCTGGGTATCAGCAGCGGTGGCTGCAGAACAGCGAATATTGGTGAACTGCAGATGCTGCTGCCTGATCGTTCCTCTAGAAGTTTTGTCTCAGAGGAGTACCCGGCTATGTGAGGTGTCAGTCCGCCCCTACTAGGGGGTGCCTCCCAGTTAGTCTACTCGGGGGTCAGGGATCCACTTGAGGAGGCAGTCTGCCCATTCTCAGATCTCAAGCTGTGTGCTGGGAGAACCACTACTCTCTTCAAAGCTGTCAGACAGGGATATTTTAGTCTGCAGAAGTTACCGCTGTCTTTTTGTTTCTCTGTGCCCTGCCCCCAGAGGTGGAGCCTACAGAGGCCGGCAGGCCTCCTTCAGCTGTGGTGGGCTCCACCCTGTTTGAGCTTCCCCATGGCTTTGTTTACCTAATCGAACAACTAACTCATCAATGGCGGGCGCCTCTCCCCCAGCCTTGCTGCCGCCTTGCAGTTTGATCTTGGATTGCTATGCTAGCAAAGAGTGAGGCTCCATGGGCGTAGGACCCTCCAAGCCAGGTGCAGGATATAATCTCCTGGTGTGCTGTTTTTTTAAGCCCATTGGAAAAGCGCAGTATTAGGGTGGGAGTGACCTGATTTTCCAGGTGCCATCTGTGACCGCTTTCTTTGACTAAGAAAGGGAATTCCCTGACCCCTTGCACTTCCCAGGTGAGGTGATGCTTAGCCCTGCTTTGGGTCGCACACGGTGCACTGCACCCACTGTCCTGCATCTACTCTCTGGCACTCCCCAGTGAGATGAACCCGGTACCTCAGTTGGAAATGCAGAAATCACCCATCTTCTGCATCACTCATGCTGGGAGCGGTAGACCAGAGCTGTTCCTATTTGGCCATCTTGGCTTCTCCACCATAACTTTAAAAGTACTGATTAGGAAGCCCACAGAAAAGGGACAGAAAAATAACTGATGTTTTATCAAAATGGCTTATTCTTGTCAATTTGCTTCCTCTTATCCTAAAAAAAGAATAGTCGTATAGTTCATAGAAAATCTGAGCAAAACACCCAAATTTATTTATTTATTTATTTTTGAGATGGAGTCTCTCTCTGTCGCCCAGGCCAGAGTGCAGTGGTGCGATCTCGGCTCACTGCAAGCTCTGCCTCCCAGGTTCATGCCATTCTCCTGCGTTACCCTCCCTAGTAGCTGGGACTACAGGCGCCTGCCACCACGCCTGGCTAATTTTTTGTATTTTTTAGTAGAGACGGGGTTTTACCATGTTAGCCAGGATGGTCTCGATCTCCTGACCTCGTGATCCGCCTGCCTCGGCCTCCCAAAGTGCTGGGATTACAGGCGTGAGCCACCGCACCCGGCGAGGAATATGTTTTAAGACGTTTACATCGTTATTCAGTCACAGGTACTTGGGTGAGATGCAGTGTCATCCCAATGGATATTAAGTCTTTATGTAAACCCGAGAAGAATTAAACACCTAGGAATTTCAAAACATCATACAGACCGGTAAAAGAATGGTCCATAAATTGTGATAAATGTCAGGACACAATTGCTCAGGCCATTGACTGAACATTAAATATGATTAACTCATAGGTTTTGATGACAGGATCCTGTAAAGGATTCATTTCACTAATTTTCCATGTCAGTATACTTTAATTCTTTGAAATAGGAAATTATTACTAGAGTGATACAAAGATGTGAGATCAGAGGGGAGAGGAAATAATTTGGAATTTGTAGGAGTCACCATTGCTGTGGAAGTCCGCTAAAATAGACGAAAATAAATCATACCAAAATGTAACAGTTCTCCCAGGACTAGTCTTCTAAAGTTTCATGATGATATTTACTATCATCTTTTCTCAGGTAGACAAATACAGTTTTTTCAGACTTGGAATGCCCTCTAGATCCTGAATCTCTAAGGTAGGTTGGTTGTTTTTTCATTCTAGGGCAATGGATTCTTTTTACTCATGACTCACTGTGATTCAGTGACTTGGAATTCTTTCTCCTGCCATGTTGTGTAGTGCAGCATCTAGTGTAAAGCCTTGGCACTGAGATCCCCCATGAGGGCCAGCAGGAAAAGTCTAAAACAAGGACCAAAGGGATTGCAGTTAGAAATGTCTCATTTGAATGCAGTGTCCCAAATGACATTGCACCAGAATGCCACTGGACTGCCTGCAATAGAAAATGTGTTCTGTGGAATATAACTCTCAGAGTATAAACAAGATGTCTCAAGAAAATACCTTTATTCATGTTGTGAGAAAAATAATCCTCTTTGTTTGACTACCTATCTATTTCTCAGTGAATGGTAAAATTTTAGTAGTGATACTTGTAAATGCAAAAACCACCCCCGCTGTGTAGAATTTCATTGATTTAAGTAAAAGAGAAAGACTTTAAAAAATACCTATGACTTCCTATCTGTTTTTTCTTTAACACTTGAGGCTCTTTTCTCTTTTCTTTTCTTTTCTTTTCATTTTGTTTCTTTTCTCTTTTGAGATAGAATCTCACTGTGTCACCCAGGCTGGAGTGCAGTGGTACGATGTCAGGTCACTGCAGCCTCCACCTCCTGAGTTCAAGCAATTCTTCTGCCTCAGCCTCCCAAGTAGCTGGGATTACAGGCATGCACCACCATGCCTAGCTAATTTTTGTATTTTTAGTAGAGATGTGGTTTTGCCATGTTGGCCAGCCTGGTCTTGAACTCCTGACCTCAGGTGATCCACCCGTCTTGTCCTCCCAAAATGCTGGGATTACAGGCATGAGCCACTGTGCCTGGGCCTTGATGCTGGCTTTTTTTGTTTTGTTTTGTTTTGTTTTTTTAATTAATTAATTAATTTATTTTAGCATCATTCATTTGAAAACTTTTTCATAGGCTTTACTATGGTTACAGCATCACTGGATGTAAACATATTTGCAGAGCTCCGTGAAAGGGCAATTAGCTGCCCTATCAGTCTAGAAATCTAACATCCCAGAAGACAGGAATTTGAAAGCACTAATGGACTACAAAGAGCTAATTATTTTCGGAAATACAGAAAGTATACCTCCAACAGTCTTCTTGAAGTTAGGTAACAATTAATTAGGGACTGAGGTCTTTCTCTTTTCTTTTTCTTTTTTTTTTGTCTTTTGTTTTTTGTTTGTTTTTTGAGATGGAGTTTCGCTCTGTCGCCCAGGCTGGAGTGCAGTGGCACGATCTCGACTCACTGCATGCCCTGGCTTCCGGGTTCACGCCATTCTCCTGTCTCAGCCTCCCGAGTAGCTGGGACTATAGGCGCCCACGACCACGCCTGGCTAATTTTTTTGTATTTTTTTTTTTAGTAGAGACGGGGTTTCACCGTGTTAGCCAGGATGGTCTCGATCTCCTGACCTCGTGATCTGCCCAACTCAGCCTCCCAAAGTGCTGGGATTACAGGTGTGAGCCACCACGCCTGGCCATGGGACTGAGGTGTTTTTCTAAAGTTATAGCCCGTACAGGCTCTTTTTTTTAATGACTATATCGCATGCCTTTTTGTATATTTCAACATGCTAACATGAAATAGACTCCCAGACATGTATTAAATATTGTTAATTTGTTGTTAAACATGTAAACCCTGAAAGTTCTTAAAAGGGGAAAAATCTATTTTTTTTAAAGATAACAGTTCTCAAAGCACATTAATTTTTCTAAAAACATTTTCTGAAATTTATATAGCAGTCATCAAGCTAAATATTTCACTTAATTTTCATGGAATTGCTTTTGAAAACAGTACCACAATAATACTGAAAAAAGATATTGAAGTTGAAAAATGTAAAGGTCTTGCCCTAGAACAAATAGCTAAAAAATAATGAAGCTGGGATTTTAAACTACATCAATTAAACTTCATAGCTATTATAAAACCTGCACCCATAAGGAGTGCTCGGCAAGAACATACATGACAGGAAACTACTCGCCTCTAGAGAAAAAAAAAAAAATCACTGAAAAAGACCACAGGCAAGAATTCAAGGACTTACACAGGGCTGGAAATACTATTCATAATTCATACGACATAAGGAGAATACTCAGAAGGCTTTTGCTTAGTAGAGGGCCTGAGTTAGCTCCACACTAAATGTTGCTGTGGTCCCACCTAACAATGCTTAAAAGTAAAACTCAAAAAGATCAGACTGCTTCCAATGAACTGACCTGTATTCCACAACAAAGCTTCTATGAAGACAAAAATATCTAGCACCCATCAAGTTAATAATGGCAATGAATGGCATTCAATAAAAAATTACCAGGATGTCAAAGAATCAGGAAAATATGACTCACAAAGGAGTTATATATATATATATAAATATATATATATATATATAAATTTTTTCAACGTATGGAATTTTTTTTGGTTCTAGCCCTAGAACCAAAACAAATGATAGCATTAGTAACATTTGACATTAAAACTTAAAATATTCCATACATCGAAAAAATAAGAGGAACTATTAAACATGTCAATTAGAGATACTGAAAATACAAAAAATGCAAATAAAAAAATTTAAAAATAAAAACACAATTTCTGAAGTAAAAAATACACGGATAGGATTAACAGCAGATTTGACACTACAAAAGAAGTAGTGAACTAAACACAAAAAGAAAAAATAATTGGGGAAAAATATGAACAGAGCACCAGTAACTTTTGTGACAATTTAAAGCACCCTAAAATACTTGTAATCCTCAAAAAAGTGGATGTACGTGAAAAGCATTTAAATAAACAATGGGTGAATATTACAAGTTTTATAACAACTATAAACTCACAGATCCAAGAACTCAATGAATCCTAAGGAGGAAAAATATGAAGTAAACAATTTTAAGATATAGCATAATCAAATTGCTCAAAACTAGTGATGAAGAAAAAAAATCTTAAAAGTGGCCAGAAGAAAAAAGAAAACAGATTACATACAGAAGAACCAAAAAAATGATGACAACAGATTTCTCCCTGGAAGCAAAGCAAGTACAAAGGGACTGAAGCAGCATTTTAAACAAATGAAATGTAAAAAACTGCCATCCTAGAATTCTATACCAAGTAAAATGTCTTTCATAAACAAAGGTGAAATTACAACTTTATCAGACACATAAAATCTAAAATAATGTATTACTAGAAGACTTGTACTATAAGACAAGTTAAGGGAAGTTCAGAATAGAAGAAAATAATGCCATGGAAATATAGGTCTACGTATTTAAATAAAGAGGACAAGAAACAGTAATGATGTGGGTGAATATAGGATGTTTCTTTCTTAATGTTGAAGTCATGCTGTTTAAATAGTCTGATCAGAGCAAAACTTAAAAGAAAGTATTTATTAAGTGTGGATTTTAAGATAGGTAGAAGTTAAAAAATATGATAATAGCACTAACACTGAAAAGTGTGAAATGGAAATATAGTCTTGTAAAAATACACGTAAGCCACCTGAAGGTAGAACTATGATAAGTTAAAAATATGTACTTTAATCCTAAGGCAAGAACTAACAAAACAAAAAAAATTTAGCTGCTAAGTCAAAAAGTAGAATGAAATCATAAAAAATACTCAACTGGGCCAGGTACAGTGGCTCATGCCTATAATCCCAGCACTTTGGGAGGCCGAGGTGGGTGGATCACGAGGTCAGGAGATAGAGACCATCCTGAACAACTTGGTGAAACTCCTTCTCTACTAAAAATACAAAAATTAGCTGGGCATAGTGGCATGCACCTGTAGTCCCAGCTACTAGGGAGGCTGAAGCAGGAGAATCGCTTGAACCTGGAAGGCGGAGGTTGCAGTGAGCTGAGTTCACACCACTGCACTCTAGCCTGGCAACAGAGCAAGACTCCGTCTCAAAAACAAAACAAAACTCTATTAATCCAAAAGCACACAGGAAAGAAAAACAAAATGAAGAATAGACTAAAAAAAATGCAGAGCAAAAATGTATATTTAAAACAAATTATGTTAATAACCCTTTAAGATTAAAATCCTGTAAATATCCCCGTTAAAATGCAAATATTAGATTAAAAAATAAGATCCAACGATACGCTGCCTTCAAGAAATGGACTTTAAATATAAAGAAATAATAGGTTAAAAGTGAAAGGATGGAAAAAGATAAACCATGCATGCTAACACTGTTCTAAAAGAGTTGGAATACTATTTTTGTATGTTTCAACATGCTAACATGAAATAGACTCCCAGACATGTGTTAAATGTTGTTAATTTGTTGTTAAACATGTAAACCCTGAAAGTTCTTAAAAGGGGAAAAATCTATTTTGGTATTAGACAAAGTGGAATTAGAGCAAACAATACTACCAGATCTTTAAAAAGTCAGATTTGCAGTGATAAATTCACAAATGATAATTATAGTCAGAGATTTCAATATAATTTTCTCAATAACTAGTAGAACAAACAGGCAGAAAAGATTTTTTTTTAATTTCCACAAAGAATTATCCAGAATCGGATGGCTTCACTAATGAATTCTACCACATATTTAAGAAATAAATGTTATTGATTCTATATAAACTTTTCTAGAAAATTGAAGAAGAGAAAATAACTTTCAATTTATTCTATGAGGCCAGTATTACCCTGATACCCAAATCAGATAAAGACTCAGAAAAAGAGAAAAAACACAGACTAATACTTTCTTTGAACATTGATTTAAAAATTCTTAACATTTTAGCAAATTAAATTTAATATATTAAAAGGTAATATCTGATCCGGGTGTAGTGGCTCATACCAGTAATTGCAGCACTTTGGGAGGCTGAGTTGGGCAGACTGCTTTAGCTCAGGAGTTCAAGACCAGCCTGGGCAACACAGTGAGACTCTGCCTCTACAAAAAAGATAAAATCAGCTGAGTGTGATGGTGCATACCTGTAGTCCCAATTACTCAGTGGCTGAGGTGGGAGGAGCCCCTGAGCCCAGAAATTTTAAGCTATAGTGAGCCCTTATGGTGACAGTGCAGTCCAGCCTGGATGAAAGAGTAAGACTCTGTCTGAAAAAAAAAAGGGGGGGGGTGGGAGTGGTGGGGTGGGGGGTGATATTATCTTAGAACCAAATGGTGTTTAAATATTTAATATTTAAGTAATTTAAATGAGAATAAGAAGAAAGTTGAATACTAGCTCTACACAGGAAACACTCACTGTATATAATCTGCTGGTCACACATCCTACGCAGGCTCAAGGAATGCAAGGCTGATTAAACATTTGAAAACCAATCAATGTAACTCACCATAATAATAAACTTTAAAGGAAAAATTACCAGGTCATCTCAGTAGACGTAGAAATAACATTTGACACAATCCAGTATGCATGCCTGATAAGAACTCTCGGCTGACTAGGAACAGAGGGAAACTTCCTCATCCTGATGAATGGCGGTATGAAACTACAGCAAACTTTATATTTAATGGTGAAATATGAAATGCTTTCTTCGTAAGATCAGGAAGAAGACAAGAGTCTCTCTCTGCTCTTACCACTTCCATTCAAGATTTTCCTGGCAGTTCTAGCCACTTCAGTAAGGCAAGAATAAGAAATCAAATGCACTCAGATTAGAAAGGAAGAAGCACCTCTCAGTTGTATGAACATTGTTGGACATATTAACTTCACAGTGACTTTTGGGCTGTCTTATCAAATTTGGGACTATTTAGAAAATGCTATCATGACACCCAGGAACTGAGAGTTCATGATATATGTGGAGAACGCTGTGTAATTTTCAGAAAAACTACTAGAACTAATAAACGAATTTAGGAAGCTTCAGAATATAATCTGTATAAAATATCACTTTATTTTTATATACTACAATGAACAATCAGAAATTTTAAAATAACATAAAGAATATTAAATATTGAGTGATAAATCTCACAAAGGTGTGCAAAACTTGCACACTTAAAATTACAAAAATTTTCAAGAAAACATTTTAAATGTCTAAAAGAATAGCAATATAGTGTGTTTATTGATTAGGAAACTCTATATTGTTAAGACATTTTCCTCTCTGAACTGATCTCTAGATTCAATCCAAATTCCAGCCATGATTTTGTAGAAATATTTAAAATAGTTCTAAAACTCAGGTGGAATTCAAAGAACCTAAAATACTACGAAAAAAAAAAAAAAACTTTGAAAAAGAACAAAATTTGAGGATGAGACTATTTGACTTCAAGACTGATTATATAATAACAATAATCAAAACAGTGTGGTGTTGATGTCAGGATAAACAAATCAATGGAACAGAATAGAGAATCCAGAAATAGGCCCAAATGTGCATGGTCAGCTGTCTTTTTTTTTTTTTTAAACAAAACATTCTTTCTGTCGTAAGGCAGAGCATAACTAAGTGGTAAAGCTATCCTCTGCTGTGTGTCCAAAGTACTGTGAGGGTAGAGTCCTCATTTTCTCACTGTGCTTATTTTTTTCTTTTGACTTTCCTCTTAGATTTTTAAATTTGCTTCCTGGAAAGAGTGATGTGTGACAGTTCTCAGATGAAATGAAGTTCTGGTTTGGAAGCTGCTTAGCCCTAATATTTACTGTTCTCCCAAACATGCATAGCATCTTCGGTGAGGGAATCTGCTGAGAATAAAAAGAAAGTTCAATAATAGCTTATCACAGGAAACACTCACTGTACATATTCTGCTTGTTACATATCCAGTGCAAGCTCAAATTACGGACAGCTGCTTGGTCATCCTGTGTAGATCAATTCATGCCAAATTTCATAAGACAGCCCAGAAGTCACTTCACAGAAACAAAGCACTTGAAAACAAACCCTGGATTGTAATCGTTGGTGATGATGTAAATCAGCCACTGTGGAAGACAGTGTGACGATTCCTCAAAGACCTAAAGACAGAAGTATCATTCAACCTACCAATCCTATTACTGGGTATATACCCAAAGGAATATAAATTGTTCCGTTATAAAGACACATGCATGTGTATGCTCATTACAGCACTATTCACAGTAGCAAAGACATGGAATCAACCTAAATGCCAATGAGTGATAGATTCGATAAAGAAAATGTGGTACATATACAACATGGAATACTATGCAATCACAAAAAAGAATGAGATCATGTCCTTTGTATGGACATGAATGGAGCTGGAGGCCAATATCCTTAGCAAACTAACACAGAAAATAGAAAATCAAGTACAGGATGTTCTCACTTATAAATGAGAGCTAAAGGATGAGAACACATGGACACGTAGAAGGGGACAACACACACACCAGGACATTTCAGAGAGGGAAGGGTGGGAGGAGGGAGAGGATCAGGAAAAATAATTGGTACTAGGCTTAATACCTGGGTGATGGAATAATCTGTACAACAAACCACCATGACACAGGTTAGCCTATGTAACAAACCTGCACTTGTACCCCTAAACTGAAAATGAATGTGAAAATAAAACTTAAAAAAAAAAAAAGAAACCACAGATGTGCAAAGGAGAAGAGCAAAACTGTCCTAGTCTGAGGCTCCAGAACTGCTGAAGGAGGGTTCCTGTCTTAATCCCGAGATTAAGACAACCTGACGGCTCCATAGCCTTGGTCAATGAAAGTATTACTTGAAATAGTTTTTGAGGAAGTATTTTTTTTCAAAGAAACTATATTCCCTTAAAGGAAGGAAGCCTATTATATACTGCAAGGTCCCTCAGCCTTTGGCTTTACTTTATGCCTTTAAAATGCCCAAACTGGTTGGCATGTAAATAAGGAGTAATGAGTTATGTAAGGTGCCAAGCCTGATGAAGCTGTGTTACAAATGCATAACTTGTAGCTGCTTGCTAACATTGCAAACACTTCTAGTTCAGCACAGCATTCCAGAATTATTGTCATGAGCAGTGTTAAAGCCAATGTAGTGCCTCATTAATAATAATAATTATGCAAAGGTGACTCTACTCTTTAGTCATTGTGATGGTTTAGTCATTGTGATTGGGACTCAGACTGGCTCTCTTTGCTCCTCAGCTTGCAGAGAGCCTATTGTGGGACCTTGTAATCATGCACGCTAATATTTAATAAGCTCCTATAAATATATATACATTCCCATATATATATCATATATATAGGATATATATCCTATTAGTTCTGTCACTCTAAGAGAACCCTGACTAATGCAGTCATTAAATAAGAAACTATTAAGTAGTTATGAAATGAGGTATAACCAATGTAATCATTTCTCTCACACCATCCTTCCCACAATGCGTACATCGAATCTTTGAGGGGTTTTCCTTCACACTTACCATGTTCTCCTGCAAGAGTAGACCCTGTTCACAAGGGCATTGCAGCACTGCATCTCGTATGTTGAGGCATCTGGAATGATTTTATGTGCCCGACACATGTACACAGTGTTGCTTCGGCTGTTTTTGATGCAAGTTCCTCAGGATTTTTATCTTACTAGTTTTCACCATCTGATCAACTCAGTTCAGCTGAGTGGCTTTATTATAAGGCAGTGTGTAGCAGTCACTTCACTGGATAACAAATAGGAGTGTCTGCATAGCCACAGCAAGATTCTGGGAGCTGAGCTTCTCAAGCATTCACTATTGATTATCTGCAGAATGACAGTTGGACACAGAAACTTCAAAGATACACCCACCTACTCTCGCGGGTTCTCCACATAGCTTAAAAATTCATTGTGTATCTAAGCTCCTTCAGCTTGGAATCCACACATCTGATTTCAAAATGAAACAGTTTCTGACACTCTAGTGCCATTCAAAGGCTTGGACATTTTGACCCTGAGGAATTTTGTCTTGGGAGAAATGGGGCAGTGGAATATTGATGAAGTATACAAAGCTGCCTTCATGGAAATGAGTTTCCTTCTGAGATATTCCAGTGGTACATCAAAAGGAGAGACCAGGGACCTATCCTGGACATAGTCAAGTGAAATGTCACTCTTTTAGAATGGTTGATACCAGATGTTCACTTTACTGTTTGAAACACAAAGTTTGCATCATTCCATTTAGACTTTTATATTATCACAATTTTGAAAGGCTGCTGAGGAACAGATTTCTATTTACTTTCTTCATGAAAAAGCATCTGTGATACTTTTTAAAAGGTAACTTGGGCGAGTACAGGAAAGAATAAGAAATAGGAAAATAATTACCTATAGTTTTATTATCCAAGGGAAACCTCTGACATTTAAGTACATTCTTTTTAGTCTTTTTCAATGATCTTTTTGAAAGATTAAAATCATACAGCAGATACAGAAACAGCTCGTTTTATTGCACTTGCTTTATTGCACTTGACAGATACCATGCTTTTACAAATTGAGGGTTTGTAGCAACCCTGCATCAAGCAAAGTCTATCAGTGCCATTTTTCCAACATCAGGTGCTCAGTTTGTGTCTTTCTGTGACATTTTGGTAATTCTCACAATCTTTCAAACTTTTTCATGATTATTATGTGTATTGTGATCTGCGATCTGTGATCTTGATGTCATTGTAATTGTTTTGGGCACCATGAGGGTTGCCCAAATAATACAGTGAGTATAATCAACAAACGTGTGTGTTCTGACTGCTCCACTAACTGGCAGTTCCTCTATCTCTTTCTCTGTCCTCCAGGCTGTTTGTTCCCTGAGACAGAAATATTGAAATTAGGCCAATTAATAATCCTGTAATGGCCTCTAAAATTTTCAAGTAAAAGGAAGAGTCCCACATCTCTCACCTTCAATCAAAAGCTAGAAATGATTACGTTTAGTGAGGAAAACCTGTTGAAAGCCAAGATAGGTGTGATGGTTAATACTGAGTGTCAACTTGATTGGATTGAAGGATGCAAAGTATTGCTCCTGGGTGTGTCTGTGAGGGTGTTGTCAAAGGAGATTAACATTTGAGCCAGTGGGCTGGGGAAGGCAGATCAACCCTTAATCTGAGTGGGCTCCATCTAATCAGCTGCCAGCAAACGTAAAGCAGACAGAAAAACATGAAAATAAAGACTGGCTTAGCCTTGCAGCCTACATAGTTATCCTGTGCTGGATGCTTCCTGCCCTGGAACATCAGACTCCAAGTTCTTCAGCTTTGGGAGTTGGACTGGCTTCCTTGCTCCTCAGCTTGCAGATGGCCAATTGTGGGACCTTGTGATCATGTGTGTTAATAGTACTTAATAATCTCCCATATATATATCACATATGATATATATGATATATATCACACACGATATATATATGATATATATCACACACGATATATGATATATATCACACACGATATGATATATATGATATATATCACCTATGATATATATGATATATATCGCCTATGATATATATGATATATATCGCCTATGATATACGTGAGGCATAATGCTCAGAAAAAAAGATTCTTTTCAAAATATTAATGTTATTGTCAATGCTCCTGGTCACTCAAGAGCTCCGATGGAGGTGTACAAGGAGAATAATGTTGTTTCCATGACTGCTAACACAATGTTTCTCCTGTAGCCCATGAATCAAGGAAAATTTAGACTTTCAAGTATATTATTTAAGACATACATTGTGTACAGATATAGTTGCTGTAAAGGGTGATTCCCCTGATGGACCTCAGAAAAATGAATTGGAAAACTTCTTCATAAAGCTCACCATTCTAGATGCCATTAAGCACTTTTATGATTCATGGGAGAAGGTAACAATATCATTAACAGGAGTTTGGAAGAAGCTGATTCCAATGCTCATGGATGACTTTGAGGGCTTCAACACTTCACTGAAGGAAGTAACTGCAGATGTGGTGAAAATAGCAAGAGAACTAGAATTAGAAATCCAGCCTGAAGATGTGACTGAATCCCACATTTCATGAGATTCCTTGAATGAATGAGGAGTTGCTTCCTATGGATAAGTAAAGAAAGTGGTTTCTTGAGACAGGATCTACTGCTGGTGAAGATGCTGTGAACATTATTGAAATGTCAACAAATAATTTAAGATATTTCATAAATTTAGTTTGATTAAACAGCAGCAGGGTTTGACATGATCGATTCCAATTTGAGAAGAAATTTTACTGAAATGTCTATTGAATAGCTTTGAAACTATAGAGAGTAAAAATGCTATCAAACAGCATCACATGTTACAGAGAAATATTTCATTAAAGGAAGAGTCAACCAATGTGCCAAATTTCATTGATATCTTATTTTAAGAAATTGCCACAACCACCCATCCCGATCAGTCAGCAGCCATCAACATCAAGGCAAGACCCTCCACCAGCAAAAAGATTATAGCTTACTGAAGACTCAGATGATCATTAGAGTATTTTAGCAGTGAAGGATTTTTAAATTAAGATATATAAATTTTTAAGACATACTGCTATTGCACATATAATGGACTACACTATAGTGTAAACATAACTTTTATGTGCACTGGGAAATCAGAAGATTCATGCAACTCATTTTATTGCATTATTTGTTACATTGCACTGGTCTGAAACTGCACTGGCAATATCTCTGAGGCATGCCTTTGAAACTTTGATGCATGCTTTCTTGCATGTAACATTACATCATATCATCTTTTTACTCATACCATTAAAAACATTTCAAAAACACTACTTATTATCTCATAAATGGATGCATCAGAAGTCATTAATTGATCCTATTGTTAGTTTAGTAATAATTTTCTCACTTATTAACAATCTTTAGTAAATATCTTTAGGCATAAAACCATGACAAATACTCAAATTTTTTCCCTATGGTATATAGATTTGCAGAATTCCAAATACTGAATTAAAATTGTTGAAAATGTTTTATCTTTGATGTTCTTCATACACATTTGTCAAATAACTTTTCAGAAAAATTATACTTATTTAAACTCTCACAAGCAATGTATGAGGATAGACAATTTCACTCTCCACCCTCTCCATTGAGTCTTCTCCCTTTAAAAATATTTGCTAATTTGGTGGGTGAGAAGAATATTTATTAAAATGGTATCTGTTTTTTGAAGATCTCTCAATAGTTTCAGAGCAATTCAATAGAAGTTCAATTGGGTTTTTTCATGGCACTAAAGAAACTTTTTCTAAAATGTAGATGGAAGAATAAGGAGCGAAGATGAGTCTAAACATTTTAGAAGAAGAAGGATAAGAAAGGGGTGTCCTAGCACAGGACTCATTTTGAAGCTCAAGGGATTGAAATAATGTGGGAGTATTGCAGAGATAGCCACATTAACCAATTAAATAGGCCGCCCAGAAATAAACCCATTAATATATAAGAGTTGAAGTGATGGCAGTGAAGGGTACATCCATAGGAAAAGGAATTTTCACAAAATAAAGCTAGGTAAATAATTATATATATATTTTAATAAAATAGGATTCTATTTCTCTCAAAAACCAAAAATCAATTCCAGATGGATTAGGACTTAACGGATAAGTACAAAACCTTTGGAAACATTTAGTTTAATTGGCAAATATCTTGCTGACTTTGGGGAGGATAATGGTTTTGCAAGCAAGACTCAAAAAGCATTAGCTATAATAGAAAAAATGATGAATTTAAATGTATTAAAATTAAGATCTTCTGTTCATCGAGATCTAATCATATTTATTTGAGGAAGTGATTTAACTTCCTGTGTCTCAGCTGCTCATCTGTAAAAGAAGATAGTAAAACTATCTCATAGGGTTGTTGTGAGATTTTAAAGGGTTAATTATGCATTTATGTAATGCATTCAGAAAACTACCTGAAATTTAGCACTGAATTATTAGCTCATTAAATCTAATAATAATTTAATGGCTAGTGTATGTTTTCTATAGTGCAATCATTATCTTTATCACTTTTTTGTGATTTTATTGGTTGATTTTATTTTTAAATGACTTATTGAGATATGACTGACATGTAAAAAGCTATACATATTTAATATGTACAATTCTATGAGTTTGGGGATAAGTATACACTTATGAAACCATCACTCCATCAGGGCCTTTGACACATCCATCATCTGCCAAAGTTCCCTCCTGCCCCCTTTATTATTATTCTCTGTGTGCACAAGCACATGAGTGTGCTGAAAACATTTAACATAAGATCTGATCTATCCTCTCAGCAAATTTTAAGTACACAATACAGTATTGTTATCTATGGAAACTATGCTGTGTAGTACAGCAGTACAGCAGTCCCCAAACTTTTTGACACCAGGGACCAGTATTACAGAAGATGATTTTTCCATGGACCAGGGTACAGTGGGGTCAGGGGTGAGAGGAATGGTTTCCAGATGAAACTGTTCCACTTCAGATCATCAGGCATTAGACTCTCTTAAGGAGTGTGCAACCTAGATCCCTGGCATGCGCAGTTGCCAGTAAGGTTTCCACTCCTATGAGAATCTAATGCCACCACTGATCTGACAGGAGGCGCATCTCAGGCGGTAATGCTCACCTCCTGCTGTGTGGCCCCGGTTCGTAATAGGCCATGGACTGGTACCAGTTTCTGGTCTGGGGCTTGGGGACCCCTGCTGTAGTAGATCTCCGGAACTTATGTCACCCAAACTTTGTACCCTTTGACCATTATCTCCTCCTTTCCTAGCTCTAAACGACAACCATTCTAATCTCTGCTTCTATGAGTTTCACTATGTTAGATTTCACATAGAAGTAAGATCATGCAGTATTTGTTATTTCTTCACTGGCTTATTTCACTTAGGATAATGTCTTCCAGGTTCATCGATGTATCATAAATGGCAGGATTTCCTTCTGTTTTTCAGGCTGAATGGTCCATTATATGTATATGCCACATTTTCTTTGTCCATTCATCTGTTGATGGACACATTTAGGCTGTTTCATATGTTGGCTACTGTGAATAATGCTGCAATGAACAAAAAAAGTGCAGGTATTTTTTCAAGATCTAGATTTTAATTATTTTGGATAAGTACCAAAAAGGATTGCTGAAATATGTGGTAGTTCTGTTTTTATTTTTTATATTTTATTTTATTTGATATTATATTTTTTATTTTATTTTATTTTATTTATTTTATTTTATTTTATTTTAATTTAATTTAATTTAATTTTATTTTATTATTTTATTTTATTTTTGAGATGGAGTCTCACTGTGTCCCCCAGGCTGGAGTGCAGTGGCACAATCTCGGCTCACTGCAACTTCCATCTCCTGGTTCAAGCAATTCTCCTGCCTCAGCCTCCCAAGTAGATGGGTTAACAGGCACCTGCCACTACATCAGGCTAATTTTTGTATTTTTAGTAGAGATAGTGTTTTGCCATGTTGGCCAGGCTGATCTCGAGCACCTGACCTCAAGTGATCCACCTGCCCCAGCCTCCCAAAGTGCTGGGATTACAGGTGTGAGCCACCACGCCTGGCCAGTAGTTCTATTTTTGAGAAACTTGTATGCTGTTTTTCATAAAGACTATCAGTTTACATTCCACCAGCAGTGTATCAGGGTTCCCTTTTCTCCACATCCTTACCAACACTTGTTATCTTTTAAAAACTTATTTATAGCCATTCTAACAAGTATGAGGTGATATCTCACCATCTCACCATGGCTTTCATTTACATTTCCTGATAATTAATAGTGTTGAGAATCTTTTCTATACGTGTTGACTGTCATTAGTCTTTTTTGGAAAAAATGTCTATTCAGGTTCTCTGTCCATTTTTAATTAAGTTCTTTGTTTTCTTGCTATTGAGTTGTAGGATTTCCTTATATATTTTGAATATTAACCTCTTATCAAGTATATGGTTGTAAATATTTTCTTCCATGCTGTATGCTGCCTTTTCATTTTGATATTTCCTTTGCTATGCAGAAGCTTTTTAGTTTGATGTCATCCCACTTGTTTATTTTGAATTGTGTTGCCTGTGCTTTTGGTGTCATATTCAGAAAATCATTGCTAAGACCAATGTCAAGGAACATTTTACCTACGATTTTTTTCTAGGAGTTTTATGATTTTAGGTCCTATGTTTAAGTCTTTAATCATTTTTCAGTTGATTTGTGTGTGTGTGTGTGTGTGCAATACGATATATATTTTTTTTGCATACAGATATCAAGTTTTCCCAACATTCTTTGAAAAGACTATACTTCCACCATTTTGTATTCTTGGGACCCTTGGTGCGGATCAATTGATCTTCTGTGTGTGGGTTTATGTCTGGGCTCTCTCTGCTGTTCCATTTGTCTATGTGTCAGTTTTTATGTTAGTACCATGCTTTTTTGGGTACTATAGCTTTGTAATATAATTTGAATCCAGAAGTGTGATGTCTCCATCTTTTTTTAAATCAAGATTGCTTTTGAAGTTTTTGTGGTTCCATATGAACATTAGAATTGTTTTCTATTTCTGTGAAAAAATGGCACTGATATTTTGATATTTGAAATTATGACTTCATTGAGCCTGTAGATTGCTTGGATTAGTTTGGACATTCTAAAAATATTAATTCTTCCAATCCGTGAACATGGGATGTATTTATTTGTGTCATCTTCAATTTCTTTCATCAATGTTTTATGGTATTCTATCAATTAATTTGTCCCCATCCAGTCCCCATTTAGACATAAAATACTCATGAACATTTGTGTTTAATTTTTAAATACTGATTCTTATTAATATATTTTATTTTTTCATGATGTAGAAATTCATTTTAATGCATACTCTGAAAAGTAGATCTAAACATTTAGCTAAGTGTCTGGGTATTATTTGTTTCATAATCCATTACTGTTTCATGGATGTGTGATGACTACATTATTTAATCTTATGTTTTGCCTTTTGTTTTTCTATTAGTATCCCATTAATTTACCTTTTTTTTTTAGCTCTATAATAACTTAGAGGGTAGTTGTTTTGACAAAATTATCAGAGCAACTTATATCTCATATCATTTTCATATTTATAAATTACAATTTTAATTGTTGAGGCTACCTCATTTCCCAAACATTGTTTTCGAAACACACCAAATGAAAGTTCAAGAAGTCATCTCGTCATTCAATTATAGATCCAATTTTAACCCACATTACTCATTTAATTATAAGCAAGCCTGAGTCAGGCCTCTCTACCACACAAAGCTGCTATAAAATATATATTTGACAAGTAGAGTCTGGACCTTTCCTGTAAAAAGGCATCTTATTATTTTGCATAAAAATTAAAAAGTTATATAATTGCTGGATGTCAGGTTGTGAGATTAAACATCGTCACATAAGCCCCAAATCATGATTATGCAAAGCAGTTAATACTTACAGTTCTTTCTTGCTACTAGAACCAAATGGCTTGTTACTTCTTTTACAGCAATACGTTATGCAGAACAGCAACAGCATACCTAAAATAAATGTGCTTGTATGTGCTACTTTCTTAAGCATTTATTACAAGGCACAGTTTATAGTCTGAAGAGTTTCAAGAAGTTTTATGAGATAAATGCGAACAGACGTAAAAACACCTATGTTGTAGGATCCATATAGCTGAGATTAAAAAAAAAAAAAAAGAAAGAAAGCAATACATAGTTCAGCCAAAAGCTTTGAATGGCATGATTAATAAGCCTAGAAAACATAAAGTAGTGGAGTTAGCTTGGCTAAGCTGAGAAATGTGGAGATAACAGGAGAAAAACACTGAAAAGCATTAACCCAGAGTGGTCAACCTAGTTCACTGCACTCTTTTTCTTACGGATGGGTACATCTTGCCTCTGGGAAGTATCATAATCCATTATAAGCACATAAGTATAACAAGTAACTAAATAATGTCACTTAGTTTTGGTTGATTGCAAACATCTCCCTGTTACAGTGGACTTTTGAATTAGAGATGGTAGCTCAAAATGTGCTCATTCCGTGGTGTATTAAAAGTATCTACCAGTTTCCTGAAACTGGGAAACCTGGATTCTAGTTCAACCTCTGCCCTTAACTCCCTGTGTGACTTAAGCCAAGTTATAAAATGTCTTCACTTCAGTATTCTCATGCTTAAAATCAAGAATCTAAATTAGCTGTTATCAAACTTAAGGGTTGTTAAACATGTGAAATGCTTAGAACATTAAACACAATGAAAACAATAGGTTTTATGTATTTCCAACACTGAAATGTATGATTCTATTGTTCAGAGTGCACACTTAGCATGCACCTACCCTTAGCATTTCAGATTGTTCTAATAGGATTACCTCTTATTAGAGGTGTTTGTGACCCTCTTTTCCCTTTGGAATGAGACTGGCTTTGGGATTCCTCAAGTGGGCATGAGGCACAAGAAATCTATTCTGTCTGCAACCACGCCTGAGACACACTGTAGGGTAAGTGAGGAAAATTGAGCGCCTTCCCAGGGGGAGCCAAACATCTCTGAGACTCAATAGTGTGTTCAGCAGTTTTCTAGGAAAATGCCATCCTAATACCTCACTGTACCTCCCATTCTTATTACTCCATCATTCTGGAGTTAAAACTAAGCCACCTGAAATCTTAGATAGTCCTTCCTTTTTCTTGAATCCATTGTTTTTGTATACCCTTGACCTAAGTGACTCCATTTTAGAAAAATACTCCATCTTACATTTTAAAAGGCATCAAGCCATCGGGTCCAGGTGCTCACCTAATCAATAGAGACAACACCCAACCAGATAGTGGTGTAACCATTTACTACCAGTCCTTGTCAGAGGGCTCAAGGGCCATAAAATGAGCAGGACTTCACCAGCTACACATGGCCGTCTTGACTGACCCTGTCTTGCTGCCACTGGTGATCAGTACCCAGCATCTGCCATCCAAGGTTCTGACCAAATCAAAGACGTTTCCTTGCAAGATATTAACATCCATCTGGACCAAGCCAGGACACTCTCCTTGTCCGTGTGACTCTCCTTAGACTGGTTCATTAACCCCTTTTTCCTATTCCCTTTTCTTTTGATGTTAAATGTTAGTTTGTTTGATGTGGAATGTTTGATCTATTTTACTTATGTATTGGTTAAGTATACTATTACCTACACTTTGTAATACTGACTGACCTGTGGAGTGGCTTGAGCATGTATACGCACAGCCCTGGCTACCGAGTGTATGGCTAATACTAAGGAGAAGTGCCTCCTTGGGAGCTCAATGTAGCTCACGGGTTTTATAATTAAAATAGCATCAATACAAGTCTTACCTTGTGGAAAGACACAAATGTGCATGGACCTGGTTATGTCTGAACTTGTGCCACTCGTGGAAGTTTTAAATCTACATATTATGTTATTTCACAACCAAGATTTTATTTGGAAAGAAAACGCAGATCATTAGGGAAGCCTGATGGATTAACTTGAGCTGAAAGGAAGTCAGCCGAAAGACTTCCTTCTTCCTAATGATGCTCAAATTCAGGGTTTGTTTTTATATAAACTTAGTGTCCTTCCTGTAAAGAGATCCTTGTGCTCTCCCCACCTAGGAGAAGTGGGGATCTATACAGGAGGGGAGTCAAAGGGGGTCTTGGGTGAGTGATCAGTATCTATGAAAAATTTTAAAATCCAATTTAATTTTGGCAGCTTAATTATTCCTGAGGTCTGAGCATTTTTGACAACCTGCTGAAATATGTCAAACACAAGTGACAGAGCTGGAGATAAGACTGAGTTGAGACTTTTAACTACAAAATGATGGGACAGTGAGGGCAGAGGAGTTTTCCCATAAGAATTAAGATATAGAAGAGGAACTCTGGACTTTTATCCCTAATGAGGGCATTTTAGACTGTAAGTGCAAATAGAAGCCTTCTCTCCTGAACTGGACATTGTTTCAATTGCTAATAAAAAGATTCCGCTAGCTGAATTTCAGGACTGTGAAGCAAAGTGGGACAGTGGCGGGGAGACTAAAGAAAGCCAGGGAAATGAACCCCTTCTCAAGCAATGAGGCTTTATAAATGCTGAAGAAGCACTTAAAACTCGACAGTCTGCAAAGGAATATCACTTTCCAAACCTCTTAAAGGTTTGCTTAGGGTACTTTTCTGCTATAAGAGAAAATATTTCCTTCCCAGTGATCGAATGGGAGACCCAGACTGACTGGCTTAGCCTACTAATCTCTGCTCAGCACTGGGCAAAATGACCGACTAAATTAGAAGCACTTGAGGATTTCATCAGTAAATGAAATGCTGTGTCAGGGATTAATGATCTATTTTGTTTTCTGACTTGGAGCAGCAAAGCAGTCCCACCCTTAATATAAATAAAATTATTAGTGGAGGTTAGAACTCAATGAAACTTGCCAGGTTTTAAGCATGTGGAATGTTGAAAATTGCACATCCTCTTTAACTTAATAGCATTTATTGGTTTTATTTTTCTTCTAAAAGTGTATATATGTATCTTTTTGTGGAAATATCGGAAAATGCAACTGTGCACAGAGAATCTAAAAAAATGACTCAGTACCTCAATATACAATGGGGTTTTGGGTGAATCTAATCTGTTATTAAGATATAAGACTCGTTCCAATTTATTCATTCCTTCTACCACCACCAAAATCACTCACCACCATCTGTTTGCAGAGCCATTATAGTGATTATTTAATCTGATCAGTGTGGATAATGACTAAAAGATTAGAGGCCTATCACTCTTAAGCCTGATCCACTGCTATTTGATAAAATATCAACTGTTTATGAAAAACAAGATCTCAACCAATCATCAAGCATGGAAGTGAATCAAGATAAATTTTAACAGAATGTTTTAGTCTCTTCTTTGTCTTTGTACCAGGCAGAAGCAGCCAGAAAAAGAAACAAGTTTTTATTGTATTAGATCAAGCTTCCCCAACCCGCGGCCCATGGCTGCATGTGGCCCAGGATGGCTTTGAATGCGGCCCAAAATAAATTTGCAAACTTTCTTAAAACATGAGATTTATGCTCTGACCTATTTTTTTTAGCTCATCAGCTATTGTTAGTGAAAGTGTATTTTATGTGTGGCCCAAGACAATTCTTCTTCCAATGTAGCCCAGGGAAGCCAAAAGATTGGACACCCCTGGATTAAAAATAATCACAACATTTCACAAGGATATTTCACTGGACTTACTGGCCAGAGAGAAGAGGGGTGGGAAAGAAACAGAGAGACAAAAAAAGAGAGTGAGAGAGAGAATAGTCAGACCACCTGAGAGGCCACTGGCACATCAGTAGCATTATCTTGGTAGAGTTGTTAATTTTGTAGGATTCAAATGGATTTTGGGGGGGCACACTGTGTACCCACCCACAAGCATAGACTTGCAAGCACACATGTTTCTGTGTACAACCATGGTCCTCAAACCTAGGTTAGCTTAGACTCCAGCTGTGATTCCATCAGCCAAGCCAGGAGCTGGGGAGGGAGCCTGGCAGCTGGGACCTGACCACACAGGGAGGGGCTGGGAGGTGTTTATTCATCTTGGAAAACAGAACCACCGTGGTGACCCTTTGAGGTATCCCAGACAAGGCTGGGCTCTAGGGCCTCTTGGTGGCTCAGGTCCTTGGAGGGGACCTTAGGTTCACAGGGAGTGAGATGGGACCACCCTCACTGTCCAAACTCCAGGCAAGGTCAATGTACAGCATGGATCTTGCTCAGAGGAACAGCTAGAATGCAAGCTAGAAGGTCAACTTCAAAGGGGTAGGATTCTCTATTTGTTCACTCAAGTAGTCCAAGGCACATGGTCCATACTTTAACAGTGTTTGCTAAATGAAGGATTGACCTTAATGACACTCAAAAGAAACCAATTACACAAACCAAAATTCTGTTAAAAATGGGTAATAAGTTTTACCTATCATATTACAAATAAAGAATACCTTCATTATAGAAAATGAGGAAACATAAATGAAGAGAAAAAGACCCTCACACTAATAGTCATACTATGCAGATGTAACCACTAATAATAATAATTATTATTATTATTATTTGAAACGGAGTCTCACTCTATCACCCAGGTGGGAGTGCAGTGGCACGATCTCAGCGCACTGCAACCTCCATCTCCTGGGTTCAAATGATTCTCCTGCCTCAGCCTTCCAAGTAGCTGGGACTACAGGCATGTGCCACCAAACCTGGCTAGTTTTTTGTATTTTTAGTAGACATGGGGTTTCACCATGATGGCCAGGCTAGTCTCGAACTCCTGACCTCAGGTGATTAGCCCGCCTCAGCCTCTCAAAGTGTTGGGATTACAGGTGTGAGTCACTGTGCCTGGTCAAGAATTTTTTGATATAGAGGTATATTATCTTCACTCTTTTTCTATGAGACTAGATAGATGTTTTCTAACTAAAAGTTACTGCACTGTAAAGTGATTGTTTTAATTGAAAATATATTGTTTCTAGCTTTCCATGTGAAAATAACATTTATAATTCTTAGAGTTATTTCTGAATTAAGGCTTCATTTTTGTGATATATAAAAATGTACATAATTTATTTCCTTTTATTATATATTTATAGTAATAGAAACAATGCAATAAATATCTTCATAGAAAAAAATTACATGGGTTAGTTATTTCCTTAGATTCTTAAATTTGAAATTAATCTATAAAAATACACATTTTTGAAGCTGTTGATAATATGGGCCAATTGCTTTCAGAAAGTTTGTGTCAATTTACCATCTTGCTAGTAGTGTATGATGGTGAATAAATCCTCAAGCACAAGATATAATCTCTTTACTTGTCCAGTCAATTGGCTAAAAATGGTACTGTAAACAAAACAAAACTAACATTAAAAATGGCATCTATCATTGTTTGGATTAAGGCATTACTTTTATCATGGGGATAAATGAGAGCTGAAATTTGGACAATCACCTCTTTGGACAGGGCCTAGAGGCATGCCGGTTCTTCAGGCTGTCTTTGATATTCTGACTCCATGTTCTCTAATGCCTTCTCAGTCCTCACATTATTTCCTCCACATATGTTTTTACCCCAATAGCTTTATTTCATACTAGTTAAACACCAATTACATTTAGATCCTGTGAGTGCAGATTTTTATCTGGGAGATTTTCCACCTTCTAACGAGACATTGACAAATGTAATGATCTTATCTGTTATGTTAAATTATAAGATCAAATTATAAATTTAATGTTAAGTGAGCAGCCTGATTTCCCTCAGTTGCAAGTTTCTGAGATCAATTCACTATTGTTGCTAAATGACCTGCAGTACGTGAATAGCATGTCCTTGCTCGGGATTGGCAGTGAATGGGAGTGATGACAGAAATGTAACAGAAACAGAACATAAAACATAGGAACAGGACAGGACCTTAGAAATTTTTCCCTAGTCAATGGCTTTCACATTAAACACAGGAAACATGCTTGGGAAGATGAATTTCCAAAGCCTATGACAGAGTTTACTTGCACGCTGGATGTCTATTTAGGTTAAGATACAAGTAAGTGTTTAAATCACAGCCTACCACTTAGAAATATGTCCATAGAACATTTTATTTTTAAAGCTGTATCCCTCAAACTGTAGGTTAGATATCTAAAATGGATCACAAGGGGTGCTAGTTACAAATTCAGATTCTTGTCGTCACATCAGGGTTAAATTAGGGTTAAATTAGAATCTCCGACTGCACAGTCCAGAAATCAGCACTATTAACAAGTGCTTCAGATGATTCTTGGGCAAAATGAAATTTGGGAAGCAATGCTTCAGCCAAAAGAAAATCGTCACAGCTAAATGGGTACTTCACTCTATAAACTGGCTTTCTGCTTTCATCCAACTCTAGCCAAAGGGAGTTTTAGTTTGTATTGTGTGTTTTTTTCTGTTTTGGACTATACTATGAGGTGGTTATTAGACATGTACAGGAGCACCTGTGTACTTTTTTCCTTATGGTTTGTAGATCCTCTGAAAGAAATCTATATCCAAAAAGTGTATTAATGACATACATTTTTTTCCCAAATATCTGATGGATGGAAATTCTGAAGTATGGAAAAACGAATTCTTGGCCAGGAAATGAGGAAAAATGAATTCTTGTACTTAACTAGTGAGAGTGTTCATTGGTGTAACCACCAGGGACAGAAATTTGGCAGTAGATAGAAAAATTGTTAATGTGTCCCCTATGCCTTGGAAATTCTATGACTAGGTACATTTCATTCATTTATTATAGATAGGGTCTTGTTCTGTCACCCAGACTGAAGTGCAGTGGCACGATCATAGCACACTGCAGCCTCCAACTCCTGGGTTCATGTGATCCTCCTGCCTCAGCCTCCCAAATAGCTAAGATAACAGATGCATACCACCTTGCCCAGCTAATTTTTAAAAAATTTGTGGTAGAGATAGGGTCTCACTTTGTTTACCAGGTTAGTTTTGAGTTCCTGGCCTCAAGCGATCTTCTGGCCTCAGCCTCCCAAAGTCCTGGAATTATAGGCGTGAGCCACCTAAACCAGCCAAGGTACATGTTTACTTAGATTCTTGTTAATATAACAATAGCTCATTTTGAGTGAGGCACAGTTTTGGTGCTTTATGTGTAGCTCCCTTAATAATTACAACAGATAGGTATTATTGTTGCTGAGCTGCTGCAATGTTGAGCTGCTTGCTAAAGCCCCATGGCTGGAATGTGGTGAGTCAAGACCAAACACTCGCAGCCCGATGCCAGAGCCCATATTCTTAACCTTCAGTTTAGACTGCCTTCTATGGTCCTGTTGCGTACTGAATTGTGTCCTTCAAGATTCCTATATTGAAGTCCTAACCCCCAGTATGTCCATATTTGGAAATAGGACCTTTAAAGAGAAAAGTTAAGATTAAATGAGGTCATAACAGTAGGCTATAATGCAATAGGACTGGTGTATTTATAAGAAAAGGAAGAGACATCAGGGATGCTTGTGCACAGGGGAAGGGTTTTGTGAGGATACAATGAGAAAATAGCCTTCTACAAGTCAAGGAGAGAGGTCTCAGGAGAAATACAACCCACTGACACCTTGATCTTCGACTTCCAGCCTCTAGAACAGTTATTCAAGCCATGCAGTTCATGGTATTTTGTAATGGCAAAATATTTTGTAATTAACAAACCAATATGGGTACTTACAGAGATACAAAGGATTATACTGTGAGTTAGAGTGAACTCTTAGAAACAAATTCAAGAGCCATCAATAGGAGAATGAATAAATCAAATGTGGTATACTGATATGATAAAACCCTGTAAGGATATTAAACAGAAAAGGCTTGATCTTTATGCATTCATATGGATAGATCTCAAAAACCATGTTGAGTGACATAAAGTTAAAGAACGATACATTGCAAAGTATGAAATCACTTATATGAACTTAAAATACATATGAATACAACATATATATAAATTCATATAAATATATGATGTGGTTTTTCCACTGTTCTGTGGGATTGCTTCTGGAGACAGAAAGAAAGGTATCTGTGCATGGGAAAGAAATGGGAATTTGAGCTTACCTGGAATATTAAAATTAATATTAAAAGGACTTTAAATGTATATAAAATGCTAATACTGTCATTTTGGGTGGTAGATATATAAGCATTCATTAATTTTTCTTTGAGCTCCTTTTTAAAATTTCTCAACATCAAGATATTCTTATAAAAAGAATATATTAATTGGTAGAAGACATGAGTAGTCCAAAAATTATTGAGACTGCATAAAGCATATAGATTTTTTTAATTTTCATCATACCACAAGTGATTTAAACAAATTTATAAAATAATGTCCTGGCCAATAAAACTTTAGGAGCATTCTGGTTATCAGAGATTTTTCATCTTGTTTTTATTCTGTTGTTGATATTCATATATCTAAATCAACTTTCTTGAGAACCACTTGAGTCTTACAGATTTCTAATGGTAATCCTGAAACTTTTGCCATGATAGCATACTTGTTAATTAAGTAGAAAATGAGGAAAGGCTGCCATGAAATAAAACATTTATTTTTGCACTGTTTGATGATTTACAGAAAGTGTGATAACTGTGTTTAGGGTCTTTTTTCATATTAATTTTCCCCCCACTCATCCAATACATAGGAGAAACACAAGAGTCTGGAAGCCACCATCTTCAATAGCACGACTTATATACAATACATATTTTCCTTAAGTTGGAAAAAACAATGTTTTCACAGCCAAATATTACTGGGATTTGTGTACTCCTAAGCTTCTCCCCTAGTGGAAAGGATTATTTCTTCCCTTGCAGCTTAGAAGAAAGAGTGGGCTTGGGAGTTAGACAGGCTTGCTTCAATTTCCTCACAAACTACATGACTTTGGGCAAGTAACTTCATCTCTCCGTGCCTTAATTTTTTGCTCTAAAGTATATGAATAGTTATAATTATAATTCATATAAAAGCCATGTCATGTAGGGAGAAAGAAAGCAAATTCCTGAGCAGACTCCTGGGTTTGACGTTGGATGCACAGCTTGACAGTTGAGGACATCATTCATTATCTTCATTCTTGGCTATGCCTAGTCTATAAGAAAAACATTATGGGCAGTACCTACCTTGTACATTGTTGTGGTATTCAATGGGTAAACATACATGAGGTACTCAGAATCATACCTGGTACATTCTTACTCTTTACTATGTGTTTGCTACTATAATCATTTTAACACAGTTATTGTAGGATTAGAACTAATACGAGGAAAATGTGGGATACTTAAAAAGGGTTTTATAAACAACCACTATTCAGCCCCAGCAAAACTTGACAATTTGTATGAGAAAGATAGATGGAGTGAGAAGCTGGCTGTAAAATAAATACAAACAGTCATGAATCAAAAATGTCAATGATTCTCTTTCCCAGCCTTTAAACAATGTCCTCATCTTTTAACCAGGCTTCTCTGGATGGGTGGTATTAACTCCTCACGTTGCCAAATTTACCTTTAAAACACAGAAATGATGTCAGCCTCTGTAAAAAGATATTCAAAACCTCCAAATGAGAATGTAATAATTCAAACTCTCCATGTTCAACCCTTCTGGGGATTAGGGTTGAGATGTTGCAACTTACTGAAAGTGGATGAGTCTCTTTGAGAAGCAGTGATGTACAATGCCCTTGTGGCCTGGCAGAGTTAATGCAGCTTTCAGCAGCCCCTAATTATCTCCTAGAAGTAGTCTGAGCTCTGAGATAACCGGACTTACTGCAAACACACAAAGAGATAAGGGCACTAATAGCCCCCACAGGGCATTTTGGCTTCTTGTTGGCGTGGCTAAAGTATATGCTAGACCTCACTCCATGTTCATCATGTGCCCTGCTTATTCAAAATTCCATTCCCAGGTTTAAAGGCATAGATCAATGGGAGATTAAAAGAAATCCAGATAGAAACACAGTTGGCGATTTCAATTTCAAATGAAAATTAATTTACCCTCTTTCACTCCAGCCAGGTGTACAGACATTCTGCTCGGAACTTAAAAATGACACAGTAAAAATGTGGAAGCCCAACTATTATCACATAAGGAGAACAGCAAGGTGGTGGAAAAATAGACCCTGTAGCCAAACTATTTGAATCACAGTTTTGAGTCCCTGCTGCGTGTCTGTGGGTAATTTACACAACTTCTCAGTCCTCAGTTTATTCATCATGAATACGTGGGTAGCAAAAGTAAATTACTCATGGACTTCTCAGGAGTTAAAACAAAGTGCTCAGAACGGTGCCTGGCATGTAGTCAGCTCTATGTATATGTTAGCTTTTCTTATAATGTAGCCGTATCTGAAACACAAACATGGCATTTTGTTGCTGAATCATGTACTTGCCGGCCCCATGTGTTGCATACCTATTAGACCTGTGCTGTCCAATACGGTAGGCACTAGCCACATGAGTTCATGGGCACTTGCAATGTGGCTAGTCTGGACTGAGATGAGCTGCAAGTGCGAAGCACACACAGGCTTTCAAAAACAGTACCACAAAAAAAAAAATGAATGTAAGATATCACTCACTAGCAATGGAAACCTGGGAAAGTCACTTCACCTCTCTGACCCTCACGTTTCTCATCTGTAAACAAAGATGGATCTATAACATCCATCTTCTATGGTAATTATGGAGAAAAATGACATATCACACGTAAAGAATACCAGCAAGTGGCCAGGCATATATTAGGCTGGTAAATTGTGAATAGCCATTTTCTAAAAATTCTTACCATTCTGACATTAAGAGGTGACATTATTAAAAATGGAATATCTGCTCTGCCTCTCCAGCAAGGCACAATGTGGAAACCCCTTTCGGGTAGGCATGAGTAACTGATGTTACTCTAGAATAAGATGACTTCAGAAAATCATATCATCCTGAATTCTGACACATTTATATTAAAAAAATAGGATGAAAGTAGATTAATTCATAAGATACTTAATAGTTTGTTTCATTTTAGGGTATGTCAAGATTCCATACCTCAAGAGCTATCATTTAGGACTAACCCAGAGAGGTGAGGATGACCTTGAGCACAGAGTGTAGAAATTATATAATGATTTATAAATATTTTTTCAACTCTTCCAAATTAAAAAGGGAGACTTCCTAGACTTCTCATTTTCAGTTCAACATGTAAGGAGCTTGGAAATCATGTTTCATCCTCACAACAAGAAACAACCTAAACAAAGTGAAAATCAACAAGCCTTTTTACATCTAACAGAGAATTGAGGTCACAAGGAAAACCACTGTACCAAAAGTTAAAGAGACAGGCAAATACAGAGAATCACAACTTCCTGAAACACAAGCCCAGGAGAAGAAAACACCACTGCAACCAGCAGTAAGGGGAAAACAACTGAAAGAGCTGCATGGCGCAGACCTTATTTAAGAAGAACTCTCTAGGGAAACCCAAAGACAACACAGGAGACAAAAAAAAAAAAAAAAGACATCTGAACAAATTTTAGTCTCTAATCCTTACGGCTAAAGCAAACAGTAAAGATAGCCTAACCCTTAGCTTAATAATATAAAATCTCATGTTAAAGGTCCATTTGCCTCAGTTCCTTTTACTCAGTACATCACATTCAGCTTTCAACAAAAAAAATTACAAGGCATACTAAAAGACAAAAAAACAGTTTGAAGAAAGACAGCAAGCAGTAGGACAAGACTCAGATATGGAGGAGATGTTGAAATCATCAGACTGGAAATTTAAAACAACTATGACTAATATGCTAAAAGCTCTAATGGAAAAAGTACACAACATGCAAGAACAGATGAGTAATATAAGTAGAGACACAGAAATTCCAAGAACAGATGAGTAACATAAGCAGAGACATAGGAACTCTAAGAAAGAACTGAAAGGAAATGCAAGAAATCAAAAACATTGTACAGAAATGACAAATATCTTTGAGGGGCTCATTAATAGATTGAACACGGCCAAGGAAAGTCAGTGAGCTTGAAGAAAAAGAAGTGTTTTTAAAAGAAACTATACTTATTATAAAAGCAATAAATGCTGAAATCCAACATTGAGATTTGCAGAGGATTATACCTGAGAAAAGATGTTTGATATTATATCAATTTGTTGAACATGAGATATGTTTTGGCATGATTTCTATTTAAATTTCATAGACTTATTAAAGCTATATTTTTAAGTTTTATGGAGTAAGCACTGTCAAAATGGAATGTTTATGACAAACATTTAATGACAAACACATAATGTTTGTTAACTGATGAAATGATATATGTTAGATGATGAAATAATTTTTAGAGAATGCATTTGTTGGAATGGTTTTTATTAATGTGTCACCTGCCTTTTATTTATTTAAGATAAAACACCTGTCTTTCTCATTCCCACTTTAATGTATTGCACTTAAACTAACTAGTGCTCTCAAGAAAGCTACTTCCAGTAAAATTTTATGATATCCAATTCCTGGGTTTAATGACTCATAGTTAAATGCTGCATTTACCTGTTTGGAATTTATTTCTAAACTACTTTCACCATCTTTCTCTTCATTCTCTATACCAGTCTTATGTTGCCAGTATACATGCTACTGCATTTATATTTGGAGAAATTATAAACTTAGAGAAATTGTCTTGGGAAACTTACAGATAAGACAGTGGTTACTTGGAAAACTCTAAACAGATAATTAAAATTAGAGTTGAAGTTACAGGACTCTCTTATAGGAATTTCTTTTTTATTTTATTTTATTTTATTATTATTATACTTTAAGTTTTAGGGTACATGTGCACAATGTGCAGGTTTGTTACATATGTATACATGTGCCATGTTGGTGTGCTGTATCCATTAACTCTTCATTTAGCATTAGGTATATCTCCTAATGCTATCCCTCCCCCCTCCCCCCACACCACAACAGTCCCCGGAGTGTGATGTTCCCCTTCCTGTGTCCATGTGTTCTCATTGTTCAATTCCCACCTATGAGTGAGAACATGCGGTGTTTGGTTTTTTGTCATTGCGATAGTTTGCTGAGAATGATGATTTCCAGTTTCATCCATGTCCCTACAAAGGACATGGACTCATCATTTTTTATGGCTGCATAGTATTCCATGGTGTATATGTGCCACATTTTTTTAATCCAGTCTATCGTTGTTGGACATTTGGGATGGATCCAAGTCTTTGCTATTGTGAATAGTGCTGCTATAAACATACGTGTGCATGTGTCTTTATAGCAGCATGATTTATAATCCTTTGGGTATATACCCAGTAATGGGATGGCTGGGTCAAATGGTATTTCTAGTTCTAGATCCCTGAGGAATCGCCACACTGACTTCCACAATGGTTGAGCTAGTTTACATTCCCACCAACAGTGTAAAAGTGTTCCTATTTCTCCACATCCTCTACAGCACCTGCTGTTTCCTGACTTTTTAATGATTGCCATTCTAACTGGTGTGAGATGGTATCTCATTGTGATTTTTGATTTGCATTTCTCTGATGGCCAGTGATGATGAGCATTTTTTCATGTGTTTTTTGGCTACATAAATGTCTTCTTTTGAGAAGTGTCTGTTCATATCCTTCACCCACTTGTTGATGGGGTTGTTTGTTTTTTTCTTATAAATTTATTTGAGTTCATTGTAGATTCTGGATATTAGCCCTTTGTCAGATGAGTAGGTTGCATAACTTTTCTCCCATTTTGTAGGTTGCCTGTTCACTCTGATGGCAGTTTCTTTTGCTGTGCAGAAGCTCTTTAGTTTAATTAGATCCCATTTGTCAATTTTGGCTTTTGTTGCCATTGCTTTTGGTGTTTTAGACATGAAGTCCTTGCCCATGCCTATGTCCTGAATGATAATGCCTAGGTTTTCTTCTAGGGTTTTTATGGTTTTAGGTCTAACATGTAAGTCTTTAATCCATCTTGAATTAATTTTTGTAAAAGGTGTAAGGAAGGGATCCAGTTTCAGCTTTGTACATATGGCTAGCTAGTTTTCCCAGCACCATTTATTAAATAGGGAATCCTTTCCCCATTGCTTGTTTTTCTCAGGTTTGTCAAAGATCAGATAGTTGTAGATATGCAGCATTATTTCTGAGGGCTCTGTTCTGTTCTATTGATCTATATCTCTGTTTTGCTACCAGTACCATGCTGTTTTGGTTACTATAGCCTTGTAGTATAGTTCAAACTCAGGTAGCATGATGCCTTCAGCTTTGTTCTTTTGGCTTAGGATTGACTTGGCGATGCGGGCTCTTTTTTGGTTCCATATGAACTTTAAAGTAGTTTTTTCCAATTCTGTGAAGAAAGTCATTGGTAGCTTGATGGGGATGGCACTGAATCTATAAATTACCTTGGGCAGTGTGACCATTTTCACAATATTGATTCTTCCTATCCATGAGCATGGAATGTTCTTCCATTTCTTTGTATCTTCTTTTATTTCATTGAGCAGTGGTTTGTAGTTCTCCTTGAAGAGGTCCTTCACATCCCTTGTAAGTTGGATTCCTAGGTATTTTATTCTCTTTGAAGCAATTGTGAATTTGAGTTCACTCATGATTTGGCTCTCTGTCTGTTATTTGTGTATAAGAATGCTTGTGATTTTTGCACATTGATTTTGTATCCTGAGACTTTGCTGAAGTTGCTTATCAGCTTGAGGAGATTTTGAGCTGAGACAGTGGGGTTTTCTAGATATACAATCATGTCATCTGCAAACAGGGACAATTTGACCTCCTCTTTTCCTAATTGAATACCCTTTATTTCCTTCTCCTGCCTGATTGCCCTGGCCAGCACTTCCAACACTATGTTGAATAGGAGTGGTGAAAGAGGGCATCCCTGTCTTGTGCCAGTTTTCAAAGGGAATGCGTCCAGTTTTTGCTCATTCAGTATGATATTGGCTGTGGGTTTCTTATAGATAGCTCTTGTTATTTTGAGATACGTCCCATCGATAACTAATTTATTGAGAGTTTTTAGCATGAAGTGTTGTTGAATTTTGTCAAAGGCCTTTTCTGCATCTGTTGAGATAATCATGTGGTTTTTGTCTTTGGCTCTGTTTATATGCTGGATTACATTTACTGATTTGCATATGTTGAACCAGCCTTGCATCCCAGAGATGAAGCCCACTTGATCATGGTGGATAAGCTTTTTGATGTGTTGCTGGATTCAGTTTGCCAGTATTTTATTGAGGATTTTTGCATCAATGTTCATCAATGATATTGGTCTAAAATTCTCTTTTTTGGTTGTGTCTCTGCCTGGCTTTGGTATCAGGATGATGCTGACCTCATAAAATGAGTTAGGGAGGATTCCTTCTTTTTCTATTGATTGGAATAGTTTCAGAAGGAATGGTACCAGTTTCTCCTTGTCCCTCTGGTAGAATTCGGCTGTGAATCCTTCTGGTCCTGGACTCTTTTTGGTTGGTAAGCTATTGATTATTGCCGCAATTTCAGAGCCTGTTATTTGTGTATTCAGAGATTCAACTTCTTCCTGGTTTAGTCTTGGGAGGGTGTATGTCTCGAGGAATTTATCCATTTCTTCTAGATTTTCTAGTTTATTTGCATAGAGGTGTTTGTAGTGTTCTCTGATGGTAGTTTGTATTTCTGTGGGATTGGTGGTGATATCCCCTTTATCATTTTTTATTGCATCTATTTGATTCTTACTCTTTTCTTCTTTATTAGTCTTGCTAGCAGTCTATCAATTTTGTTGATCTTTTCAGAAATCCAGCTCCTGGATTCATTAATTTTTGAAGGGTTTTTTGTGTCTCTATTTCCTTCAGTTCTGCTCTGATTTTAGTTATTTCTTGCCTTCTGCTAGCTTTTGAATGTGTTTGCTCTTGCTTTTCTAGTCCTATTAATTGTGGTGTTAGGGTGTCAATTTTAGGTCTTTCCTGCTTTTTCTTGTGGGCATTTAGTGCTATAAATTTCCCTCTACACACTGCTTTGAATGTGTCCCAGAGATTCTGGTATGTTGTGTCTTTGTTCTCATTGTTTTCAAAGAACATCTTTATTTGTGCCTTCATTTCGTTATGTACCCAGTAGTCATTCAGGAACAGGTTGTTGAGTTTCCATGTAGTTGAGTGGTTTTGAGTGATTTTCTTAATGCTGAGTTCTAGTTTGATTGCACTGTGGTCTGAGAGACAGTTTGTTATAATTTCTGTTCTTTTACGTTTGCTGAGGAGTGCTTTACTTCCAACTATGTGGTCAATTTTGGAATAGGTGTGGTGTGGTGCTGAAAAAAATGTATATTCTGTTGATTTGGGGTGGAGAGTTCTGTAGATGTCTATTAGGTCTGCTTGGTGCAGAGCTGAGTTCAATTCCTGGGTATGCTTGTTAACTTTCTGTCCCGTTGATCTGTCTAATGTTGACAGTGGGGTGTTAAATTCTCCCATTATTATTGTGTGGGAGTCTAAGTCTCTTTGTAGGTCACTCAGGACTTGCTTTATGAATCTGGGTGCTCCTGTATTGGATGCATATATCTTTAGGATAGTTAGCTCTTCTTGTTGAATTGATCCCTTTAGCATTATGTAGTGGCCTTCTTTGTCTCTTTTGATCTTTGTTGGTTGAAAGTCTGGTTCATCAGAGATTAGGAATGCAACCCCTGCCTTTTTTTGTTTTCCATTTGCTTGGTAGATCTTCCTCCATCCTTTTATTTTGAGCCTATGTGTGTCTCTGCATGTGAGATGGGTTTCCTGAATACAGCACACTGATGAGTCTTGACTCTTTATCCAATTTGCCAGTCTGTGTCTTTTAACTGGAGCATTTAGTCCATTTACATTTAAAGTTAATATTGTTATGTGTGAATTTGATCCCGTCATTATGATGGTAGCTGGTTATTTTGCTCGTTAGTTGATGCAGTTTCTTCCTAGCCTTGATGGTCTTTACATTTTGACATGTTTTTGCAGTGGCTGGTACCAGTTATTCCTTTCCATGTTTAGTGCTTCCTTCAGGAGCTCTTTTAGGGCAGGCCTGGTGGTGACAAAATGTCTCAGCATTTGCTTGTATGTAAAGTATTTTATTTCTCCTTCACTTATGAAGCTTAGTTTGGCTGGATATGAAATGCTGGGTTGAAAATTATTTTCTTTAAGAATGTTGAATATTGGCCCCCACTCTCTTCTGGCTTGTAGAGTTTCTGCTGAGAGATCCGCTGGTAGTCTGATGGGCTTCCCTTTGTGGGTAACCCGACCTTTCTCTCTGGCTGCCCTTAACTTTTTTTCCTTCATTTCAACTTTGGTGAACCTGACAATTATGTGTCTTGGAGTTGCTCTTCTAGAGTAGTATATTTGTGGCATTCTCTGTATTTCCTGAATCTGAATGTTTGCCTGTCTTGCTAGATTGGGGAAGTTCTCCTGGACGATATCCTGCAGAGTGTTTTCCAACTTGGTTCCATTCTCCCTGTCACTTTCAGGTACACAAATCAGACGTAGATTTGGTCTTTTCACATAGTCCCATGTTTCTTGGAGGCTTTGTTCGTTTCTTTTTATTCTTTTCTCTCTAAACTTCCCTTCTCACTTCATTGCATTCATTTCATCTTGCATTGCTGATACCCTTTCTTCCAGTTGATCGCATCGGCTCCTGAGGCTTCTGCATTCTTCACGTTGTTCTCGAGCCTTGGCTTTCAGCTCCATCAGCTCCTTTAAGGACTTCTCTGCATTGGTTATTCTAGGTATCCACTCGTCTAATTTTTTTTCAAGGTTTTTAACTTCTTTGCCATTGGTTTGAATTTCCTCCTATAGCTTGGAGTAGTTTTATCGTCTGAAGCCTTCTTCTCTCAACTCATCAAAGTCATTCCCCGTCCAGCTTTGTTCTGTTGCTGGTGAGGAGCTGCGTTCCTTTGGAGGAGGAGAGGCCCTCTGCTTTTTAGAGTTTCCAGTTTTTCTGCTCTGTTTTTTCCCCATCTTTGTGGTTTTATCTACTTTTGGTCTTTGGTGATGGTGACGTATAGATGGTTTTTTGGTGTGGATGTCCTTTCTATTTGTTAGTTTTCCTTCTAACAGACAGGACCCTCAGCTGCAGGTCTGTTGGAGTTTTCTAGAGGTCCACTCCAGACCCTGTTTGCCTGGGTATCAGCAGCAGTGGCTGCAGAGCAGTGGTGGCTCAGATGGAAATGCAGAAATCACCCGTCTTCTTCGTCACTCACGCTGGGAGCTGTAGACTGGAGCTGTTCCTGTTCAGCCATCTTGGCTCCACCCACCAAGAATTTCAAAGAAAAATCTTTGTAGGCAATTTAAATATCTTGAAAGCTCAAGATAAAATGCATGGAGAGGTGTTTAGTATTCTTGATAGGCATGGTGTGCATGCTGTCTGGAATAGAGAAAACTCGAATGACTGAATTATTTAATTATTTGCAACACATAGTGTTATTACTATTGATATTTAAATGCAATACAAATGCTTCTTGATCGTTTGTTAATTTTCTTTAGTTTAGATCTTCCTGTTATTTCACTTCTCCTTGGCCCCTGGAAAAGACAAAATACTGAAATTTTACTGAGTTTTTACATGTGCTTTTTCCAGTTTGTTCTTAGGGAGTATCAGAGCAGCCCAGCACTGCAAGAATCTCTGCATGATTTTTTTTAGAAAATAAAATGAATGGGTGTTTTACTAGAGTGAGTATTAAGAACTCACAATATATGCAATATTCAATGCCTTTCTGCTTGTAAACCTCTCCAAGAGCCTCCTTGACAGATTTCCTCTCCCTCTGTCTTCTCTGCATCAGTGTTAAAACTGTCCCATATCTACCGGATGCCTCACTATTCCCTGATCATTCAGGAGCTGGATCTCCACTTTCGTCTGCCCCGCAACACAGACCCAGTGTTTTGGGCATAGTACATACTCAGTAATCATTTATAGTATTAAACTGGAGAGGAGACACCAAAATCATTTGACTCTCCCTAAGAGGTTTGTATAGTGACCTTTCCATACCATCGTCTTTCTTCTAGTAACAGAATTAGAGGCTACACTTTCCTCTACAAACTTTCCTGCTTCCCTAGCTTGCAAACTGGGTAGGACTGTCACTCCTAATGTTTTTGTCTCCCCTGGCCAAGGTATGGACACACAACCCAAGCTAGGTCAATAAAATTGCACTTTCCAGGGATGTTTATCTGAGCTAAGCTACAGAAAAATTGAAAACAAGTGGTCTACTATCTATTCCTTCCCAGCCCAGCAACACAGGACCTCTGGGACTTCTTAAGTTCATTTCTGCCTCCAATACCTTTGCTATTGTCAGTCCCTCTAACCAGAATGTTCTTCTCCAGACACTTACCTGGTTTCCTCTACCATTCTATTTCCATCTTTGCTCAAAAGTCATGTTCTCAGAAAGAACTTTCCAGAGAATACCATGTTAAATAACTCCATCTCCCTGTCTTGCCACTTTCTTTCCACTTCTTTTCCTTTTTTTTTCTTTTAAGAGAGAGTTTCACTCATATCACTCAGGCTGGAGTGCAGTGGGCAATCTTGGCTTACTGCAACCTCCACCTTCCAGGTTCAAGCCATTTTCCTGCCTCAGCTTCCTGAGTAGCTGGGATTACAGATGCCTGCCACCAAGCCTGGCTAATTTTTGTATTTTTAGTAGAGATGGGATTTCCCCACTTTGGCCAAGCTGGTCTTGTACTCCTGACCTCAGGTGATCCACCCACCTTGGCCTCCCAAAGTGCTGGGATTACAGGAATGAGGCACCATGCCCAGTCTTCTTTATTGTTTTTTATTGCTGTTTTTGTCATGTGAAATTTCTATGTGCTGTTATTGGTTTACTTGTTTTCTCCCTCTCTCACTCCTATGGGAGAGGGTAGGTACCTGTTTTGGCTTGTTAATGAAGAAGACATTTGCCTAGCACATAGTAGATAATAAAAACATATGTATTGAATGAAAGATTAAATAAATGCTACTAAATCCCTGGAATTGCCCTGATTCCTGTCCTTTCTGAAATCCCATTTGTTGTTGAGCTTTTCCCTTTTGTTTTTCCAGCACATTTCCTTTCTCTTACTCTTGGTTTTCTTGCATTTAAGTTAAAGAGTTTAAGTTTCTGATACTTATAGTTAAAGAACCCCACTGACAGGATCCAAATGTAAAAGCACACTTAACATGGCTCCTGGAAAAGCATCTCACAGCGTTTCTGACACATAAGTAGGGCACACAATTTGTATGAGTTCCCCATCCCATTCTTTTTTTGTACTCTCTTCTAGCTAACCTCAGGGATAGCTTGCAGCAGGCTAGAAAATATGTCAGACAGGACTAGATGCATGCACTCAGTGCTAAACAAATATTAGTTAAACATTCTATTCGAATTGAAAAGAACCACAGCCCACTGCCCTGGCCTCTAGAAAAACTATTCCCCTGGCACAACAATTGGGACATGGCAGGTGGCTTGGAACTGCCATCTCTCAACTGGCATTTGGGCAGATATAGGCAGGAATACTGCTTTTATTTTTTTAAAAAAATAACCTCCTCGCTTCATTTATTTAAACCATAAACCATAAAACTGATGATAAAACAAACTGCCAATTAAGCCATAAACCTCTGTGTGCACCTGAGCCAGTCACTATAGGAGGAAGCAAAGATGTGAGAGAAGGAATGAATCCAAGTGTGAGAAGTGACCACAGCCAAGTAGGTCTCTGCTCATCACACAGATATCACCAGCAAGAAGCACTCGCTGAGGGACTGCAACATGAAGAGCAGGATGTTGGGATCTCCGGGAAATTCAAGAGTCTCCATCTTCCAGGAGCTTCTCAGATTGTAGGAGACACAGACAAGTAATCAACTCATTGAACATCCAAGTAAACGGCTGGAGTATTAATAGAAGCAGGTTCAAACTGCCAGGAGGCAGCAGTGCCAGCTGATTCATGTGCATGCCCATTAGTGCACTCATCTATTCGGCACTGATTGCCTGCCTAATAAGCTTCATTCTGTGTGCAAGATCCTGTCAGTGTGAATCTCATACACCCTGATATGGTTTGGCTGTGTCCCCATCAAAATCTCATCTTGAATTGTAGCTCCCATAATTCCCATGTGTCATGGGAGGGACCTGGTGGGAGGTAATTGAATAATGGGGGCACGTCTCCATGTGCTGTTGTCATGATAGTGAATAAGTCTCATGAGATATGATGGTTTTATAAAGGGGAGTTCCCCTGCACACGCTCTCTTGCCTGCCATCATGTAAGATGTGACTTTGCTTCTCATTCACCTTCCACCATGATTGTGAGGCCTCCCCAGCCACGTGGAACTGCAAGTCCATTAAACCTCTTTCCTTTATAAATTACCCAGCCCCAGGTATGTCTTTATTAGCAGCATGAGACCAGACTAATACTCCCCCAATATTCCAATGGGGACATATATCTATACACGGATCTGTTACAAGAAGTCTGGAGGAAAGAATGATTTCATCTGGAAGAATTTAGAGAATGTTGCACATAATCACAGTAGTGAATGTTTGCTCCCCACTTTCCACGACCAGACCCTCCTTGAAGCCCATCATGCATTAGCTCATTTATTAAGTATTTTATGGTTATACTATTATTCCCATTAAAGAGTGAGTGACAAATATTTTCCTCAAGTAGGGACATTTGCCCATAAAAATAATAGTTAACATCTTTTGAGGATTTTTTATGTATTGGAAATTATTCCACATGCTTTATATCTTCCAGCATGTTTATTAAAACTTCCACAATTATCCCCATTTTTGCACACAGAAAGCTGAAGTCCGGAGAGGTCAAATCACCTGGACCAAAGTTTTTAAAAACTCATTTACCCATTTATGTTGGAAGCTGCAAAATTTTGTTGTGAAAAATCAGAACTTGGTGATGACCTTGAGCAGTAGGATATAATTAACTCTCCCAAGCTCAGCGTTCCAATAATGGAACACTAGGCATAAATGGATTAAGGGGCAGAAGTGGGATCTGAGTCCAGGTAGCCCAGGCTTTTAACCTCTACCTCTGCCTCCTCTGCTAGGTAAATAAGACATTTAAGTTGAGTCTTGGGGAAGGCATTTGCCTAATGGAAAAAAGGTGCAGGCATCCGAAGCAGAGGAGAGATGTGTTCGTTGGTTAGGGCTGCCATAATACCTTGGTAATTTATTCTTTCATGGATCTGGAGACCAGAAGTCCAAGAACAAGGTGTTGGCAGGGGCGGTTCCTTCTGAAGGCTGAGGGAGATCCTGTTCAATGCTTTTCTCCTGGTTTCTGATGGCTCTTGGGAATCCTTGGTGTTCTTTGGGTTGTTAGGTGCATTACTCTAGTCTCTGCCTTTGTCTTCATGTGACCTTCTCCTTCTGGGCATCTCTATTTTCTGTCTTATTGGATACCTGTCATTGCGTTAAGAACCTACCTAATCAAGGGTGAAACTTGAGATCCTTAGTTTTTTGTTTTTTTTTTTTTAATTTTTGAGATGGTGTCTCACTGTGTTGCCTAGGCTGGAGGATAGTGGTGCAGTCAGCTCAATGCAACCTCCACCTCCCAGGTTTAAGCAATTCTTCTGCCTCAGCTTCCAGAGGAGCTGGGAATACAGGCACATGCCACCGTGCCCAGCCAATTTTTGTATTTTTAGTAGAGATGGGGTTTCATCATGTTGGTCAGGCTGGTCTCGAACTCCTGGCCTCAAGTGATACATCCACTGACCTTGGCCTCCCAAGGTGCTGGGATTACAGGTGTGATCTGCCACACCTGGTGAAGATCCTTAGCTTTATTACATCCAAAAGACCTTAATGCCAAATAAGTCCACATTCTGAGGTTCCTAGTGGAAATATATTTTGGGGGTCACAATTCAACCAACTACAGAGGGCACATGCAAGGCGTGGTGCCACAACACAGTTGGAGGAGGTGAGCTGTTCACGTAAGCTGCGAGGTTTTGTGGTGCTGTGGCCAGGTGGAGATGAGGCTGGGAAAACACTTTAAGCAAACAAGTGGCATTATTTGATTCCCTTGGGGTTTTGTGACCATAGAAATTAAAAGGAGGATGGATTAGAATGAAGAAAAACTGATGGCCCAGGGAGTCAGTGGAGACAACACTGTGACATGGGAGAGACTTGGTCAAGGGTCATTGGCTTCAAGGCTGTTTCTGCTTGACAGAAGTAAGCAAAGCCCCATGGACAGGTATCATTGGAGCTGAGAATTTCTTTCCACAACTGTTTGTACCTCTCAGTCTTAGACACACAAACATATTCTAACTAGGTCTAGAAAATAACCTAATACATTTTAAACATGCTTTTTGGTTTCAAACTAATGGCCAGGTATGGTGGCCCACGCCTATAATCCTATCACTTTTGGAAGCTGAGGAGGGCAGATCACTTGAGGTCAGGAGTTCCAGCCCAGCCAAAATGGTGAAATGCCTTCTCTACCAAAAATACCAAAATTAGCCAGGAATGGTGGTGCTCAACTATAATCCCAGCTACTTGGGAGGCTAAGGCAGAAGAATTGCTTGAACTCAGGAGACAGGTGTTTCAGTGAGCCGAGATCACACCACTGCACTCCAACCTGGGCGACAGAGTAAGTGAAATTCTGTCTCAAAAATAAATAAATAAAAATAAAATAAAATAAAAACTAATGGGCAACTGCTAAACCAGTGATGGAAATCATGTCTATTTTAATCTATGTCAATCATTGGATGAGGGTATCAATATGAAGTAGCTTAAACAATTAATATCAGTTGATGTAAACTGTAAAACAGGTTGATTCCTGAGGAACTTTCTTGTGTAGCTGTTTCACATACATGTCTATGCCTTCTGATCAGTTGTTTATACGAACAAATAATTGACAGAGCTTCATAAAATGATTACACTACTCCCTTCCTCATTCTTGGCATAAACACCTAGCATTTATCAGCTGCATAATGAAACTTCCAGTTGCATTCAAATTAGTACATTTAAATGCTTAAAATTTCACGTCAAAAAAAATGCGACATCATCAAAGGGAAGTGAATATGATATATATATATATACTCACTTTTAGAAAAATGTACAGCATTTTATTTCCATAATAATGGCCATTTCTCTTTGTGAGAATTAAATTTCAAGTTAAAAAGAGTAGTTCTGTTCACTTAGAGAGTTTTGCAGACCAGAGACAGAGTGGCTTAAATTTTGGACAAATAATTTAAAATATTTTCAAAGAGAACTGCTTTTTAAAATTCATTTCTAAGAAACATGCTTTCTTATTAAAAGAATTTTAATGGTTTTCTTGTTCTTCATTTACAACAGATCACACTTTGCTTAGAACATTAAATGCCAATGTTTTATTTCATTATTTGTGCTTCATTTAGCTGCCTTACTAACTAAGAACACTTAAGCAAGAAAATAAAGCTTTATAATTGCTTCATAGTTGGGCTCTTTTATTTTCAAAAGTTTTTGTATAACTCCAGTACTGTGTAAGAAGAAAAAAATTATTCAGCTTGTCACATTTTTGTTATAAATTCCACATTAGGCAAATATAAATGTATGACTTTTTCCTTCAAAATCCTTTAACTTTTCCCTTTAATTGTAATATTCTTTTAGTTTTAATTCTTGATAGTTTTATGTTAGCTTCTTTAATCAGTTTTCATTTTAGATACAGATTAATAATACAATTTTCATGATGCATCTATAACATGCTTGTAAAATTCATCAGCTTTGCTTTTTGATAGTGAAGTTAAAATGATGGTTAATTTGCAACAGGTGTTCATTCCCATTTTTAAAAATTCAAACTGTCTGTGGATTGATAGATGCATGTACCAGAAAACTATAAAGAAAAGAAAGAAATGGTAGATACAAAGTTCAGGTCAATGTTATCTCTGCAAAGAGGTAGTGGAGAGAATAGGATAGAACTGAAGAAGGAGATGTGGGACTCCTAGACAATTCCTATTGTCATGTCTCTTAAGCTAAATGAGAAACTTGCAGGGTATGTACATTACTCTTAATCTTTAGACACTTCACATATTTTAGAAATATGTATTTCTATGTATTCAATCTTTAGTAAAGATAATTTTACAAAAAGAACAAGCATGTAACAGATGGAAATGTACTAAGCCCTTATAAGAAAGTAACATAAATGGCCCCCTTGCTTACCAACTCATTTGGGAGTTGAGTAAATATCATTTTTAAATATTGTATGCCCAATAATCTCAGCACTTTGGGAGGCCAAGGTGGGAGAATTACTTGAGGCCAGGAGTTTCAGATAAGCCTAGGCAACATAGCAAGACCCCATCTCTACCATTAATATATTAGACAACAAAATATTAGGTGTGCTGGCATGCACCTGTAGTCTCAACTACTTGGGAAGCTGAAGTTGGAGGATTGCTTGAGCCCAGGAGTTTAAGGCTGCAGTGAGCTAAGGTTGCACCACTGCACTACAGCCTGGGTGGCAGAGTAAGACCCTGTCTCTACAAAAGATTAAAAAATTAAAAATAAATATCTTCCTATAACTCTACTATCCTCTGGTCATTTAATATTAAATATGTTCCCCCCAAAAGCAGTAGGCTTTCATATTGGATGAATTTTACTCTTATGGACATCAATCTACAACGAAATTGTTACAACAAAATTAAAAGAACTCGTAGTTCTTTTTTGTTCCTATTAACAGATTTTCAAGTTTAAAGTACATTCTTCTTAGTATTTTACAGCATTGCAATGGTCCATTTATAAGAGATAATCATCATCTATTTTGTTACAGGAAGGAAGGGTGGGGCTTACTACTGCTCTGGCTTGTTGAGAAATTTCCACTTGGTTCTACGTATTCTATTAATACTTATTCCTAACACAATCATGTTTGAAGTTTTCCACTTACACCATCACTACCCTCTAGTTGTCACCCTTCATTTTAAGGGACCTAAGAGTGCCTTGAGTTCTTTAGCAAAGGGTAGTCAACATACCAACTTCCATCCTAAAATCAGGGAAAGATGAATAATGTATAACAAGAACAAAGACAATAAAATAGAAAAGGTTCTGAAATTCTACTCTCTTTTCAAGCTAAAAAGTTAGCCTTCCACTGTTTCATAGATGTTAGGAGATATGAGACCCCAAGGTCAGAGAGGAAGGGTGTTTTCATTCTCAGCACAGCAGACAGCATGAGCTTCAGGTCCACATTTGGCTCCTCTTGTCCCTCATGTTCCACAGGGGCAATGAAGAGGCAGGTCCACATACCTGCTGTGTATACAAGAGGGTCTGTGTCACAGCTGAGGAATTCTAAGTGTAGGAATGCTTGAATCTTATAAAGTGGTCTGCAAGCAAACCTGCCCAAGCATTGCCCCAGAGAGAGGCATAGTATTTATTATACTAGTCATGAGACAAGTAAGCCTTCTGACCCAGAGGACAGATCTCTTCCTTCTGAGGCCATCTGCTATGTAAACAGAACAAAAGTTTTATAAACACTATGGAGAATTTGCCTACAACACAAATAGACACAGTCATGTACCATATAATGATGTTTTGGTTAATTATGGACCACATATATGACTGTGTTCCCATAAGATTATAATGGATCTGAAAAATTCCTAACATTTAGTGTTATGGTTTGGTTATGGTTTGTTTATCTCCACCAAAACTCATGTTGAAATTTGATCCCCAGTGTGGTGGTGTTGGGAGGTGGGCCCTAGTGGGAGGTGTTGGGTCATGGGGGCACATCTCCAATGAATGGCTCAGTACTGTTCTTGTGGTAGTGATTGAGCTATCACTTTGGCAAGACTAGGTTAGTTCTCATGGGACTGTATTAGTTCCTGAAGAGTGAGTTTTTATAAAGCCTTTGCTGTTTCTCCTTGGTCATATCTACTTCTCCTTTGACCTCTGCCATGTTTAGATGCACCATGAAAGCCCTCACCAGAATCCAGAGCCATGCCCTTGAACTTCCCAGCCTGCAGAACTGTGAGCCAAATAAACCTTTTCTTTATAAATCACCAAGCCTCAAAGATTGTTATAGCAACACAAAACAAAGACATCTAGTGATGCTGTAGCTGTCATAACATCATAAAGCAACACATTACTCATGTGATTATAGTAATGCTGGTACAAACAAACCTACTATGCTGCCAGTCATAAAAAAGTATAGCACATACAATTATGGACACTACATGATACTTGATAATGATAATAAGTGACTATCTTACTGGTTTATGTATTTATTATACTATACTTTTTATCGTGATTTTACAATGTACTCCTTCAAATTATAAAAAATAGGTTTACTGTGAAACAGTATGCTGTTTTACACCAGCAGCAGCCTCATACATCTTGTGTTTACCATGCTTGCTGATTGCATCATTTTCTCTTCTGCATATTTTAAACTCATGTTGCTTTGTTCAACATGGCCCCTAAGCATACAAAATCCATTGCTAATGTTGCCAGCAAAAGACCACATCAAGTGACTGATTTCGAAATGAAATTAAAAGTGAAGTAAGGACTACAAAGGTAGAAAGTCAGTGATGGTTATTGCTTGCCAGTCAGACATGTCCCATTCCACTGTAACTATAATCTGGAAGAACAAGAACAAAATGATGGAAGCTGTTAGAGGATCTGCTTCATTGAAGGCAAAGAGACTAACACAATTTTAAGAAGGGCCTACATCAGACATGGAGAAACTGCTAACGACCTGGAATGAACACCAGACACACAGGTGTATTTCTCACGGCATTGTGACAATTATGGTCAAAGAAAAAGTTTGCCTGGGATGTTGAAAAAAAAGGCCGAACCCCATTACAATGTTGAATTTGCTGCAAGCTCTGGATGATATAAATATTTCAAGAATTATTATTATTACCTAATGTAAAAGTGAATGGTGAGTTTGCAAGAGATAATGTGAAGGCAGCTGAAGAATTTTTAGAAACTGTAAGTAAGTTAATTGTGGAGGAAAATTACTTGCCAGAGCAAATCTTCAGTAGGAATAAAATTTCTCTATTCTGGAAAAGGCTGCCTGAAAATATTTTCATCTGTAAAGAGGGAAAGTCAATATTGGGTTTCAAGGCTCTTAAGGACAGGATAACAGTCTTGATTGGGAGCAGTGGAGCAGGCTATAAATTGAATTCTTTTGTGATATGGCACAGTGAGAACCCCAGGTCTTCAAGTATATAAGTAGGCACCCACTGGCAGTGGACTACAGGAATAATAAGAAGTCATGAATGACCCACGTCCTCTCCTAAGTGCCCTCTCAAATTGCTATGCCAGAGAAATGGAGAAGCACAAATGGGAACTTTCAAGATTTTGCTTATTGTTGATAATCCTCACACATCCTCCTTTATTGGTGATCTTCATCCCAGTATGGAAGTAGTGTTTCTCCATTGGACAATCAGAAGACACTGATGCAATTTTGGAGGGATTATGACATATATAATTGCCTCAGGAACTTGCATGAGCTTGGCATAATGTCACCAAGGAGTGTGTAAATGGCATTTGGAAGAAGATATTCAAGAGGTTTGTTCATGACTTCAAAGTATTTTGCAAAGGATGAGGAGGGTGCAAAAATCAATAAGGCTGTGTGGTTGAGATGGCAAACAATTTTATTAAGCTAGCTGTAAATGAGGATGAAATTGAGGAGCTCACAAATAAAGGTGGTTCCTGATGAATTGACTAATGAGGAGTTGTTGGAACTGGAACAGGAATACACAGCTGAAAAGAGAGGCCAAAGAGAAGAAAAGCACATGAGAAGATAAAGAAGAACCTCATGAAAATTCACAATGACGAATTTAGCAGAAGCTTTTGCAGACCTCAACAAATTCCTTGAAAGTTTGAAAACATGGATCCCAACATCAAAATGTTTTCATTAATAGAGAACATTCATGGTGCATTATCTGCTTACAGGCGAATGTATGACAGAAAAAAAGAGAAGCCAATCAAACAAACCACCATGGACATATTTCCGGAAAGAGTGACTGTTCACAAAAAGAGCTTCAGGCGGGTCTCTTAGGAGATCTTCCAGAAGAAGAAAGCACTGTTATAACAGATGGCAGCTCCACGCTGTGTGTTTGTGTCTTAATTTTTAACAAAATGTTTAAAAAATAAAATATTTTAAAAATGGCAAAAAGCTTATGGAATGACAATATAAAGAAAATATCTTGTACAGCTGTGTAATAGGTTTGCATTTTAAGCTAAGTGCTATCACAAAAGAATCAAAAGTTTTAAAAATTGAAGAGTTTATAAAGTTAAAAAGTTATACTAAGCCAAGGTTAATTTATTATTTAAGAAAGAATATTTTTAAATAAATTTATTGTAGCCTAATGTAGTGTGTATAGAGTCTACAATAGTGTAATGTCCTAGGCCTTCCCATTCACTCACCACTCACTCACTTACTCACCCAGAGCAACTTCCAGTCCTGCAAGCTCCATTCATAAGTACCCCCATATAGGACACTTATAGGGGTGCCTTAATTGGGATACCTTTTTAAAATATTTTATACTGTATTTGTACTGTACTTTTTCTATGTTTAGATATACAAACACTCACCATTGTGTTACAGCTGCCTACAGTATTCAGTACAGTAACCTGCTGTGCAAGTTTGTAGCCTTAGAAGCAACAGGCTATATGATATAGTGTAGGTGTGTAGAAGGCTTTGCGTAAGTACAATCTATGATGTTTGCAAAACGATGAAATTGCCTAATGGCACACTTCTCACTACGTGTCCCTGTTATTAAGCAACACATGTCTGTATAAAAAGGTGAAAGGAACAGGCAAATGCATTAGGGAAGAGAAATGGAAATAAGATTGATTATAAAACATCTCTTTAGATTGTCACCTGACTGACTTCATTAGCAACTATTGTGCTTCACTCCTAAGTCACATTAGTAATTTGTTTCCCTTCATCTGAAATATTCATGTGTCTTATACTTGCTGGCAAAGTTCTTTTGGAGCCCCTTTTTTCAGGTACGGTTCGAGGAAAAGAGGAGGTTATTAGAGATATTTTCCACAGCTCTGGTTTCATTACTGCAGTAGTAAATAAGAAACATTAAAGTCTTCAACTTATCGTTGCTCTCACTAATCAGCAGCTGAAAATTCTGTGCTTATCGTTTAAGAAGCATTCCCTTAGCAATAAAAACCTCTTTACCGCAGCTTCTCTTAATGAAGAGTGCATACAATACCCTCCCCCGAGAGAGACAATGGGATGTGCAGGAACAGATAAGCATCCTCCGTAACTTCCAAACACCAGCACCAAAACGAAACTCCAAGGGAAAGCACATTTGCCCTCTCTCCACCCTCTACCCACTGGCTGGACAATTTTAGTTAGTGGGGATATCTGATGATTCCGTTCTTTAATTTTTCATTTTTAAAATTTTTGTATATTTAGGGGGTACCAATGCAGGTTTCTTTCTTACATTCATATATTGCACGGTGGTGAAGTCTGGTCTTGTACTGCAACTATCACCCCAATAGTGAACATTGTAACCAACAGGTAATTGTTCAGCCCTGGCCCTCCCTCCCACTCTCCCACCTTTTGGAGTCTCCAGTGTTAATTATTCCAGTCTGTATGTCCATGGGTACCCATTGTTTAGCTCCCCCTTGTAAGTGAGAACATGCAATATTTGATTTTCTGTTTCTGAGATATTTCATTTAGAATAATGGCTCCCCTAAGTGTTTCTCCCTTATAAAGGAGTCTAAAAATCTTCCAAGCTGCAAATCAAGAGCTATTATTTTGGTCTTTTTCTTCTCCTGGGGCAGCTACTTCCTGAGGTTGTAAACAGCATCAGACCAGGTGGAAATTAGATGTACTAGGATATGAGTTGAGGTTCCTGAATCAATATCACATTATGGTCCTAGAGGCAAGAAGGTGAGAACTTGTCTCATTCCAGTAGTAAATCCTTGGGTGTTCTTAAAGCTGTCAATCATGAACTAAAGTTTGTAAAAATCACGTGGAGAGATTGCAGAATGAAAAGAAACCGATACTATATTGCCTTGAAAACTACTATAACAAGAAGAAGGTCAAATGATGGTTGATTGAAGACAATGTTGGAATAAGTATCCATAGAGCTATGGTTTTTCATTTCTACCTACAGGCTTTATATTATTTTTCAAGTCTCTGCAACACCAACAGCTAGTTAACCATTTGATTTGATATGGATATTTGTGTGTATGTTGGGGATGATGGGGAAATAAATACACACAGCTCTTTTAATCCGTTAAAGAAAAATGTGACTTGTGCTACTTGAAGTGAGTTTAAAATGGTATCTGAATTTCTTCAACATGTATCTGCCTCACAAAAATGAAATTTTTTACAAACTAAAACATAATCATAAAAACTCTGTGGATTGGAATCTAATCCTGCTTTAATTCAAAATGAAAAGCTAGTTTTACTCAAACATATCTAGTTTGAGCAATATTCCCATAATAACTCAAAAGAGCACACAAATTAACTAAGTCTTTAATATCAGTGTTAATTATCAGATAATCAAGATTCTTTTTGCACATACTATGTGGCTTGATAATTCTGACCTTGGCCAGTTCCTCATACTGCATGGAAAAAGCAGAAGGAACTCAGGAGCAGATATTATTTTTGATAAAAATAACGAACAGTTCCCAACATTAATTTTAACTATTATTAGTTGCTATAGGAAAGGTCAAAATAGCATGAACTCATTTTTTACTGCCCTGTAGAGATATATGAGGATCCTTCCAATTTTTCTCTCTATAGTAGAGGAATACAATGAAAGTTATTTAACAATAATGGTGAGTTTTTACGTATATTTTTCAGCAGGTTATGGGTCACCATTTTTCTGTTCTTCTAAATGAATCAAGAAAATACAGTGTGTCTAACTGATCAAACACAACATAGTAGGCAAAAAAAAGATTTTTCACGTCAGCAAACAAGGAAAGTAATTTGGTCCAAAGGATTTTTTAAAAATCCTGATTTGTGTAGTTTGTCCACACTAGATTTATTGATTATTAATTGAATTAGCTCTATCTACTGGCATTCACCCAGCCTGCCTGAGTTGACATTCCTGTCCTATCTACCATTTACTAGTTGTATGGCCTTGATTAATTCTGTAAGTCTCAGGTTCTTCAACTTTTTTATAATATTAAAATTTATTACTAATTTAGAATGAAAAGGAACTGATGCTATAATCACTCCAGATGATTTTTACAAAGTTTAGTTTATGATTGGCAGCTTTAAGAACACCCAAGGATTTACTAGTGGAATGAGACAAGTTCTTGCCTTCTTGCCTCTAGGACCATAATGTGATATTGATTCAGGAACCTCAACTCATATCCTAGTACATCTAATTTCCACCTGGTCTGATGCTGTTTACAACCTCAGGAGGTAGCTGCCCCAGGAGAAGAAAAAGACCAAAATAATAGCTCCTGATTTGCAGCTTGGAAGATTTTTAGATTCCTTTATAAGGGAGAAACACTTAGGAGAGCCATTATACTAAGAGAACTAACTCATTAATTTATTTTTATTAATAAATAAATAATCATTTATTTATCATTATTTTTACAACGTGTTGGATACTGTTAAAAGCGTTTTGCACAAGTTCATTCATTATTTATAACATCTCTATGAGATAGTGTATTAGTCCATTTTCACACTGCTGATAAAGACATACCTGAGACTGGGCAATTTACATAAGGAAGAGGTTTAATGGACTCGCAGTTCCACGTGGCTGCGGAGGCCTCTCAATCATGGTGTAAGATGAAAGCACATCTCTCATGGTGGTAGACAAGAGAAGAGAACTTGTGCAGGGAAACTCCCCTTTATAAAACCATCAGATTTCATGAGACTTATTCACTATCACGAGAACAGCACAGGAAAGACCTGCCCCCATGATTCAATTACCTCCCACTGGGTCCCTCCCACAACACGTGGGAATTGTGGGAGCTACAATTCAGTATGAGATTTGGGTGGGGATGCAGCCAAACTATATCAGATAGATAACTACTATTATCACCATTCTATTTTTTTCAGATGAGGAAACGGAGATTCACAAAAATCAGGTCATTTGTCTGAGGTCCGAGTACTGTGTGATAGAGCAAAGATTTGAACCCAGGTAGGCAGCTCTGACACCTTGACTTCTGATGACTGTGTTAGGTTCTCTGTCAACAACACTTCCTTAGGTGGTCAGGAAGTTGTGAGAAAATGCTGGTCAGGCGCATAACCCAGTGTCTGGCATATAGTAAGTACTTCAAATTCTTACATATAATTGTCATCCACACAAACTTCCTGGGAATGATAATTAAGTCTCTACTATAAATGAGTTTAATAAGTACAACACAGGTGATGAATAACATGTACCTTAAGCAATGTAGATGTGTACCAATTTTCCCACTGAGAAATCTCCATTTTTCTATTGTTGGTGACATCATTCTCTCCATCACTCAGAATTGGTTTTTAAAAATACTTTATATATACATACAAAATAAAGAAGAATAAAACCATTATCAGTTTCACTGGGCTAAAGTTAAGGTGTTGGCAGGACTGGCTCCTTCTGAAGAATCCAATTCCTTGCCTTTTCCATAATCTAGTGGCCATCTGCATTCTTTGGATCCTGGCCCCTTCCTCCATTGACAAAGTGCATCACTACAATCTCTGCTTCTGACATCCCATCACCATCTCCTCTGGCTTCTCATGTGTCCCTCTCATAAGGACCATTGTAGTTATCTTAGGCCCACCTGGGTAATGCAAGCTAAACTGTTCCATCTCAAAATCCTTAAATTAATCACATTTGTAAAGTCCCTTTTGCCATATCAGGTTATATTCACAGGAGCCAGGGAGTAGGGTATGAACATATTTGGGGGGCCATTATTTAGACTACTACACTCCCATCCTTTTTCTTTTCTTTTTTTAAAATTAGTGCTAGCATCCTAAGCCAGCTCTGTTTCCTTACACATCTAATCTAACTGCCTCCTAATTGGTCTGCTGGCTCAGAGGTGAAGCAAAAGTGATATTGAGAAGTATACACATTCTATGGGCACCAATTTATGAGGCTGTCAAAAGATGCCAGAGAATGTTTTTATTGCAATTTTGTACTGAGTTACTAACTTTATGTTTGTTGTCCATGAAACATATAAAAGTGTCCCTAATATTATTTCTGTATTTATTCATGTCTGGGCAAATATCAACACCAGATAGGGAGAGACAGCGCAAATGCATTGCATTGTCTTTGGGCACCATTTATCTTCAATGTGTCAGTATTCCTGCCTCAGTTGTTCTGTGTTACCAATCCTACACTGCAATACCAAATCCACCCTTTCAAAATACAGGATACTGGATTATTTAACAACAACAACAAAAAATGCACACACAATAAGGAACAAAGACAGTCAGTGGCTCCCAATTGCCTACAGTCATGATTCTCAAATGTATTCAAGTTCAAGAATAACTAAGTCACGTTGCTCCAGGAATGTCATAAATTAAAAAAAAAAAAAAAAAAAAAAAAAGCAAGTACTTTAGCTTCAGACATGCCTGAGGTTAAATCCCGATCCTGCCCTTAGTAGCTATCTATGCATCTTTGGGTAGAGTGCATGTCCTCTTGGAGACTTTGTCCCCTAATCTGAAGCATTTGTGGAGAGAATAAAATCAGATATTACATATAGAGCATTTAGCACAACACCTGGCACTTGATAGAGGCTCAAAAATCTTATATCCTTCTCTCTCCTTTAGATAAATACCGTGCTGTTCACAGAAAACTATGAAATGTTAATTATTCAAATTAGAAGCAATATTTTTTAACAGACTGTGTGATATGTACTATAAAATATAAACTCTAAGGGAAAGATCTCAAGAAAGCAAAAGCTGTTAGACTAAACGCAATCAACTAAGTCTATATTTTGGAATAAATCATCCTTGGCTATCTTCACATATTGACATGGACTAACATTTGCTAGCAGATGAACACAAGCAGTGGGTGCCAAATTTCAAGAAAAGTATTTTGGATAGAAAAATTGCAAAAAAAAAATGGGGTGAAGAAAAGTCCCTATTAATTATGTTTTGAACAAGTTGAAAAATTCTGACATTATTTGATTTTAACCTCAGAAACTTCAGCTCAAGTCATAAAATAAGAATAATCTATGGGGACATAGTGGGAAGAACCTTTCAGATAAATCCAAATTGCCTGCCTTTAACTTCCAAATGCCTTTAGTTTGGTTCCAACTGATCTTTTCAAAGTTTTCTCCCTGAAAGCCCTGTGTCCTAGTCAGATTAGTCTGAAGGCCCCTGGCGAATTTCCTTCGTGCTTATCACTGCACCTGCTTTTCTGTTATTTCTACACCCAGGTGACAAACTCCAATGCTACAGCTCCAGGCCATGACAAAATGCAGACCCAGAGTGACTGGATCTTATAATTTTTTAAGAGAAGCTGGGACACTGGAATTTGGTGTGCAGTTTCCTAATTTTTAAATATGTAAAACTAATTTAAAATGTTTAAAAAAAATTGAGTTAGCTAAAGAAAACATACCTGCAGGCTAGATTAAATCCCCAATAAGCAGCTCTGATCTTTGCAAATCATTGAGGTGTGCAGCTCAAGTGTCCTTCCTCAGTGCTGAGTGTCTGGAGTGATTCCATCTTCCCACACATATGTCTTCTTTTGGACTCAACTTCCTCTTGTACTTTGATTCTTTTCTCTCTTTAGAACATATTTATGGGCTCTTTTAAGCTACTGTTTAATGTTATTTTAAGTTTCTGGAGGGAATGATTATATATTGAAATAATTTTTATCTTGTACTATTTTTCTAAACTCAGAATACAGTGAATTGGGTGAATGAATAAATTACATCAAAGCTTCTTTTCCAATTTCTATTGATATAATGATCATCATCTGTTTATCCAATAAATTCTTTTTTTATTTTTACTTCTCCATATATTTGGCTATGGAGCAAGAAGTCATCTACGATCTTTCTTTCACCCCAATTCAAGAAGGGCACAATCAACAAATATAGATGAAAACACGTGTATTTGGACATAAGGCTTATTCTAACCAGTCAAGTTGAGGTATTCTTCTATGCACACTGGCTCTAGAAAAAAGACCCTGATAGGTGAAATTATTTGGGAGGATTTTTGTGTTACTTATTCATAAGCTGCCTTCATCATCTTGTTTGTTTGAGGTATTTACACTTTCTGTTATATCAGAAAGGAAACTATATTTAATTCTAATATCAAAAATCTTAAACTGAATCCAATTTAAACCAAACTATTTATGTACCACAGTGTCATATTTTGGTTTGTTTTGGTTTGGTTTTAATAATTATTTTTTATTTTTATTTCAATAATTTCTGGGGTATGGGTGGTTTTGGGGGCACATGGATAAGTTCTTTGGTGGTAATTTCTGAGATTTGGATCCACCTATCTCCCAAGCAGTGTAGACTATACCCAATGTGTAGACTTTTATCCCTCATCCCCATCCCCACCTCCCCGAAGTCCCCAAAGTCCATTTTATCATTCTTATGCCTTTGCATCCTCATAGCTTAGCTCCCACTTATGAGTGAGAACATACAATATTTGGTTGTCCATTCCTGAGTTATTACACTTCACTTAGAAACATAGCCTCCGGCTCCATCCAGGTTCCTGCAAAAAGCATTATTTTGTTCCTTTTTATGGCTGAGGAGTATTCCATGGTGTGTATATACCACATTTTCTTTATCAACTCGTTGGTTGATGGGCACTTAGGTTGGTTCCATATCTTTGCAATTGCGAGTTGTGCTGCTATAAGCATGCATGTGCATGTGTGATATGTTTTTTGAATTTTATAGCCCATAAGTGGCTTCCATTTGTGTGAGGAAATTGAGAAATGTCTATGTGTTGAAACAAAAAAACTCCACTTCTGTTTTGATTCATGTCCTTTCTTCCCTAACCATGTCCAATGTGTCCTTTGTGGAAGTTTTTGTTGTATCAGTCCATTATAGGCTATAGTGACTTTTGTCTATAGTTCAAATTGCTGTCCAAATTTTAAAGTACTGCTGCTATTATGACAACTCCGGGCTGTTGCAATTGATGGATGGCAGCAAGACACAGTTTGAGAACATCGGCTTCATACAAAGTACTGCTTACCAGCAGTTATAGCTGGGGAGGACTAATTAATTTCTGGAGCTTCTGTTTTCTCACCTGTAAAATGAGGATTGTAATATGTAGTTAATGGAAGCATTAAGAGAATTAAAAGGTATATGTAAACTATAAGTACTAAAAAAAAATTGTAGCTATTACTCATTTTCCCTTTCCCTTCCCCTCCTTTCTACCCTTCTGATGTGAGAATCTATGGAATCTGCCCACTTTTCCTCCAAAAGGATGTGGACTCTCAAGAAGATGTTTTTATTTGGTTTGAATCCCATTTGTAATTTCTCTCCACAGAGGTACTTTAAATATTGTTGGATATTTATTTCATCCATTTATTAATCTGACAAATATTTGTTTTTCCTTTGAGTCATCTATAGAATGAAATGAAAGCTGAGTTTATGAAAATTACAATATATACTGAAACATAATTTATTAATCAGAGTGATGCCATCAAAGTAAATTATGCTCTTCTCTAAACGGGCAAATTTAAATACAAGAAGGAAGAAGGCTTGCTGGTTACAAGGTTAAAAATTAACAGGAAATCTTTGTGTGATCTAATTTAGCCATGTGTTAACTACAAGGCCAGCATTGGAGACTCATTAGAAAAGGATATCAAAATTTTAATAAGATGTAAAGTGCAAGACATAATTATATAGTGTTTTACCTTATGACAGGTACTTACAAGAGCCTCAGCATTCATTCATCCAAGAATTACTTACAGGCATTGAACACCATGCATATACTAAACAGGTGGGAAGCATCTGTAATTAGTAAATATAATATTGTATCCAGATTAGGCAGTGATTCCTTGACAGAAGATGGAATCCAATAGACTTACTAAGGGATTCCTTGTCTTAACAATGATAGGAGAAAATAAAGGATTTTTATAGGTTAGCCTCAAAAAGAGAAGGCTAACGAATAAATCAGAATTGGTTTCAAAATATAAAGGATTTCAATGAGAAAAGAAATGAAAGGTTTTTAATTATCATTGTAAAGTCAAGACAATAAAACTGACCTAAAGAGAGTGAGAGATTTTTCTGATGATTGGATAAAGAAAATTTGTATATAGACATAATGGAATATTATTCAGCCATAAAGAGAGAATAAAATCATATCTTTTGCAGTAACACAGATGGAACTAGAGGCCATTATTGTGATAGAAACAACTCAGACGTAGAAAGACAAATCTTGCATGTTCTCACATATAAGTGGGAGCTAAATCATGTGTACATATGGACATAGAGTACAGCATGGTAGACACCGGAGACTCAAAATGTTGAGGGAGCGGAAATGAGGTGGATGATGAGAAATTGCTTAATGGATACAATATGCAGTATTTGGGTGGTGAATACTCTAAAAGCCCTGATTTCACCACCATGCAATCTATGCATGCAACAACATTGCACTTGTACCCCATAAATACATATACATAAAAGTAAACAAATAAAACAAGAAGAAAAAATGATTCCTGATGAGCCAAATGAAAAACTACAGAGGTGCTAAAGCACAAGAAATTCTTAGGAAAGTTTTACATTTTTTGTCTAGGAGGTCTCAAGACAAAACAATCATTCACCTTCAGAGAGGGTTTCAACGTTGATTGACATTGAAAGTGCGTGACATGTAATTATATATGTTGTAACAAAACGTCAAAGATTCTCCTTTGTTATCACTCCCACACGTACCATTCAAAAGATTGCTGAAAAACAGCTATTCATCTTTTACTTCAAAATCTTTAGAGAAATCATTCACTCACTGCTTTTCGATAATATATCATAGCATCTTTATTTCTCCCAGCTATGGTGTTTCTTGATGTACACCCTAAATTACTGGGCAGAAGAAACAACTGACCTAGGATGTTCTGCGTACCCACCTACTATGAAAAGCCTGAAGTGTTAAAACCAACTTAGAGACTGTTTTTCTTTTCTTTCAACTTTTATTTTAGGTTCAGGGGATGCATGTGCGGGTTTATTACGTGGGTGTATTGTGTGACATTGAGGTTTGGGATATGAATGCTTCTGTCACCCAGGTAGTGAGCATAGGACTCAATAGTTAGTTTTTCAGCCCTGGCCCCACTTCCTTTCTCCATCTAGTAGTCCCCAGTGTCTATTGTTGCCATCTTTATGTCCATGTGTACCCGATGTTTGGTTCCTACTTATAAGTGAGAACCTGTGGTATTTGGTTTTCTGTTTATGCATTAATTCATTTAGGATAATGGCCTCCAGCTGTATCCATGTTGCTGCAATGGCTATGATATTGTTCTTTTTTATGGCTTTTTCTTTATCCAACCCACAATTGATGGGCACCTGAGTTGATTCCATGTCTTTGGTATTATGAATAGTGGAGCAATGAACATATGAACGCAGCTATCTTTATGGTAGAATGTTTTAGTTTCTTTTGGATATATACCCAGTCATGGGATTGCTGGGTCAAATGGTAGCTCTGCTTTAAGTTCTTTGAGAAACCTCCAAACTGCTTTCCACAGTGGCTGGACTAAATTTTCATTCCCACCCATAGTGTGTAAGCCTTCCTTTTTCTCCATAACCTTGCCAGCATCGGTTATTTTTTGACTTTTTAATAACAGCCATTATGATTGATGTAATACGGTATCTCACTGAGTTTTGTTTGCATTTCTCTGATGATCAGTGATGTTGAGCTTTTTTCATAGGCCTGTTGGCCACATGCATGTCTAGAGATTGCTCTCTCAAGTCAGATTTCATCTAGTGAGTTCTCATACCCAGTATGCTAAGGATAAAGATCATTTGCTTTCCTTTTATTCACTGTTGGAAACAATTTATGCCAGAAAAAAATATATGCCTTCAATTTTTAAAAATGTATTAATTTTTGTGGGTACATAGTAGTTGTATATGTTTTTGAGGTACATGAGATGTTTTGAGACAGGCATGCAATGAGAAATAATCCCATCATGGAGAATAGGGTATCCATTCCCTCAAGCATTTATTCTTTGTGTTCCAAACAATCCAATTACACTCCCTTACTTACTTTAAAATGTATAATTATTTAAAATGTACAATTATTATTGACATAGTCACTCTGTTGTATTATCAAATAGTATACCTTATTTATTCTATTTTTGTACCCGTTAATTATTCCCATCTCCTCCCACCACAGCCCTCTACCAACTTCAATTAATTAGAGTCATTTCTACTATTTTTATTGGAAAAAGACTTGCATAATTAAAGGTCAGATTTTTATATGTGAGAGACATGGAGTAGGAGAGATAAATGGCCTGTAATTAAAAGTCAGGACAAGACCGCTGGTGAGCTACAGAGCAGTTGGGAACATCTGTAGACTCCAACAACCATATAATTCATTATCCAAACTAGAACACTTTTGAGAGTGAAAAGCTGAGGAGCTGTTAATCATAATAGCAGGACAAAAGGTATAAACTGGAACTGTCCCAGACAAACCTGGATATAGGGTCACCCAATCTATAACCAAATGTCATACACAATAAAAATGATGGGGTCAGGTGCGGTGACTCATGCCTGTAATCCCAGCACTTTGGGAGGCTGAGGAGGGCGGATCACCTTAGGTCAGGAGTTCAACACCAGCCTGACCAACACAGTGAAACCCCGTCTCTGCTAAAAATACAAAAATTAGCCGGGCATAGTGGCATATACCTGTAATCCCAGCTACTGTGGAGGCTAAGGCAGGAGAATCCCTTGAACCTGGGAGGTGGAGGTTGCAATGAGCCAAGATTGTGCCATTGCACTCCAGCCTAGGCAACAAGAGAGAAACTCTATCTCAAAAAAAATTTTAATAAAACAATAAAAAATGATGTTAGGACCTCTTTAAGTTACACCAAAAAAGGAGCTTCCCTGTACGTGATTTACAGACACCTAGAATGACTACTTTGACAATGTGTGACCATAAAATGAGGAAGAATACCTACATCACTTAAATTCATTCTTACACCTGTTACCAAAGAAAATGCTGAACTTCCAGGATATCTCTCTTACATTCTTTCTTTTGCTCATAGGATAGTTCAAAGAAGCAGTGTTAAAAAAGAAACATGGTAATTAGACTGCCACTGTTCATGAATGAGAAATTTCTGAACTCATCTCCCGTGAGAAGAGTATGCTTCTTAGCCTAACACAAACAGCAAACGTTGCATTCGCTCTGTACGTGATGGTATCTTGTATTTGCCAGAAAGCTCTGAATCAGGAAATTAGCCGTCATGAAATTAGATAATACACTTCCATTGCTTATCAGAAAGCAAATTTTCTGGGTGACCCTGACACAGGATCCTTAAGAACAATTCTTCTTCCAAATCGGCATTATTTTATTTCCAATATATATGACTCTTCTGAGAGATGTATTTTTTGTAAATATCAGATGCTCTTGCTAGCTAGTGCACAGAGTTGCTCTCAGCTGGTTCTAATCATTGTTCTTTTATTCCCCTTTAACACTTTCCTGTCCCTCCCATGTCTCAAGTTACCATACCCAGCTAAATATCTAAGCATCGCTTAAGAAACCCATTTTCCTCACCTGTAAAACGAAAATTTCAGGCTAAGCAATGCTTAAGAGGCTTTCCTAGCTTTAAATTTCTGCAATTACATCTCATTGGTACCATTGCAAGTGTGTCCAAAAATAGCATCCACCTTTTACTCCCTGCTTCGATTGTGACACTACAACATTCTGTTATAAACACCATTTGTATTTCTAAGTACTCTGCTCTCAGAAACCAGGACTCTTTACTGCAGAACCTAATCAATCTAGATTTTTTTATTGTAGAATATAAGACTTCCAATGACTGAGTTTCTAATAACTTTCTAGCCCGTCTTTGATTATTCCTTCACAGTCCCTCTCAGGAAGCCAGTCCAAATAACTCACTCTGATGAAACATAATTTTTCAAGGTTTCGACAGTTTGTTTCTGTTTCTTTTCTAATTTGTATTACCCTCTCTTTACTTTATAGTTGACATATCTATTACATACTTCAGGATTCAAACTATTTTCTTCTAAATATTTTGCCTTAATCCCCTTTCTCATGACTATTTATAGATTTAATCAATTTTCTATTATTTTTCATACAATGATAGCCTTCATTCATGTTTATTTAACAAACATAGGGGGATAATTATTATGTGTACAAGGCACTGAGCCAAAAGCTATGAACAAAACAAAATGGTGAAAGTTCCTGCCCTTATGGAGCTTACATTTTATGGAGAAGACAGACCATTGGCCTTAAATGAATGCTAAATAATAACAGCAATAATACTACTGATAATGAAGCAAGGAAGAAAGAAAGTGAGCAGAGGAGAGGCATCACTGAAGAGATGGCACCTGAGGGTGGCATTTGAAAGAAATGAGGGAATAAATCATCTGAAAATCTCGTAGAATCATTTTCCAGTGAAGATGAAGGGCAGGGGCCCAGAGGTGAGAACAAGGTTTAAGCAGTAACAATAAGATTGATGGGGCTGGAGCCAAAATCCTACCTTACCCGCTTATCCTGTTGGCCTTCCTATTCCTCATTGATCCCCTCATTCACTCTGATTTAGCTGCTCTGGCTCCCATACAATGCCTCAAACATATTAAGCACGTTCCAACCTCGGGGGCTTTGCACGTGCTGTTTGCCCCACTCAGAATGCTCTTTACTAGAAGATTTCATGCTGCTTCTATCTGTTTGGAGTTCTGATTAAACATCACTTAACAACTTTCTCTCCCCTTGCCTGGCTTTACTTTTATCCATAGATATGATTCCACGTGGATTTGCAATTTTATTTGCCTGCCTCCATCTGCTGGAATATAGTTCTAGCTGTTTTGTTCATTTCCTCAAATTTCAGGACATTTCCTAGCAGATAGATGGGACTCAATAAACATCTGTTTGATGTGTGGTCCATGAAAGTTTATAAAACTCAACAGTTCCTACCAACCTGGCAACATGAATGTGTAGTATGTCAAAGTTTATTTATTTATTTATTTATTTTATTATTATTATTCTTTAAGTTTTAGGGTACATGTGCGCAACGTGCAGGTTTGTTACATATGTATACATGTGCCATGTTGGTGTGCTGCGCCCATTAACTACTCATTTAGCATTAGGTATATCTCGTAGTGCTATCCCTCCCCACTCCCCCCACCCAACAACAGTTCCCTGTGTGTGATGTTCCCCTTCCTGTGTCCATGTGTTCTCATTGTTCAATTCCTACCTATGAGTGAGAACATGCAGTGTTTGTTTTTTTGTCCTTGCGATAGTTTGCTGAGAATGATGGTTTCCAGTTTCATCCATGTCCCTAAAAAGGACATGAACTCATCACTTTTTATGGCTGCATAGTATTCCATGGTGTATATGTGCCACATTTTCTTCATCCAGTCTATTGTTGTTGGACATTTAGGTTGCTTCCAAGTCTTTGCTATTGTGGATAGTGCCGCTATAAACATATATATGCATGTGTCTTTATAGCAGCATGATTTATAATCCTTTGGGTATATGCCCAGTAATGGGATGGCTGGGTCAAATGGTATTTCTAGTTCTAGATCCCTGAGGAATCGCCACACTGTCTTCTGCAATGGTTGAACTAGTTTGCATTTCCACCAACAGTGAAAAAGTGTTCCTATTTCTCCACATCCTCTCCAGCACCTGTTGTTTCCTGACTTTTTCATGATTGCCATTCTAACTGGTGTGAGATGGTATCTCATTGTGGTTTGATTTGCATTTCTCTGATGGCCAGTGATGGTGAGCATTTTTTCATGTGTTTTTTGGCTGCATAAATGTCTTCTTTTGAGAAGTGTCTGTTCATATCCTTCGCCCACTTTTTGATGGGGTTGTTTGTTTTTTTCTTGTAAATTTGTTGGAGTTCATTGTAGATTCTGGATATTAGCCCTTTGTCAGAGGAGTAGGTTGCAAAAATTTTCTCCCATTCTGTAGGTTGCCTCTTCACTCTGATGGTAGTTTCCTTTGCTGTGCAGAAGCTCTTTAGTTGAATTAGATCCCATTTGTCAATTTTGGCTTTTGTTGCCATTGCTTTTGGTGTTTTAGATATGAATTCCTTGCACATGCCTATGTCCTGAATGGTATTGCCTAGGTTTTCTTCTAGGGTTTTTATGGTTTTAGCTCTAACATTGAAGTCATTAATCCATCTTGAATTAATTTTTGTAAAAGGTGTAAGGAAGGGATCCAGTTTCAGCTTTCTGCATATGGCTAGCCAGTTTTCCCAGCACCATTTATTAAATAGGGAATCCTTTCTCCATTTCTTGTTTTTGTCAGGTTTGTCAAAGATCAAATGGTTGTAGATAGGCAGCATTATTTCTGAGGGCTCTGTTCTGTTCCATTGGTCTATATCTCTGTTTTGGTACCAGTACCATGCTGTTATGGTTACTGTAGGCTTGTAGTATAGTTTGAAGTCAGGTAGCATGATACCTCCAGCTTTGTTCTTTTGGCTTAGGATTGACTTGGCGATGCAGGCTCTTTTTTGGTTCCATATGAACTTTAAAGTAGTTTTTTCCAATTCTGTAAAGAAAGTTATTGGTAGCTTGATGGGGATGGCATCGAATCTATAAATTACCTTGGGCAGTATGGCCATTTTCACGATATTGATTCTTCCTACCCATGAGCATGGAATGTTCTTCCATTTCTTTGTATCTTCTTTTATTTCATTGAGCAGTGGTTTGTAGTTTTCCTTGAAGGGGTCCTTCACATCCCTTGTAAGTTGGATTCCTAGGTATTTTATTCTCTTTGAAGCAATTGTGAATGGGAGTTCACTCATGATTTGGCTCTCTGTTTGTCTGTTATTTGTGTATAAGAATGCTTGTGATTTTCGTACATTGATTTTGTATCCTGAGACTTTGCTGAAGTTGCTTATCAGCTTGAGGAGATTTTGGGCTGAGGTGATGGGGTTTTCTAGATATACAATCATGTCATCTGCAAACAGGGACAATTTGACTTCCTCTTTTCCTAATTGATTACCCTTTATTTCCTTCTTCTGCCTGATTGCCCTGGCCAGAACTTCCAACACTATGTTGAATAGGAGTGGTGAGAGAGGGCATCCCTGTCTCATGCCCATTTTCAAAGGGAATGCTTCCAGTTTTTGCCCATTGAGTATGATATTGGCTGTGGGTTTGTCATAGATAGCTCTTATTATTTTGAGATATGTCCCATTAATACCTAATTTATTGAGAGTTTTAGCATGAAGCGTCATTGAATTTTGTCAAAGGCCTTTTCTGTATCTATTGAGATAATCATATGGTTTTTGTCTTTGGTTCTGTTTATATGCTGGATTACATTTATTGATTTGTGTATATTGAAGCAGCCTTGCATCCCAGGGATGAAGCCCACTTGATCATGGTGGATAAGCTTTTTGATGTGCTGCTGGATTCGGTTTGCCAGTATTTTATTGAGGATTTTTGCATCAATGTTCATCCAGGATATTGGTCTAAAATTCTCTTTTTTGATAGTGGCTCTGCCCGTCTTTGGTTTCAAGATAATGCTGGCCTCATAAAATGAGTTTGGGAGGATTCCCTCTTTTTCTATTGATTGGAATAGTTTCAGAAGGATTGGTACCAGCTCCTCCTTGTACCTCTGGTAGAATTCAGCTGTGAATCCATCTGGTCCTGAACTTTTTTTGCTTGGTAAGCTATTGATTATTGCCACAATTTCAGATCCTGTTATTGGTCTATTCAGAGATTCAACTTCTTCCTGGTTTGGTCTTGGGAGGGTGTATGTGTCAAGGAATTTATCCATTTCTTCTAGATTTTCTAGTTTATTTGCGTAGAGGTGTATTTCTGTGGGATCGGTGGTGATATCCCCTTTATCATTTTTTATTGTGTCTATTTGATTCTTCTCTCTTTTCTTCTTTATTAGTCTTGCTAGCGGTCTATCAATTTTGTTGATCTTTTCAAAAAACCAGCTCCTGGATTCATTAATTTTTGGAAGGGTTGTTTGTGTTTCTATTTCCTTCAGTTCTGCTCTGATTTTAGTTATTTCTTGCCTTCTGCTGGCTTTTGAATGTGTTTGCTCTTGCTTTTCTAGTTCTTTTAATTGTGCTGTTAGGGTGTCAGTTTTGGATCTTTCCTGCTTTCTCTTGTGGGCATTTAGTGCTATAAATTTCCCTCTACACACTGCTTTGAATGTGTCCCAGAGATTCTGGTACATTGTGTCTTTGTTCTCGTTGCTTTCAAAGAACATCTTTATTTCTGCCTTCATTTTGTTATGTACCCAGTAGTCATTCAGGAGCAGGTTGTTTAGTTTCCATGTAGTTGAGCAGTTTAGAGTGAGTTTCTTAATCTTGAGTTCTAGTTTGATTGCACTGTGGTCTGAGAGACATTTTGTTATAATTTCTGTTCTTTTACATTTGCTGAGGAGAGCTTTACTTCCAACTATGTGGTCAATTTCGGAATAGGTGTGGTGTGGTGCTGAAAAAAATGTATATTCTGTTGGTTTGGGGTGGAGAGTTCTCTAGATGTCTATTAGGTCAGCTTCGTGCAGAGCTGAGTTCAATTCCTGGGTATCCTTGTTAACTTTCTGTCTTGTTGATCTGTCTAATGTTGACAGTGGGGTGTTAAATTCTCCCATTATTATTGTGTGGGAGTCTAAGTCTCTTTGTAGGTCACTCAGGACCTGTTTATGAATCTGGGTGCTCCTGTATTGGGTGCATATATATTTAGGATAGTTAGCTCTTCTTGTTGAATTGATCCCTTTACCATTATGTAATGGCCTTCTTTGTCTCTTTTGATCTTTGTTGGTTGAAAGTCTGTTTTATCAGAGACTAGGATTGCAAACTCTGCCTTTTTTTTTGTTTTCCATTTGCTTGATAGATCTTCCTCCATCCTTTTATTTTGAGCCTATGTGTGTCTCTGCACGTGAGATGCGTTTCCTGAATACAGCACACAGATGGATCTTGACTCTTTATCCAATTTGCCAGTCTGTGTGTTTTAATTGGAGCATTTAGTCCATTTACATTTAAAGTTAATATTGTCGTGTGTGAATTTGATCCTGTGATTATGATATTAGCTGGTTATTTTGCTCATTAGTTGATGCAGTTTCTTCCTAGCCTCGATGGTCTTTACAATTTGGCATGATTTTGCAGTGGCTGGTACCAGTTGTTGCTTTCCATGTTTAGTGCTTCCTTCAGGAGCTCTTTTAGGGCAGGCCTGGTGGTGACAAAATGTCTCAGCATTTGCTTGTATGTAAAGTATTTTATTTCTCCTTCACTTATGAAGCTTAGTTTGGCTGGATATGAAATTCTGGGTTGAAAATTCTTTTCTTTAAGAATGTTGAATATTGGCCCCCACTCTCTTCTGGCTTGTAGAGTTTCTGCCGAGAGATCAGCTGTTAGTCTGATGAGCTTCCCTTTGTGGGTAACCTGACCTTTCTCTCTTGCTGCCCTTAACATTTTTTCCTTCATTTCAACTTTGGTGAATCTGACAATTATGTGTCTTGGAGTTGCTCTTCTCGAGGAGTATCTTTGTGGCCTTCTCTGTATTTCCTGAATCTGAATGTTGGCCTTCCTTGCTAGATTGGGGAAGTTCTCCTGGATAATATCCTGCAGAGTGTTTTCCAACTTGGTTCCATTCTCCCCGTCACTTTCAGGTACACCAATCAGACGTAGATTTGGTCTTTTTACATAGTCTCATATTTCTTGGAGGCTTTGTTCATTTCTTTTTATTCTTTTTTCTCTAAACTTCCCTTCTCACTTCATTTCATTCATTTCCTCTTCCATCACTGATTCCCTTTCTTCCAGTTGATCGCATCAGCTCCTAAGGCTTCTGCATTCTTCATGCAGTTCTCCAGCCCTGGCTTTCAGCTCCATCAGCTCCTTTAAGCACTTCTCTGTATTGGTTATTCTAGTTATACATTCGTCTACATTTTTTTCAAAGTTTTTAACTTCTTTGCCTTTGGTTTGAATTTCCTCCAGTAGCTTGGAGTAGTTTGATCATCTGAAGCCTTCTTCTCTCAACTCGTCATAGTCATTCTCCATCCAGCTTTGTTCCATTGCTGGTGAGGAACTGCATTCCTTTGGAGGAGGAGAGGCGCTCTGCTTTTTAGAGTTTCCAGTTTTTCTGCTCTGTTTTTTTTCCCATCTTTGTGGTTTTATCTACTTTTGGTCTTTGATGATGGTGATGTACAGATGGGTTTTTGGTGTGGATGTCCTTTCTGTTTGTTAGTTTTCCTTCTAACAGACAGGACCCTCAGCTGCAGGTCTGTTGGAGTTTGCTAGAGGTCCACTCCAGACGCTGTTTTCCTGGGTACCAGCAGCGGTGGCTGCAGAACAGTGCATTTTCGTGAACCACGAATGCTGCTCTCTGATCGTTCCTCTGGAAGTTTTGTCTCAGAGGAGTACCCGGCCGTGTGAGGTGTCTGTCTGCCGCTACTGGGGGGTGCCTCCCAGTTAGGCTGCCTGGGGTCAGGGGTCAGGGACCCACTTGAGGAGGCAGTCTGCCTGTTCTCAGATCTCCAGCTGCATGCTGGGAGAACCACTGCTCTCTTCAAAGCTGTCAGAGAGGGACATTTAAGTGTGCAGAGGTTACTACTGTCTTTTTGTTTGTCTGTGCCCTGCCCCCAGAGGTGGAGCCTACAGAGGCAGGCAGGCCTCCTTGAGCTGTGTTGGGCACCACCCAGTTCCAGCTTCTAGACTGCTTTGTTTACCTAAGCAAGCCTGGGCAATGGCGGGTGCCCCTCCCCCAGCCTGGCTGCCGCCTTGTGGTTTGATCTCAGACTGCTGTGCTAGGAATCAGCGAGACTCCTTGGGCGTAGGACCCTACGAGCCAGGTGCAGGACATAATCTCCTGGTGGGCCGTTTTTTAAGCCTGTCGGAAAAGCACAGTATTAAGGTGGGCGTGACCCGATTTTCCAGGTGCTGTCTGCCACCCCTTTGTTTGACTAGGAAAGGGAACTCCCTGATCCCTTGCGCTTCCTGAGTGAGGCAATGCCTCACCCTGCTTCGGCTCGCGCATGGTGTGCTGCACCCACTGACCTGCGCCCACTGTCTGGCACTCCCTAGTGAGATGAACCCGGTACCTCAGATGGAAATGCAGAAATCACCCGTCTTCTGCATTGCTCACGCTGGGAGCTGTAGACCGGAGCTGTTCCTATTCGGCCATCTTGGCTCACTTCTCCTGTAATCTAGATTCTTAAGGCGTGCTTCAGATCCACCAATACAAAATATTCCAATTTGGAGGTCAAGAGATATTAATATAGTTGAGAAGAACTTCACTCCTTTCTGATGCCACACAAATAGTAGTGGCCAGGGTTTTTCCATTAACACTCCTTGTTATGAACTGAATGTTTGTGTCTCCGCACAATGTATAGGTTAACATCTAATCCCTACTGGGACAATGTTAGGAGGCAGAGTCTTTATTTTTATATTTATTTATTTATTTATTTTTAAGACAGAGTCTTGCTGTGTCAGCCAGGCTGGAGTGCAGTGGCACAATCTTGGCTTATTGCAACCTCCACCTTCCAGGTTCAAGTGATTCTCATGTCTCAGCCTCCCAAGTAGCTGGGACTACAGATATGCACCAAGACACCTGGCTAATTTTCGTATTTTTAATAGAGGTAGGGTTTCACCATGTTGGCCATGCTGGTCTTGAACTCCTGGCCTCAACTCATCTGCTCACCTCAGCTTCCCAAAGTGCTGAGATTACTGGCCTTAGCCACTGTTCCCAGTGGAGGCAGAGTCTTTAGAAAGTGATTAGGTCATGAGAGTGGAACCCCCATGAATAGGATTAGTGCCTGATATGGTTTGGCTGTGTCCCCACCGAAATCTCATCTTGAATTCTCCCAGTGGGAGTTAATTGAGGTAATTCTCCCAGGAGGCAAGTCTTTCCTGTGCTGTTCTTGTAATAGTGAATAAGTCTTACAAGATCTGATGGTTTTAGAAAGAGAAATTCCCCTGCACAACCTGTCTTTGTCTGCTGCCATCCATGTAAGAGGTGACTTGCTCCTCCTTGCCTTACCCTCTAATTGTGAGGCTTCCCCAGCCACGTGGAACTGTTTAAGTCCATTAACCCTTTTTCCTGTATAAATTCCCCAGTCTCAGGTATGTCATTATCAGCAACATGAAAACAGACTAATACAATACCATTATAAAAGGAAACCCACAGAGCTCTCTCTCCTCCATTTAGGGACACAAGAAGAAGTTGGGCAGTCAGCACCAGAAAGAGGGTCCTCACCAGAACATGACCATGGTGGCATCCTGATCTCAGACTCCCAGACCTTAGAGCCATGAGAAATCAATACCAGTTGTTCATAACTCACTCAGTCTGTGGTACTTTGTTTAGCAGTCTGAGCTGACTGAGGCACCACCTCTGACCTGTGGGTATCAAGATCCTTAGATAGCATCCTGGCTATTCCCATGAGGCAGCCCAGGTAGGGTTGACAAACCCTCATGATACAGGTTTATTTCCCAATGCTGGATAATCCTGGTGTCATTCTAAACCCAAAAATATATTCCTACCCCTCCCTTGATGCTCAAGATTTTTTAGAAAAAATTTCTCTCCCTGAACTGCAAAGAAATTTCACCAGTACTCTACAGGTGACGATTTCTTGCTTTTGTCCCCACAGATTAATGATTTTGTTTCATAGGGGAGAAAGAAAAGAATTCACTCTGAGTTTCTTGCCTCTGATGCCTCCATCCCCATCCTGCAGATTTTCCTAGGATTTTCCCAGTCTTCTGTGACCACCTAGAGGAGTTCATGAAGGAAAAGCCTGCAAGCATGGGGGGCCCCCCTGTATTTATAGTCCACTTCCCCCAGGGGATTCACCCTCTCATTGAAGTACACACTCAACCAGGCTCCACCTATTTACCCACCAGCCCTAGCAGGAGTCTGCTTATGGAGTCCGCTGCATCTGCCCAGAAAAGCCAGTGTTTGCAGCTCTTGTCTCTCCCTGCAGGCACCCGTCTCTCCCTAGACTCTGGGACGGTTGGTTGCCTCTCCACTATTCCAATGGTTAGGAAAAGGAACATTCAAGACAGGTTCAAAGGTATTGTCTTTCTAGCTTTTTAAAAACTGACATTTGGGAGCGAGGGTATTTCCAGCTATCTACATCTAAGTGGAAACTAGAAATGTTTGGATATTTTGTTTTGTTTTGAGACAGGGTCTCACCCTGTCACCCAGGCTGGATGGAGTGCAGTGGTACAATAACATCTCACTGCAGCCTCAACCTCCCGAGCTCAAATAATCCTCCCACCTCAGCCTCCCAAGTATCTGGGACTACAGGTGTGCCACCATGCCCAGCTAACTTTACTTTTATTTTTTGTACAGATGAAGACACACTGTGTTGCCCAGGCTGGTCTTGAACTCCTGGGGCCAACCAACCTGCCCACCTTGGTCCCCTGAAGTGCTGAGATTACAGGCCTGAGCCATGGTGCCTGGCCAGATATGTCTCTTAAAGCTCCTCTACTAGTCCTTACTATTGGGCCTGCCCAGCTCCTGACCCATTTTCTGTGAACTCTGCCCACATCTCACCCCTCCCCTCACATAGTTAGTGTAGGAACAACCATTTTGCAACCTGTTGTCATCTCCCTTAAGACCAGAATTGGTCTAGGGTTGAGCAGTTGAGTTAATCCAGAAATGTCACAACTGGGATTAGGAGAAAGAAATTCTGTCTCTCTCTCTCTCTTTTCTCTCTGTGTCTCCACTCCTCTTTCTCTATGATTAAATGTTTGCTGGGTTTTCTGCCATTTGGACTGAGAAGTAGAGAAAGTCATCTGAAGACAGAGATGGAATGGCTATACAGAGATCAGAGAAAAGCACAGAGGTCAGACCATTCTGGATGCTAAACTCCTATCATGTCGTTGAGTCCGTTACAATGCCAGAGTTCCTTATAGCTTAAGTGATTGTTAATAGGGTCTTTTTGTAAAAAAAAATAACCAAATATATCCCAACTCCAATAGCTCCCCAGGCGATTTTGATCCACATAGAGTTTGAAACCATTATCCTAATTATCACCTCACTATTTCTTGACCACATAGTGACATCCACAATCACCTTAAAAAATTTTAATTTTCAGCCCACAATTTGGCAAAGTGGATTATAAATTCATTACCCTAGTTAGGCATTGAGAATTAAAAATAAGTTCATAGCCTGCTGTTTTCATCATTATTACTGAATCTGGGAACCTTTCTTCTCTTCATCTTCTATTTTCCATTAAAATCTAAAGTGATGGCTATTAGAGGAAGAGCAGAGAATCAGCCAGTGAGCATTGGTGAACAGGGTTCCAGAAAGAATAATTTCCTGTTGTAACTTTTCTTACACCAGCCTTGGCCCAGATGATCTTACACCAACCTTGGCCCAGATGATGGTTGAAGTGTTTGTTCATCAAAACAAAATTATACTGCCAAGGAAAAATACAATTATTTTGCCTTTTAATAAGAAGACCTTGCATTTTCTATCTAGGGAAACAGCTTCTGGAGTTAAATATCTCCCAAGATAATAAAGAACTAAGATGAAGGCAATTTTAAGTAATTGTGTATATGACAAAATGGATGAAAATGCTCAGAGACTTGCATAATTCATACACATTTTCTACAGATTGCAGGCAGGAGTAAATGTTTACTAATTAGGTTGGTAGCCTATTATTCGAAAAAATGAAACTTGATTATAATAATTGTTACTCATTTATCCTGCAAAAACCTTCCAACTGCCAAAGTAAAAAGTCTTTTTCAGGCAGTTAATAGTTGCTCATTTCATACCCTTGGCGCATTCTGTTTTCCCACTAGAGACATATGTATGCTGTTCAGTAGATGCTGTGAGATGATAACGACCAACTGGGATCATTTGGGCACTTATGAAATTTATAGGAACATAATTTTTTCTCTAAATTGACTGAACTTGGAATGGAATTATAATGATCCCAAACAGATAAAAATACAACGTATTTTCCTTTTAGGTTCCTCAACAGTTATTTAATTTAAAATGCATTGCATTTTGGTATTTAAATAAGTTCACTGTCTGTTTGCAAATATCAATCACCTTCCAAACTATTACATAAGTGATCTCTTACAACTGTATTTAAATTGTAAGAGATCACTTATATAATAGTTTGGAAAGTGATTGATATTTGCAAACAGATACCAAAAGATACACTGCAGAGAATGAAACAAAAGAACATTTCCACACAGCGTTTTTCTATTAGCACTTTTTCTTCCTCCTTGAAACATAGGCCCCAGGGAACTATACTCTCCTTTATCCTGACTAGTTGTGCAGCTGAACAGACATCCTCACGAGAGGAAGCTGTCATTCCCGATGCACTTTACAGAATAAACAATATACTTCCTTGTGACCACATTATACACTGCCACGATCTCCTCCAATTTGGTACATTTGAGCCGGTAAGCCCCAGGAATCAATGTCATTGAACTGTGGGAGGTAAATGAAACAACTGTCCACCAGTTGTTTTATTAAAGATTGGGCAGCTGGAATAGTCTCCAAGCAAATGTGTCTACAGCCCCTGGGGATTGCTAGAGACGAATGTTACAAAGTCTGACTTAAAGGAACACTTTTAGAGGAATACATTTCTTTTTTGACCCAAGCATCAATAATCTATTTTGCTTTCCTCTAACATGTATGTTGCCTGAGGGAAGGAAAAAAAAAAAAAAGTTTCCCTTTAAATAATAAAATCCAAAATGAGGTCAACATTTCCATCCCCAGCAGGTTACTCCAGTTTGAACTCTCCTCTTTTTAATCATGGATAATTTCACCAACAGCACAGCAGTCCTGCTAGTATACAGAAGATGAATTCTGTGTTTTCCTAGTTTGATGATTGCCTACTACGGTGCTGATGTGATGTGGATGCTAATGTTACTTTTCTGTGATTTATTGTTGACGGAGGAAAAATATTGCCTTGTTTTCCTTACAATGTGTAATGTTAAACCAGAAAAATAATGACTCAACAGTAACATTTCTTCCTCATGAATACAGATTGGCATGCCAGAATTAAAATGAATGAATAGTAATTACATCTTGCTAGGGAGAAAGGAAGGGGAGGGACACCCATTGTCCATGGCTAATATATGACCAGCCTCCTAAATCCATCAAAATCCCTTTATAGTTAATTAAATAACAATTAAATGACATGGTAATGTTATTTAACATTAATCATAAAACCATATTTAACCATATTTAACTTGGTAATCATAAAATATGTACATATTGATGTGCCCTCCTAGGTATCCCCAAATTGCCCTCCTGGTAACAATTTTATTGTATTGACCCCAAGAAATAAGTAGCAGGAAACACAAACACAACTGCCCAATCCATGACCTTGAGCTCAAAGATGAAGCCTTAAACCCAAAGATGAAGCTCGCTCCAGGGCATCTTTTCACTACCCCTTAACCACAGAGTATTAACTTGCAGAGTGTCTGCAAGATGCCAGACACTATGATGTATTGGTGCAGAAATATAAACTCTGGGCCAGACTGCCTGGAGTCCTAACTCACCTTATTATTAACTTGCTGTGCGATCTCCAGTGATACTCACCTGCTCTGAGCTTCAGTTCTCTGTTGGTAATGTAGCAATAATAATCATACCTGCCCCTTGGGGTTGTTAGGAAAATTAAAAAAGTTAATGTTTATGAAATACTTAGAATAGTACCAGATGCCTTTAAAGCAGCAGTCCCCAACATTTTTGGCACCAGGACCCATTTTGTGAAAGACAGTTATTCCATGGACTGGGGTCCAGGGATGGTTTTGGGATGATTCAAGAGCATTACATTTATTGTGCACTTTATTTCTTTTATTGTTGCATTGTAAATGGAATACTTACACAACTCACCATTACAGAGAATCAGTGGGAGCCATGAGCTTGATGGTCCCACCTGGGGGTGATGGGAGATGCAGATCATCAGGCATTAGATTCTCATAGGAGCGTGACACCTAGATCCCTCACATATGCAGTTTCCAATAGGATTCACGTTTGTACGAGAATCTAATGCTGCCACTGATCTGACCGGAGGCAGAGGTCATGCACTAATGTGAGTGATAGGGAATCGCTGTAAATACAGATGAAGCTTCCTTTACTTGCCTGCCACTCACCTGCTTCTGTGCAGACCTGTTCCTAACAGGCCACAGACTGCTACTGGTCCATGGCCAGGGGGTTGGGGCCCCTGCTTTAATGCAGTTATTAAAACAGATAGAAGCTTAAATTAAAGACTTCCTAGGGGAAACTGTGACATCCTTAGCTTCAGAATTACCCTGTATTGTGTGGAAGTAGGTCAGATTCAGGAAATTTTTAAACCAGTCCAGCCTACACACATTTCAGACTTAATCAGATATTTTAAGAATATTTCTAGAGAGTCTTAAAGTCATCTGATGTTTTGAGATTGCCTAACCAAAAGTTCTGTTTCCTGACTTAGTACCCTCTTAACACACAGTGACGCTAGCATCCAGTATCCTAGGGTTTGCAGAATCTGCATACATTCATACTGCATTTCAGGGACTTATGGCACGTATGTGAATGTGGTTGGTGGTTTCTTATTCCAGTATCTTATTGAAGTTAGGAAGTGTGGAATAATGGAAGGGACATGAATTAGGACTCAAAATAAAACTAGGGTCTGACCCATCCCCTATTTAAAGGGCAGATCTTGTTTTGCCTACCTGGGATTAAATATGTGAATCACAACTGAAGCTTTCCTGATTCTAAGGGTATCTATGACAAACCCACAGCCAATATCATACTGAATGGGCAAAAACTGGAAGCATTCCCTTTGAAAACTGGCACAAGACAGGGATGCCCTCTCTCACCACTCCTATTCAACATAGTGTTGGAAGTTCTGGCCAGGGCAATTAGGCAGGAGAAGGAAATAAAGGGTATTCAATTAGGAAAAGAGGAAGTCAAATTGTCCCTGTTTGCAGATGACATGATTGTACATCTAGAAAACCCCATTGTCTCAGCCCAAAATCTCCTTAAGCTGATAAGCAACTTCAGCAAAGTCTCAGGATACAAAATCAATGTACAAAAATCACAAGCATTCTTATACACCAACAACAGACAAACAGAGAGCCAAATCATGAGTGAACTCCCATTCACAATTGCTTCAAAGAGAATAAAATACCTAGGAATCCAACTTACAAGGGATGTGAAGGACCTCTTCAAGGAGAACTACAAACCACTGCTCAAGGAAATAAAAGAGGATACAAACAAATGGAAGAACATTCCATGCTCATGGGTAGGAAGAATCAATATCGTGAAAATGGCCATACTGCCCAAGGTAATTTACAGATTCAATGCCATCCCCATCAAGCTACCAATGACTTTCTTCACAGAATTGGAAAAAACTACTTTAAAGTTCATATGGAACCAAAAAAGAGCCTGCATCACCAAGGCAATCCTAAGCCAAAAGAACAAAGCTGGAGGCATCACACTACCTGACTTCAAACTATACTACAAGGCTACAGTAACCAAAACAGCATGGTACTGGTACCAAAACAGAGATATAGATCAATAGAACAGAACAGAGCCCTCAGAAATAATGCCACATATCTACAACTATCTGATCTTTGACAAACCTGAGAAAAACAAGCAATGGGGAAAGGATTCCCTATTTAATAAATGGTGCTGGGAAAACTGGCTAGCCATATGTACAAAGCTGAAACTGGATCCCTTCCTTACACCTTATACAAATATCAATTCAAGATGGATTAAAGATTTAAACGTTAGACCTAAAACCATAAAAACCCTAGAAGAAAACCTAGGCATTACCATTCAGGACATAGGCATGGGCAAGGACTTCATGTCCAAAACACCAAAAGCAATGGCAACAAAAGCCAAAATTGACAAATGGGATCTAATTAAACTAAAGAGCTTCTGCACAGCAAAAGAAACTACCATCAGAGTGAACAGGCAACCTACAAAATGGGAGAAAATTTTCGCAACCTACTCATCTGACAAAGGGCTAATATCCAGAATCTACAATGAACTCCAACAAATTTACAAGAAAAAAACAAACAACCCCATCAAAAAGTGGGCGAAGGACATGAACAGACACTTCTCAAAAGAAGACATTTATGCAGCCAAAGAACACATGAAAAAATGCTCATCATCACTGGCCATCAGAGAAATGCAAATCAAAACCACAATGAGATACCATCTCACACCAGTTAGAATGGCAATCATTAAAAAGTCAGGAAACAACAGGTGCTGGAGAGGATGTGGAGAAATAGGAACACTTTTACACTGTTGGTGGGACTGTCAACTAGTTCAACCCTTGTGGTAGTCAGTGTGGCGATTCCTCAGGGATCTAGAACTAGAAATACCATTTGACCCAGCCATCCCATTACTGGGTATATACCCAAATGACTATAAATCATACTGCTATGAAGACACATGCACACGTATGTTTATTGCGGCATTATTCACAATAGCAAAGACTTGGAACCAACCCAAATGTCCAACAATGACAGACTGGATTAAGAAAATGTGGCACATATACACCATGGAATACTATGCAGCCATAAAAAATGATGAGTTCATGTCCTTTGTAGGGACATGGATGAAATTGGAAATCATCATTCTCAGTAAACTATTGCAAGAACAAAAAACCAAACACTGTATATTCTCACTCATAGGTGGGAATTGAACAATGAGATCACATGGACACAGGAAGGGGACACTCTGGGGACTGTGGTGGGGTGGGGGGAGGGGGGAGGGATAGCATTGGGAGATATACCTAATGGTAGATGACAAGTTAGTGGGTGCAGCGCACCAGCATGGCACATGTATACATATGTAACTAACCTGCACAATGTGCACATGTACCCTAAAACTTAAAGTATAATTTAAAAAAAAAAAAAAGGGTTTCTAAAAAGAAGTATTCTGTGAACTATTTTTAGCATTTTAAATCTCCAAATGGAAAACTGCATTCACTCGAGATAACACTGTGGGGGCTTATGGAAACATTAAGTTTTATTGTTTATTTGTTTGTTTATTTTTCTCCATTGGCAAGAATGTTATCACCTTGGTGGAGTAACACAACCAGTGACAACCAGTCTTGCTCTGATGAGAAATTCTGAATAGCAACCGCATAAGTCATTGGTAGCAAAAGATAGAAAGACAACTTAAAGATTACTAAAGTAAATGCATTGTTTTTAGACGAAAGTCTTTCAAAATACAGAACCCAAAGGAGAAGGAGAATTAATAAAGGAATCCTAAATAGTAGAGAATTTGAGATTCTGAACTCTGTAAAGTTCCTCTTAGCTCCAGAGTAATAAGATTATATGGCTCCAATGGCCCAGGACAGAGAGAATAAAATAAAATGAATTTAAGTGATAGAGAACAATACAAACTCTAATAAGGCAGGAAAATAAGAAATAAGGACTAGTTAGAAATACACGAGACATTATAAAATATAAGGATTCATCTTTTTCCAGAAGAAAAAACTTGAGAAGTGATAATAATAAATTAGGAAAATGGGTTTCAATGAATAATTTATTAAAGTTGACATAAAGTATTATCATGACAAAAAAATACTAATATAAACTGAGAACTGTACACCAAAACTCCAACTGTCAGTCAACAAACAAGAGCCAACTTTTCAGGAAAAGTTCTCGGGGTTCATGAAGCCTGACTTTCCTGTCCTCAGTTTAAAGATGCCATCCATAGTGAGTAAGATAAAGATGAAAATACTACCACGCATAAAAGAATAAGGTGAAATACGTAAAATTTGGTTTAAAAAGTTACATCCAATTTTCATTTTCTATTTTACAACATCCCTCTTTGATTTGCCTCTAAATATAACAAAACAGACAGAAGAGACTCCAGTGAAGAAAGACAATATACAAAACTACAACTATATTAATATATTTTGGGGGCCAGAGCAAAATGTGAGATTGTTCAAAATGAGAAATGTCTAGCAGCAGTTAATGGCCTGACTTTCCCAAGTGAAAATATGTTTAATATAAATTATTATCATTAATAGATCAAATATGTCAAATGGATCTTCATGATGTAGTGGAAAGAGTATCAATTTGAGAGTCAGATGCCTGGAACATTTTCATTAACTGGTTAAATGATTTGGATTGAGAAGAAGCTCTATGCACTCTTTTCAGCAAATATTTATTGATTCCTTTTATATAATAGTTATTATTGGCCATTATCCAGTTTATTTATCTGTATGGTGAGTGGGATGGGCTAAATGGTTTCTGAATGTCTTCCAACTCTAAGAATCTTCATGTACTAAGAATCTTCATGTAAAATGTTAATTAACATAGTAATTCCTTATTTTCTTTATCTCAGAACAGCACAGCAGTAAAGCATGATGAATTTGCCAATAGCATCTCCAGTTATAAATGCCAATTGTGTGCGTAGAAAGTTGACAGAGAAGAATAAAAAACACAAAACACAAATATTAACATGATTAGTTAAGTAATAGAAAATATTTCTTTGAACAGGGCTCTTTGAGAAATGTATCATGAGAGAATAAATGCAGATATTAAAATTCCCCACAACATTTCCATGGAGCTTTGAAATGAGCAATAATTGTAATTTGTGATGACACCAAATATTCTACACATGCTTAGAATATCAGCCTGTAATTAATTTATCTTAATGTGGAAATATTTACTGGTTCAAATGAATGCTTTTTAGAAAATATTGCATCAATTTGTAAGTTTGTTTCCTCAGTGCCAATATCATGTTTACATACAGCTGGAAAAATCTGAAATCCTCTGTTAGTAAGGTTAGAATGAGCGGACACCCTGAACTGTGAAGAGCATATTGGACTGGATGTCCAGGGACCTGGGCTCTATTTCTCACGCTGACATGTGATCCTAGACCCATCACTTTCATCTTCTAAGTAAGTGCCACGTTTTCTCATTGCTAAAATGACATTAGACCAAATGGAGTAAGGATTTTGAAGGGTGACAACTCAAAATCCCCCTCAGTTACTGAATCCAGCTTAAAGTCCGGCATTTTCAGGTGATGTTTGGTTTTGTCTGTCAGCTCTGGAAGGGACTCTATGTTATCCGGTGACTTCTGATTAAAATGGCAACTTATCTGTCCCCACTTGTCCCTCTGCCCTTACACATGCTCAAAATTCAGTGGCAAATCAAAGCTAGGATGACGATGGCAAATGCTTTCATTTGCAAAAGGAAAGAATGGGGCCTGCACAGCAGTCCCTGGCCCTTAGCAATAATGGAATCCTGATGGCCAGGCATTGTGTGATGACCCTGCTTTAGCGGTGAGGGAAGCTTCTTTATATATATATATATATATATATATATATATACACACACACACACATATATATATACGTATATATATATATACACTTTAAGTTCTGGGATACATGTGCACAACGTGCGGGTTTGTCACATATGTATACAGGTGCCATGTTGGTGTGCTGCACCCATTACCTCATCATTTACATTAGGTATATCTCCCAGTGCTATCCCTCCCCGCTCCCCCAACCCCACAACAGGCCCCAGTGTGTGATGTTCCCCTCCTGTGTCCAAGTGTTCTCATTGTTCAATTCCCAGTCAACAGGTGCTGGAGAGGATGTGGAGAAATAGAGACACTTTTACACTGTTGGTGGGACTGTAAACTAGTTCAACCATTGTGGAAGACAGTGTGGCGATCCCTAGGGATCTAGAACTAGAAATACCATTTGACCCAGCCATCCCATTACTGGGTATATACCCAAAGGAATATAAATCATGCTGCTATAAAGACACATGCACATGTATGTTTATTGCGGGAAGCTTCTTGATTAGACTCTGATTCTTATTTTCTGAAAGGAACTCACTTACCTATTCTTCTCTGTGCCTCTGGCTCTGCCCTCTGGGAAGATCTAATCTTTTGTCCACTGAAGTCACAGCTGAAACTGGGATCTGGAAAGGGGCCCCAATGAAGAACCTGCAGGCACTAGTGCAAGTTTGAGATTTTAGGAGTATTTTTCAATCTCAATTTTTAGTCCAGGCTTCTCATTTCTTGGCAATGGTTTCCTAAAAAGCTAGTAGACTTTTAATGTATTTTTTGACTTCCCAAATTTCTACCTAGACACAATACTGAAGCCTGATTTTTTTTCTTAGTGCCCAGCCTCCCATGCCTCTCAATCAAGTTAATGACAGCTACTTAGAAGCCATCATCTCAAAAAAATAGGTGCATAGGCCACCTCGTTAATCTGATGTTTGCTGAAAGCTGAGTCAAGTCATCTGTGATTTCTTCTTGGCCTTTGTTACTTACTAAGGCTCTTACTAATTTGTGGCTCTTTTGTTTGCAACAGGGCACTTCCAAGTTTTTGACAGAAGGGGAAAGAGACCGAATAATTGTATTTGGGAGGTTTTACTTCCCATATTTCTTTGACTGCAGCTCAATAACTGGAAAGGAAACTGATAAATGAAGTCTTGCTCAATATTGTCCATTAGTTTTGGCAATGATGCAAATATTCTATATCTGCTCTGTGCAAAATGGTAGATACTCATCAAATCAAAATGGTAGATACTCATCAAATGTGGCGATGTTGCACTTGAAATCTGGCTATTGTAACTGAGGAATTGAATGTTTAATTTTATTAAATTACTAGTCATTTAATTTAAATAGCCACGTATGGTTAAAAACTACCATATTGGATAGTGCAGGTTCTTATCTTCCCAAAAAAAAAAAAATAGGAAATAGTTTCAGTGAGTGGCTAGCCAGTCTCTGCCCAGCTGGGTCAGTTATGTCAGTGCTACTGGAGAATACTGAAACAGGTGCATCTCAAGTACATTCCTTATGTTACCTTCCAAACACTGTTACTATCCAAAGATATAGAAGTCATCTCCACTCTTTTTTCACAGGCATACTAGTAAAAGCTGAGAAAAATGTACTACTTATATTTATAGTGGATTGTTTTAAGAACATTTTGTGAGACAAATTATTCATGCTCTGCTGATTGATAGAAACAGGAATTGGGATGTAATAAGAAGGACCTATGCTGATCACCAAAGTTTCTGGTTTTGCCTTTTCTCCAGTTTTATGAATAAGAAACATGTTAATCTTCCCATTTTCAATTCCGAAGGAGTTACAGATAGGCTTCAGTCCATTGCAGCTTTTGCATTGACAATATTTTGTATGGGAGAATGTCATGGGAAGGTTATTGGGGCAGTGAAGTGTGATAGCTCTTCTCTGGGAAAAAAAAATCAACTAAATCCTGCTTGATCAAAATGCAAAGCCTCTACCATAAAACGTGTAACAATAATTTCGAGTAAGGAATTAACTACAGAAAGAAATTGTTTAAAAATTTTATGGCTTCCTTATTGAAAGACCCCATTTTTATTTTATTATTTATATTTCATTCTAAAAATGAAATAAGCATCTTAATAAGCTAGAAGTCTTTATTAGATTTTTAGATTTTAACATTAAAATAGTCCCATTGTCCCCCAAATGTTTGCGGCTTGTTCATACAGAATTTATAATCGTGTTATTTTGTCAAAACAGTCATGTGCTTGAAAAATGTAGAGAATAGTGTCTTTCTTGGGAGTTGGCAGCAGTGTAAGGTGAGTGGAATTGAGGCCTCTTAGAGCAAATACAGAAAACTTGCATATATCAACTTGTGCAAAGCACTCACACCCTTCTCCCCCTTTGCAGTTCAAGATGTAATATTTTAGTATTCCATGAAAACCTCAATTAGTAATATTTTTGTTTGGTAAAATGCTATTATATGAGTGATTGTCTTCATTTCCCTTATTATCTTTTCCTGACTGTCTCGAGGCAATACTTTGGAAGAACAACAGAGCTGGTTCTAAGCAAAGTTGTAAAGTAAAAAACTCCATGTGTCCTTTCCTCAACCATCTCTTTCTTAGATCTTTCAGTATCTTTGCATTCCACTGCCTTATACTAATCAAAACCTATTCACTTTAGAGGATTGGATGTGCCAATTTTACAGTCATCTGAAATTGTTCGGATGAGAATATTAGCTCTTCTAGCAGCTATTTGTACTTTAAGCCTATCACCTGTTCCTGTACAGAGTAAAATTATCTCTGATGAAGGAATTCCAAGTACCAGCAAGAGGTTGGAGAACTTCTTTAAGTGGTGGTCTCTGGGGCTGCTAAAAATCACACAAAATACACAATCAATCAGCTTGTATATGGACTCCCCAGGCTAGGCTTATGGAAGAAGGAGAAAGTCTTGTAGTAGATGATTCCATGCTTCAGAAAGGATGATGGTGCCAGGCACAGTGACTCAGGCCTGTAATCCCAACACTGTGGGAGGCCAAAGCAGGAGGATTGCTTGAGGCCAAGAGTTCAAGGCCAGTCTGGTCAATATAGGAAGAACCCATCTCAAATATACATATATACACACACATATGTACATATATATATACATACCTATATACATATATACGTATATATACATATATACACATACATATATACACATACACATGTATATATACATACACATATATACGTGTATATATGTATACATACTATATATGTATATATAGTATGTATACATATATACTATATATGTATATATAGTATGTATACATATATACTATATATGTATATATAGTATGTATACATATATACTATATATGTATATATACGTATATATAGTATATATGTATATATATGTATATACGTGTATATGTACATATATAGTATGTATATATACTATATATGTATATATACGTATATATACGTGTATATATACATATATAGTATATATACGTATATACGTACGTATATATGTATACATATATACATATATATATAAAAGCCAGGAGGCTGAGGCAGGAGGAACACTTGAGCTCAGGACTTCAAAGCTGCAGTGAGCTATCATCATGCCACTTCACTCTAGCCTGGGCAACAGAGTGAGACTCTAGAGCTTATCTCAAAAAAAAGACAGAAAGAAAGAAAAAGAAAAGGTAATGGCATCCATGTGACCAATCCCCTTCATTTGTGAAGACTTCCCTGAAGGTTCAAAGAAAAAAAAAAGTCTGAAACTAAAAAGTGTGGATTATTGATTACTTGTTAACTCATAGAAAGCTAGAAACATGGTTGCTTCTTTTTCCTTCTTAGCCCTACCTTCCAGTTCCATCTACAATTCTCAGATACGTCTTGCACTTTCTTTCCCAAGTTCCCACTGCATTGGGCCCAAAGCACAATAGCTCTAAATTTATAGCAAATTTCTTCCAGAAATTTCTCGGAGATTTCCATCAAATGAATCCTCATGTCATTATCTCATAGTGGATGAAGACAATGAGTACTCAAGGGATTTTTCTAAGGCCAATTGACTTTTAAAGTTATTTGTAAAACCACTTTATTTTCTCCTAAATGGTTTTATTTGAAGCCTCCAGAAAAACCTACTGAAATTTCAGAAAGGTGATCTTTTAAAAATCACTTTAGTTATTTAGTAATTTCATTATTTTAGTCATTTAGTTGGTTGATAGTATTTATTCAATTTGAATAACACTCATTGAATTTGCATATTCATTTAACTTTCACTCTCACATAGAACTGCCATGGTTCTGCTGCACATGAAGTGGGGCGACAAGAGCCAGTTCCTGCTGCAGGTGCCAGGGAGCACCAAGCCGGAGGAGCTTATGGTGCAAGTGGGCCAGGTCTATAATGGGTGGCTCAACGTGCAGCGCCTCTGCTTGGAAATGGAAGAATTAGCACAACATGACATATTTCTCTCTCCTAATATGCAAGGACTGACCAATGATCAGATTGAAGAATTGAAATTAAAGAAGGAATGGGGTGAAAAATGTATGCATACACACACTCATCATAGGCTTAGCACCGAAGACCATAAGTCACCAACTCAGACCTCAGGCAACTCACAAATGAGTAGTCACTTTTACATTAATGATGTTAACTTCACCCGTAAGATGCTGCTGATGTTTTTTGAAGTTTCAGGTAGAGTAGATCACCCTTTCTTAGACCAGAATGGCCACACAATTTATCATCTAAATACATACAGTGTCCAAGGTGAACAGGGCACTATTATTAATTATGCCTGGACCACAGGCTCACTTCCTTTTCTGAGACACATCTGCATCCTACCTGAGCTTCTCACTACACCTCATAAAGACTGATCACAGAACCTGTAGCACTTTACCAGATATGCTGGTTTATACACAAGTTCCTCCTCCTCCAGATCATAAGTCTCTTGGATCTTGGCCTTTTCATCACCAGATCCTGAATTATGGTAGCTATATACTATTTTTTTTTAAAAAAAATAAGTATTAGCATTGCCCTAAGGAGGAGATTGGGCTGGTAGTGGCATGGCTTTCAGAGAGAAAGGTGCTTTTGAATTGGAGCAAGTATGGTCTACCCAGGAGATATTTATTGTTTCTATAAACAGTTTATTTAATGCACCCACAACACTATTAATCTTGTCCAACCAAAACTGTCGAAGTGATTTTACATATACAATCTCATAACAGTATAATAAAGGATGTCTCTAATATTTTGACTTATAGTCAATAACATAACTTATTTTACTTTTAACCACCAGTTGCCTAAGATGTCCAAAGCTATTCTCAATGATCAACTTGCCTAAAGATTTTCACTTACTGTGGGGACAATATGACAGAGTTTGGGGTTGTTATTAAATCTCCTTGTAAACTACATGCAATCCCAAAATCTGAGTGACTCTGATAGAAGCTCAGATGGGGTCCAGTTTTTGCACTCACGATCTCACTCCAAAACTACAGTGATGGTGCAACCATCATCTGAACACTGCTGGTCACTGTGGCAGAGGGTCAGAATACTCTGAAGGTCTTACACTGCCAAATACTCACTCCCAAGTGGCAGTGACAAACATCACTGCTGCTGACCATTTATAGACCAGAACACGTTACATGGCTCCACCTATGGATAAGGAGGCTAGGAAATGCAATCCTACGATCACATAACATCAAGAGAGCCAGAAATATTTGTTAAAACAACATTACTGTTTGTCACACTTATATTCCTGAGTTGAGATCTTACTGGCTAGAAGAAGCCTAGGAAAATATGAGGACCAACAGAATTCTGCGGCAACACAATTGTAAATGACCTTGGGCCCTGAGCTAAGGGTAGACATCTTGTGAACTTGTACAGAATTTACTTGCGTAAACTCTGAGTAAATTCCTAAAATGAGAGCCTCACCAAAGAGCTAAGCTCCCCGGACCCACCAGCTGCCATTAGAAACTTAGGAAGTCTGCTACTAATTAGCAATCCTTCGGAACTCCCAAAAGAATCAAGCCACAAGTTACATTAAGAAGCATGAGATAGTAGGTGTCATGATTGATTAATATTTATGAGCAGTAGGTGAACATCAGAAGCTGGGCACAAAGAAGGATGTATTGGGAGATGCCAATTTGCACCTTATGTGAATCAGCTCTGTTGGACTAGTGTTTAAAAGAAAATAATCACCAAGATGGGAGACTTAAAGAGTAGACTCAACTCTGAGCCACTTGAAGAGAAAAATGAGACATATCAATTATACTTGTTCATTTTTAGCAGGTTGAATAGTGCCCCCAAAACAGATATGTCCAAGTCCTACTCCTAGTAACTGTGAATTTGACCATACTTGGAAATTATGTCTTCGCATATATAATTGTTAAGAATCTTGAGATGAGAACATCCTGGATTGAGGGTAAGCACTGAATCCAATGATAGGTATCCTTGTAAGAAGAGAAAAGGAGACAGAGGCAAGAGAGGAGGAGGCTAGGTGAAGATGAAGGTAGAGATTGGAGTGATACAGCTACAAGCCAAAAAAAGCCAGGAATTGCCAGCAGCCACAGGTAGCTGAGAGAGAGGAGAACAGATTCTCCCTCAGAGCCTCGGGAAAGAAGCAACCCTGACAACACACTCTTATGTGAGACTGCTTAGCTCCAGAACTGTGAGAGAATAAATTTCTGTTGTTTTAAGCTATCCAGTTTAGGGGATTTTGTTATGGCAGCCCTAAGAACAATACCTTTAAGTGGAAAAGAGGTTTTTTTAAGCTTGAAAAATCCCAGAAGTTGATGATAAAAACCCTGATAAAGAGATAATCTTAAAATCATACTGAAGGTATGATGGGAGTATCACAGGTGTGTGATGGCAGATGAGATGGGATTATGATGTGTGTATAATGGCAGGTGTGATGGGCGTATGATGGGGTTATAATACAGGTTTGGTGGGAGTATCATGGAGGTACCATGGCAGGTATGATGGGATTATGATGCAAGTGTGAAAAAAGTATGGTGGGGATGTGATGGCAGGTGCAAGGGATTATGATGTGGGTATAATTGCAGGTGTGATGGGAGTGTGATAGCAGATGTAATAGGGGTATACTGAGGGTATAATGGCAGATTTGATGGTAGTATGATGGGCATATAATGGCAGATATGATGGGAGTATGATGAATGTATAATGGCAGATATGATGGGAGTATGATGAATGTATAATGGCAGGTGTGATGTGATTGTGATGTGGGTATAATGGCAGGTGTGATGAGAGTATGATGTAGGTATGATGGCAGATGTCATGGTAGCATTGTGGGTATATGATGGCAGGTGTAGTGGGATTTTGATGTGGGTATATGGTAAATGTGATGGGAGTATTATGGTGGTACAATGGCAGTCATGATGGGAGTATGATGAAGGTATAATGGCAAGTGTAATGAGAGTATGATGTGGGTGTGATGACAGATTTCATGGTAGAATTGTGAGTATATGACGGCAGGTGTGGTGGGATTATGATGTGGGTATATGGTAAATGTGATGGCCATATTACGGTGGTACAATGGCAGGTGTGATGGGAGTATGACAAAGGTATAATGGCAGGTGTGATGAGAGTATAATGTGGGTATGATGACAGATGTTAAGGTAACATTGTGAGTATTTGATGGCACGTGTGGTGGGATTATGATGTGGGTATATAGCAAATGTGATGGGAGTATTATGGCGGTACAATGGCAGATGTAATGAGACTATGATGTGGGTATGATGACAGATGTCATGGGTGGTATTGTGGGTATATGATGGCAGGTGTGGTGGGATTATGATGTGAGTATGTGGTAAATGTAATGGGAGTATTATGGCGGTACAATGGCAGGTGTAATGGGAGTATGATGAAGGTATGATGACAGGTGTGATGAGAGTACAATGTGGGCATGATGCAGGTGTGATTCGAGTATGATGGGGGTGTGATGGTGGATATGAAGGCACTTGTGCTGGGGTTAGCTGGGAATCCTACCCCACATCCCCTCCAAAAAGTATGGCAGGCTGGGCTTCAGGAAATGGATCAGAACCATTCTCAAGGCCTATGATCCGAATGATTCTTTTACAAGACTTGCCGGTAGGCAAGAGGAAAGATCCCTGATGCTCTAGTGATACAATTTAAGGTACTTTCTAAGAATAGGAAATAAATAAAAGTTATGTTCAAACCTAAGCACAAAAACTCATGATAATGTTCCAAAATTGAATTCATACCCAGCATTATGACACCAGCATATCAACATGACAATTTTTACTGCAGTCCACCCTCCCTTATTCTTTCCAGCCCATGAGTCATATTGGGGTCACATTAATATCATGCTGATCTTAGCTCTTAAATTGCATAACCCAAAATCACCTCCTAAAATTTCTCCTCCAAGTATTGCTGGATGTAAGTGAGGTGTTTTATATGTGTTCACCAACATTCCACTTTTATATTTTTCCCCTCTTTGCCCATTAGTTAACATCCTTGCAGTCACAGCTACCGAGGGCAGTGCTTGACATTTTCACTCCTGCCTAGGCTCTGTGGAACAATGTTCCTATGCCTGTGCTTCTTTCAGAACACTAGCAGAACTAGCTGCACATGCAGTGAGAACTTTGCAGAATTCTGCTTGGCTTTGACATGTCACTTCATCTCACATACAATTGTGAGACACCCCTACCTAGCATTTAGTGAGGTTGCAGAAAACAGCAGCAATTGCTTTTGTTGCCATTGTGGCAGATTTCAGATCCTATCTAATGAATAGGAAGGTAAGGTTTCCAGGAGTCAATTTGTAAGAGAACTATTGGTTCCAAGAGACAGAGACAAGGGATTTTGTACACATTTTTAGGGAAAAAAATCAAAATGAGAAAGATACCTGCCCCCTTCCCATGGCAACCCTGCCACCTGATATTATGTGCAAAAAAAGCAGCATGGCATCTAATCTAGTGTTTCATAGGGCTTCTAGGGACAATAGCTCCACCCTCACAGGAGTTCAGATTCAACTGAAAGGCATGCAGGAGTTAGATTTATGAAGATTAAAAAGTCAGCTTTATAACTGATAAAATCTAGGCTGAATTGGACAGACTCACTCCATGAGAAATCCTGCTGGTCAACCATAGCCCTGGTCAGACTCTCCGGGGCTGTGATTGACCAGCAGGACTTCTCATGCACTGAGTCTTAGAGCCCTCTCCAAGCAAAAGGAGAGTAGAAGCGACTTACTCAACCATGGCATAGTTCTTCCCATGTCAGGAAAACCACTTACCTGGAGAGAAATAGGGTGTGGGCAAGGAGCTTTACCTTCTCCCAGGAGAAATTCCTGCAAAGGAAAGGAAATCCCGGCTACTCACCCTTGGAATCAAGTGGGGAACACATTCTCCCATTTCAGTGTTCCTTTCTGGGAAATGCACAATACCTTTCAAGGCCACAATCCACATCTGTTTGAGACTGGAGCCCTTATTTTTTGGCATTATGTTACACTTCCTCCCTGGAATCCCTGGTACATTACAAGTATCCAACAAATATTTACTAAAGTCAGAATAATTATTCTCACTATCATTATTCTTTCAGTCATAAATAAGTTGGAATTACTAAATATATCTTTTCTAAAATGGGTGTTAAATATATACAAGTAAGAATAGCTGAAAACACTTGCCACATTCTTCCTGCAACATATTTCAAAATGAAAGCCGATGTGGAAATTTCTTCAGCTCATGTGACCCACAAAGCAAGTATGCTAGAAAAATCCTCTGTCATCAATCATGATAGTAGGTCGGGTCTGGAACTGAAAGCTATTAAAAAAAAAAAAAAAAAAAAAAAAAAAAAAAGCTTGTCTGTGGTTTGGAGAGGTAACGTTAACCAGGTCAAATTCTCAAGAGTGCTTATTTTTAAAAAATAAATCTATACTGAATAAAGAAATTTGCACTTGATATCATTTCTTATTAGCCTGGGCATTTTCATCTTTAAAAATCAGTAACAGAATTTACAACATCTTTTAACAGTAGCTTGAGAAGTCACAGTAAAGTATAACATTAAAGTAGCCTGTAATGCTGGAAAAGCTCTCCTTAAATCTTGAAATCAATAGCTTCACTTAGGATGAATTCAGCTGAAGGTTATGGAGGACAAAATTCAAGTGGCTGAACCAATACAGGAACTTTACTTATTATCTTCTTTTTTTTTTTTTTTTTTTAGAGTCTACCAGTAAGGCCCTCACAGCGTTGGTTGATTCAGTAGCTCAAATACACCACCAGGGACTCAGTTCTTTCCACCCTTCTCTTTTGTCATTGCATTGGCTTTTGCACTCAGACTTGTCACTTCCTGGTCACAGTATGGCTACCACCTCCTGCTTAAAATATGGCTGCCACAATATGGCTACCACAGATCCAAGCATCACATCTTCACACGTGTCCAAAGAATGGAAGAAAGTAGGCCCTTTTCTCAGATTCCTTGCAAGAATGAGAAGAAGATAATTCCTTCTGTCTCATTGGCCAGAATTCTGTTGTCTGCCTTTCCGTAGGCCAACCACTGGATAGAATAATAGACTTCCCATGACTGACTAATGTTAATTAAGATTCATTATCTAGGGCTGTGAAGACATCAGCTCCCATGAAGCACAAGGTGGCAAAGGTTTGGACAAAACTGGTTGTAAGCTACCAAGGGAGGGAGAATGGAAATGGCTGCTGGAGAGGCAAAAAAAAAATTCTATCTGATGCATCAGCAATAACAAAATATCTTAATTTGAAAAGCTATCAGGAGATGCCTTCAGTGTCAGTGTGTTTATAAATACCTGTCAACATGGTTCTGATTGCAGCTGGTACATCTTTTACCTCAATCAATGTTGCCTTGGTATCAGGCAATAATAACAGAAGGGTTTTTTTTTTTTTTTTGGTTATTGAATGTATTTAGAAAAATTCTAATTGTTCAATCTGTAAATTATCCAAGTCCCACATTTCTGTTTCTGAGAGGTGTTGGACTATTGTCTCACTTTGTTACTGTGCTTATGTTAGAGCAGAGCTAATTAAAATCCTTTTGTAACTTTAATTGAGTGACCATAATTCTCATTGCTCTAGGGTTTGACATTTCAACACCTTCAAATGGGCCTATATATTTCCTGAGACTAACCTATAGGCTGATTTTTTAAAATTGAACTTCGTAAAAATTTATCTAGCTTTGGAAAAGCAATATTCAATAGTTTTTTCACTCATTCATTTAGTAAATGGTCTTTCACTGCCTCCTATGTCCTGAGCACTGTTCTAGGAGCTTGATACAGGCAGATACAAGGTTTGCTTCCAGTCCAGTGAGGGGAATTCAGACAAGCATACAGTGTAATGGTAATGAATTTGCTAAATGCTCCAGAAAGCATAAGAACACAAGGTTGTAGTGGCCTTTGGGAGGCCATGATGGATTCTGCCTTACAGAAAAGCAGGCTTCATGATGGAAATGACATTGGCAATAACTCTTGCAGGATGAGTGGGTGAAAGGACAATTTAGAAAGCAGTAAAACCGTAAAGTCAAATGTGAAGAGATAGTGAAGGCACAACATATTTTGGGGAGGGTATGGAGCTCTTGGAGTGAACAGGTACACAATGGCTGGAGAAGTGGGTACATCTTGAAGGGAACTAGAACCTTTCTTAACAGAAGAGGTATTCCTTTTCTTTCTGAAATGTACTGTATCCCAACCATTATTTCATTCATCTATTAAATATTTCTTATGGGTCTAGTGAACAAAAAGTGCTTAGAATTTTATAAGATCAAGTCTCAAAAAAATATAAATCTTGTTTCCTACATCCTTACTCTGTCTCTCCTCTGTCTCCTTCTTTCAACCTATAAACATTTTCAAGCTTACTTTACTTAAAAATGTCTCCCTTCATCCTTCTCCTTCTCAGACCAGCACTCTACTCACTTTCTTCCCTTTGCCACTGTAGTTCCTGAAAAACTGTTGAAGACATGCTTTCATATTTTATTAACTCCTCAACATATTGCAGTCCTTTCTACTCTCTGATAATAGTTACCACCAAAGACCATCAAATTGCTGTTTTCAGTTTTCAGTCCACTGATCTCTGAGACTTAGCATTGTTATCCATACCTTCCTCCTTGAAATTTCTTCTTTTGAGTTCTAAAACAGCACTTTCTTCTTCTCCTATATCTGATGTGATTTCTTCTCAGATGTTTGCAGTCTACTCCCTCTCAGCCCATCTCTCAAATGTTAGTGTTCACTGCTCTGTTGGCCTCATTTTTTTTCTGTTCTTTCTCTCTGGTTTCTACCTAGATGACCTCATCTGAAATCACAGCTTCAATTAGTGTGGGCTCATCATTCCTAAATCTATTTTCAAAGACCTGACCTCACTACCAAACCAGGGACCTCTATTTCCAACTGATTCCTACAAAATTCCCCAGGACTCTGAAGATGTCTCTCATTTAACACATCTGAGGTCAAACTCCTCATCTGTCTCATACACCATTTTCTTCTTTCCTATATTCAGTCTTCATTAATAGCATAATGTGGATTAAGAAGTCTAACTGGGACACAGGGTGGAGCCAAGATGGCCGAATAGGAACAGCTCTGGTCTACAGCTCCCAGCACGAGCGACGCAGAAGACGGGTGATTTCTGCATTTCCATCTGAGGTACCAGGTTCATCTCACTAGGGAGTGCCAGACAGAGGGTGCAGGACAGTGGGTGCAGCGCACTGTGTGCGAACCGAAGCAGGGTGATGCATCACCTCACTCGTGAAGCACAAGGGGTCAGGGAGTTTCCTTTCCTAGTAAAAGAAAGGGGTGACAGACGGCACCTGGAAAATCGGGTCACTCCCACCTTAATACTGCGCTTTTCCAAAGGGCTAAAAAAATTGCACACCAGGAGTTTATATCCCGCACCTGGCTCAGCTCGTCCTATGCCCAGGGAGTCTCACTGATTCCTAGCACAGTACTATGAGATCAAACTGCAGGGCAGCAGCGAGGCTGGGTGAGGGACGCCTGCCATTGCCCAGACTTGATTAGGTAAACAAAGCAGCCGGGAGGCTCGAACTGGGTGGAGCCGACCACAGCCCAAGGAGGCCTGCCTGCCTCTGTAGGCTCTACCTCTGGGAGCAGGGTACAGACAAACAAAAAGACAGCAGTAACCTCTGCAGACCTAAATGTCCCGGTCTGACAGCTTTGAAAAGAGTAGTGGTTTTCCCAGCAAGCAGCTGGAGATCTGAGAACAGGCAGACTGCCTCCTCAATTGGGTCCCTGACCCCCGAGCAGCCTAACAGGGGGGCACCCCCCGGTAGGAGTGGACTGACACCTCACATGGCCGGGTACTCCTCTGAGACAAAACTTCCAGAGGAACCATCAAGCAGCAGCATTTGCGGTTCACCAAGTTCCGCTGTTCTACACCCACCGCTGTTCTGCAGGCACCACTGCTGATACCCAGGCAAACAGGGTCTGGAGTGGACCTCTAGCAAACTCCAACAGACCTGCAGCTGAGGGTCCTGTCTGTTAGAGGGAAAACTGACAAACAGAAAGGACATCCACACCAAAAACCCTCCTGTACTACACCATCGTCAAAGACCAAAAGTAGATAAAACCACAAAGATGGGGAAAAAACAGAGCAGAAAAACTGGAAACTCTAAAAAGCAGAGTGCCTCTCCTCCTCCAAAGGAATGCAGCTCCTCACAAGCAACAGAACAAAGCTGGATGGAGAATGACTTTGATGAGTTGAGAGAAGAAGGCTTCAGATGATCAAACTACTCCGAGCTACAGGAGGAAATTCAAACCAATGGCAAAGAAGTTAAAAACTGTGAAAAAAAAAAATTAGACGAATGGATAACTAGAATAACCAATGCAGAGAAGTCCTTAAAGGAGCTGACGGAGCTGAAAGCCAGGGCTGGAGAACTACGTGAAAAATGCAGAAGCCTCAGGAGCTGATGGGATCAACAGGAAGAAAGGGTATCAGTGATGGAAGACGAAATGAATGAAATGAAGTGAGAAGGGAAGTTTAGAGAAAAAAGAATTAAAAGAAACAAACAAAGCCTCCAAGAAATATGGGACTATGTGAAAAGACCAAATCTACATCTGATTGGTGTACCTGAAAGTGACGGGGAGAATGGAACCAAGTTGGAAAACACTCTGCAGGATATTATCCAGGAGAACTTCCCCAATCTAGCAAGGAAGGCCAACATTCAGATTCAGGAAATACAGAGAAGGCCACAAAGATACTCCTTGAGAAGAGCAACTCCAAGACACATAATTGTCAGATTCACCAAAGTTGAAATGAATGAAAAAATGTTAAGGGCAGCCAGAAAGAAAAGTCGGGTTATCCACAAAGGGAAGTCCATCAGACTAATAGCTGATCTCTCAGCAGAAACTCTGCAAGCCAGAAGAGAGGGGGGCCAATATTCAACATTCTTAAAGTAAATAATTTTCAACCCAGAATTTCATATCCAGCCAAACTAAGCTTCATAAATGAAGGAGAAATAAAATACTTTACAGACAAGCAAATGCTGAGAGATTTTGTCACCACCAGGCCTGCCCTAAAAGAGCTCCTGAAGGAAGCACTAAACATGGAAAGGAACAACCGGTACCAGCCACTGCAAAAACATGCCAAAATGTAAAGACCATCGAGGCTAGGAAGAAACTGCATCAACTAATGAGCAAAATAACCAGCTAACATCATAATGACAGGATCAAATTCACACATGACAATATTAACTTTAAATGTAAATGGGCTAAATGCTCCAATTAAAAGACACAGACTGGCAAATTGGATCAAGAGTCAAGACCCATCAGTGTGCTATATACAGGAAACCCATCTCATGTGCAGAGACACACATAGGCTCAGAATAAAGGGATGGAGGAAGATCTACCAAGCAAATGGAAAACAAAAAAAGGCAGGGGTTGCATTCCTAATCTCTGATGAACCAGACTTTCAACCAACAAAGATCAAAAGAGACAAAGAAGGCCACTACATAATGGTAAAGGGATCAATTCAACAAGAAGAGCTAACTATCTAAATATATATGCACCCAATACAGGAGCACCCAGATTCATAAAGGAAGTCCTCAGTGACCTATACAGAGACTTAGACTCCCACACAATAATAATGGGAGACTTTAACACCCCACTGTCAATATTAGACAGATCAACAAGACAGAAAGTTAACAAGGCTACCCAGGAATTGAACTCAGCTCTGCACCAAGCTGACCTAATAGACATCTACAGAACTCTCCACCCCAAACCAACAGAATATACATTTTTTTCAGCACCATACCACACCTACTCCAAAATTGACCACATATTTGGAAGTAAAGCTCTCCTCAGCAAATGTAAAAGAACAGAAATTATAACAAAATGTCTCTCAGACCACAGTGCAATCAAACTGGAACTCAGGATTAAGAAACTCACTCAAAACCGCTCAACTACATGGAAACTGAACAACCTGCTCCTGAATGACTACTGGGTACATAACGAAATGAAGGCAGAAATAAAGATGTTCTTTGAAACCAACGAGAACAAAGATACAACATACCAGAATCTCTGGGACACATCCAAAGCAGTGTGTAGAGGGAAATTTATAGCACTAAATGCCCACAAGAGAAAGCAGGAAAGATCTAAAATTGACACCCTAACATCACAATTAAAAGAACTAGAAAAGCAAGAGCAAACACATTCAAATGCTAGCAGAAGGCAAGAAATAACTAAGATCAGAGTAGAACTGAAGGAAATAGAGACACAAAAAACCCTTCAAAAATCAATGAATACAAGGAGCTGGTTTTTTGAAAAGATCAACAAAATTGATAGACCGCTAGCAAGACTAATAAAGAAGAAAAGAGAGAAGAATCAAATAGACACAATAAAAAATGATAAAGGGGATATCACCACCAATCCCACAGAAATACAAACTACCATCAGAGAATACTACAAACACCTCCACACAAATAAACTAGAAAATCTACAAGAAATGGATAAATTCCTTGACACATACATCCTCCCAAGACTAAACCAGGAAGAAGTTGAATCTCTGAATAGACCAATAACAGGCTCTGAAATTGAGGCAATAATCAATAGCTTACCAACCAAAACAAGTCCAGGATCAGATGGATTCACAGCCGAATTCTACCAGAGGTACAAAGAGGAGCTTTTACCATTCCTTCTGAAACTATTCCAATCAACAGAAAAAGAGGGAATCCTCCCTAACTCGCTTTATGAGGCCAACATCCTGATACCAAAGCCTGGCAGAGACACAACCAAAAGAGAGAATTTTAGACCAATATCATTGATGAACATTAATGCAAAAATCCTCAATAAAATACTGGTAAACCGAATCCAGCAGCACATCAAAAAGCTTATCCACCATGATCAAGTGGGCTTCATCCCTGGAATGCAGGGCTGGTTCAGCATATGCAAATCAATAAATGTAATCCAGCATATAAACAGAACCAAAGACAAAAACCACATGATTATCTCAATAGATGCAGAAAAGGTCTTTGACAAAATTCAACAACCCTTCATGCTAAAAACTCTCAATAAATTAGGTATTGATGGGATGTATCTCAAAATAATAAGAGCTATCTATGAGAAACCCACAGCCAATATCATACTAAATGGGCAAAAACTGGAAGCATTCCCTTTGAAAATGGGCACGAGACAGGGATGCCCTCTCTCACCACTCCTATTCAACATAGTGTTGGAAGTTCTGGCCAGGGCAATCGGGCAGGAGAAGGAAACAAAAGGTATTCAATTAGGAAAAGAGGAAGTCAAATTGTCCCTGTTTGCAGATGACATGATTGTATATCTAGAAAACCCCATTGTCTCAGCCCACAATCTCCTCAAGCTGATAAGCAACCTTAGCAAAGTCTCAGGATACAAATTCAATGTACAAAAATCACAAGCATTCTTATACACAAATAACAGACAAACAGAGAGCCAAATCATGAGTGAACTCCCATTCACTCATGAGTGAACTCCCGTTGCTTCAAAGAGAATAAAATACCTAGGAATCCAACTTACAAGGGATGTGAAGGACCTCTTCAAGGAGAACTACAAACCACTGCTCAAGGAAATAAAAGAGGATACAAACAAATGGAAGAACATTCCATGCTCATGGGTAGGAAAAATCAATATCATGAAAATGGCCATACTGCCCAAGGTAATTTATAGATTCAATGCCATCCCCATCAAGCTACTAATGAGTTTCTTCACAGAATTGGAAAAAACTACTTTAAAGTTCATATGGAACCAAAAAAGAGCCCTCATCGCCAAGTCAATCCTAAGCCAAAAGAACAAAGCTGGAGGCATCACACTACCTGACTTCAAACTATACTACAAGGCTACAGTAACCAAAACAGCATGGTACTGGTACCAAAACAGAGATATAGATCAATGGAACAGAGCAGAGCCCTCAGAAATAATGCCGCATATCTACAACCATGTGATCTTCGACAAACCTGACAAAAACAAGCAATGTGGAAAGGATTCCCTATTTAGTAAATGGTGCTGGGAAAACTGGCTAGCCATATGTAGAAAGCTGAAACTGGATCCCTTCCTTACACCTTATGCAAAAATTAATTCAAGATGGATCAAAGACTTACATGTTCAACTTAAACCATAAAAACCCTAGAAGAAAACCTAGGCAATACCATTCAGGACATAGGCATGGGCAAGGACTTCATGTCTAAAACACCAAAAGCAATGGCAACAAAAGCCAAAATTGACAAATGGGATCTAATTAAACTAAAGAGCTTCTGAACAGCAAAAGGAACTACCATCAGAGTGAACAGGCAACCTACAAAATGGGAGAAAATTTTTGCATCCTACTCATCTGACAAAGGGCTAATATCCAGAATCTACAATGAACTCAAACAAATTTACAAGAAAAAAACAAACAACCCCATCAAAAAGTGGGTGAAGGATATGAATAGACACTTCTCAAAAGAAGACATTTATGCAGCCAGAAAACACATGAAAAAATGCTCATCATCACTGTCCATCAGAGTAATGCAAATCAAAACCACAATGAGATACCATATCACACCAGTTAGAATGGCAATCATTAAAAAGTCAGGAAACAACAGGTGCTGTAGAGGATGTGGAGAAATAGGAACACTTTTATACTGTTGGTGGGACTGTAAACTAGTTCAACCATTGTGGAAGTCAGTGTGGCAATTCCTCAGGGATCTAGAACTAGAAATACCATTTGACCCAGCCATCCCATTACTAGGTATATACCCAAAAGATTATAAATCATGCTTCTATAAAGACACATGCACACGTATGTTTATTGTGGCACTAATCACAATAGCAAAGACTTGGAACCAACCCAAATGTCCAACCAACCCAAATGTCCAAGGATAGACTGGATTAAGCTAATGTGGCACATATACACCATGGAATACTATGCAGCCATAAAAAATGATGAGTTCATGTCCTTTGTAGGGACATGGATGAAACTGGAAACCATCATTCTCAGCAAACTACCACAAGGACAAAAAACCAAACACCGCATGTTCTCACTCATAGGTGGGAATTGAACAATGAGAATGCATGGACACAGCAAGGGGAACATCACACACTGGGGACTGTTGTGGGGTGGGGGAAGGGGGGAGGGATAGCATTAGGAGATATACCTAATGCTAAATGATGAGTTAGTGGGTGCAGCACACCAACATGGCACATGTATACATATGTAACAAACCTGCACATTGTGCACATGTACCCTAAAACTTAAAGTATAATAATAATAAAATAAAAAAATAAAAAAAGAAGTCTAACTGTACACAGAAGGATGACTGGTTTGATTTCTTAAAATCAGGGTCAGATCAGATAATGAAATAGATATAAAATGGCAAGGAGGTCATGCCTGCTTTGAATTTCATGTTATGTCATATCCATACTCAAGGTGTTATACTTGTGAAGAGTTCCTACAGGGCTTCTCATTTAGAATGCATTAGAATCACCTGGTGGGATTTGTACAACAGCGATTCCTGAGTCCTGCTCCTGGGATTCTAATTCCTGGGATCTGGTGTTGGGGGTGAGAATTTGTGTTTCTGGATAGATCGTAGGTGATGCTGATGCTGTTGGTCCATGGATTACACTTGGGTAGCACTGCCCTAGAGAACATCAACTTTAATTTTGTTGTATTATCCAGCCTATGACTTGTTCTAATGGTTCTGTTTACCGAGGTCTTAGTTGAGAAAGGCATTAAAGTGTAACAGCTAAGATTGTGATTAGCGGAGCCATGCCTAGTTTTGAATCCTGGCTCTCCTCATTACTGTAGTTGTGTGACACTGGGAAGTTACGTAGCCACTCCTTTATTTGGTACCATTAAGTGTAAGATCAGAATCATAATAATAATACTTGTTTCTTAGGTTAAGAGGATTGAGGTCATTCATGTAAAGTACCTGGTGGCACAGGGGAGCCTACCTCAGAGTAAATTCTCAAAAGATGTCTGTTTCTGGCTGGGCATGGTGGCTCACGCCTGTAATCCCAGTACTTTGGGAGGCCAAGGCGGGCAGATCCCGAGGTCAAGAGATCGAGACCATCCTGTTTAACACGGTGAAACCCCGTCTCTACTAAAAATACAAAAAAAAAAAAAAAAAAAGCCTGGCATGGTAGCACACACCTGTGGTCCCAGCTACTTGGGAGGCTGAGGCAGGAGAATGGTGTGAACCCGGGAGGTGGAGCTTGCAGTGAGCCGAGATCCCGGCACTGCACGCCAGCCTGGGCGACAGAGCATGACTCCATCTCAGGAAAAAAAAAAAAAAAAAAGATGTCTGTTTTAATTCATGGTTATAGTTTGGATGGGGAAGAATGGTAAGAAATTAAGCTAATAATCTAGCTCTGGCTCTAGAGTCTTTAAATTATATCACCCACTACTCTACTACTCACTCTAGGACATTTCCCCTCATTTCTTGACAATTTTAGCATCTGGCTCATTGTCACTCTCTATAATATCGCAAGAATAGCTTCATTCTTGGAAATTCCAATGTTCTCATAGATGATCCTCCTAACATCCAGGCTTCTCTGTTCCTTGAGCTCTTCTCTGCCAGTGATCTGTCCTCCACATTCCCTCCACTCCTCGTTCTCATGGTCATATTCTAGAATTTATTCAGTAGTCTCCACCCATCTCTAATCTCGATTTCACTTACTCTACTCTGACCAAAACTTGCTACCTTCTCAGCTCACCCCTCCTGGTGCCTCAGTTCATCCAGTCCTGTGACCCCTAAGAGCTTTCCGTTGATCCTATCATCTCCCATTCTCTCTTGTCTTTCTGATGCCATCTCTCTTCATCTTACTTGGGTTAAGTTTCATGGGCAATTGCTATAATCACTACTGGTGCACATTCTGTCAATTCCCTGCCCAGTCCGTGCGACACCCATGCAGTTGAACTTGGCTGTAGCAAAGCTCATAGCCACACTAACAGACTTTACTCTCATGTCTCTGAACCTTAACTGACTCAGCAATCTTTCCATCTTGCACTAGTCCATCCACTGTCCTACTCTCCTAGAACATGCTTTCTTTACTGGATGCTTTCTTTATTTCAAGACACCTCAATGTACATGTTGTTTAAATGCCCTGGTCATGTTCCTTGGGCCTTTCCCCTTTAGTCCACCTTCCATCTGCCAGTGTCTGTACTCTTTGGCTTATGGCTTTTCTCCAAATAGAAAGCTGCTCTGCCCATGTACACAGCAGGCTGACCATGGTGAGGAATGAACAGCACCCAGGCAGATCTCCACACTTCCCATCCTGGTCCAAGCCTCCCAGATTACTGCAGTGGCCATGGACTTGCCTCCTTCTTTCATCTTAGTTCCCCAGTTATCTGCAGAGGAACTCAGCGGAGTGGTTAGGAAAATGCATTTAAAACTTAGATCAGACTACATCATTTATCTGCTCAATATTCTGCGATGGTTCCCCATGCTCTTCAAAGTGATGGTCTAAGTTGTTACAATGGCTGTCATTCTTACCTGATTCTTGTTGCCTTTCTGGCCTTATTTCCTAATCCTCACCCCCTGATTCACTCTGCTCAGGCCACATTGACCTTCTTGGTGTTCTTCCAACACACCAGGCACGCTCCTACCTTACAGCATTTACACTGGCTGTTTTCTCTTCCTAGAAGCCATTCCACAGAAATCAGAGGACTCCTTCACTTTTTTTCAAGTTTTGCTCAAACACCCCCTCAATTAGACCTACATTGACCATCCTATTTAAAATTACAATCTTCCCTGAACCCGTTAACATTCCCCTTCACCCACACCCTACTCAACTTTTCCTGCTCAACTTCTCCTTATTGCCACAGCATGTATCTCCTTCTGCCACTCCATAAAAAGTATTTATTTCTTCTGTCTCCACCTACCAAAAGCAGGAATCTTTGTTTTGTCTGCTGATGAATTCCTAGGGACTACACAGTGCCTGGTGCAGAGTGTATGCTTAATAAACATATTTAATAATAATAATAAAACTCCCCAGTTCAGGTTGTGAAGAGTTTTGAACACCCTGCTACATTATAATTCAGATTTTACCCTTTAGGCCATTAGAAGTCTTTCCAAGCTTTTGAGTGAGCAAATGAGAGATCAACTGCATATCTTAGAGTCCTAACTCTGCTGCATTAGGTGAATGAATGGAGAATGGATTGTAAGGGACAGAGAATGCAGGCAAGAGCGGAAGGAGCAAAATAACATTGTTGAGCACTTATTAAGAGTCAGACACATCAGCCAGTGCTGATGACACAACAGTGAATGATATGGTTTGGCTATGTGACCCTACCCAAATCCTACCTTGAATTGTAATAATCCCATATTGTGTGTGGGACCGGTGGGAGGTAAATCAATCATGGGGGCAGGTTTTTCCCATGCTGTTCTCATGATAGTGAATAAGTCTCACGAGATCTGATGATTTTATAAAGTGGAGTACCCTGCACATGCTCTCTTGCCTGCCACCATGTAAGACATGACTTTGCTCCTCTTTCACCTTCTGCCATGATTGTAAGACCTCCTCAGCTGTGTGGAATTGTGAATCCATTAAACCTCTTTCCTTTATAAATTACCCAGCCTCTGGTATGTCTTTATTAGCAGTGTGAGAACAGACTAGTTCAGTAAACAAAACTTGCCTGGTCCTCATGAAGCTTGCGTTGAGGGTGGCTGGGTGGGTGGATGAAAAAAGGAAGAGTGGCAGTAGGTGGAAAATAAAGAATTATACACATATGTAGGCAGAAACTCCAAGTCCCAGTATAGAAAGGTAAGTGATGCTATGAGAAGAGATAGCAGTGAAGCTAAATTTCACCTGGGGAATAAGGAAAGGCCTCTTGAACACATGAAGTTTCAGGGAGAACTGAAGGCTGAATAGGAGTGAGCCAAGTTAAGAAGGGAAATGAGTGCATTACAGGAGACAGTGGGCAGGAAGGAGTTGTGGAGCAAGAACCCTTGGCACTTCCTAGGAACTGAAGGAGTCTGTGAGCTGGATACCAGAGAGGGTGGTGGGAGGTGAGCCTGGGGAGGTGAGTGGGTCAGATTTCACTGTACATCATGTTTATTCCAAATCTAGTGAGAGAATGGGAAGAGCCAGAACTCACTTGAGGCTTCTAGCCCCATCTATGCTTCACCATACCTGTGTCTCCATGGCCTTCCCTGGTTCTGGGCCCAGGCAGGTGCTCTGCCCCCATCTGTGGATCCCAGGAACACATCAACCAAAGCACAGAATACCCAGTGGGCTTGAGTTTATGCTTCATTTTAGTTGCCTGAGTTGAAGTGACTCCCATTAAATAGTGAAGATTGGAAGAAAAGACTTCTGTGTTCCCATTTCAGTTCATCTTTACCTTTACAAAGTGGAAAACTTCTCCGATACCTGAGACCAGGAATGCCAATAATAGCAGTTCACAGCTTCTTCCTCCAAAAAGTGCCCAAAGCGCACACTGTCCCCACAGGCCAAGGCTTTCTGCTGTAGTCCAAGCCGTACTTCAGAACCGGGAGGCTTTGGGCCCCACTTTTTTTAGGTAATGTTCTGTGAGCATTCTAAACACAGCCTAGAGTAAAAAATGTTGATTATCTTGATTGTGGATATGGTCTTATGGGTTTATGCACATATCGACATTTATGAAATTGTATTTCATGTCACTTAAACCTCAACAATGCTGTGAAAAAAGACGTTTAAGATATATTTTTGCCACTTCTGTATTTGGTGCTTCAGTTACATTAGCCAAGAAAATAAAATAATGAATGAAATCACGCTAAAAGTTAATCAAAATGAAAAATCAAATCTCTTGCCTTTATGAAACACAAACAATGGGAAAATGGGTCACAGAGTCACATTCTTTTTGCTGCATTTTCCTATAACTCACACTACCGGGAGTAATTAAACTGGATTAGTGACATTTCATTTAAAGGGAGAACAAGTCCCAGTATAAGCAAAATGCTAAAAATCAACTATCATATCATTCTGTTGTTCTAAGTAGTGTGGATATGCTGAATAATTGCTTGTTATTTGAGAATCCTTCTGCTTCTTAGAAGATTTAACCTGCACCTTATGAACTGGAAGTGTTTAAAGCATTTGCTTTCACTGGGGATTGGCAGGCAATGGAGAATGTAGATACTGGGAATGGAGCAGGAATTTAGTGTAGCTCCTTCCCTACTGCCTCCCACTCCTAAGCCAGAAGAAATGTTTAGTCAGTGAATTTCAACTGTTGGCAGCAAGTCTGTACGTTAAGAAAGTGATTTGAAGTAAACCTTAATTATGCCCAGGGTTGTCCTCTCTTTACTCATGTGGCCTCTCCCCTCTTCCACCATCCAGGAGAAGGAATTCTCTTGCACCTTATCCAGGGAGGAAGACAAAAAGAAGGAGTCCCTGGGAAATCTTGGTGCTCAGTATCAGACAGATCACTCTTTAATTTTCCAAAAGAGAAATTACCCTGAAGGGATGCAATGACAGGAGAGGAGGTTAGAGGCTGAAGTCCCTTGGGGAAGAAAGCTATCAGGATTTAGATAGGAAGTCAGGGTCTAATCACCAGACCTAGATCCAAAAATGACCCAATCTTAGGAGGAAATTGGCAATAATATCAGAACCAAGTTAGAAGCACATTCTAAAGATAAAATCCAGGAAGATGCAAACCCATGCACAGAGTTTACTCTAGAAGGAGCCTCACATGACACAAGTCATTTAGAAGCAGAGAACACCCCCATTGGGCAGGTACTGCTACTATCTTGTCTTTGACTCTTAGGGAAAAATCCAGGAGATAGAGCTTTGATATTCAATAGTTGGGTAGGGGAATGTAGGTTGCGATCACGAATTATTTTATGAGCATATTTGTAGAACTCAGACTCGGCCAGGAGAGCATGGGCTAAATTTCTTTTCTTTCCCCTAATTTTCATCTTTTTAAAATTCAAAATAGAAGAGGTTTACATTAAGGGTTTTCTCTCTTAACTTGTGGTATTTAATTTTGTTTATATAGATGTAGAAAGACAGCAGTCTGAAAAGACCCAAAAGATAGTCTTAACATTTTTGGAATACAATATATTTCTTTCTGGACTCAGAATACAATTTTAATATAACAGCCTGTAATGAGGACAGAATCCATTAGTTAAATAAATAAACCATTAGAATGATAGCAAAAGTGCCAGTTTAGGTAAACTTACTTTGAGGCAGATGGTGGCTGATTCTTGGACAAAAGATAGAGAATAAAATTACCAACACAGCCCTGAAGCTAAGAAAACTCAGGACAAATTTGGAGCAATTCAGCAGCTTCATTATACGATAATGTTTCATATTCTTAATTAGTACCCTTTCCATTTCCCACAAAAGAAAAACAAAGTTCATTCTGCTCAGAAATGGTCTCAATTTAGTATTCATTAGTTTATAAGCTAAAATTGAGCATTGTGGTTTTCTCTGGTAAATTCAAAAGTTTATCAGTTTGCTTATTATTTGCTTAAATAGGTTTCTTACTGATTTTTTACTTTAAAAAATTGATGTTAAATTAGAAAATATTTTTATAGTATTACTCAGAACAATATGTTGAGATTTTGTTTGAAAAGTTTACCCCACAGATTGTAATTGTTTGAAGTTCATTCCTGAAAATCAAAATGTTCTGGGATTTAAGTAAAATTAACCTTTCTTAATGGGCTATTATTGAAACACAATCGTGGTTTATTTTCAAAGCTCACACTTGTTTCAAATGGGGCTTTCTCATTTGCATCAGATTTCTGAGTTCTTCCTGCAGTCCTTTTTTTTTTTTTTTGAGGAGTCGTCTCAGTCTGGAGTGCAGTGCCATGATCTCAACTCGCTGCAACCTCTGCCTCCCGGGTTCAAGTGATTCTTCTGCCTCAGCCTCCCAGATAGCTGCGATTACAAGTGCCAGCCACCATGCTTGGCTAATTTTTGTATTTTTAGTAAAGACAGGCTTTCACTATGTTGGTCAGCCTGGTCTCGAACTCCTGACCTCAAGTGAACTGCCTGCCTTGACCTCCCTAAGTGCTGGGATTAGAGGCGTGAGCCACCACACCCAGCCAGGTCCTTATGATTTATACAGACATAAAGCAGAAGGAAACAATTTGCCTGAAAGAAAGCTGAGTGGGATTCATTTATATACTGAGGCTCTCATTCTCAAAATAATTATGTGCCATTTGTATACTTCTACATGGTTTATAGTAAAATGGAAAAAAGATGCAGTCATCCAGTACATATAGAAAACCCTTTTATTGAAACCCTACAAGCCAGAAGAGAGTGGGGGCCAATATTCAACATTCTTAAAGAAAAGAATTTTCAACCCAGAATTTCATATCCAGCCAAACTAAGCTTCATAAGTGAAGGAGAAATAAAATCCTTTACAGACAAGCAAATGTTGAGAGATTTTGTCACCACCAGGCCTGCCCTAAAAGAGCTCCTGAAGGAAGCGCTAAACATGGAAAGGAACAACCGGTACCAGCCGCTGCAAAATCATGCCAAAATGTAAAGACCATCGAGACTAGGAAGAAACTGCATCAACTAACGAGCAAAATCACCAGCTAACATCATAATGACAGGATCAAATTCACACATAACCATATTAACTTTAAATGTAAATGGACTAAATGCTCCAATTAAAAGACACAGACTGGCAAATTGGATAAAGAGTCAAGACCCACCAGTGTGCTGTATTCAGGAAACCCATCTCACATGCAGACACACACATAGGCTCAAAATAAAAGGATGGAGGAAGATCTACCAAGCTAATGGAAAACAAAAAAAGGCAGGGGTTGCAATCCTAGTCTCTGATAAAACAGACTTTAAACCAACAAAGATCAAAAGAGACAAACAAGGCCATTACATAATGGTAAAGGGATCAATTCAACAAGAAGAGCTAACTATCCTAAATATATATGCACCCAATACAGGAGCACCCAGATTCATAAAGCAAGTCCTGAGTGACCTACAAAGAGACTTAGACTCCCACACATTAATAATGGGAGACTTTAACACCCCACTGTCAACATTAGACAGATCAACGAGACAGAAAGTCAACAACAATACCCAGGAATTGAACTCAGCTCTACACCAAGCGGACCTAATAGACATCTACAGAACTCTCCACCCCAAATCAACAGAATATACATTTTTTTCAGCACCACACCACACCTATTCCAAAATAGACCACATACTTGGAAGTAAAGCTCTCCTCAGCAAATGTAAAAGAACAGACATTATAACAAACTATCTCTCAGACCACAGTGCAATCAAACTAGAACTCAGAATTAAGAATCTCACTCAAAACCGCTCAACTACATGGAAACTGAACAACCTGCTCCTGAATGACTACTGGGTACATAACGAAATGAAGGCAGAAATACAGATGTTCTTTGACACCAACGAGAACAAAGACACAACATACCAGAATCTCTGGGACGCATTCAAAGCAGTGTGTAGGGGGAAATTTATAGCACTAAATGCCCACAAGAGAAAGCAGGAAAGATCCAAAATTGACACCCTAACATCACAATTAAAAGAACTAGAAAAGCAAGAGCAAACACATTCAAAAGCTAGCAGAAGGCAAGAGATAACTAAAATCAGAGCAGAACTGAAGGAAATAGAGACACAAAAAACCCTTCAAAAAATTAATGAATCCAGGAGCTGGTTTTTTGAAAGAATCAACAAAATTGATAGACCGCTAGCAAGACTAATAAAGAAAAAAAGAGAGAAGAATCAAATAGACACAATAAAAAATGATAAAGGGGATATCACCACCGATCCCACAGATATAAAAACTACCATCAGAGAATACTACAAACACCTCTACACAAATAAACGAGAAAATCTAGAAGAAATGGATAAATTCCTCGACACATACACTCTCCCAAGACTAAACCAGGAAGAAGTTGAATCTCTGAAGAGACCAATAACAGGAGCTGAAATTGTGGCAATAATCAATAGTCTACCAACCAAAAAGAGTCCAGGACCAGATGGATTCACAGCCAAATTCTACCAGAGGTACAAGGAGGAACTGGTACCATTCCTTCTGAAACTATTCCAATCAATAGAAAAAGAGGGAATCCTCCCTAACTCACTTTATGAGGCCAGCATCATTCTGATACCAAAGCTGGGCAGAGACACAACCAAAAAAGAGAATTTTAGACCAATATCCTTGATGAACATTGATGCAAAAATCCTCAATAAAATACTGGCAAAACGAATCCAGCAGCACATCAAAAAGCTTATCCACCATGATCAAGTGGGCTTCATCCCTGGGATGCAAGGCTGGTTCAATATACACAAATCAATAAATGTAATCCAGCATATAAACAGAGCCAAAGACAAAAACCACATGATTATCTCAATAGATGCAGAAAAGGCCTTTGACAAAATTCAACAACCCTTCATGCTAAAAACTCTCAATAAATTAGGTATTGATGGGATGTATCTCAAAATAATAAGAGCTATCTATGACAAACCCACAGCCAATATCATACTGAATGGGCAAAAACTGGAAGCATTCCCTTTGAAAACTGGCACAAGACAGGAATGCCCTCTCTCACCACTCCTATTCAACATAGTGTTGGAAGTTCTGGCCAGGGCAATTAGGCAGGAGAAGGAAACAAAAGGTATTCAATTAGGAAAAGAGGAAGTCAAATTGTCCCTGTTTGCAGATGACATGATTGTATATCTAGAAAACCCCATCGTCTCAGCCCAAAATCTCCTTAAGCTGATAAGCAACTTCAGCAAAGTCTCAGGATACAAAATCAATGTACAAAAATCACAAGCATTCTTATACACCAATAACAGACAAACAGAGAGCCAAATCATGAGTGAACTCCCATTCACAATTGCTTCAAAGAGAATAAAATACCTAGGAATCCAACTTACAAGGGATGTGAAGGACCTCTTCAAGGAGAACTACAAACCACTGCTCAATGAAATAAAGGAGGATACAAACAAATGGAAGAACTTTCCATGCTCATGGGTAGGAAGAATCAATATCGTGAAAATGGCCATACTGCCCAAGGTAATTTACAGATTCAATGCCATCCCCATCAAGCTACCAATGACTTTCTTCACAGAATTGGAAAAAACTACTTTAAAGTTCATATGGAACCAAAAAAGAGCCTGCATCACCAAGGCAATCCTAAGCCAAAAGAACAAAGCTGGAGGCATCACACTACCTGACTTCAAACTATACTACAAGGCTACAGTAACCAAAACAGCATGGTACTGGTACCAAAACAGAGATATAGATCAATGGAACAGAGCAGAGCCCTCAGAAATAACGCCACATATCTACAACTATCTGATCTTTGACAAACCTGAGAAAAACAAGCAATGGGGAAAGGATTCCCTATTTAATAAATGGTGCTGGGAAAACTGGCTAGCCATATGTAGAAAGCTGAAACTGGATCCCTTCCTTACACCTTATACAAAAATCAATTCAAGATGGATTAAAGACTTAAACGTTAGACCTAAAACCATAAAAACCCTAGAAGAAAACCTAGGCATTACCATTCAGGACATAGGCATGGGCAAGGACTTCATGTCCAAAATACCAAAAGCAATGGCAATAAAAGACAAAATTGACAAATGGGATCTAATTAAACTAAAGAGCTTCTGCACAGCAAAAGAAACTACCATCAGAGTGAACAGGCGACCTACCTAATGGGAGAAAATTTTCGCAACCTACTCATCTGAGAAAGGGCTAATATCCAGAATCTACAATGAACTCAAACAAATTTACAAGAAAAAAAACAAACAACCCCATCAAAAAGTGGGTGAAGGACATGAACAGACACTTCTCAAAAGAAGACATTTATGCAGCCAAAAACACATGAAAAAATGCTCATCATCACTGGCCATCAGAGAAATGCAAATCAAAACCACAATGAGATACCATCTCACATCAGTTAGAATGGCAATCATTAAAAAGTCAGGAAACAACAGGTGCTGGAGAGGATGTGGAGAAATAGGAACACTTTTACACTGTTGGTGGGACTGTAAGCTAGTTCAACCCTTGTGGAAGTCAGTGTGGCGATTCCTCAGGGATCTAGAACTAGAAATACCATTTGACCCAGCCATCCCATTACTGGGTATATACCCAAAGGACTATAAATCATGCTGCTATAAAGACACATGCACACGTATGTTTATTGTGGCATTATTCACAATAGCAAAGACTTGGAACCAAGCCAAATGTCCAACAATGATAGACTGGATTAAGAAAATGTGGCACATATACACCATGGAATACTATGCAGCCATAAAAAATGATGAGTCCATGTCCTTTGTAGGGACATGGATGAAATTGGAAATCATCATTCTCAGTAAACTGTCACAAGAACAAAAAACCAAACACCGCATATTCTCACTCATAGGTGGGAACTGAGCAATGAGATCACATGGACACAGGAAGGGGAATATCACACTCTGGGGACTGTGGTGGGGTGGGGGGAGGGGGGAGGGATAGCATTGGGAGATATACCTAATGCTAGATGACGAGTTAGTGGGTGCAGCGCACCAGCATGGCACATGTATACATATGTAACTAACCTGCACAATGTGCACATGTACCCTAAAACTTAAAGTACAATAAAAAAAAAAACCCTAACAGAAAACCCTTTCATTAAAAAGTGCTGTTGGTAGTACAATGTGGTAGGCAGAATAGCCCCCCAAAATTGTGTCCTAATCCTTGAAATCTCTAAATAGGTGACATGACAAAGAAGAATTTAAGTTGCAGTGGGGTTGAGGTTGCTCACTGGCTGACACTGAGTTGAGGGGATTATTCTGGTCCAATACAGTCACAAGGGTACTTGTAAATAGAAGAGGACGGTGGATGAGTTGGAGTCAGAGGGAGATTTGAGGATGCCACGTGGCTGGCTCTGAAGTTGCAGGAAAGGGCCATATGCCAAGGGATGCAGATTTCTTCTAAAAGGTGGGAAAGGCAAGGAAAGATTCTCTTCTAGAGCCTCCATAAGGAACACAATCCTGCTGACAACTTGACTTTAGCTCATTGGGACCTAATCGAAAACTATAAAATAGTTTAAATATAAAATATAGGATAGTTTTAAATAAGACACTTTTCAATTGGTTCTCAATGAGCTAAAATCAAGCCCAGTAAGTTTGTGGTAATTTGTTACAACAGCAATCAGAAATTAATACTGATAATATATGGTAGCATCTTGAGATGCCCAGCAAACCTGCTAATATTGTTCATTCAAACCTTTTCTTCCATCTTCAGCAGTCATATTCTGAGTTCCTGCTATGAGCCAGGCAGGGTTACAAAGAGGACAGAAAACATTGTCCCTGTCTCCCAGGAAGTTTACAGTCTCACATGGAAAACAAACTCATAAACACATAGATACAACCATGTGAAATAACTATTTTCTTTATTTTATTTGTATTTTTAAATTAGAGACAAGATCTATTTTGCCCAGGTTGGTCTTGAATTCCTGATCTCAAGCAATCTTCCTGCCTTGGCCTCCCAAAGTGCTGGGATTACAGGCATGAGCCGCCACACCTGGCCTGAAATAACTATTTTGTGAATGACATTTAACACACCTCCAAAGAGTAAGCGCCTATGTAACAACATGGGCTTCCAAAATGAAAACAAATCATTTAGCCTTTTGCTCCACAATTTATCTGAATAAATAAAGAATAATACATTTCACCAAGTGCAATTTCAGAAATAAAGACGATGCCCTTGAATGATGTGCCCAGTTATTGCTAATCAGGCCTTTAGATCTAGGACCAACTTTGCAGGCAAAAAGTGGAGCAGAAGATTCATCACAGGTGACCTTTGGGCCAAGCAAGGATCCCCAGGGCCTTAGTTGGTGCTTTGTGGCAAGGTTTCTGTTTGTTTTGTTACCAGGGATCACTTCCTTCTCCTCATAAGTTATTTTAGCTGTAGGTGAAACTGTAAAGAAAGCTAGCTTGCCCCACATTTTTACCCGTTTCAAAAACCTTCTTGGTAATCTAACCTTCTTGCTTACCCACAAATTCTCTTTACTGCAGTTGTACCCCTGTGGTAAAGTTATCTGAATGTAATCGATACTCATGTTACTGATTTGATATGTCACACCTTCAAAGCATACTAAAAGTGACCAATACGGAATTCATGCCAAAGGAATTAATTACTGCAGCTAAAATAACAAGCACTGTGATCAAAGGGGGAAGGGAAGAGCTAGGTACAAATTTTATGTGGTTGAATCAAACCACATAGGGAACCTCATCAGGTAATCCTGAGGCTAGCCATTCCAGCTAGATCTAGAAGAAGACTGTAGAACAAGAGCAATATTGAAATATGTTTCCATAAAATGAAATATTATGTATTTCGAAAGTTAAAAATACTGATTATAGGCTAATCATAACAATCTAATTCTAAAACTGGGGAAAAAAACAAACTGGAAGCTGATGCACATTCAGAAAATAATCATATGTCTTAGGAGAATTAACTGCTTTATGATGTGAACAATTTGAAATACTATGCACTCTTCTTAGAAAAACAACAAAGCCTTGTGGTCAAGTTTAGAAGAATTGTCTTCAACATCAATTAACACAATTTTTTCCCTGTTTCTTTTTTGCAAACTGGTTCAGAAATTATACTTGTCAAGTTATTATTATTATTATTATTATTATTATTATTATTATTTTACCAGAGTCACATTGGGTTGCCCAGGCTGGAGTGCAGTGGCATGATCTTGGTTCACTGCAACCTCTGCCTCCTGGGTTCAAGCGATTATCGTGCCTCAGTCTCCAAGTAGGTGGGATTACAGGTGCCCATGACCACGCCTGGCAAATTTTTGTATTTTTAGTAGAGATGGGGTTTCTTCTTGTTGGCCAGGCTGGTCTCAAACTCCTGACCTCAAGTGATCCGTCCGCCTCGGCCTCTTAAAGTGCTGAGATTACAGGTGTAAGCCACTGCACCCAGACAAATTACTCTTAACTGCATGATTGATATAGCTGAAAATGTGGTCTTTGATAATTATAATAATGTACCTAATAGTTTTTTTAAATGGTTTTCTCCCTTCAGTTATGCAGTGCCCTTAGAAATAATCTTCTATATGGAAGGCAAATGATTTGCTTCTCAGAGAACTGAATAAATGACTTGATAAATATTTCACCGAGTGTTTGTAAATATTATATTAGTCCATCACTAATTCTTTGATACATACATTGACTCCCAGGGAGTCTTTGCTTTCTGATAGAATTTGTTTTCATAAAATAAATGGAAACAATAACTATATCATGATATTATATCAACAAATACTGAAAGGCTTAAAGAATAAAGGTTTATATTTAAACTATAGAGTTACCAGCATGAAAACGTCCTTTCTAATCTAAAAGTCCAGGAGACAATAGTAGGAATATGAACAATGACTAGATATTCTTCCTTTTACTTTAAAGAAAAAGGAATGAAATGAAACACAGTTCACACCATTTTTCAATTGTTCTAACTTAGTCTTCAGAAGTTCGGAACAGCAACCATTGTCATGAAAATCTTGTGAAAGGAAAAATCACTCCAAGGAAAAAAGTGGTTATATAGCCTTTCTACACTGAGAACAAAAAGGGGAAGGGCTAAGGAAGTAAAAGGAACCAAGATGTTTTTGTTAGATAAATAAGGGATATGGATGTGAAGGCATTGACCCTTTAAACATATTTTGCTCTTTTTTTTTTTTTTTTTTTTTTTGCCAAAAAAGTCACACATTTATTTTTGGTAAAAGTCACATGGTAAAATCTTTCTTTATGAAAAGAGGAAAATATGTGATAGTTATTATAGATTATGCACCTTAAATTCAATACCTGATAGAATGGGAAGGGCAGATGTCATTAAACACTAGGGACAAATAATTGGAAAACAAAAATGCTCTGTGGGTGGGAATACAGCAACCCAATTTTCTTCTCTGCTAGGCTGTGTAGGAAAAAAAAGCCTTTTACAAGAGACAAAAAAAAAAAAAAAAAAAGAGGCATAATCGATTTTCCTTACCCCTGGATTGTGAATTTGGCTTGTGACTTGCTTTGGGTAATAGATGGAGGCAGAAGTGAAGGGGGGCCAGTTCTTGATTTCTGCTTCCAACACCATGAGAAAGACAAGCGTGAGTGAGCCCACCAGCCCCAGGAGGAATGAGAGACACATGGGGTTGAGCTGCCCACCAAGCCTGCCCCAGAGCAGAACTGTTAGCCAATCCCCAGACCACAGGAAGGAGCCCAGCCACAATCAGCTATGCCCAGTGGAGGTAAACCAAGCCCCACTGGACCAGCTGATCTCCAGTCAACCCACAAATGTGTAAGTTCTAATAAATAATTGTTCAAGCCAGTAAGCATTGGAGTTTGTTATGCAGTAATACTTAATACATGATCCCTAGACATTACACCTTCTGTTTTTCACCACTAGGCTAAATTAACTGGTCTATATTATAAAAACTAGATTTCATTCCATCCTATTTTTGCTACCAGCATCTGTGGGGAAAGTATTTCAGTAATTTATTGTCATGCCTGTTCTGCCTCAGGTAGCAATAGGGCTTGCGATTATGAAAACTTAGAAAATAAATGATTTGTGCAGCTATTAAATTCCAAGATCCGAAATCTACTCACATTGGCTTCTAGAATATAAAAATCCTCCAAATCACAGGCTTTGATAAAAAAGGAAGTCAATCTATGAATACTCAAAATCTCTTTATAAGTTTGCTATTCTCTTTTAAACATTCCAAAGTTATTTATTTTGCATAAAATAGCTACATTGTTAAGGTAATTTGAATGTAGAAAGCTTTAAGAAAATTAAATAGGTAGATGGCATCATATTTGATAGAAGAGGGGATTATATTGCTAATTTGTATAATGAAAATTGCAAGGACCAATTTTTCATGAGGTTACACAGCTGGTATTACTTTCCCTTTAACTATCAAATACGTAAGAAGTTCATTTTATAGTGACTCTTCATCAATAGCTCATTGTAAATTTCCTAAAAATCAATTTTCCTCCTTCAGGACAAGAGATTTATATAGTAAAAATATCAAGGCAACCTATCTCCTATCCATGTAATTAAGAGCTCAAAAAAAGCACTTAAGAAATCAAAGAAAACCTATCTGAAAAGTACCAGAGGGAAACACTTCTCTATATGTCAAACCTGTTGACACAAATCAAAACAACAACTTTTTACAGGAGACTAAAAATATATACACCATTAATACACAATATGATGTAAACCAGTCAAATATTTCTTTAAAATTCATTTCTGAAGAATAAATTAGTCTGCTTCAATCTTTATTTACCTTTGACTTTATAAAGTTTTCAATTCTTGGTTCTTGGCATCTAAATATTGCTACTTAATAGAGGCCAAAAGAACTGCTGTGTATGCCATTCAAGTTCTGACAGATTTCCAATGAGCCTCTATATTTTGGACGGGAAAACACATCACCATAAGCATGCCTTGTATTTCCTATTTTTTTCATATACATCATAGTGAAGGCAGTAGTGCTTTAGTCATATAATTTCGGTCAAATCCTTTGAGGGGAAGGGTTTGCTTTTCCATAAAGCACATCTGGGAAGACAGTGTTGATCACAATCAACATGCTTCATGGTTATTAAATTAACTTATCCACCCATTCTTGTGACAAATATTTATTGAGGACATTTCTGTGCCAGAAACTTTTTTAGGATCTGGGAGACCTAACAGTGACCAAAACAAAGTCTTTGCTTTTATGGACAGACTACACACACACACACACACACACACACACACACACACGTTTCCTGATATTATCGCTATATGGGGTATGAAGAAAAATAAAATAAGAGAGACAGTCACTTATTCCCTTCAAACAACTCAAAGGATCTCAGCACATTGACTAATTCTCTCAGCATGCCATTTGAAACAAGGACGCTAAAAACTTAGGATGTACAAACAGAGCTGACTTTGCTACATGAATAAATGGCAAAGAGAAAAGCAATTTCAGGATACAAAAGTATGCAGACCCCATCCATTGACATCTAGTTTTTTAGTGCCACTGATTCTATCAACTGGAGTTAGAAATGAATGTTTCTAGGCAATTGGGGAATGAAGGAAGAATATGAAGGCATGGCCTCTGTTCAGGGACCTGTGTGAGGTGATGGGAGGAGAGGTTTTGAAAATGAGAATTGTTCAGCTGTGTTTCATTACTCTTCTCTTCCTTTAGCATGTTTTTATATTCAAGAAGAGCCTTCTAAACAAAAAAATAAATAAAAGAAACAGCTTTTTCCAGTGACTCTCGCACTGAAGTTTAGATGAAATCAAGCCTTTTGGTGCAGGCCCTTGTTTTAAAATCACACTTAGGCCGGGTGCGGTGGCTCACGCCTGTAATATCAGCACTTTGGGAGACCGAGTCGGGTGGATCCCGAGGTCAGCAGATCGAGACCATCCTGGCCAACACGGTGAAACCCCGTCTCTACTAAAAATACAAAAAGAAATTAGCCAGGCATGGTGGCAGGCGCCTGTAGTCCCAGCTACTCGGAAGGCTGAGGCAGGAGAATGCGTGAACCCGGGTGGCAGAGCTTGCAGTGAGCCGAGATCGTGCCACTGCACTCCAGCCTGGGTGACAGAGCTAGACTCCATCTCAAAAAAAAAAAAAAAAAAAAAAATCACACTTAAACACTTCAAGGTGAAGAATAACCTTAGCACAGATTCCTTCCGGGAAATTGGAGCTGTTGCTGCCTTGGTAGTCAACAAAAAGCAACTGCAAAGGTTGCTGACGTGGACTACGCCTGGTCCCTGGGTGCTAGCATATGATTGTACCCCATGATGCAACTGACAGCCACAAAGGTGCAGGAAACCAGCCCTCAGGCGGGTTGGCCTCCTGATACCCCTGCACCCAGCTACTGTCACCAACCAGCAGCCATTCTGCTTCCATCTCCACTTCTCTAGGCAAATGTTCAAGCCCCAAGAAGCATGGCATTGACTCAACAAACTTGAGAACACCATTGAAAATTGTTCGTATGCTATTATGTTATTAGGAAAATGATAGCATTTACTTTATAAGGTTATTAAAAGCGTTCAATGAGCCAGTATTTGTAAAGCTACTAAAACAGTGCCTGGTACATACTAAGTGCTAATGGACTTGCTAAGCAATGTACTTAATGAAATAAATCTGTAGTAATAGTTGGCTTTCTTTGGAAATTAAGTGAAAAATGAGCTGTGATACTTTCACTTAGTTTCTCCCTTGGATACGATAGATACCTTGTAGGGCACCTTCATAGCACAAGGGCTCTGTTTTATTAATGCACCTACATCTACCCAGCTCCCATTTCCACCTAGCGCAGTGGTTGCCAGAAAGGAATCCATGCACCTTAGGGAGTGCACAAGACAATCCACTAAGCTGGGTGGAGAAAATATTAAAACTTCTATTGATACCTATTTTTAAACCTAAAAATAAGATTGAAATCGTGCTTTTCTAATTTTGCACAAAACGACAGGAGCACATGGGTATCAGTTTTATTTTATTTATTTTTTGAGGCATGGTCTTGCTCTGTCACCCAAACTGGAGTGCAGTAGTGTGATCATGGCTCACTGCAGTCTTGACCTCCTGGACTCAAGCGATCCTCACACCTCAGCCTCCTGAGTAGCTGGGACTACAGGCACATGCCACCACACCCGGCTAGTTTTTGTATTTCTTGTAGAGACAGGATTTTGCCATGTTGGCCAGGCTGGTCTTGAACTCCTGACCTCAAAGCCATCCTCCTGCCTTGGCCTCCCAAAGTGCTGAAATTACAGGTATGAGCCACCACACCCAGACTGGGTATAAATTGTAGATAAATATATACTTATTGGCAAAATTTGATCAAAATGTTTTACTGATGGGGTGTGATTTTTAAAAGTTTGGAGACCAGTGAAATGGATGATTTCTTCCTGTCTTGAAATTGAATGCTTTGGCAACAGAACTGTTTCTAGTTGAACAAAAAATAACTTTCCATTGGACTGATGACTATCTGGCAGAAGCCTGCCTGCGTCTCTGTGAGTGGATTACAACTGACTTGTGCCACCAAAGGTAGAAGGCTTGAATCTTACCGAGCAGAAACCTCTCAAGAGACAGACCCTCTATATGTTCTTCCCCATTTCCAGTCTCATGAGAGAATACATATGTACATTTTTATTTAAAAGCACAAAATACAGTGCAAGCTTTCATAACATGGGGCTCATGGTTCTCTGGAGGATTCAGGGGTGGATGCAGGAGATGTGTGGGCTTCTTGAAATCACATAACACATTTTATAAGGCTGGATATTTATGCATTTTACTAGGGAGTGAACTCAAAGCTTTAACATGATTTTCCAAGAGCAAGTGACTCTCCAAAAATTAGTGGCTGGTATAACTTTTTAAAGTACAGTTAACCCTTCAACAACACAGGGTTTAGGGGTGCAGATCCCCAACACAATCGAAAACTTGTGTATATGTTTTGACTTCCCAAAACTTAACTATTATTTAGCTACTGTTGACCAGAAACTTTACCATAACATAAACAGTTGATTAACATATATCTTGTATGATATATATATGATATACTACATTCTTACAATAAAGCAAGCTAGAAAAAAGAAAATGTTAAGAAAATCATTTTAAAAAAGTATGTTTACTATTAATTAAGTGGAAGTGGATTATCAAAGGTCTTCACCCTACTGTCTTCATGTTGAGTAGACTGAGGAGGAGGAGGAGGAGGAAGAGGAGGTGTTGGTCTTGGTCTTGCTGTTTCAGGGGTGGCAGACGCAGAAGAAAAGTCACATGTAAGTGGACCCATGCAGTTCAAACCTGTCTTGCTCACAAGTCAATTGTACTGAAAGTCTATCTTAAGGTATGTATTTAAATGCTAATATGGTTTGGACTTGTGTTCCCACCCCAATCTCATGTTGAATTGCAATCCTCAGTGTTGGAGGAGGGGCCTGGTGGGAGGTGACTGGATCTTGACTGCAGACTTCCCCCTTGCTGTTCTCTTGAACAGCAAGTGAGTGAGTGAGTTCTCTTGAACAGCAAGTGAGAACAGTGAGTGAGTTCTCATGAGTTATGGCTGTTTAAAAGTGTGTAGCACATCCCCCTTCACTCTCTCTTTCTCATGCTCTGGCCATGTAAGACGTGCCTGCTTCCCCTTCCACTTCCGCCATGATTGTATAAGTTTCCTGAGGTCTCCCCAGCCATGCTTCCTTTACAGCCTGCAGAACCGTGAGTCAATTAAACCTCTTTTTCTTTTTATAAATTACCTAGTCTCAAGTAGCTCTTTTATAGCAGTGCAAGAATGGACTAATGCAAATGCCTACTTTCAACAAACACAATTTACACATTACAACAAACACATTAATTGTTTTTAAAGAATTAAAGCACTTCAACCAGGTCATTGTGGGCAGAAAGAGTTCAGAATATTGTTCAAGAAATTGGCACACAAGTCAGGAACAAAGAAAACCCCAACTTATGCTTCCTTTTGATAGGGACAGGGGACAGAGAAATTCTATGCAGAAAAGGGAGGGTCCCTGGCAAAACCCCACCCTCAAGCTGAAAAGCTTGAAACCACAGCCCAAAGTGATAACTTCTATACCTGTTTTCCTGCTCAATGTTGCCTTTTCCTAAACCACACATGGCCCTGCTCTGCCCCATCCTGTGCCTATAAAAACCCCAGGCTCACCCGGTAGATGGGACTACAGCTGGATGTCGAAGAGAAGTGGTTTGACTTCAGAAGGACAGCTTGACGGCCTAACTCCAGAGAAGAATCTGGCTGGTGATGGCCAGACTTCAGGGAAAGATTTCCTACCTGCCCAGTCCCCTTTTCAGCTCCCCTTCCCACTGTGACCCTCTTTCGTTGGCAATAAAATTTCCCACATTTGCCATCCTTCAATTCATTCATGTGACCTCATTTTTCCTGGATGCTAGACAAGAGCTTGGGAGCCACTAGTGTGGATACAAAAGGCTGTCACACTGGCCCTCTGCCCTTGCTGGTGGAGGGCAGCCACCTCATGCAAAAAGGCAAAGGGCCCACTGAGCTGTTAACACTTAAGCAATCCATGGATGGCAGAGCTAAAAGAGCACTGTAACATATTCTCTGGGGCTTTGGGGGTTGCAGGCAGCCCCATCTGAATGCTGCTGTGGGGCCTGCATAGGGTTTGCTCCTGCTAGAGCCCAAAAGTGGCCACTCTGATGCCCGCACCCACTCACCTGTGTGCTCCCTCCCACAACAGGTGGAAAGTAACAGGTCCGAGTGAGTGGAGTTTGATCATGCCAGTGCCAAAGCGACTGGCTAGTTCCAGTGCTTGTTCACTCCAGTTCCTGCACTCATTTGCTCCTGCGTTCCATCCATCAAGGAGTTGAGAGTGGTGGGCTGAGTAAATGAGGCACCCCTGTCGTGAGTCTCGCAAAGGGGTCAAGGAAATATCCTGTGTCACCATATCCCCCCCTCCTCCTACTTTCTCTGCTTTTAACTGAGCACTTTACATGATTCCATTTTCTCTCTTCTCTTAAAATATCATTTATATATATATATATTTTTTACTTTTTCAGTGGTTTCCCTAGAGCTTGCAGTATATATTTACAATTAATTTAAGTCCCCTTTTGAATAACACTATACCACCCCACAGGTAATGCAAGCAACTTATAACAAAGAATTCCTACTTCCTCTTTCCTGTTTCTTATAACATTGCTGCTACTTCTTTTATTTATCCATATCCTATAATTACCCAATATGTTGTTACTATTACCACTCTGAATACTAGATCAACTAAGACAAAAATTATTTTACCTTCATTTATTCCTTCTCTGATGCTCTTTTTTAAAATGATTTTTAATTTCTTTTCATTTTTGTGGGTACATAGGTGCATATATTTATGGGGTACATGAGGTTGTACAGGCATGGAATGCATAATAATCACATCATGGGAGTGGGGTATCCATCCCCCAAACATTTACCCTTTGAGGTAAAAATGATCCTGTTATACCCTTTAAGTTATTTTAGAATGTACAATTAAGTTATTATTGACTATAGTCACCATATTGTGCTATCAAATAGTAGGTCTTATTCATTCTTTCTATTATTTTTTTCTTTCTTTATGCACATCCAAATTTACGACCAACATTCTTTCCTTCTTCCTGAAAACTTTTGACAGTCCAGGTCTACTGATGAATTTCCTTAGCTTTTGTTTATCCAAAAACATCTTTAATTCTCCTTTACTTGTAGAGGATAATCCCACTGGATACAGAATTCTTGATCCGTGGTCTTTTTCTTTTGACCCTTTTAAATATTTTATTTCACTCTCTTCTTCCTTGCATGGCTTCTGACAAGAAGTTGCATGTGATTATTATCCTTTATCTCCTACAGGTAAAGTGTGTTTTTTTTTTTCTCCATTTCTTTCAATATTTTCTTTTTGTCTTTGGTTTTCTGTAGCTTGAAAATTAAATGCCTAGGAACAGATTTTTTGATATTTATCCTACTTGGTGTTTGCTGGGCTTCCTGGACCTGTTGTTTAGTGTATACCATTAATTTTGGAAACTTTTCAGCCATGATTACTTCAAAACTTCTTCTCTTTCTTTTCCTTCTGGTACTCCAATTATATAAGTGTTACACCACTTGAAATTGTCCCAACGTTCCTGGATTTTCTGTTCTGTTTGTTCCACTCTTTTTTCTCCCCATTTCAGTTTGTGAAATTTTATTGACATTATCTTCAAGCTCATTAACTATTTCCTCAGATGTATCCAATCTCCTGAGGATCCCATCAAAGGTATTCTGCATTTCTGCTACAGTTTTTTAAATTTCTAACATTTCCTTTTTATTCTTTTCAGTTTTCATCTTTCTGCTTATGTCAGATTCATTAGTTCTTGCATGTTGTCTGCTTTTACTGGTACAGCCCTAGCATATGAACTATATTTTAAATTCCCTGATGATTTCAAATTTGTGTCATATCTGATTCTGACATTTGCTTTGTCTCTTCAAAATTTGTCTTTCTTTTTAGCACATCTTGTAATTATTTTGTTGTTAAAAGCCAGATGTAATGGGTACTGAGGTGAATACATCTTTAGTGTGATGTTTTATGTTAATCTGGCTAGAAGTTGGACTGGGTTAATGTTTGCTGTAACTGAAGGTGTCAGAGACTCCAGTTTTCTCTAGGGTCCTTATTTTTGCCTCTTCTGTAGTCTTTAAATTTCCCTAAAGACTCCTTCTTAAATAAAGTCTGTGCCTTATAGCTCTTTCAGCTGCAATCCACTGTTATGATTTTGGAACCCTGTTGATTTGGTGGTAAAGTGTGGAAGAAAGCAAGCCTTCTCTAATCTCATGATTAAATCCCAGTCTTTTTGGAGGCCTATGTCCCTAGGATGTGAGCTTCACAAGTGTGTCTTAACTGTAATCTACAATTAGTTAAGACAGGAAGTCTAGAGGGAAGTCTAGAGGGTGCTGAAGTTGGGTAACTGCCTTCCTCCCAGGGGTGAATAAGCCTCTGAAAGTCTTTTCCCATAAGCAGTGGGCCTTTGTTGCAGCAAATGCTCTGGGTATACTTCGAAGTGGTCATTTCTCCCCATCTCTCCCCCAGAAACATGAAAGAGATTTTCTTGGCTATTCATCATAAGAACCTATTGGGGTCCCTGGAGATAAAAGTCATAAAAGTGTGCTTCTCCTCCAAGAATGTGGTCTCTGGAAGTTTTCTATTCTCATGCTAGTTCATAGTCAGCCTTTAGCAAGTTGTCAAAATGATCATTTTAGTGTTCCTACTGGTTTATGGCTTCAGTGGCTTCTACTCCAGATAAGCTGATTTCACTGTGATTCTCTGCATTCTCCTGTCGTTGCAGATCGGGGTGGTGATTTGCTCTACAATCTCAGGTCCCTAATAGATCCAAGAAAAGTCCTTGATTTTCAGATTATTCCACTTATATCTTGTTGTGAGGATGGGAGTGAGGACATCCAAACTCTTGACTTGTCAGAGCTGAAATCAGAAGTTGAACATATGCTTTTTAAGCTCCTGGTGCCCTGAAAACCAAAAAGCCTTCCCTCTTCAACCCTATCTCAGAGTATTTTCAGCTGCATGCTGCCTGCTCTTTCTGCCTCCCCTCTGAGCCTCTCTCAACTACAGCTCAGCTCCGGGACCATGCTACAGCAGAGTGACAGAAAAGGCACTTAGAGAGGTTGTGCATTCTGTCCACCTCATCCTCAGCCAGTTGTCCTGGAGAGAACTCCTCTCCACTGGATTAGCCTATCTATCCTCTACACAATGGACAGAGCTGTCCTAGTTGAGGAGGAACAAGTGTGCATTGATGCTTTTCAACTCCATTTTCAGTGCCAGCACCCAGGATGCTTACTGCCCTCATCCTACTTGGGATGCCCTCACATTAAACCCTACACAGACTAGCAGCCCAAATAAAATTTGGGGTTTAGATCTCTACAATCATTGTGTTAAAAAGCCTCTGAGACAAAAGTCTCCCAATAGAAACAATTAAAATAACATCAAGTTGTTTGAAATTGAAAGGCCATAAGCAAAGGGCATTTTAGAAAGTGTAAGACCGAGATCTTGGGCATCATCGTAACTATAATTTTGTCAGCTATATGAAGCATAGACATAAGAAAGCTTAAGTAATACAACCCAATGGAGAGTTCAAGTGGAGAAAATTGAAAAAGATATTAAATGTACTTAAGATTACATTAACTAAATGAGTCACTTAGAAGTAATAGTAATAAACATTCAGAAGAAGGAGCAATTGCTTCAATCTGGGGATGATCAGTAACACTAGATAATCTTGCAACAACCTTCTGAGTTTCACTACAAGCCCCTAGAAGAATATCAAGAATGCTAGAGAATTCCAGTGGGTAAAGTGAGGGTAACAATGACTTTATTATTCTTGATGTTCTCAAAGAATTCCAGACAAACTGGATATGTCAGCTTCATAATTGACTCCAGTTCTTAGTATACTTGGAGAGTCAGATGTGTGATAGAAATGTCCATTCCCTTCAGGTCCAGTCAGCAAGTGACAGGGACAGTGCATTTTGTTCCCAAATGACTTGCTAGCCTCATAACTCCTTCCAGAATTCAGAAGTCTTGTTGTTTTATCTACAAAGTTGTGCCTGTGTTGGAGGTATTCACAATTCTTATAGGCTCATTTTTCGTTTGTGTGTTAGGAAAACTGATTCAGGGAACCATTTAGCAGAATCTGTTACAGAAATTATAGGCTATTTCGCCACTGAAGAAGCATCACCGCTCTGGAGTCTTTGAAAAGACCTAGAGCTTTTGCTTTATAACTAACTTTTTTAAAAATTAAATGGCCATCAACTTTTATTGCTATCATTATAAGCCACAACATTGCACCAAGGTTATGTTTGGCCCTTTATAGATATGTGAATAATTCTGGCTCTGCCTTTTGGGAGGATCTCATTATCTTTCTCTCTCTGTTAAAGCTGAGATGTGAATGGCTGAAAGACCTGAGAAAAATATACTGCTTTGGTATCTCAAGATCCATCCTAAATACCACTTCATCTATGAAATGATCCATCTTTTAACTCTTGTAGCACTTTGCATATTTTCCTATTGATTCACATCTACTTCACAGTAACCTGCTTATGTGAATACCCATTAAACTGTTGAGAGATTTGATGGTCCTGTTCTCCCTTGCACCTCCAAGCCAAGCACTGTGTCTCAAAAATAGAAGTACTCAGTTAATGTTGAATGAACACACTTGAACGTGTCCCTTCCAATTATTTGCTTAAATTTGACGCACAGCTGTTTTTCCCTCCTGTATCTTCACCACACATGCAACTGCAGTTAGCACAGAAATGCAAGAAGCCAGGCTGAGCGTGGCCTGGCTGCGGCTCGCTGAGGCTGGCCAGTGCAGGTGGGAGGGTAAAGTGGAGAGTGTCTGAACCCACTCTATGGAGTCACACTGGGGTCAGGAAGATCCAGGGAGATTATTAGTGCACAGTGCATCAATACTTGATCTTGTAGTTCCCTTTCTAATTCTTCAGATGTTCCAAATTTTCTCTAGGAACCACCTTTCAGTTTTATGATTGAACAAATATCAAAAATTTTCACAATAAACTTTTTGTATGAAATAAAATCAAATTTCCAAAGAACAAACTTTACAATATGGTGACCACTGTACAGCTCAGCCTGCCTCTAGAGTATTTTTTATGATGTTTTAAACTTTGACAAGTTACATAACCAAAATAAAGGTGTGGCTTCCCAAAGTGACTACGTTAAATGAACAACACTCATCCATTATATGCTGTAATTCTTAAATATTGCTAGAATGCTATATAATTATATATCTTGAAAACAATCTGGAGAAACCACCTTAATACATTTGAAACAGTAAGAGCAATGCAAAACAATATTTAAAGTATTAAATTAATTGGTGATGGCAGTACTTGTTAAAGAAGTTGAGACTTCAGGATAAACCCTAGAAGAATTTACGATTTGCCCCTTGGGGCTTCATGCATCTCCACACATGTCTGAATGGTAACAAAGGCCAAGTAGACAAGCTTCCTTGGATTGGGAATCAAACAGGGAAGTGTGCTGGAGAGTGCAAAGACATATTGTTTTCATCAGTGTGTCGCTTTTAAACTTGTGATATAAAAAAGCAGGGATGGGGAGGGAGTTAATTAACTGACTTGTTACCTGACTGTTACCAAGCAACTTGTTAGCTGCTTGCCCATATCAGGGATGACTATTATCTCACTCTTTTCAACTTTCAGATCTTCCCCTCCTTAAAATGGAGGGCTATTTTCCCCATCTGTGGTTTTCAACTGTTATTCCCCTGAAAGACGCAAACACAAACTGATTTATAATAATCCAAATCTTAGTTAAAAAGACAGAATACACTTTCAAATTTTACCTCACAGTGCCATCAAACAATGAATGGGAACAAAGTGATCACACTGTGGACTAAGAATGTGGGATAAAGTTTCCTGAAAGAAGCAAGTCTTGGGATTAGCCAATTATGAAGAATGTGGATAAGTGGTTAAAGTCAGTGTTTAAGAACAAAATTATTGATCGAATGTTTCTAAAGTAGGTTGCCCCTATCAGGCATAGCTCCCTTATCTATGTTTTTAGGATGGATATTTCAGTGTACAAGTCAGGTCAAAGTGGTCCCCTACACTTCCCTCTAGCCTTTACCAAGACAATGCTAGACAACACACATGTATTACATACCCTGTTTCACAGGCCACTGACAAAGATATATTCATTCCAAAAGTCTCAGGAGTAGAATTTTGAGCTGGCATAGTGTGTCTGTCTTGAGGAGCAAACACACTGAGATTGTTTGCATCCGTTAGCCAAAAGGTGGGATATAACTGAAAGATCCCTGAAAAAGATGCACCTTTTATTACTTCCCTGAAAAACAGATGATGAATATGGTTCATCATTTTTGATGCTATGGGATAGCATCATTCTTTGCTATTCCATATTTGCAGGGATAGCAAATTATGGGTAACGTTTAATTATAATTTCATTATTTTAAAGGGCAGAACCCCTTTATTCACTAAGAGCAATATAAAAAACTGTTGATAAAGGGACTATCTGCTGAGAATTTCTAAATATTAAATGGTTCACCTGTGGTAATACATATGACAGTATTCTACGGAAGTTACACACAGACATTGGTATAAATGATAGGTAAGAGTCATAATTTGCTCATTCTTTGTGTTTCCAGCGAGAAAGGGCAAGAAATTATTAGAAGAGAATTGAGGAGACTCAAGCCTACAGAAGGAATTTTACTAAGAGATCCCTGATCTTTCTAGAACACTCCCATAGAGATAGGTTCCAAAGGCATGTAAGTAGCAGTTTACATTGGGTAGCCATTTTTCATTCCTGACTCCTGGCCTTTCTTGGAGGTTTGACCCGCCAGTTCTATGATGGTCATACGGGTCCCCATTAAGCTGAACACATAAACTTAGCTGTTCTCATACAGTATCAATTCCATCAGGAAACAAGAGTCCACTAACCCACTGACTAGTGTCTCATTCTTTTCAACTTTCAGAACTTCCCCTTCTTAAAATTGAGGGACATTTTCCCTATCTATATTTTTCAGCAGTTATTCCCCTAATGGATACAAGCACAAACTGACTTGTAATCATCCAAATCTTATTTTTTTCAGGCAAAGTATACTTTCAAATTTTTATCTCATAGTGCCATAAAACAATGAAAGGAAACAAAGTGAGTATACTGTGGACTAACAAGGTGGGAAAAATTTTCACAAAAGGAGTAAGTCTTGAGATTAGCAAATTATAAAGACTGTGGATAAGTGATTAAGATCAGTGTTTAAGAAAAAATTTATTGTTCAAATGATTCTAAGGTAGGTGGAATTTCTATGCCAGAAACTACTCCGTTTTGAATTAGATCTAAATATATATTTTCCATTCTACACAGGCTTTGAGAAAATGACAATGAACATATACAATAGTGGGTTTCTAGCAGAAGGGAAGAGATGCTGCGTTTGCTAAACCTACCATCTAAAATACACATCCACACGAATACCAAAAGATTTTCACATCAAATATAATCCAGTGAATATTAAATCACCATATACTTGCCATAGTAAGACTTTATGATGTTATTAGCTGCATATTCATTTAATGGCTTAGAAACAACCAGCTTATTCTACTTTACAATTTTAGCTTGAGCCATTCTGAGCATATTAATGTAAAAATTGTGCTTACTCACCTATGAAAAAGTTACTGACAACTGCCAAATGTATTTTTAGAAAATTCTCTTTCTGAAATTTCCCAATTGCTAATCAAGGTCAGATTGTAAAGACTACAACTTTTCTAGCCATTCTCTCAAGTCCCCAGTAGCAAAGTCAGTAACTGGGCACTCTCACAGTATAACTGAATCCTGTCTTTTATTTAGAATATTCTTCCCCTCTTGGCATTTGAGTCTGGTGGTGCTGGTGCATTTAAATAAAGTCTTGCACACATAAAAAACAAATTTTTGTTCTATAATAACCATCTGTGTTCGGTTCACTTACAAAGGAGGCTAAGACTATGATGATACTACCTTCATTTTGTGAAGACTTTGAAACTCATTGAACTATTTTTGGTGGTACAAATTATAACTGCCAATTCACTGAAGCTACCTAGGCACTAACAGACTGAAGAAAAAAAGCGATCAATTATCCACTGAAATCAATGTGTGATGACTAAGAAAAATCTTTCAGTTTCCAAACATTTCCCAAATGTTCCACTCCCACTTCCTCATCTACTCAAAGCTTACCAATCATCAGTGGGCTATCTCTAATCTCATGTGATCCATACAAATCTTCTCTTTAAATTTTTATTTCACATGCATTGCACTGTATTTTAAATCTTACTACCTCTTTCTCAGGCATGAAGAATTCCATCACTAGGTTGGTTCCCAAGGGACATTTGCTGGAAAGTTGGTTAACCTTTGAATTGCATGTAAATCAAGCCAACAGCTCCTGGTCTAAAAACATTTAGAAGTTAAAGAAAACATCCTTCATAAAGAGCAGACACAGATGTAAAGCAAGCAGGAAAGCCCTGTGTGCTTGAGAACACAATTTTAGAGATTTTGGATTATCTAGTACAGACACATTCTTTGCAAGGGGCAGGGGTGGGAGGATATTGGGAGAAAATGTGGCTGGAATTTTTTTCAGCTTTGTTAAAGTATAATTGACAAAAAATTTACATATTCAAGACATACAGCATGATTTGATATACATTTATGTTGTGAAATGACTGTCACATAAAATTAACTTCAATCACCACACAAATACCTCTTGTGCGTGTGTGGAGGAGGGTGAGGACACTTAAGATCTACTCCCGTAGCAAATTTAAAGAAAATAATTTTAAATAAAATAAAAAATAAAAAATTTGAAAAGACATTCAGGCTAGGCGCAGTGGCTCACACCTGTAATCCCAGCACTTTGGGAGGCCGAGGCAGGTCGATCATTTGAGGTCACGATTTCGAGACCAGCCTGGCCAACATGGAAAAATACAAAATTAGCCCGGCATGGTGGCATGCACCTGTAACGCCAGTTACTCAGGAGGCTGAGGCAGAAGAATCACTTGAATCAACCAGGTGGAGGTTGCAGTGAGCCGAGATCGCACCACTGCACTCCAGCCTGGGTAACACACAGAACGAGACTCTGACCAAAAAAAAAAAAAAAAGAAAAAGAAAGAAAAAGGAAGACATACAAATAGCCAACAAATATACGACAAATTGTCAACATCGCTAACCATAAAGGAAATGCAAATCAAAACCACAATAACATATCATCTCACCCCAGTTAGAATGGCTATTATCAAAAAAACAAAAAATAACAGATGCTGGTGAAGATGCAGAGAAAAGCTAACTCCTGTTCTGTATGTTGTGGGTGGAAATGTAAATTCGTGTAGCCACTATGGAAAACAGTATGGAGGTTTCTCAAAAAGCTAAAAATAGAACTACAATATAATCCAGTAGTCTCACTACTGAGTATTTACCCAAAGAAAATAAATCAACGTATCAAAGGAATACCTGTACTCACCCCTGTTCATTGCACCACTACTCATAATAGCCAAGACACAGATACAGAACCAACCAAGTGTTCATCAACAGATGAATGGATAAAGAAAATGTGGCACACACACATACACACACATATACACACACACACACATATGTATACATATACATACAATGGAATACTATTCAGCCATAGGAAAAATGGAAATCCTGTCATTCAGGGCAATATTGATAAGCCTGGAGGACATTATGTTAAGTAAAATAAGTCAGCCACTCATATGTGAGAGTTTAAAAAATAAAAAAGATGTCATAGAAGTAGAGAGTAGAATTATTGATAGTAGAGGATGGGAAGGGTAGGGGGAGGGGAGGATGAAGAGAGATTGGCTAATAGATAGTAAATTACAGCTAGATGGGAGGAGTGAGTTCTGGCGTTCTGCAGCACTGTAGGATGAATATGGTTAAATACAATTTATTGTGTATTTTCAAAAACCTAAAAGAGAGAATTTTGAGTGTTCACAATGCAAAGGAACGTTAAATGTTTGAGGTGATGGATATGCTAACTATCATGATTGGATCATTAAATATTGTATACACATATCAAATATCACTCTTTCTCCCATAAATATGTACAATTTTTTTGAGACAGGGTCTCACTCTGTTGCACAGGCTGGAGTGCAGTGGCATGATCACAGCTCACTGCAGCCTTGACCTCCCCTACCTCAGGTAATCCTCCTACCTCAGCCTGCAGAGTAGCTGGGACCACAGGCATGCACCACCACACAGGGATAATTTTTGTAATTTTTTGTACAGATGGGGTTTTGCCCTGTTGCCCAGACTGGTCTTGAACTCCTGGGGTCAAGCAATACTTCCATCTTAGCCTCCCAAAGTGCTAGGATTACAGGCGTGGGCCACCGTGCACAGCCAATATGTACAATTATTTGTCAACTAAAAAGAAAAAATAATCAATACAGTATTAACTATTACTTATGTATTATGTGATTATGTATATTATTAATTGCATATTATTAGTGAGAACCATTGTCTCTGAGGCTTTTCTTCATGCTATCTGAAAGAGAGAGAGAATTGCAGAAAGAATCACAGAAGAACAGAACCTGAGTTCAAGGTAAAGTGACAGAAAAGTTTCTATTAATATCTCAAAAATAATGAACCAAAACAATCCTGGTATCTTTTATGTCAAGATTAATAAGAAAAGACAAAATCAAGGAAACAGGAAAGAAATGAAGTTGACAGTAGTTAAACATGGCAGTTGTCTAATGATATCCTAGGGCTGTTGACTTTCCAAATTTGCTCTATATTTGAAGGTCAAGTATGATTTCATAAAACAAGTCTTTATTGCACATACAATATTTAATGGAGAAAAATATTTTTCTTCTCCCCCCTCACCCTGCAAGGCACACACACTGACTAAGGACCAGAGAAGAGTGGTAAAGGACAAAGAGCTTCAGGACAGATTCCCAGATTAGTTTCAAAATTCCTTTCCTTTATATCATGTAATACTATGTCCCCTGCTAACAGCATATCCCAAATATAGGAAACAAGAGGGAAGTAAATCCTTTTTGGGGAGCCTGATTTGCAGAATTAAGTCATAGAATGATATCACCTGCAGCTCTTGGTACATAAATTGTTATGGACTATTATGCATTGACGTCTAATGTCTTATGGGTACAGTTCTTGTCTCCCAATAAGCTCAAATTTCATGAGTGTTAGGGCAATGTTCCATAGCACTTACAAAGCCCTATTTATATACAACACAATCTTAATGACATGATAACCACTTAATACATACTTATTGAATTAAACTGAATTGATCAAGCTAAATTTAATAAGTAACAAGAAATAAAAGGGAAAATGTAATTTTAACTTAGGAAAAAAGTCCCCCAGATGTCCCCTATCACTCCTCTCTCCTCCCCACTCCCCACACTCAGCACCACTGTAGCGATTTTACTTCTAGAATGATTGAGAAAATTCTTATGCATATATTCAGAAATTCCTTGCAAGGATATCTAACCCATCCTGCATGTCCCCACTGCTCGCTGCCAACTTTGGGCCTGGGGATGCTGCCAGCATTCCAAGATTCCTGTGGGGAGGCCCTTTGAAGGTGGCATTTCCTTCCCAGCCTCAATACTGCCCCTGGGTCCTGGGACAGGGAGAGCCAGGCCTCTCTAGAGTTGCCTGGAGTCTTGGAGAATTAAGGTCTCCTCTCAACCTCTACCCCCAAGACCTAAGCAGCCAGCCTACTGCCTGATGCGTGTGCACATTCTCATCCACTCCATGACTTCTGTCCATCCACTCTCCTGTATCTGTGTGGCTTCCCGTCCAGGTGTCTGTGTGTCCGTGTATCTGTCTCCTTATGCATGTGGCTTGTGGAGACACCGTGGCGTGCATATAGGGATAGAGCTAGCCTTGTGGCATCAGAGAGGTGCCTCTCCCTGCCTGTGGTCTGATGTGAAGGAGATATACTGAGAAGTGCTAGAATAATTTTGGGAGCATATTTTAAGAATAGATCAATTGGAGATGATAACTAAAGTTTTCCAAGGTATCTTTGAACTTCTTGCAGGGGAACATTTAGAAAGTTGTAGAAGCAGCATATGTGATCAGGGATAAATTAGTAAAGGAATAGAAAATTATAAGAGCAATAGGAGAATTGAGCTGGACTTTACCAACTGCTGACAATTGTCCAAGGATCACCAGGAGAACTGATTTGCATGCTGTGATGTTAGCTGACGTTCTTTGTTGTAGTTCTTTGTGTCTCCCCATGCACTCTTGCATAGTTTAGAGTCCTTGAAATATTTTTTCTCATCCACAATAAAAATAGCTCTTTTTTGAAGATTCAATGACTACACATTCATTATACACAACTCACACCCTAGATCAAGCAATTTTAAAAAGTAAAAATGGCCTGAAATCCCACTGACCTGATATAAATCAATATCATTTTAGTCATGTGTTTCTTGACCACTTGATCTTCTATGATTTATTCATAACCTTGACAATTTTTATTGTCTTTTCCTTATCAGTTTGTAAGCACTATCTGTAGAGTACTAATAATATTTTTGTCTATTGCCTTGCAAATATTTTTAGTTTTGCTATATGAATGTTTTTATATTTATAGTATCTATATAAATATATAGCTATATGTTTTGTGTGCTTGGTACTTTTGCCATATAAAAGCTGTTATATTTATACAGTACAGTGCATCTGACCTTTTTAAAAAATATCTTTTGGATCTGTTGCAGGGAGACAAGCTTTCTGGAATACTGTTAAGCTGCAGGCAGTAGAGTTGGGTACAGCTCTTGAAGACCTGTATTTCTTTGCTCTTAAACATCTTGAAATACCACCTTCACATATACACCAATACTTATTTTTTATTTGAAATAATCACAGAGATCATATAAAAATTGTGATCTTTTCCATAGCTATTAAATACTACTAAAAAAGACACTGATAGGCCAGGCACAGTGGCTCATGCCTGTAATCCCAGCACTTTGGGAGGCCGACATGGGCGGATCCCCTTAGGTCAGGGTTCGAGACCAGCCTGGCCAACATGGCAAAACCCCATGTTTACTAAAAACATAAAAAGTAGCCAGGCATGGTGGCACATGCCTGTAATCCCAGCTACTTGGGAGGCTGAGGCAGGAGAATCACTTGAACCCAGGAAGTGGAAATTGCAGTAAGCCAAGACTGCACCACTGCCCTCCAGCCTAGGCAACAGAGTGAGATTCCATCTCAAAAAAAAAAAAAAAAAAAAAAAAAGGGAAGAAAAAAAAAAAAAAGACACTAATACCCAGGAGCAGTGATTCACATCTGTAATCCCAGCACTTTGAGAGGCCAAGGCAAGCAGATCCCTTGAGCTCAGGAGTTCAAGACCAGCCTGGGCAACATGGCAAAACCCCATCACTATTTAAAAAAAAAAAAAAAAAAAAATTAGCTGGGCATGATGGTGCATGCCTGTAGTCCCAGCTACTCTGGGGACTAAAGCAGGAGAATCTCTTGTGCCTGGGAGGTTGAGGCTGCAGTGAGCCACGTTCCTGTCACTTTACTCTAGCCTGGGTGACAAAGTGAGACCCTGTCTTAAAAAAAAAGACACTAATAGAGAATGAAACATATTCAATGAAACAATATTTTTCATATTTCTTTTTAAGTGTGCTCATGTAGAAAATGTGTGAAAATCCATCTCAAAAAGCCTTGAAATAATGAGAATATATTACTTGATATGAATTTATAGGTCATTTACTTAGGTTTCTACATCAATTTATTGATCCTTAGACTCTAAGTTTGAGAAAAAGTTTAAGACGGGTTATTTAGATGACACTTATCTTCCTCTTGTTTTATTCATCTTATATGGAAATACATTACTTTTGCCTGTCACTTTTGTTAATTAGCTTTATCAATAGGCATAAACTGTATAGCAAGCTGAAATAACTGGATCTTATGTGGTATCTTTTAGCTACATCATTTAAGGCAGTTGATATTTCTATAAACAACATTTTTATGCACTTTCATGTTTGTGGTTAACCTGTTAAAGCTATTCTTCCCTTTTGTATTTCTCTATGTCATTATGAGGCAGTGTCTAAAGAAAAGATACATTTGACTGATAAATCCAAGGTTATCCAACATTAAGAAAAAAACATATATATACCCCAAAGGTTCAATCTAATGATATCAGGATCTAGGAATGAGGAGGCCTGGTCCCATAAACCCCTTGAAAACAATACATTTGATGAGGAACTTTTAATAACTCTCATCCTTAGCAATCATTTGTATGAAGAGTTCAGTGAGTCATAGCTGACCAGGGAAATATCTCACAACAATGCAGTCTGATAGCCAAGCACCCTGCTTTCATTCCTTGTAAAGTAAAAAACACTTGTCTAAACACTCTCAATGTAACACCATTATTCTCTTTTTTTCTTTTTGAATGGTAAATGACAGTATCAAAAAATCATGGAATTAAAATAGCAGCTCCTTTCTTTTTCGTGCATTTTTATCTAAATGAAATCTGCCATACTTCAGGGCCTATGTTCAGTGTGATACTTTTGTGGAGGCTCAGTCTATAGCCAAAACTGTGTGTGTTGATACTAAGATTCTGAAAACCTTCATTTTTTTATCTTTCAATTCTATTCATTATACTGAGACATTTATTTTCCAGAAGCAAAAAGGATGGATGTTAAAGTTTTTTTTCTGATTTGTACTTTTGATTCACGATCTGATTTTTCATAAAGAAGCCTCGACAGGGTTTGTTTTCCTATTGAAGATCTCACATTCAAGTCTTCACTGTCAAGAGCAAGCAGGGGATAGAATGTACCAAGTAACTTAGCAACCATCCAAATTCCATCCACATTCCAGGCCTGTGCTCCAGTTCTATGGGAAACACCATTCAATCCAGAAATAGACAAGAAAGAGGGTTGAAACCTTCATGACAATGCTAGAGAATTAACAGTGAGAGATGCATTAAGCAACAACACAGTTTTGCCTTTTACAAGCTCCCTGAGGTTTTTATTTCAGTCAGAGGACCAAGATTTCAGTTCAAGTCACTGGAAGAAAAGAGCTGTCATTTATGGTAAGAGAACAAATTTAAGGAGCAGAGGGAATTAAAAGTTCAGTTCTGACATGTTAAGTTCCAAACACCTTAATGGGTGTTTTCTCCAAAAGAGGATTATAGTCAGCAAGTAATTTTCAGGTGAGAAGGTGAGAGGGGTGAAGGAGAGGTAAAATGCTTGAGCCCCAAGGCATGCCAGCCTTTAGACACCTAAAGATGAGCATGAATGAGCTAAGGAGACTGAAAAACAGGTCAGTGATAGGGATATGCTAAAAGTTCAAGAAATTAAGTGTTAAAAAAGAAGAGTGATCAACTGAACAAGTACCGAAATAGGTAGGCAAGATGACAACGATATTGATTCTGGTAACAGAAAAGTCTTTGGGACATTAACAAGAGGCCTTCAGAGCAGTGCACGGGACAAAAGTCTGATGGGAGGGCCTTCTAGGGTGACTGGAAAGGCAGGGAGATCCCTTTTGTTACTTCCGGTGTGTAGCAGGAAAAGTAATTAACATATGGAGAATTCACAATCTTGCACTGCCTTTAACTTTGTGATTTTCGATGAACATTTACAATTAAAAAGTTAAGCTATATGATCTTTACCCTTCATTTGAACATTTTCTAGTCTATAATCCCTCCTTAAATAATGCTTTCCCAAATTTGACTTTAGTTTCTTAACTGTTTTTTAGATTTAAATATGCCTGCTTTCTCTGCGTTCTGTTCTCTATCTCTCTCTCTTCCCCCCACCGTGTGTGTGTGTGTCTGTGTGTGTCCGTGTGTGTGTTGCTGAGTCTCCCTTTAAGTCAGGTAGAAGAGGAAAACTACCATATTACCATTAATAAGTCCATTATAAATTATGAGCTAATATTATTTAAAACATAGATGAAAATAAAAAATTCAAAACTTTTGAAATGGGAAACAATCATGAAATTTCTGTCCAGGCTATTTTCTATGACATTATAAAACTAAATAGCCCCTCCTGAATTTAACATTACTATTTTGTCTTAGGCTTTTTAAAAAATACAGATATGTAGGCAAATAATTCTTCTACTCAAACATATCCCTACTTTATAAGGTGGCTTTCGTGCCACTTACTGAGTAATTTTATATTCGTGAAGTGCTTTGAGCTACGCAGGAAATCTGTGAAAAATGAATAAAGAACCAGCTATGTCTTCAATTTACTCCAAGATGGAATGAAACTTTTCATCCTGATTAGGGAATAAATATTAAATATAGATAATCTTGGATTCATGTTATGATGTGAACCTGTATGTCTCTCTTTCACTGACAAAATATACAGAAACACTTTATGGGACATTAATTCTTAAAAACCATGTCAAAATATAGGTCCATGGTGGAATCATTCTAAGGTGGCTCTCCAGTGCATCCTGCAAGGGTAGGGTAGGGAGGAGGCCCCCCAGCCTCTGTGTCCTAGCCTGGTAGCAGCTGTCGTCTGGGCAGCAAGGATGACTCACAGGGCTGAGATCCCACCAGGCTCTTGCACCGGGGAGAGCCTTGGAGAGCTGAGTCATGAGCCAGGATAATAAGCCAGAATTCACTTCCAAATCTGACTCAGAGCACAGGAGCTACCGAGACCAAAACATGTGGCCACTTGGGTGTAGCATTTGGTGCCCCTTCAAATCAATGTTCTTTAATACATGGTAAGAGACAGGACATTCTCTTCTATTGCTCAGAGCAATTTAGCTCTGGTAACACGCTTAAAACCTCACCCAGCAAAACTGAAGCTTTCCAACTATATTCCCATCCTCCTGAGAAGGTACTTTAGGAATAAGGGCCATATATTGTTACTAAAACATGACTCTACTGTGACCAAGGCATACCCCTCTTATTTCCTCTTTTACATAGACTTTAAACTGTAGACTATAAAGAATAGACTTCACTTTTAGAGCTGTTTAGGTTTATAGAAATATTGAGCAGAATGTATAGAGTAATATACCCCCTCGCCTACTCCAGTATAGTTTCCCTTATTAGTATCTTGCACTAGTCTGGTACATTTGTTACAAATGATGAATCAATATTGATACATAATTAACTAAAGGCCATAGTTTAAATTAGAATCAACTCTTTGTTGCACAACTCTATAGGTTTTGAAAAATGCTTAATGTCATACATTCATCATTATAGTATCATACAAAATAATTTCACTGTCCTAAAAACCTAGCATGCTTTACCTGTTCATTTCTCCATTTTCCTTTTGATGTAGTTTATCAAAGTATTCCTTACAAACGTTATCCCTCTCATCACATTTTCAGTGATGTTTCATTACCGGGGAGGTATTTTAGTATCCCTTACAGAGAAACAACTATCCAGCTGGTCCAATAGTAATCAGATTCTCACTCTATGGATGGAAAAATTGCCAGCTTCCCTTTCAATCTTACTGAAATAGAATTTCAAAAATTATGTCTAACAAGTGAGAAGGTGATAGGTGATTGCCATGGTGGGAATATGTCCCACAAAGTTCATGTGTTGGAAGCTTAATTCCCCATGCAACAGTGTTGGGAGGCAGGGCCTAATAAGAGGTAATTGATTAGGTCATGAGGACTCTGCCCTCATTAATGGATTAATGTCATTATTGAGGGAGTGGATTTGTTATTACAAGAGTGGGTTGTTATAAAAGTAAGTTTTGCCCCTTCTTGCTCTCTCTTACTCTCATACTGTCTTGCCCTTCCACCTTCTGCCTTGGATGACACAGCAGGAATGCCCTCACCAGGTGTTGTCACCATGGTCTTGAAATTCAAGATTCCAAGATTCCAAGATTTTGGATTCTCTAGAATCATAAGACAAATAAAGTTACATTGCTTACAAATTACCCAGTCTCAAGTATTCTGTTACATAGAGTACTCAAGAATTTTCTTAAACACAAAATGGACTAAATATGACTAGTGTTTATACTCAAGTTTGAAGAACAGCAAGAAAGATGAGGTACAATACTCATTAAAATTTTCATCATGCTAAATTCACAGAAATACTGAATAGAAGACAGAAAAAGGGGCAATGCCATCATTAAGGCAAGGTTAAGTTACATATCAAATTCTGGTTTCCTTTTACTAAGTTCTCTTGAAGAAGAGTGGGTCTCTTCCTAAAGCAAGTTCAAGTTTCCTTCTCTACAGGGAGGCATAAGTTCCAATCACTTGCCACAGTTGTATTCAGGACACGAGTTAGGTTTTTATAAGATATGTAGGCCTAAATATAATGGAAAGGCAGATCCATAATTCAGAGCACACAAAGAGTTTCCCAAATGACCCAAGCTTGGGATACTCTGTCTTGCATTTTGAACATCATGCTTATAGGAAAACTTTGATGGGGGGTAGGAAATGAGCTGAAACATTTGGGTTGTGAAATATCAACATAACTCAAGCTTTTCAGATTGATGCAAAATAGCATGAAGGAGAGACAGAGTGTAGTCACACTGAAAAAAGATATTTATAATCAGAGCTGAATTCAAATCCAGTCCCAGCCACTTAGTAGCTGTGTGACCTTGCCTAGCTTATGAACTCTTAGAACATCAAAGTTTTTCCATCTTTAAAATGAAGAAAATAATTATTTTGATAATTTAGATCAACAATACTGAGAGCTTGGCTCCCAGTAGGTTAGAACAAAAACATTAACTACTATATTTTTATTCACAAAAAAGAAAATTTATTACCATGTAGCCTATTAAGTGTATATGTTTTAACAGAAGTTTTTGCTTTCTATAGAAAAGCTTCATCACTGAATTATCTGTTTCTCTTAGCACAGTGTGCTTTGTGTTTGGCTGATTGTTCGTTGTGCTTGGTGAAAAATGTTTTCACTATTTAATTTGATTGAATTATTCTATTGCAATAAATAGACAGCCTGTAGTGAAATAATGATTCATTTCTCATTAGCAGAAATGAGTTTTGCATCACAAACATGAATTATTTTTTGAACTTAGAGAACGGTGTTTGAAAGAAATGATGACAGTAGCAGAAGTATAGTAACTTTCTAAGCCAACAAAAAGTAGGATTTCAAATATAGATGATTATTTTTTGGGAGAAAGAAAAAGGAAGCGAGTAGCAAAGTTTCATTTTAGCCAGCTTTTCCTTCTGTAGGAAAATAGGCTTGGAGTTCACCCTTATCCTTCCCAAAACGTAAATGGCAAAAGATGTCTGCCCAAGACACAGAGAAGCATGAACTGGACCTTCTTAAAGCCAATTGTTTTCTTATTAGTTTTCCACCCCCTTCCTCCTCGTGGGAATTATTGCTGAACTTTAATTTCCCACATCTACAATGAAGTTTAGAAAAAAAATTAAGGGATCAAAGAGAACTTTCAGATAAAATGAAACATTTTCCCTCATGAAGCAGCAAATGTTTTATGTAAAACAAGCAAACAGACAGTTAAGAAGAAAACATTATGTGTTAGCCAGAGAACTCAAAAACAGCAAAATTCATTTTTAACAATTTCTTTGGCTTTAATCAAAAGCATTTTTTATTGCAAAATCTGTTTTTCATTTAGCTGTCACATTACTGCTTGTCATTAATTTATTGTTTATGAACCCCAAACCAAACATTTTTCTGTATGTGGGCAAATATTATTGGCAAATTAACATATCACCAGGGTTGGCACAGAGAAATAGCTAATCAATTATTTAGAATTTTTCTCATGATCATTCTTGTTTTTCTGACTTTAATAGATCTTAACCAAAAACTATTAATAGAAATATTAGAATTGAAGATATAGTACAACTAAATTAGAGACATCACAACCAAGCCACTGGATCAACTGGTTCATCACTGTGGTGACTGAGAGGCAGAGAAAAACTGGATCAATTACACAGAGCCACAGAATATTGTAAGAGGGAAAAGAGAATGGACAAGAGCCAGGCTCTTATTCAAAGCCAGAGCAGATACACTTTCTGTTTCCTTCATTAGAAATTCAACCATTGGTCCAGTGTTGGCTCTTCAAACATGTCATTATTCACTCAATAAAGAAATTATGCTGGGTGTGGTAGCTTACATTCATATCCCAGAGCATTAGGAGACCTGGGTGGGAGGATTGCTTGAGGCCAGCAGTGCCAGACCAGCCTGAACAAAAATTAGCAAGCATGGTGGCACACACCTATAGTTCCAGCTGCCTGAGAGACTGAGGCAGGAGGATTACTTGAGTCCAGGAGTTTGCGGCTGCAGTGAGCTATGATTGCACCACTGCACTCCAGCCTCAGCAACAGAGGGACGACCTGTCTCTAAAATAAATCAATAAATATTGACACCTATGATGTACCAAGACTATTGAAAGTACTGAGAAGGCAGTAGGGGAAAAAAAGTGGTAAGACCTCAGTTCTCAGGGGCCTCACATTCCAATGGAACTGGAAGAAAAAAAAATTTAACACATAAATATACATTTCAGGGAATGGAAAGCTCTAAGAAGGCAGATAAAAAAGAGAAAGGGATAAACGTGCTGGAATGCACTATTTTAGGTAAGGTGATAGGGAAGGCCTGTTAGAGGAGACCTTTACAAGAAGCCTGAATGACGTAAGGGAATGAACCACATACGTATTGGAGGGAAGAGCATTCCAGGCAGAGGGAACATCAAGGACCAAGATGCTGAGGAAGGAGTATGCGTGGGGTATTCTAAGACCATCTGAAAGGCTGAGGAAGCTTGCCCAAAGTGAGCAAGGGGGAAAGCGATCGAGGTTGAATATTCCAAATCCAAACTTTGAAATGCTCCAATGAGCATTCCTTTGAGCATCATGTTGGCGCTCAAGACTTTTGGATTTGGCAGCATTTGGATTTCAGATTTTTAGATTTGGGACACTCAACCAGTAAGGATAATGTAAATATTCCAAAATCCAAAAAAACTCCAAAATCTGAAACATTTCTGGTCCCAAGCATTTTAGAGAAGGGATTCTTAACCTGTGGTAGGTCTTTTGATCTATGGTAAAGAGTGGTGATTTGACTCTGATTGACATGGGAAGCCTTGGAGGAAGGTCAGCAGGCAGTGACTTGCTCTGATGTTGAGTATAATGGGCTGTTTTTGCTGCTGTGTGAAAAATGGACTATTGAGAAGTAACCAGGGAAATCAGAAAACAAGGTGAGAGGCTTTTGCAATAGACAGACAATAGGTGCTTGGTGGCTGGGACTGACAGTCATGAAGTCAGACAGAAAAGGTCATACTGGGGATACGCTTTGAGGGCAGAGCCAACAGGAATGGATGCCAGGTATGGAAAGAGAAGACTCAAAGATGACTTCAAATGTATTGACTGGAACAATTACAAAAATGGGGTGGCCATTTACTGAAAATGGGATTGTGGGCAAGGAACAAGTTTGGGTACTGGGGAATCCAGGCTTAAGTTTGAAACTTGTTTTGTTACACTGGATTATCTTATTAGACATCCAAATGGAGTGTCCAGCAGTCACCTAAATACACAAGTTAGATGTTTAAGGGCGTGGTCAGAATTAGATAACTACATCTTGGAGACATCAGCATATTGGTAGTATTTAAACTATGTCATTACCCAGGAAATGAGTTTTGATAGGAATAGTCATCAGCCTGGATAATTGACCTTACTGACAGAAGACTTCCTTTTCTGTTTTTTCCCCCTTTTTCTGTATCACCACCAATGTAAAGACTTAAAATAACAATCTTGAAGAAATGACTACAACCTAGAAATTCAGTAGTTACTAGGAAGATGCATGTCTTTGTAAGTTATAGTGACTCCTTAGAGTAAAAAGTGTTGTCATAATTTAAAAACCAAAATCCATCTCATCCTGTAAGTCTATAGTGCCATGGAAACCACTCTGGACTGGATGGTCAGAATCCAGCCACTTTCATTCCCAGAGTCCCAGTTCCTCAACTGAAAATCTAGTGGTAGGATACTAAGTTTCCTTCTTATTTCAAAAGCTGATTCTCTTTTGTTTTACTCTTTACCGTATGATAGTAGATAGACTATTTTACTGTATTTCACTCTTTATTTTACTACAAGAGGCAGTAAAATATTGTGTGTGTTATGTGTATGTGTGTGTATACACTCATGCCTCACTTAACAAGGATACATTCTGAGAAATGCATCATTAGGCAATTTCATTGTCATGCAAACGTCATAGAGCATATTTACACAAACCTAGATGGTATAGCATACTACACTTCTAGGCTATATGGTGTAGCCTATTGTTCCTAGGCCACAAACTGTACAGTGTGTTACTATACTGAACACTGTAGGCAATTGTTAGACAATGGTAAGTATTTGTGTATCTAAACATAGAAAAGGTAAAGTAGGCTGGGAACAGTGGCTCACGCCTGTAATCCCAGCACTTTGGGAGGCCAAGGTGGGTGGGTCACCTGAGGTCAGGAGTTTGAGACCAGCCTGGCCACCATGGTGGAACCCCATCTCTACTAAAAATACAAAAATTAGCCGGGTGTGGTAGCGGTTGCTTATAATCCCAGTTACTTGGGAGGCTGAGTCAGGAGAATCACTTGAACCCAGGAGGCAGAGGTTGCAGTGAGCCAAGATCATGCCATTGCACTCCAGCCTGGGCAATAAGAGTGAGACTTCAGAAAAAAGAAAGAAAGGAAGGAAGGAAGGAAGGAAGGAAGGAAGGAAGGAAGGAAGGAAGGAAGGAAGGAAGGAAGGAAAGAAAGAAAAAGAAAGGGAGGAAGGGGAAAACACGGCGTTATAATCTTATGGCACCACCATTATATATGCAGTCCATTGTCGACTAAAACGTTATGGAGCTCACGACTATACATATATATATACAGAGAGGGGGGTCTAACAAAATGCTTTTCAGAATTTATACGTCCTTTCTTATCTTATGTTCACACTAAAAACAGTTTTCTTCTTCCATTTTTCCAACTTCCCAACTTCTTTCCAACTTTCATCTTATGATTTTCTGGACATCGAAGCTATCAGGGGTAATTCAACTCATCAATAGATTTCTGTTCGTTGAACTGAAGCTGTGAGTCCAGCATTCTGGGAATTCCACTGTCAGTAGTTATGTGCTGTTTCTCTCCACAATTTAACGACTGATTTTCTGCTATAAGTTTTAGCTTGTACAATATACAGTACTGTATCACCTTTCATTTTATCAAAACTGTAAACATCGAATTACATACAGTCCCCAAAGGCATTGCTAAGCTATGTGGAATTCATGTTGAGCCATCAGGATACGTTAGGTCAACATATTCTTATTCCCTACCCTACTCCTTTCCTAAATATTGATACCAAGATTTCCTGAGGTCATAGGGAGAAGATGATAGAGGAATTTAAAGTTAGTCAAGCAAATTAAATCACAACATTGAAAAATCTTTGATACCTATATTAACCACAATGGATTAATTATTTCTAAACCTCTACATTTTACAAAACATAGTTAACGAACGAATAAAAGACAACTTGTTTAAAAGCATTTCTTAAGCCAGCTCAAATACTTACATACAATTATAGGGATTTTTTTCCATTTAGGCCCTATCTTAGGCTATTTGGTGTGCTCTCATCTCACACGCACACGTATACATCACCACAGTTATGTACTACATTATACTAAAGGGGAATCCTCAAAAGGAATTGTTACCTACAAGAACAATAGGAACAAGCACAATACAATAGGCACAATAGGAAGGAAATGGGAAAAAATGGTGCTTCTATACAATGGAAAAATGGGTACTCATTAAACGTCAGGCCTTGAAAATTATTTAATGATATTGGGAAATGTTTCTGATACAATGTTAAATGAAAAAATGTACAAAAACAATAGGATTTCAACATTTTTACAAAGAAATATATGTATTTCAAGCTAGTAATGATTTTAAGAGGCCAAAAGGAAATACAGATTCTCTAAATGATAGAATTATAAAATTTTACTTTTATTATTTATTCTAATAAGCATGTATTATTTTATGTTGAGAAAAAATTTTAGATGGGTTGGAAATGTAAAATCATTCAAATATTGAGATTACATTGTAAATAATACTATGGAGGTGGCAGAATATCATTTGTTTTTTCAATATTGCTGTAATTTTATACTCACCATTGTACCTAATGTCCTACAGCTCTCTACTTACAGGTAAATTGTCTTGTGATTATTTCCACAGAACTCTGACTTGGATAAGGTGAGCTATGCTGTTATATATGTCTAAACAAATAAATCTTCACACAAATCATAAAGGTCCATTGAATTTAAATGATGTGAACTCCAGAACCCTGTTCATAAAGTTTTATCCTATATCCACTCATGGATTAATCTGGACCAAATGATCAAGGATACGCAGATTACATGCCTGGTTTGAATTAACCCAGAAGGAAAGCCTGCTCTTCATGAGTCTGAGATACTAAGGAATGCACATGTTTACAATTCTCAATAATGCATATTTCACATTAATTCCTAAAATATAATATAATATGTAGCAGGCATTAGTGTGATACATTTGTTTGTAAGTGTAAGGATTGCTGCATGTTTATTAATTGAGGCAGAAATTAATCTTAGAATGCATTATCTCTGATTTTACTTTTATTCTAAAAGGAAGACAGAATAATTTCTGATCTGGTCATGCTTAGAGAAATAAAATCTAAAAATTGAAACATAAGCAACCCAAACACAGAGATGGTAGAGGGAAGAATTATATTGAGTCTATTTTAAATATTGAAAAGTGAAACAGATTATCAGAAGCCAAACTTTGTAAGCCTGCAATTTTTTTCTTGCTTAATTTCATAAGCTTTTGACACTAAATGAATGCACATTTAATCTCTTGATGTTTATTTAATTACAGACTTGTATCCATTTTATTACGATGTTCTTCTTTTTTACAATTTAGTTCCCCAGAGGGCAAGACCAAGGTCAGTTTAATCTGAAGTCTTTCGTACTTGATAAAAATGTCACTGTAATGAAAACTTGACCGCAATTATAAAGATGACATCATTATGATGATGATTATGATAATAATGATGACGATGATGATGACTTTGCCATTGCTTTGCAGAAAAGGGTAAAGAAAATTCATCCTATAATCTTAAAACAGTTTCACTGAGATAATGTGGTATTATTAGTTCAAAGTCATTGCACCCATTTTTCTGGAAGACCCCAAATCATTGCGAAAGTACAGACAAAAGGAAGAGGTACTAACAGTTTCCCTACAAGTGGCTTCCAGGCAACACATTCTGGGTTTTGTTGTTGTTGTTGTTTTGTTTGTTTTGAGATGGAATCTGGCTCTGTCACCCAGGCTGGAGTGCTGTGGCTGGATCTCTGCTCACTGCAACCTCCACCTCCCAGGTTCAAGTGATTCTCCTGCCTCAACCTCCTGAGTAACTAGAATTATAGGCCTGCACCAACATGCCCGGCTAATTTTGTATTTTTAGTAGAGATGGGGTTTCATCACGCTGGCCAGGCTGTCTCAAACTCCTGACATCAAGTGATGTGCCCACCTCAGCCTCCCAAAGTGCTGGAATTACAGGCGTGAGCCACAATGCCCAGCAATTCTTGAACATAAAAATAAATAATAAATAAAACTGAATTCCTCCCAATCTATCATAGAAGCTCTTTGATAACATGAGTCAATCAAATAAATAAGAATAATAGGATTTTGACAAAAGAAGACATTTATCTATTCCCAGAGAAACATATTGGTCACACAACTTATAAATTGCCAGTTGAGGTTCTCCATTCATCACCAAGATTTCCATGTAATGACAGGGAAATAATTACCATACCTCTCCCATGTCATGCAATCTTTTGATGTGTCAGGAAGTCAAACAATACGTAAATTCAGCCCTCAGTGTGTGGACAACACCTGTGGAGTGGGCAGATTTTTTTTTCACTAACAGCAGCTAATTTCTCTCCTGAGTAGGCATGGAATCTTTGTAGCAGGTCTACGGCTTCCGGAAAAGCTGCAGAGAGCCTTCCCTGGAAAATCAAGGATGTTTAATCTTGAACCTTTCGACAATCTATCACAACCCTTTCTCCACTAAAACGTCCAGAAAAATGTGCTAATATTTGTTTTTTAAAAAATCATAGATTAGAAGCTCCAGATTCAGCTCCAACTCACCGGTTCTCTTCAGCTTAAAAACAGAATTTTCTCTTACCTGAAACCTATAGGCATCTATTAGCATCAAATTTCACTATTTGAATAGGTAGTAGGGTCTTTGCTCCCAAATGATACATATTTTTACATGTATATAATTTTAAATTAAAATGTAAATATAAAATATATAAATAGTATACATATGCATAATTGGTATAAAATATAAATTTTACATATATAGAGAAAGAGAGAAAAAGAGAGAAAGTGAACCTGTCCAGAAATGAAAGAGTGAAAATCAACTCAGATTGAAAAAGAAACAAGGAGTCCTTCTGCTAATCCAGTGGAGAGGACAGCTACATAAGGCCAGCTGTGTAATTAACAGGAAACCCAATTTTCCCAAGGTCATGCAGCAGCTGCTCAATGCCATAACAACCCTCTTCCTGAATCACCTCTGCCTTGTCACTAATGATGCTCACAGACATGCTTTGCTGTAACTCATCTATTCCTGGGGATCCAGAATTGCTAAATGTCCTTGCCTCATGACATGGCATAATCCCTAATCTTCATTTGTCCTAATCCAGAACTGATCCCCACTGGCTTCTGCTGGATCCTCCTCCAAGCTCTTCAGTTAGAACCCAGACCTTGTGAAAGACACTTCCTCCTATCATGCAGCACTCCTGGCTCTTCCCAAAGGCCACCCCTTGCTGCATTGACTCAATACATGTGATTTTGTCGGACTCTGGGTTTGTTGATAGTGATTTGTGACTAACCCATTAGCCTGTCACAAGTTGGAGGTTTCACAGAGAGTTGGCTAAGACCTTCGTTGCCATGAACTGAGACCCTAACTCCATAATAATGTGTATGTTTGAGACCCCATGAATCTCACCTACTCAAGACTTCCCTGTCACCAATTGTGTGAGTTTTTCACTGGACCAGGGGTCTGATGACCTTTTTGTCTCTCCTGTGTCAGCTTTATTATTTATCTCTCAGGATTTGGTCGTTATAAATCTGACTTTGTCAGACTATTTGTTCCCGGTGGTCTAGAAAAAAAAATGTACACACACACACACACACACACACACACACACACACACATATAATATACATTTAATTATTTCTTCAGTTCAAAGATAATTTTTTGGGATGAAAGTAAATTTAAAGCACAGATTAAGACACAACTTTCTGGTTATTCAATTGCTTTAACTAACTTACCATAATGGATATATTTGCTATAATTTTGCTACAATAAACTCTTAATCACAAACAAGATAGAGAAGTGAATACACATATATGTAAGAGTGGATACAAACAGAAAGAAAAAATAAAGAATTCATGTGGTGAGCTTATGAACCTTTCTTGAAAAATTCTTTTTTGCAGAATGTATCACTTGCTGAGAATTCTTGATCACCTTTATAAAAATAACGTTTATTGTTCTTTTAGGATTATATCTTTTGTGATGATATGAATGATACATCTTAGCCTCTTTACTTGCTAGATGACTTCTCTTTATTTCACAATCAGATAAGAACAGAGAAGACTCAAGCTGATTAGCACATTTTTTGTTTTCCTCTCAAACTACAGCTACCTAAGATCGGAACCCTCTGATAATTTGTGCTGCTATTTTAAGATCCAGTTCCATTCTACAACTGGCTGAAGCATGAAGTCAACTAAAATAAACTGAATTGAGTGGAACTGAACTGAACTGAAGTGAAATAATGTGATTTCCAGTAAACCTGACACCTTAAGGACAGAACATGAGCCTTGCCCATCTTCCTCCCAGAGGTCCCAGCACAATCACCGACTCACACAATACTCTCAGTGCATGAGTGATGAATTTCACTAACAGCGACCCATCTCTCTACATAATCCACTCCGGTTTCACCAGAGCTGAGAGTATCATGAATTACATCTATAGATAGCTGTAAGCTAATGACCAAAGCACATAACTGAATTCAAACATATTCTTTATTGCAGTCAGATGTGAGAAAACAAAATTTAGAAGACAAGCCAGAAAGGAAATGAAGAACATAAAGAGCCTGAATTCTCATCGTCAATTTTTCCCTGACTGACTCCGTTTTCCTCTCTTCTTTCCATTTACCTTTCTGTTCCCATCCCCATCATTTTTGTAGTGTTTATTGAGTGTCTGCTGCATGCCAGTCAATGTGCTGAGTACTTTTCATGTGTTATACCATTTGATCGTCACAGCAGCACACTATTATAATTATGAATATGATTCCACATACTATATCTAAAATTTAACTTAATTTTACATAGGAGGAAGCTGAGACTTGCCCAAGACTACTCCATTAGTAAGATGTGAACCAAGTGAACCATGTCTGACTCAAACCTAACCCCTGATTCTCTGAATCCATATCACCGTAGAACTCAACAGTGAAATATTGGGGTAGAGGTAATGCTATTAGTACACAAACTATGCACAGATTTACAAGCAACTAAACAGGAACTCATGGCCAGGCACAATGGTTCATGCCTGTAATTCCAGCACTTTGGGAGGCCAAGGTGGGCAGATCACCTGAAATCAGGAGTTCAAGATCAGTGTGGCCAACATGACAAAACCCCATCTCTACTAAAAATACAAAAATTAGCTGGGTGTGGTGGCACATGCCTGTAATCCCAGCTACTCAGCAGGCTAAGGCAGGAGAATTGCTTGAACCTGGGAAGGAGAGGTTGCAGTGAGCCGAGATCACATCACTGCACTCCAGCCTGGGTGACAGAGCAAAACTCTATCTTAAATGAATAAATAAATAAAAATGAAAAAAACAAACAAATGAAAGAAAGTCACGAGCACAACTTCTGACTCCCCCTCCATCTTTTCCATTGTTCCCTGTCTCTCTGCTTAAAAACAATCCGAGTGACTCTCACTTTTTCCTTGTGTCTCCCACCCATCTACCCTACTCTTGCTCTACACAGTTAAGGATTGTTTTGAAATTCTATGGGGAAAAATTATAAAATTTATAATCCCAAAGAGTCCATCCAATTGTCTGTAACAAGATTTAAAGCTTAGTATTATCTCAACCCAAAATTTGACAAATGACAGTTTCCTTGTTGCTTGTACACACGTCACTCCAACAGCTGAAAAGCCAGGATAGATGTTTGCCAGTAACTTCCTTGCAGAGGCCTTAATAAACTTAAGCATGATATATACCAATAACCTAATAAATATATTGAGGGTTTCTTCTTAGCCATATCCTTGATATAAAGTGACATCTGAGTTTTATGACGTTTAAGGTTTTTGCCTTTTCTTCTGTCTTGGTGGCTATTAACTGAGCACATTTCTATTTGTGAATCATAAGCTAATGTATTTACATTTAGGAACAGAAAATCATGTCACTTGATAAGTATGCAGGTGTCATAAGCTCCAGAGCACCAGCAAAAGATGCAGGTGCTGACCACTTTGTTTCATGTCAAAATTCACTGTCTGAAGATGCTCTGTGACCATGAGGCTCATCAAACACTCAACATTCAAAAGAACTCTTACCACATTCACACAGCAAATCAGCAAATCATTTTTAATCATAAATCATCTTTGTTTGAAAACAATTTACTCACTTGAATTCTAGGTAACATTCTAGGTTATGTGTTCATTTAGATGTTCTTCTTTTCCATGGAAATCAATTAAAAACAAATGCACCATCTTGGGAGATGAGCTTAAAAGATTAATGTCAGACTTTTTGAAAAAACAATTACTTGGGCAGAATTATGAATGAACAACGTGTGACGTTTTTGTCATTTTTTTTTTTTGGTTCTTTTATTCTGCATATTTCAGTTTGGCTTTTAATTTCATCAAAATTATAGATGCACATAATTCTTTTAAGCATAGTAGGAAGACCATGGGCTTCCTAATGTGCTTAAAACAGGGTCCTCACACCTTGTCCAATATATCCGAGATTTCTCCCCTTTCTAGAGAAAACTACTTTAAATTCTGATAGATTTTTTGTTGCTGTTGCTCATAGTTACTTCCATAACTCTAAATAGCTCATGCTGTTACTTTTAATATTTCTATTTTGAGGCTATCTAATGGGTTCTCTCTATGGAAAATCAAGATTCACTCTCATTCACTCTCCCTCAACCTGACTGACCCCCAAGTATCATCTTCATTAGTTTAGTTAGATTACTATACAGTATTTACCTTATTATAGTTAGGTCAATGCTGGGTCACATATTAATCTATAATAACTTTTCCTTTTTATGAGCAATATTTTGGTTTTACTTGAAGTTAATCATCACACTTGTGTTTGCTTAGTTGTGCAAATGTCTGTCACTAACTTTGCAAACTTTTCCTCCAGTGTCTAAGCTTCACACATGAGCTAATTTTATTGATTGCATCTTTATTTCATCTCTGGTGACATCTGACCTGTTCTAGTCTGGACAGGTTTCTTCCCAGTCCCCAGCTGGCTCTTTCTTAACCACCAACTTGGGTTTGGATTTCCTATAACTGGATCCTGTGTCTTTATTGCTAGTTTAGTTCATAGTTTTGGTGGAGCATATTCTCAAGACCATCCATGTGTGGAGAACTAATTTGACAAAGACTTGATGTGAACATGTCTCTATTTTCTAATGTAAATCATTTTCCCTTGGGATATCAAAAGTTTACTGCATTGACTTCTTCCCTCTAGTATTGTTTTTGAGGCATCTAAAGCCAATCTGATTCCTGATCCTTCAGAAGAACCTCCTGCTGCTTTGGGGAGAAGGAGGTTCCTCTACCTGGTAGCTTTTGGGTACTCCTCTTTGCCCCCATGGCTGAAATTCACAATGAAGTGCTTGGTGTGGTTTTATTTTTATAGGTTATGCTGTACACTCAATAGGTCCTTATATAGGAAAAAAACAAAAAATAAATAACAAAAAAAACAACAACACTGTTTTCTTCTTGATACGTCACTTTCAATGCATCTGACAAGAGACAGGGGAGGAGTGTTACCACACCAAGCAATTCTCCACTTCTTGGCAGACACCAACTGGGTGCCCCCCAGTTCAATTCAACTCTGACACTAACAGAATCAATGTAGGCCCCAAAGTTTAAAGGTTCAGTCCCACAAGACTGCCCCACACTTTGCAGGCCAGTTGCAAACAGTAGGTTCCCAGATTACCCACAACTTCTGTCCTACTTGGCTACAAACCAGAGTTTCCCACACCCAACTCTGTGGGTTTGACAATTTGCTAGAGTGGCTTATAGAACTCAGAAAAGCACTTTGCTGTTATCAGTTTATTATAAAAAGATACAGCTCAGTAACAGCCAGATGAAGAGATGCCTAAGTTAAGATATGAGGGAAGGGGCACGCAGGCTCCATGCCCTCCATGGGTGAGCCACCCTTCCAGGACCCCCACACGTTGAGAAATCTGGAAGCTCCCCAAACACAGTCTTCTTGGGGTTTTATGGAGGCTCCATTTAGCAGGCAGGATTGATTAAATCATTGGCTGTTTGTGATGTTCATCTCCAGCCCTCTCTCCACTGGTGGAAGGTTGAAGGGTGTGGCTGGATGTTCCAACCCTCTAATCATTTGCTTAGTTCCTCTGACAAGCAGCCTCGTCCAGTGCCTGTCCAGGAGTCTCCAGCCACCAGTCATCTCATTAGCATACTAAAAGATGCTTATCATGTCAGAGGTTCCAAGGGTTTTAGGAGCTACATGCCATAAAATCAAATATTTAGTGGAAGACTAATATGGTTTGGCTATGTCCCCACCAAAATTTCATCTTGAATTGTAGCTCCCATAATTCCCACGTGTCATGGGAGAGACCAGGTGGGAGGTAATTTAATCATGGGGGCAGGTCTTTCCCATGCTGTTCTCATGATAGCGAATAAGTCCCATGAGATCTGATGGTTTTATAAATGGGAGCTCTTCTGCACAAACTCTCGTCTGCCACCATGTAAGATGTCACTTTGCTCTTCCTTCATCTTCTACCATGATTGTGAGGCCTCCCCAGCCATGTGGAATTGTGAATCCATTAATCTTCTTTCCTTTATAAATTACCCAATCTCAAGTATGTCTGTATTAGCAGCATGAGAACAGACTAATACAAAGACCAAAATATATATTTCTTATTATATCACAGTAGCACAGCCCTCTTAATGTACAAACTCATTTTCTACAATTCTGGCTAATTTCTTGAATTTTTTTTCTCTAATAATTTCTTTTCTCTCTTCTTTTTCCTGTTATTCAGATGGATGTACCTGCTTCTTGAGCTGAATTCTCACCAATCCCTCATTTCTGGTCATTCTTAACCTTACTCCCAGATGTGTTTGGTCTACTGCAGCCTTCGGATCCCTACTAGAGTTTGCCTTAGGAATCAGCTTTCTCAGACCTGTGTCTGAGATAAAATGTCTGGGATAAAATGTCATTTATCCTGCTTCCTGGATTCTGAAATTTGATGATTCTGTTCTCCTCTTTCATCTCTTCTTTCTTAAACCCTTTTTTTTAAAAAAAAATCCTGTAACTGTCATTTACTGGAACTTCAGAGAGAAGCAGAGGTTAATACCTATGTTCAATGGATACAGGAGATAAAAAGAAATTATTTAGGCAGTTAATGAGGGTAAGAGAGTTCTTGGCAAGGCTTCCCTTTTAACACAAGCAACCCGCCAAATCATTTCTTTTCTAACAAAGAGCAGCCGGTAAAATCAAGCCACAGACACAGATAAGCAAGCTAGAAGCTTTCACAGGTAAATGTGGCAACTGTGCCAATAGAAACACACTACCTAAGGGCCAGGTATGTTCAACATGGAGGTTCCCTCTTCCCTTTTGTGGCTACATAAGTGGTAAAAAAGCATGGAGCCAGCCAGGTAGAGGCCTCATCTGCATAATAAAAGATTAGGGTGAGATGTCCAGCTTCTTCACGCCCTATGCAAACAGCACACCTGGTCTGACTAATCTCTTGATCCCTATGTAAATGAGACACCGCCTCCTCAAGCTCCTCTATGAAATCCCTTGCATTTCAGTAGGAAACCAGAAGACCCACTTGGGAGCCCCATGCTCTCTCTGCAGGAAAGAGAGCTTTTCTTGTCTCTTTTCTCTCGCCTATTAAACCTCAGCTCTTCAACTCACTTCTTGTGTGTCTGTGTCCTTGATTTCCTTAGTGTGAGACAACGAACCTCAGATATTTACCACAGACAACGTAGCCACTTCACAATCTTGCAAATTTTCACCAAGTCCTTTTCATTATTATGTAAGGAGTTGGAACTGACTGATGAGGGTTTGATTGTGATTGCCTCTAGCTCTCCCTGATAGCATTTGGATGAGCTGGACAGATGTAGGATTAACAAAGGTCTGTAGGGTGGAGCAAATATGTCTCATTACCAAGGGTAAAATTTCAAGTGAAGAGGCTCCCATACTAGAGCAACCACAACAAAACAAATAACCATGGATTTGGGACTGAACACTAGGAAAGAGTGAATATATGTTTTTGAGGTCAGCTGTGCTGAAGGCAAGAGAAGAACATTGCCAAGTAACTTCCAAATGTGACATTTTTCAACCTTGGTTTATGACTGAAAAGCCAAGAAAGACTAAGCTAAAATGGAATTCAGCTTCCCAGCCTAAATAGTGGGAGAGGTCCAAAATACAGCTAAGGAAAATTTTACTGGGAAAGCTAGTTGTATCCATTTACTCTGTTCTACACATATCAATTAGAAATTTTAAAAAGGTAAGTTTGATCAAGCTTTTATTCCGACATTTGAAAACATCCTTAACTATAGCAATATTATCTAGAGAATAATATGTAGGTAACAATAGAGATAGTTCAATATTTGCTTTAGAACTCATAAGGGACAGTAATCTTTATCCTATATATACTAAAATGTATTCTTTTTTAACTGGAAAAGTTAGAGCATTATCGAGTTTAATTCAGACTCCTGTCTTCAAAAGCTATTCACAGCTACCACATAGTCAACATCACTGGACTTTTTAAGTACATGGTCTTGCTTGCAAGACAAGAGAATGAGTTTGTTGACCAGATTAGGAAATTACTCATTGGCCTCAGCATGAATAAACTGTTACTCTTCTGCTCATATTGAGACAGTAGAGCGGATTCCGTAGTCAAGTACACAAATACTATTTCAAAGGAGGTCCCAGAGAACTGTGAAGTCACCTGAGAAAGATTGACATTTAGCTGCTAGTTACTGCAATGCAAACAAACAACTTGGTAAAATTACACCTATCTATGACCTACCTAGATCATGCCAGACATGAGCAAGTCTAGGCCATGGTGCTAACAGGATCATTCAACACTGTGTGTTCAACAACCACATTTTGACTCTGGCTTGAGCCTCCCATTCTCTAACTTTTCTCTTCTTACCCAGAGCAGTGCTTTCAAATTCATTTTATTTCTTTATTGTATCTTCCAAAAGTTCTATTATTAAAGCAATACACAGGCTACAATTGTAGGGCTAATACTTTTCTTTCCCAACTGTTTACACTTCCAGACATGCTGTCTTCTGTAAAATCTGGAATATGGGATATGTGGGAATATTAAAGATACAGTTAGTTCTGATAGAATGGGACATATGTTTCTAAAACTTACCAATGCTATCCAAAATGGTGCAATTAACACCACAGAACTAAGGAAAAATTGGAGTTGAGGAACACCACTCAGATACTTAGTGACACGTAAAAGAAAGTAAAATGCTAACAGCAGCACAGTTTTACACATGTTAAGTGGATAGGAAGTATATTTAAGTACTACAATAAATATGGTGCCTTATCTTTAAAAGACCTGCAGTTTGCTTGAGGAAGTGGGTGTGGGAACTGTGACTGCTTGTGAACTATCGTGAAGGTGGAAGGAAGGTTCTCAGAAACGGGAGAGAACGTCGTTAACATCCTGTGTGCGTGAGAGTGACTCCTGACACACATTGCTGGTAGAGGTTTGAGGTACATTTTATGTATTTGTAAGTGGCTTTGTGCAGAAGGTGCAATTTTTTGCATTCTACTAGCGTTTCTTCTGGGTGAAATTTTGCACAATCAAACACAGAATTCTCATGTTCAAATTGTTCACTAATCACACGATCCATTGTGAAACATCCAGAGCACTCAGGCCTTGTTCCCCTTTGTCGTCTCCACTTCCCCTTTCTCTCTGATTCTGCACAAGAGCCTGAAGATTTGTCCGTCATTGAACCCTCCCCTTGAGATTCAGTGCAAGATGGGGTAGAAGTCACAACTCCACAGTGTGCAAGGGGAGAGAAAAGACCAAGTGCAATCATCTAATCACAATTTTCATCTGATCCCATTTTAAAAATAAACTGATGCCACTACCCTCTAATTCTGTTAAGGAAAGAACTGTGTCTTTTCTGCCTCTATGTCTAATACATTGCAATGCGTCTGGCACATAGCAGACACCCGATGATATCTGATGATTGCAGCAGTGCACATTCCACTAGAATAACAGCCATGTTATGTTTCCAAAGACCCTTATTCTGTTTCAGATTCTATAAATATAAATAAAGTTTTAAAAGGAATAAACTGACAAAGAGACTTGGCTGCAATGTCTTAACATCACAACACCTAACGATGTAGATCATAAAACTTAAGCTAGTCCTCCTCTTTGACAAGATGAAGGAAGAAAGAGCATGTACTCTAAAGACATATGGCAGGACTTAAGAAAGAGTATTTCATAAATGATAGACTCTAAAATATCAGGCCAGAGAGCCCTTTATTACTTTATTACTGTGGTGGGAATTTTTGCCATGAAGTTTCCATCACAATTTGCAAACTTAAGTTTTTGCTTGTACCGATCTGTGTGTGTCCTAAGTCTTTACCAGGCCCTTAAGAACCAAACAGAAACGTAGCTGCTTTGCATAGATTCAAGAAGTATGTGCCAGTTTCTACGCTGGAAGAGAAAGCAAACTAGCTAAGGCAAGGAGACTTTCCAGAGAGAATGTTCTGTGATGTTCTTCAACTGAAGCACTAAATAGAAATTGCCCATTCAGATGTTTCTTTCAAGAGGCACCTATTTAGTTGGGTAACTAAGCTGTTTAATTCTCTGTAGTTCATAATATTTACTTGGTCTCCTCTATTTATTTTTTAAAATACTTCATATGAGGAGATTATCAGAGAGTCAGCAAATTTTTTACATGAGAAGAAGTTCAACTTTAAAGTAACAAATGGCAAATTTTCAAGTTATAAGGCCTATATGAAATTATAAGACCATAGTTTAAAATTGCATTTATTTGGAGAAATTTGTTAATAAATATTTTGGAAAGATGAAAATCTATTGAAAAATGGTCATTTCAAAGAAATTTGCAATGAAAGCAACAAATTGAGGATCAAATTATATGTCCGTCATCACTTACCAATTGCAAGACTTACAAAGGCTATTAAATGCCTTTATTTATAAAAGAAATGATTAAATACAACCACTTGCACTAAAATGTAGATTCCAATTAGGAAGAAAGAGATGTACAATGTACTACTTCCCAAAGGGTCTATTTGACTTCAGTGATCAAAATGCTTAACACAGAGTAGGAAGGACAGGTAGGATGAAAGAGCCCCTAAAATACTGATCTAGTTTAAGGACTGGCACTATGAAAAGCTAAGCTACAAATTAGAAGACATTCTAGTTACATCCTGCCTTTGTTACTACCCAGTTTTTGTTTTATTTGTTTGTTTGTTTGTTTATTTTGAGATGGAGTCTTGCTCTGTCACCCAGGCTGGAGTGCAGTGGCGCGATTTCAGCTCACTGCAACCTCTGCCTCCCGGGTTCAAGCGGTTCTCCTGCCTCAGCCTCCCCAGCAGCTGGGACTACAGGCACATGCCACTAAGCCTGGCTAATTTTTCATATTTTTAGTAGAGACGGGGTTTCACCATGTTAGCCAGGATGGTCTCGATATCCTGACCTCATGATCCACCCGCCTTGGCCTCCCAAAGTGCTGGGATTACAGCGTAAGCCACTGCGCCCGGCCTACTCCCAGTTTTTAAGCAAGAGAACATTCATTTAACAGAAAAGTCATAATATTCAATACACACGTGTCTCTTTGCTATGACAGATATGCGTGATATACACTCTGCCTTTCAAGAATTTATAATCCAGATAGAAATACAGAAGATCAACAATATAAGAGCTAAATATAAAACAACTGTTCAAGGAACATCACAGAGCAATGTACTGTTATTTACAAAGTCTTTGTACAATCACATTTGCCTTTGGACAGGCACGTATATATAAAATCCAATTATTTTTATAGTTAACACCAAACACCACATTATTGTGTTTGCAGTACAATAAAATATTAACTTATTACAATATGAGATTCAGAGCATTGCCAGACTGGGCAACACGAATAATTCAATAAAAAAAAAAGGAATCTTTTTGTCTCTGAGCCACAGTAACCCTACAAAGGATTCATATTTCTTTTGGCAAGATGGATTTTCGGAAGGCTTAAACAGGGAAGTACAAAATTGATTTTGAATAAAACAACAAATATTTAAATGAAGTGATTAAATGCTAGTCACTGAGAAAATAAATGATGCAGCATTCCTTCAGATCTGCCTAAGAACTTGGCTCTATGTGGCCAATAAGGAAAATAAATCCCAACAGATGTAATAATTCTAGTTGATCCCTTCATGCTCAGCCCCTATCTGCTTTCCCCCACTGTTCCTCACTTTAGTGAATAGCTTTTTCCTTTCCACCCCATCACTATTCTCTTCCAAACTTTCTCCCCCATGGCAACTCCAAAACTGCTCCCCAAAAATCATTAATGACCTTCATGTTGCTACATTCAGTGATCAATTCTCACTCATTGCACTTGCCTCTCAAGAATATTTACAACAGTGGGCCACACCTTCCTTAATACATTCTCTTAGGTGAGCACACATCCTCTTGGCTCTTCCCTGGCCTCAGGGCCTCCTTTGCTAGTTCTTCTTTTCACTGCTTCTTACTGTTGGATTACCCCCAGGGCGCAGTCTTTGACTTTCTGTCTCCATTCACTCCCTAAGTGGTCTCTTTCACTGCCCATGGTTCTCAATATTACGTGTATATCTCCACCTAAGAAGGCGTATCTCCAGCTCAAAACTTTCTCCTGAGCTCCAGACTTGAATATCCAACCACCAGTATGATTCTTTCACTTCTACTAGACATCTCAAACCTAAAATGTCCAAAACTAAACTACTGAATCTCCCTCACCTCACATTCAAATAGGATTTTTCACCATCTCAGTCAAGGGCAACATCATCCTTCTAGTTTTTCAGGCCAAAAAATCAAGGTTCCCTAATCTATCAGGAAATCAGGAGGGTTCTACCTTTACATATATCTAGAATCTGGTCACTTGTTATCTCACTGCTGTCACTCTCCACTGAGCCATTAGCTCTCAACTGGATTACTGCAATAGCCTCAGAGCAGGTCTCCCTGTTTGATCTCTGCTGCCTGCAATATGGTCTTAGAGGAGCAGCCAGAGTGAGACTTTTGAGCATAAGTCAGACCATGTAATTCCTCTGCTCCAAACCCTAAAATGACTCCACATTTTATTTAGAAGGAATGACAACCCCCAGTGGCCTTCAAGGTCCTAAACAATCATGCCTCCTGGTTTCTCTTCCTCCATCACCCACCCTATACTACCTCTAGCTCACTGAGCTGCAGACACACTGGCCCCCTTACCCTGGCTCAGATTCTGTGGGACCACCCTGATCACCCTAATAAATAAAGGAGCTTGTTCTGTTGCCCACTCCTCTTAGCCTTCTCTGTTGGTGTCTCTCTTTCACCACATGTATAACCTTGGAATATATTTTAAGATTTATTTATGTTTATTTTTATTGCCCTTTTCTTCCAGAGATTTTTGTCTATTTTGCTCAATACATTTTCCAAGCACCTTTTATTGCCTCCAGCACAAATTATATTTAATAAATACTTGAGAAAAGAATGAATAATTGGCTCAACCATTTCCCAGTGGCTCAAACTAAGTACTTTGGAATCGTTCTCAATTCCTCACTCTCCTTTACACCTATTGAATCCAGCAGAAAAGTCTTAGTATTCCTGGCTAGGAAGTATATCCAAATGTATCGAGAAGTAAACCACTTCTCACTCCACTGCTAAGCTCTAATACAAATCACCATCATCTAAGGCCAGTACTAGCACAATAACCTTCTGCTTGGCCTCCCCATGTCATCCTTCTCCTCTATACAGTTTGTCTTCCACAAAACGGCCAGAGAGACTTGTAAAATCCTTAATCACATAATGTCACCCTTCTCAACATTTTTCAGTGATTCCCATCATACTTAGAATGAGTCCAAATTCTTACCTGATTTTATAGGGTTCTTCTTGATTTGGACTCTACCCATGCAGTAACAACTTCAAATTTAATGGTATTTATATTTTTTTTTTTTTGTAGAAACAGAGTCTTGCTATGCTGCCCAGGCTGGTCTCAAAGACCTAGCCTCAAGCGATCATCCTGCCTTGACTTCCCAAAGTGCTGGAATTATAGATTTGAGTCACTGTACCCAGCCCTACCCTCTACATTTCTTTCCTCTCTCAACTTTTCATTTCACTCCAGCAACATTGACTTGCTAGAAGTTCCTCAATAAGGCAAATTTAGTCCTGCATGAGAATCTTTGTACTCATTTTTCCTTCTGACTCTTCCTCCGAATTCCAGACTTTCTCATGGAAAGTCTCACTTTCCTTCATTGAAGTCTCATCTTAACTATTGGAACCTCCAAGTCTTTCCTGATCACCCTACATAAAAGAGTTTCTTTACCTGCTCTCAGTATTTCCCTTCTAGCCTTTTTCTTTGAAATATGCGTAATATATGGTAACATCATATTATATATTTATTATTTTCTCCAAACTAGAATCCCCATGAAGCTGAGACTGTGTTCTGCCCACTGCTCTATTTCTGATGCCTAGAACAGTCCTGTGACTTAATAGGCACTCAACAAATACTTACTGAATAAATGAAGGATATATGAAGATATTGACTTTAATCCTTGAGCTGTATAAAGTAAAAAATGAAATCGTATCCCAATCCACTTATTTTTGTTCTAATAAATAGTAAGTTCTATTCAATGGATTGAGCTTTGGTCCCCAGAATAAAACGTGAGATAGCTTAACACATTCCACACCATTACTTTTTTATAAACTGTAAACACATATACTTTAAGTTTTAGGCATAAAGATTGCTAAGTCTTTTTATGAAGACCCGTGACTTCTTTCTGAATGTCATTAACTGCACTATGTAAAATCAGAAAGGTTTTTATTCTCTTCTATTCAGCTATTACCTTATATAGAAATTCTACTATGTAAGTGAATTACGGAAACAAGAACAAATAATCCCAGAACAAGGCTTTGCTTGAGATTAGAGTCACAAATCATAATCATTTGGATTTGGTCCCATCACCCAGATGCATTACCGAAAGATTTCTCTTTGAGGTTTCTCCCTCTACAAATTGTTGCCTCACAGTCGAGGATTTGCTATGTGTTTGCAGCTAAAGACAAAAACACCCCTAAACACTTTGTAAGATTTTATCTACAAAACTTCAATGTGTTATTTCCTGTCATTTTATCATCCTTCTATAAGCAGGTCATAACCAGAAAAAAAAAAATAGTGATAAGGAGAAAAAAGCCTGAGGAAAAAAAAAATATGTACTGACATATCAGCTGATTGTATCTGTTGGTTTTATCCTGTGTTGGATTTTGGGTTTTGACTGTGCTGTCGTGAATGTTGATTTGTGATGAAGTTTCATCAAATGTTGACCTTCTTCCCTCAGGTTTTGTCTAAGTGCTAACCATGTGGAAATAATTACAATGTACACCATTGTACATACATGAGTTATTTTATTAGCAGAGCATAGAAACATCTTTGAGAATTGGCTAGAATTTCCACGGTGGTTTATGCAAGTAAGCCCTGAGCTATTTGCTAAATATTTGAGCAAACAGAACATTGTTTATTTAGTTCTTGTTAGCTTCTCATGTGCGTTCTTGGAATGCGGTTGTAGGTTTTCTGTTTGATTTTAAGGGAGGCCACAACCAGAAAAATCATAAGTCTGAATTAGAGAAACTACACAATCATTCTTTGCAATTTTTTTTTCTTCGATTCCTTGCCTGTTTCTGGTGACCTCTTTAGTTCCATGGTGCTTTTCCTGGCCTCACTCTTAAATGTGGGCTCTGAACGATTCTTCTTTTTTTTTTTTTTTTTTTTTTTGGGTAGCTACTGGAGGCAATGGCCTGTGCTGGCCCTAAGGATTCAAAAGACTTTTAAAATTGTGTGTTCCCGAATAAAATGATCTCCACACAACTGGGTCTAAGAGGTCCCAAGCTTGCTTCTGATTGTTCCTTTCTCTGTCTTCATTTGTAAACACCCACCTCCCAGTTAAAAATGTCAGAGAGAAGCACTTCCTGCTGTAGTTCCTGTCTTGGTCCTCTTGAACCCTATTCCAAAGACAATCAGAGCTTTCAGTATCATGAAAGGTAAGGGTGAATGAACCTAAGGAGATTTTCTAATCCATTTCCCTTCTTGAAGCAGGATCACTCCTTAATGATCTCCAGGGAACAGTAGCCTGGAAACAGCAGAGGCTGATAGCAATTTAAGATAGTCCATCCTAAGTTTCCAACCAACTTGATTGTTTTACAATCTGGGTCTCTCTCAAGTTGTGTTCATCAGGAAAAAATTCACAAAACTTTTCATGGAAAAAAGTCCTTGAGCAACATATTTAACAGCCATATGCTGGTATATCATCTTAATTTGATATTATTTAAAATTAAGAATATTCAGCAAGAAAACTTTGTAAAACAGACTTATGTTTTCAGTGTTTGGGGCAAGGACATTTATTAAGTAGTGACAACTTGTATCTTTTGCAATGCTGTGTCCTTAAGCAGTTTCTAGTGGAACTGTGTAAATAATTAAGATCTTTGGAGCAGAAGCGTCAGAGAGGTTGCCGAATGGTTTATGGATCAGGAACTTTGCTACTGAGATTTTCAATTTATTTCTCAAAAAAACAGAGATACAAGGAAAATTTATACTGATATTCCTATCACTACTAGGTTATTTTTAGTTATTTCATTTTTAATAATTTAATATTTTGTAATTATAGATTTAGAGCTACATGAATAAATATTTTATCTTAGATACTGACTTACTTTTTAATTTTGGATCTGTCATTTGAATGGGCATGAGTTAGTGTTTTAGGGGTGAAATATGGGAGGGAAATTAACCTATTTGATTACAACCTAAGTATATTTCAAATAATACTAATATATAAAAAAAAATCTTCCAGAGTTTTAGAAATCACAATACATTTGCTACTAATATATTTAAATTTTACTTTTTTCTTTTTTCTGGATTTAATATTCAGAACTATATTATTTTCCTTCTGTTTCATATCCATTTTAAAAATTAGGTATTTTGGTTTACAAACTCTGAAAGAATTAGAAATTAAGAACAGAGCTTTGTAACCCTCATGTTACCTGGGAACACTTAGTTCTTAAAGTCTAAATAACATTTGTCTGAAAGCCCATGCCATTCTATCTGGGAGAGTTCTGCAAATTCATGGGGAGCAGACATTTTCATGGTTCCCAATCCCACTACTTCTGAATCAGTTCAGTTTCTGGATGCGTCACTGTCTTGTGTTTGCTGGCCAGACTTCCAGCCATGTCGACATAACTGTGGAATTTTCCTCAAGCTTCTTTCTCCCTATCCTTTCCTTCTCACAAAATAGCCACTCACCAAGACATTTGGGGTGTGGAAGATTTTACTGAATAATTGAGGAAAAAGACGGCAATGACGACCCTGTAAAAGTTTTCTCCATGTACACACACATCTACATACACACCCATGTTCACACATACACACACACACACGCAGAACCATCTGAAATACAGAAAGCAGACTCCTAAAGCATGCACTGGTAAATTTTATTATTTGATTTTATTTTTAAGAAATAGATTCACCTAGTTCACAAATAAAATCCACACAGAATGTCATGCATTGGGAAGATCCACTTCATTTCTATCTGCATGCATCCTATCCTCTACTCCCACCTACTAGAGGTAATCACTTTTATAAGTTGTTTTTATATCCTTTCTGTATTAGTCCATTTTCAAGCTGCTCATAAAGACACACTAGAGATTCGGCAACTTAAAAAAGAGGTTTAATAGACTTACAGTTCCACGTGGCTAGGGAGGCCTCACCATCATGGTGGAAGGTGAAAGGCACTTCTTACGTGGTGGTGGCAAGAGAGAATGAGAACTAAGAGTAACGGATTTCCCCTTATAAAGCCATCAGATATTGTGAGACCCACTCATTACCAAGAGAATAGCATGGGAGAAAACACCCCCATGATTCAATCGTCTCCCACCAGGTCCCTCCCACAACAGGTGGGAACCATGGGAGCACAATTCAAGATGAGATTTGGGTGAGGACACAGAGCTAAACCATATCATTTTCCAAATCTGTTTTTGCAAACATATAAACTAGTTATCCACTTTCTTAAATAACATACTGTATACACCGTTTGCACCTTGCTGTTTTCATTTATTAATACATCCTGAAGAGCTTCTCCATTCTTCCTTATAGATGCACAATATTTCATTATGTGGATGCACTACAGTTAACCAGACTCCTATTGTTGGACAAATTGGGTAATTTCCAGTCTTGTGTTATTACAAATGTTGCTGCAATGAATAATCTTTTATATTTGCCGTTCTATAAATATAGAATTATTTATAGGATAAATTCCCAGAAGTAGAATTGCTAGGTCAAGTGGTAAATGCATTTGTAATTTATATAGATGTCTTCCATAATGTTTGCACTGCCCTGTACACTAGCAGGATATCTGAGTGCCTGTTTCTTCACAGCTCTGTCAAAAGTGTGAGTTGTAAAACTTTGGGGTTTTGGTAATCTGAGGTGTGAAAAAAGTAGCCTTTATATGTCATTTTAATTTGCATTCTCAAATTACCTGTAAGCCATTTGTATTTTTCTGTGAACTATCTGCTCAGGTTTTTTTTACTGCTTTATTGCCTCATTAGTCTTTTCCTTCTCTATTTCTAATAATGTTTATATATTAGGGAGATTAGTTCTCTTAGAGAAGAATGAGTTGCAAATGTTTTTCTAATTTCTCATTTGTCTTTCAAATTCATATAGCCATGCAGAAGTTTTTTGGTTATTTTCCCTCTTTCTAAAGTTTGGGTTTGTTTTTATTGATATAGGATTATTTTTGGTTTTGTTTATATATTTGTTTTTAATGGCTAGTGGATTCCAAATAACTAGTAGCAAAGTCTTCACTTCATTTGTTAAAAAGGAATCAGCTCATGTTTCAATGTGGTGCTTTAATTCTAATGCAATAGATTGAGGTATGAATACAATCTTATCTTTTTCCAGATAGCTACATGGTTCTCCCAATCCTATTTTTAGGGTATGGTGAATCTATATTTACTTCAATTATTCGAGCTGTCACGTTAATCAGATACTAAGTTCCAAAATGTGTTGGTATTTATGGACTTTTCCTCTGTTCTTTTGGTCTGTTACCTTTTCATGCAGTGACACTATATTATTAAAGCAATAGTGTATTTAATTATCTTCTAGGGATACATATCCTTATTGCTTTTATTTTAAATAGTTTTCCTGGTTATCCTTACTTGGTTATTTTTGAGATGAACTTTAGTATCAGCTTGCTTAGTTAAAAAGACTGATACTTTTTACTAAAATCACGTTACATTTAAAAAGAATAATGTGCATTAGCCCATCCAAGAACATAGTATGCCTTTATATTTTAAAGTCTATTTTTTTAATTTTTATATGCCTTTATATTTTAAAGTCTATTTTTTTAATTTTTAAGGAGTGTTTTAAATTTTTGTCATATAGGTCATGCCCACTTCTCATTAAGTTTATTCCTAGATATCATCTCTTAATTGGCTCAAATTTGTCTTTAGTATTTAATTCCAAAAGGACTCATGGGAATAAACATTTCATAGGTTCTTATATATTCAAGGCTATTATACAGCAAGTGCCTTTGTACAAGATTATTATATAGCAAGTGTCTTTGTACTTTGAACTTGCCTGAGTATAAAACCCTTGGCTTTCTCTGTCCTTGCTTCAGCATTGTTTAACTATTGTTGCATCCTGTTTTAGCATTAACCGATGCCATAAAGAAGTCTGATGCCAATCTAGTTTCCTTCTTCTGAGAGATGTGATCCTTTTGCCTGCCTTCTTTTTAAGCCCATTGCATTTAAATTCAATAGTTTTATTAGGCTATATCCCATGTTGGGTCTACAGGGTCCATTTTTCCTGAAAAGTGGCATGTCTATTTACATACATATGTTCAAATCCTCTTTAATTTCAGGAAAGTTTTCTTATAGTTTTAAATATTCACCCCCCAAAACCCTCCTTTCACTCTGCTATACTGTATTTCACATTTATATGATAATTCATTGGCAGACTATAACATTTGGAAGTGTATATTTTATATGAGGCTTTGCCTGAGCTAGTTTACATGTTATTATAAGAACAAATGCTACCTACTTACAACCCCATGTGATAGGCATTAATATTCCCATTTTACAGATGGTGATCAAGTCTCAGAGCTGGTAGGTGTCAGAACTGAGGCTTATGCCCCAGAGAAAGATAGGCTTTTTCCACAAACCATTATTTTCCAGTGTATCATCAAGAACAAAAGGTACACATACACAGATTGCATGATTACATAGAGAAAAATATATTCATTTTTAGATGCTCAATTTTCTGAATACAAGGCAACATGAAAGAATTTTTTAAACGGCAAATATAAGCAGGGGTTTTTTGTTGTTGGCCAGCTGGTTATTTCCTTAATTTTGGACCACACAGAACATCTGTTTAAGATTTTAAAAATTCCCATTCAGAGAGGAAAAACGCTGTGGAAACTGATTTCTTAACTATAGAACTAGACCTTCCTGGCAAATCACAAATATAATACACTTTTATTTGAATGAACAAAGCTCTCCCAGGTGACGTATTTGTTGAACTTTTGTCATAACTTACTTTAAAAATGAAAGATGCAACAAGATAAAGTTCTAGGTATATCTGAGTCAGAAAAAAAAAAATATTCACACTTATGTAGTCCTGTCTCCCTATTCCACAGATGAGAAAAACCAAGACAGAGAAAACTGGAGGCAAGAGTCCAAGGTTCTGGAAGAGATGGTTAGATTAGGACCTGGAGATTCTTTCAGCATTGGAAACAGTCCTTAGTATGAGGAGAGAAAGAGATTAAGAGGAGGAATCAACTGAACAATATGCCTCTCAGATATACTCAAGTGAATACATTGCCCCTAGATTTTTTTTACTAAAACATAGTGCAATCAAAAGTCAAAATATCATATTAGTTAATAAAAAATTGTTTTGATATATGCAGTAAAAGGGAATTGAAACCATTATTTCCAAATTGATAGTGTCATATAAATTCACCCACATGTGAGTCCAACATATTTTGACAAACTCCCTTCCTGGTCTTGCACTTTGCTTTACGTTTGTTCCAACAGGAGTTGATGTTTTAGGTATACATGCCAAAAGGTAATATGAAACAGGAGTGGGGATAATTATGGTTTACCTCGGCATGTTGAAAAGCAAGGAGAGGCCAAATATTATATGCAGACCCATGAATCAGAGTAGATACGAAGCATATACAATATATTGAAGTGTGTCTTGAACACCTATTTATTGGCAGAGGTGAAATGCAATAAAAACTTTCTCAAAACCATCAAAAACATTCAAAAACATTAAGTTTGAATTTGACCCACAGAGATTGATCACAATTGAGGAATCTTACCTCCAAGGAGAAATTGTTCAATTGATCCAAGGGGAATTCAATATAATTTGAAACTATTCTCACCTTACAAGATTGTCTTCTTAAATTAATTTTGACCTTCAAGAAAATGAATAGAGAAATAACTCATTGTATCACCTGCCAAACATTTGTGATGTTCATTGCTTTAATAATAAATTGTTAGTGCCATAAAGACTTCTATTTTGACCTCTTGTATAGAGGCTAGCAGTGGATATCTGGCTAAGCCATCTTGCTTGTTTCACTGATGGGTGTCCTAGTGATTGGCTCACGTATCCCAGTGTCTCTTGATCAGTAGGGGGCAACGTGATATAACACACATCCAGACAGAATAAACCATATTGTGTCAGCATTCTTCAGAGCATTAGAAGGCCTGGACAAAATTAGGTGTTTATAAGAAAAAAGTGAGATTCCTTAAGAAAGTTAAAACCCACTAATAGAATGAGATTACAGCTTATAGGTCTAACATTGTCAAACTTAAATATGTGACATACTTCTTTTATTGACTTCCTATATATTCTCAGAGGAAATAGTTCCTCTTTGGTCTGATATTATCTCACCTAATATTAGGTAGCACCCACTATTAATAAAAGAAGAAAGAAGGGGCTGAGGCCAAGAGACTCTGGCTTGGCGTTTCCCTTCCACCATTGGTATCTTCTCCCTCACTCCCCAAGGCATAAGATTCCATGGAAATCTAGAATTGGTTTCATTAACCTCTGAATTTTACTCTTGTTCATATAATATTTTATACATTAATTTATATTTTGTAATTATATCCACTTTAGCATGAGTCCTTTCTAATTCAAATATTCTCTTCCTGTATTTCTAATCATCTCTGGCTGCCTCCATTCCAACTAGGTAGGATACTTCTTGAAATGTCTGCACTGTGATATTTTCTATATTCTTAGTATGCCTGTGATGAAACAAATTTGAAAGCAAATTTCTTGGAAATAGTAATTTGCTTTTCTAGTATGCAGTATTCACAGAAGGTTGTAGACTTCTCTTTCAAGCAAGATGTATGCATGCTACTTTCTCTCTAGGTTTGTAATTATATTGTGTTGTAAATATGTCAATATAGTATCATATTGCCAATAAGATATATTAGCATTACCTACTTCAAAAATAGAAAATTAGATGGATGTTTCAAATTTTTGTGAAGGGAGTGTTGAAAACTTTTTTTTTTTTTTTTTTTTTTTTGAGACAGGATCTTGCTCTGTCACCCAGGCTGGAGTACAGTGGCATGATCATAGCTCACTGTAATGCTGAATTCCTGAGGTCAAGCAATCTTCCTATCTCAGCCTCCTGTGTAGCTAGAACTACAGGCATGTGCCAACATCCCTACTAATTTTTATTTTCTGCAGAGGTGGGGACCTTTCTGTGTTGCCCAGGCTGGTCTCAAACCCCTGGCCTGAAGCAATCCTCCCACCTTGGCCTCTCAAAGAATTAGGATTACAGGTGTGAGTCACTGTGACCACCCTGAAAACTTTTTCACTGTGAAGTTATTTTTCAGTATGAGTAACATACCGAAACAACAATGAGCTGTTGTTCCTGTTGTAAGAACAGAAAAGGATATGAATTCAAACCTGTTATTATGCAAAAGAAGGGAATAATACTGTTTAAAAGTAGAAGATACATTAAAATATCTCTATCCCTAATTTCCTGTTCTCAAAGATATCCATTAAGTAGTCATTTACTTACCTCTCACTCTATTTACTCCTTAGACAGGCTGCATGGAGATTGTAGCATGAATGCAGATATTGGAAATTTACTGGATGTATGATCAGACAAACCAATTGAAGTGGAGAAGAGAACCAATCAGCCAAATCATTACAGAAGTTGCACCACTGCCTGAAATATCTTGACTGATTCTATATAAGTTGAATTTTTGCCGAATAAATTCTGAAAATAATTACAAGCTTCCTTTTGATTTGAATGTTACACATCAAGTTCTAGTAAGAGCTAATTTTACATCATTGACAGATAACAAAATAGAAGGAACAAAGTGCCCTTTGAGTTAAGGGCACTCCAATGTCCCGGAATTTAACCTTTTTGTCAGATCAATAAGGTTTAGTGCAACTAGCCAGACACCTGTCCCTCAGCCTCTCAGTCTAGGAGCAGCTTCTTTCTTTCTTTGGGCTGGGCTTATTCAAGTTAGTGAAGCCAGTCTGGTTTCTTTTAAATCATATCCCCTGCCCCTGCTCATCTGCAGTGAAGGCTGCTGGCTTCATATTTCCATTCTTTGCTTTTATTCTGAGCAGCAATAACTGGACTAGCTAATGTACAGCTTCCTGATAGTTAACCATTCCTCCTAGAAGCTAATCTTTAGAGGGAAAAATCTTTATGCGATTTAATGCAATTTGGGAAAAATGAGCATATTTCCTGAGATCTCTGAGGAGATGCTGTCTTACAATGAGGCAAGAAACTTGAACCAATTATCTGAGGCATACACACAACTGTCAGGAAACAGTAGTTGATGTGCTATTAGTTGCTCTTCTCATACTCCCAGTTGTATAGCTGTGGTTTTTGTCAGCATCTTGGGGAAGAAAAGGGATATTTAGGTGATGATAAATCAATGCAAACTTAATAAGCCTAGTGTTAATCTATCCCTACAATTGTCTCAAAGTATTTTAAAATATCTGGTACAATTAATTTATTCTTTAGCATTGCAGGAAAGATGTTTGTTGGCTTTCTTTTATATTTATTCTATTAATTGGGGTAACAGGCTATCTAAAATAAAATAAGCCAGATTTTGAATTATTCACACTTTTAGGTACATTTTTAGTCAAAATGTTGCCTTTCTGCATATAAGGCTTTGGTAACTACTAATTCTCATTATGCAGGAGGCATTTTCCTGTCTCAAATGTCAAAACAAGAGATTATGGCCACTATAAAACCTGCACACATAGTCCAGATTTCAATTATCTGTGGATGACTCAACACATTATACATGGTGTGTATGGCCCAGGATGCTTGTCCTCATAATTTAACAGTTTCAACCAATTATCCAACACATTCTCTGTCATGCTGCAAAGTGTCTAACTACGCAATGACAATGCAGCCTTAAGGATGCGCCAGGTGACTGCAATATATGTTAAAGGCCACAATGAAGTCATAAGAATTTAGAAGTGTGTTCACTTATGGCGACTGTAATTCCAAGACTTTGACTTGAGAAAACCTCCTGAAAATGCCTGTGAGTAAAAAATTTCTCCTGATCACTAGAGCTATAAATAATAGGTGGAAATATCCAGGTCTAGACTCACAGCTCTTAGAGTGCTCAAAGGAGAATACATTCCCATGAGCTCATGCATTCATTCATTCAATGAGCATTTCAGCTTTTGCTATGTATCAGCTACTACTTGGTACATACTAATTGGTTCTGAAAATCTCAAAGCTTAATTTACAAGTTGATTCCAGTAAGAGGTTAAAAACCTGGCCTTCTTCAGAATAGAAAATGTCTGAGACCTTTATTAAAGAAAATGCATACACACATACACATACACATACATACATGTGCATACACATACCCAAGTTTGTTGTGGAGTGGGTAGGTATGAAGATGTCTTATGACCACGTAATAATGTCACATGTAGCTTCAAAGATATACCTAGCTGTGAAAATCTGTTTTTGTGAGATTTTTTTCACTCTTAGATAGATAAGTCCGAAGAGGCACTTTAGAAATATAAAATGTTTTCCATTCAAGATGTGTCTCAACAAAATTTATGTCTCTATTGTCAGGATGCTTTTAAGTATATTTATGGGCCTGTGAGCTAGGGAGATGACCCATGGGATAGTATTTGGAAATGTTTATTTCTCTTTCACCTCAAAATAGATAGCTAGAAGGACCCCTTGCTGACTTCTGGCCAGAACATCAGATGCATGGCTGCCCACTGCAGAGCTCGAAGACAGCAGGAAGTGGTATCATCTTTCTAAAATAAGAGTATCACTTTAGGTACCCAAAAGGAGACTTAAGAGTTGACTGTAAGTGGTGGGAGCCTAGGGAGGTGGATATTGTCAATCCTGAAAGGAAAGGAATGGCCCCCAAATATCCTCTTAATTTTTCTACTGTTATAACGTTGGATTTTTCAATGATACGATTCAAATGTCCTCTTTATGTTCATGCATCATTATCTAATTTTACATTCTACTTCAAGAAGTTCACTTAAGTCACCTCAGAAAAGACTTTTAAAAAATAAGTTCCAAATGATCTAAGACAGCTCCCTTCTGTCCTTTTGACCTCTGTTGTGCTTATGCCAACCTTCACATTCCTAATTGCTGGATTTCTGAACAAATCTCTGTGACTATCAAATCAGCATTTGCACCTTGATGTTTCCCATTATCATTTCAGTGTGGCTAGTAAAACTCCTCACTCTTCTTACTCACAGTGACTTCAGGCCAAAATCATGATTTGTGGGCAAACACCATAGATAGGGCCCACTGGATCTCCCTCATAGAGACAATAAGAAAGGCAGCCTCACTCGGCTGCTTCCACCCAAGAGAGTTTCTACTTCCCAGAGAGCAAAAACTGCTCCAGCCATAAAAATGTGAATGAAGAAGTTGAATATTCCTTCAGCCAACAGTTATACATAACCACGAATTGTCGAAATGCATTATTTTAATGAATAAAGGTAGATTTTAAAAGCAAAGCAAAAAGTATCATTCTCTCTTTGTAGAAGTGTTTCTTTGGTTATTTAGTTTTTTTCCTTCACCTCCCCAAACCTTCTCCACTGTAAGAAGCCTGCCATAGAAGCATAAATGTTAGAGTAATACATCTGGCTGCAAATTCTTCCAGGAAATAAAAGATAAATTTGCCATCAGGACAAAGAAAGAAAGGGAACTGGATTCAGAGTCATCAAGCACCAGAGAACAAGTCTTCGTAGCTCCGCCCTCTACTTGATTTCATTACCTCCCTAATGGGAATTTGAATGACAGAGCAAGGGAGTAACCATTTAGGTATCTGGCATTGATAACGAATAAACTTACGGGAGAGGGAGTTGCATGCTCACATTTAAAAAGCTCCTGACAAAAAATATGACTTTTTTACATTTTAAGAGATAAAAAAATGTATAAGCAAATACTTTACTATTTGTCTTGAACATTAAATCATCACAGTATAAAAGCACATAATGTGTTTGCTATACTAGCAACACGCATGTTAAAAACAAACTTTCTAAAAGTCATTTAGATTTGCACAGCTGACAAGAAGGCTGTCTTCTGGATCCAGAATCTCCTCCACCACTTATTAAATATTTGACCTTGAGCCAGGTAATAACACCCTAAGTCTCAGTTTCCCCATTTGTAGGATGGAAATAATGATAGTGCCCTATCACGGAATTGTTTTATGTATTATATGTATCTGGAAAACAAAATCCTTAGCAGAATGCCTAACACAAAATAAGTTTTCAAACATTAGTTCTATATGAAATAGCAAATTGAGACAAAGCAGCCTGGGGGTGGAAGGATTGAGGAAAAATAGTCCCACTTTATTGAGACAAACACCAAATATTTAAAATCTGGGTCAAAATCAACTAAGAATGGATATAATACAACTTTTAAAAACTCACTCCAAAGAAGTATGGACTAAAAGTATATTGAGGAAATGTGTCAAGATGACAAATTTATGCAGTAGAAATATATAATAGGCTATTAGAGAAAAACCAAGATGCTTTAAGGCCTATTTATTTCATGCGAATGTTAAGAAAAAATATAATACAACCTTCTCTCAAACTCTTCTCCAGCACTATCGTCAGAGACAAATAGTTCATTTAATGCACAAAAGCAACTTTTGTGTCCATAGATGAAATTAGCATAAGGCAAAGAGAGAGTTCTGTTGGAAAAAAAAAATGTTTTTTCAAGACAGCGCTGAGCCCAGTTATTTATTCATTAAGTCAACAACTATTTATTGAGTACCATCCTTGTGCAGATGTAGCAAAAAACACAGGGGATAAAAACAGTGAACAACGTCGAGCATGGCCCAGACTCTTAT